>NW_025791754.1:0-695023 GCF_000001405.40 Homo sapiens | reverse complement strand
GAATTCTCTCATGCTGATTAGAAGCTACAAGACACCAAGGCAGAAGCTGCTATTTTTTTAAAGCTTACATCCGTAACTGGCATAGAGATACTTATACCGTATCCTATTGGTCAGAAAAGTCATGGGTTAGCACAAGTTCAAGATGATGGGGAAATAGGTCACTTAATCAGAGGATTTTCAAATTATTTGTGGACATCTTTAATCTGCAAAACATAGTAACTATGATACATTACATGCTAATATTTTAATTTATCTCCACTCTGAGGTACGTATGTGTCATAAAAATGATTGCATTTAAGAATGTACTCCATTATGATTACTTACCTAGTTCATCTTTATTGATGTCATCAAATGTAACCAAGTCTTAACTATTTTAGAAATCATATTTAAATTTGTTTTCAAAGTTTATTTGTATCTAATGAAAGAGTAATATTTTATTTCTCTACCTAGGTAGCGCTCACCCATGTTTTTGACAGTTTTCTGCCTGTTTCTTTAAGAAAAGTTTTAAAAACAAGTCTGTGATATTTTCTGTAGTTTCATAGAAGACTGATAATTTGACCCTTGTTAAAATTCTTGCAAGAGAATCTTTAGGTGTACACCAGATTGAAGATAAATAAGAATCTGAGTTAAGTGCTCAAATCACATTTTTTAGGTTGTTCATCTAAAATAAGTATAATAAATAACTGGATTTCATAAGATGCAGCTGAGGGAGCTCATCAACTAATAAAGGAAAGGAGATGGAAGAACTTCAGAGGTCACAGACACTCATTGAGTCATCTCCCTTAAACATATGAATTCAAGGTGAAGATTAGGATAATCAGACACTACACGTAAGAGTCACAATTCTCACTATGCTGTTGACATTAATGCTGTGTTAAATAATTTTCAACAGTTAACATAATGATAGGTAAAAATGTGAATTGCTAGTTCTGAAAGCAAGATCACTGCTGTTAGCTTAGCAGTGTAGGAGTGGCAGAGTGGTATCAGAAGTGGACACTGAGCTTCTTTCCTTCTTCATGATATGGCAAAGGCACCATGAAATTTAAGGAGGATAGGATGAAGGGTCTGACAAACGTTTATTGCGAGGGTGTTACCAATCCACTCTTTGTCTGAAGGGAAAATCCTCAGAGGAAGATTATCTGGAATGAATCGTAGGAGTGTAGTTTGGAGTATATGACTTTGACTCAAGAGTTTGTAATATATATATATATATATATATATATATATATATGTATTTAGAATATGATACAAAATGATGGAGAAATTACTAGAAATACATTTTCTTGGTTGCTGCTAGCAAGTTTGGTGATATTAAAACATCTCATGGTGGAAAGTAAAGCAAATGAACAATCAACCGCAGCAATATTGAGATAAATATCTGAACCAAATATAATTGGCTTCATGTGTGACAAAGGTTTTGATGGAGACTTGGGGAGATACAGGTTAAATCATGGCACTCCTTCACTCTGACCCTTCATCAACAGATCCTACCTTCCAAGCGCCAGGATTTAAAGACCAGATGACCATCAATACTAGAGAAATAACATTAAATATGTGGTCTGTTTTGCAAAACAGAAAAGTATTGGTGCCTGCCAGATTAATCTTTCCACAGATTCCTTGAAATAAATGGTTTGTAATTTGGTAGTGAATTCAATTACCGGCTTATAGTCAGACTTTGGAAAAGGGCTCTCTTCACCTGGTCTTAGTGGTTCTTGTTAAATGGGAATTTTATAATTGGTCAAACCAGCCTCTCTAGTGAATATTAAGTAATACCAAATCTTGGGAAGATAGTGAGAGATTTTAATTGCTTAAAAATGTTAAGTGGTATGATGATGTATTAGTGTTTTCCAGAGAAACAGAATGTATAGTGTGAGGTGTATATAGATAGATGAGATAGAGAGAGATTTGTTTTATGCAATTGGTTTACTTGATTTGTGAGTATAAGCAAGTCCAAAATTCACAGGGCAGGTTAATAGAGTAGAAACTCAGACAAGGGTTGATGTTACAGTCTTGAGGTAGAATTTCTTCTTTGGGAAGCCGAAGTTTTGACTCTTATTGCTTCAATTGATTGAATGTGACCCACCCATATTATCAAGGGTAATCTTTACTTAAAGGCAACTTATTGTAGATGTTATTAACTCCATCTATAAAATACCTTGTTCACAGCAACACTTAGATTAATATTTGATTAAATAACTTGGATTGACAGCCTAGCTAAGCTGACACATAAAACTCACCATTGCAGATGCTAATTCTCACCAAAACACAAATGATTTTGATTAATTATGTGGATATGCATAGTTGCAAGAAGGCTAACATGAACTCCCAGGCTGTGACTGTTAGGAGTTGGCATTTCAAGATACCTGGGGTTAACACTTAGATATAATTTTTCTTCAGTTACCAAGAATATACTAGATAGTACCAAATAGCTGGAAGCAGAATATTCAGTGTTCCCAACAGAAAGAGAAATGATAAATGTTTGAGATAATGGAGATGCTAATTACTCTGACTACTATACATTATATATATATGTGTGTATATATATGTATATATATGTGTGTGTATATAGATGTGTGTATATATATGTGTGTATATATATATACACTCACACACACACACACACACACATTACTATGCACCCCATAAATATGTATGGTTATTATTTGTGAATTTTTAAAGGGGGATTAAAAGACAATTCCTTGTTCATTACTGAGCTTTGATGAAGATAGCCCTCACCATTGTGGATAATAACTCTAAAACTCAAAATGCCTATTATTTCATAGGTAATATCAGACAAACATTCCAATTAGCATGGAACAGTTTAGAAAAACTAATAATATGGAAATGACACATGCAGCAGCCCTCCACTGGTGGTTGCTCTTGGTGTATGTTACATTCATAAGCAGTTTGCAGCCAGCATTTTTGACCAATGATATAATCCACAAAAGAACTTCTGGCTCCTTTTTTGAAATGATCTAAACTCTGTGATTCTTTTCCTCCTTGTGCAAAGCAATCTGCCCATTTTTCTGATAGCACGTCCCAATTTGAGTGAAGCAATCACCTTGTAGATAATAAAATCTAGATTACAAGGCAAGATTCGTGGTAAATAACATTGAAGGCAATATGTCTGGAAGTTCTGAAAGAATTGAGAGGTTATATCAAAGGCAATGCTTAGATATGTACAGACACATGGATTATGGCAAATGCTATCAATGGTCAGATCGTACATATTTCCAACCCCGTAAACTGTTTCTGTTTTGCCAGATCCATTTTTACCAATTTAGAATTACAGCTGTAGATTTTACCACAAGAAGTCATTGCAGCTGAAAACATTACTTCAAGTCCTCTGAATTTAAGTGTACATTACTAAAGGGACAATGGGCTGAGGAATGATTATTTCTCTCACTAAACTAAGACTGCCTAGATGCTGCCCCCTGACTAGTGGTAGAGATACGCCTGCCATGTTTTATATTTGTGACTGTACTTTTTCTTATTGGGAATGTTCATAGAGGGAAGTTCTGGAAAGGCTATTGATGCAAGGGGCTATTGCTGCACTCTATGGGTGGGTATTATAGCTCACCTATGGACTTCCATCCACAGATGCTAAGCTTGGTTAAGGTAGATAGTAAACAGAAAATGGCAAAAAGTGTGACCAATGATGAGGGAATGCATGTATGTGAGAGAACATCCCAGAGAAACAGAATAATACTCTAGGCTCCTTCTTTCTGATATGGTACTGAGGTATGGCAGATGCTGGGGGAATATATGGAGCCAGTATTACCCTGATGCCAAAATTAGACAAAGACACACCCCAGAAAGAGAGAAAGTTACAGGTTAAAATCTCTAATAAATATCGATACAAAAATCCTCAACAAAATACTAGCAAACTGAATACAGCAATACATTAGAAAGATCATTCATCATGACCAAATGGGGTTTACCTGTGGGATGCAAGGATGGTGCAATACACACAAGTCAATCAATGTGATACATCATATTAACAGAATGAAGGATAAAAACCATACGATCATTTCAGTTGATGCTGAAAAAGTATTCGATAAAATTCAATATCCTTCATGATGAAAACCCTCAAATACTGGGGATGGAAGGAACACACCTCAAAGTAACAAAAGCTGTATTCAACAGATACACAGTTAGTATCATACTGAATGGAGAAAAACTGAAATCCTTTCCTCAAAGGACTGGAACATGACAAGGATGCCCACTGTTACATAGTTATTCAACATAATACAGGAAGTCCTAGCTACAGCAATCAGACAAGAGAAGGATACAAAGGCCATCCAAGTTGGGAAGGAAGAAACCAAGTTATCCTTGTTTGCAGATGATATGATCTTATATTCGGAAAAACCTAAAGACTCAACCAGAAAACTATTAGAACTGATAAATTTGATAAATTTGCTGGGTATGAAATAAACATACAGAAATCAGTAGCATTTCTATACATCAACAGTGAACAATGTGAAAAAGAAATCAAGAAAGTAGTCCCATTTACAGTAGCCACACATAAAGTTAAATACCTAGGAATTAAATAAAGAAGTTAAAGAGCTCTTTAATGAAAACTATAAAAGACTGATGAAAGAAATTGAAAAGGATACAAAAAGATGGAAAGATATTTTATGTTTATGGATTGGAAGAATCAACATTGTTAAAATGTCCATACTACCTAAAGCAATCTACAGATTCAGTGCAATCACTGTCAAAATACCAGTAACATTCTTTACAGACATAGGAAAAAACAATTCTAAAATTTATATGGAACCACAAAAGACCCAGAATAGCCAAAGCTATCCTAAGCAATAAGAACAAAACTAGGGAATCATATTACCTGACTTCAAATTATACTACACAACTATAGTAATCAAAACAGCATAATAGTGGCATAAAAACAGACACATAGACCAATGGAACAGAATAGAGAACACAGAAGTAAATCCACACACCTACAGTGAACTCATTTCTGACAAGAGTGCCAAGAATGTACACTGGGGAAAAGACTGTCTTTCAATAAATGGTGCTGGGAAAACAGGATGTTCATATGCAGAAGAATGTAACTAGACCCTTATGTCTCACCATATAAAAAAAAATCAAAGTGGATTACAGACTTAAATCTAAGACCTCAAACTATGAAACTACTATAAGAAAACATTGCAGAGAATCTCCAGGATATAGGTCTGTTCAAAAATTTTGGGGGCAATATCCCATAAGCACAGGAAACCTAAACACAAATGAACCAATGGGATTACATAAAGTTAAAAATCTTCTTCTGCACAGTAAAAGAAACAACAAAGAGAAGCGACAACCCACAGAACGGGAGAAAATATTTGTGAAGTACCCATCTGACAGGACATGAATAAACCGCAATATATAAGGAGCTCAAACAACTCTATAGGAAAGATTCTAATAATCCAATTAAAAACGTGCAAAAGATTTGAATAGACATTTCTTAAAGAAAGACATGTAAATGGCAAACAAGCATATGAAAAGGTACTCAACATCATTGATTATCAGAGAAATGCAAATCAAAACTACAATGTGATGTCATCTAACTCCAATTAATATGGCTTATATCCAAAAATCAGTAATAAATGCTTGGGAGGATGTGGAGAAAAAGGAACACTTGCACACTGTTGGTGGACATGCAAGTTAGCATAACCACTATGGAGAACAGTTTGGAGGTTCCTCAGAAAACTAAACATTGAGCTACCATATGATCCAGCAATCCCACTGCAGGGCATATACCCAAAAGAAAGGAAATCAGTATATGGAAGAGACATCTGCATCCCTATGTTTGTTGCTGCACTGTTTACAATAGCTAAGGTTTGTAAGCAGCCTAAGTGTCCATCAACAGATGAATGGATCAAGAAAATGTGGTACGTATATACAATGGAGTAGTATTCTGCCATAAAAAAGAATGAGATCTAGTTATTTATAACAACATGGATGGAACTGGAGATCATTATGTTAAGTGAAATAAGCCAGGCACAGAAAGACAAACATCACATTTTCTCACTTATTTGTGGGATCTACAAATAAGAACAATTGAACTCATGGACATAGACAGTAGATGAATGGTTACCAGACGCAAGGGGCTAGTGGTGGAAGGCAGTGGTTGGGGGTGTCAGGGAGGAGGTGGGTACCTATTTTCAATAGGTACAAATAAATAATTAGAAGAATGAATAAGACCTACTAATTGATAGCACAATAAGGCGACTATAGTCAACAATAATTTAATAGTATACCTTCAATATAACTTAAATAGTGTAATTGGGTTGTTTGTAACTCAAAGGATAAATGCTTGAGGGGATGGATACCCTATTCTCCACGATGTGCTTATCTCACGTTGCATGCCTGTATCAAAATATCTCATACACCCCATAAATATATATACCTACTGTGTACCCACAAAATGAAAAATAAATAAATAAATAAAATAACTGTAAAGTAGAAGAAACCTCAAAGTGATAAAATCAAAATGTCTTGTTTTTCCTGCCAATCTCCCTGCTATATTTTCTTCCCTTATTGTTAACAACATACTGTCTACATACTTTTGTATTCTGAATTTTGTGTTTGCATTGTATCTTCAAAGAAGTTATAATTAACTTCATATCAAGCAATAGTATTTTCAAATTCAAAATGTGCTTTCTATCTAGATAAAAGGCTTGGCATATAATGATTCTTAATGGGTGTGTTAAAACAGTTTATTTCTAGGCATAAATTAATGAACTAATAAATAGGGGGGTTGTTTTATTTTCGTTTTGAGACAGGGACTGGCTCTGTGGCTGGGTTGGAGTGCAGTGTCACAATTGTCCCACCTCATCCTCCTCTAGTAGCTGGGACTACAGGCGTGCACCACCATGCCCAGCTAATTCGTTTTCTTTGTTTTTATAAACAGGATCTTGCTATGATTCCCAGGCTGATCACAAACTCCTGACCTCAAGCAACCCTTTCACCTCAGCATCCCAAAGTGCTGGGATTACAGGATGATCCACTATGTCTGGCCCATAAATAGGTATTTTGCTTGATAAATATCACACCAGTATATTTACATTTTAATATAACAACCATTCTGTTTTCCCTAAGATTTCATTTTCAGTCATTTTTATTTTCCTGCCTAAAGATTTGTAATATTTGTTCATTAGTCTTATAATTAAGAAACAATTGGCTAGATTATGTTTCTAGTGATTTTATCTAGTGATTTATTCTAGAGATTTTATCTCTCACTTTGCCTGGAACCACATTAAGCTATACACTAGGAATAATTGTTTAGAAAGGAATGTAAGAATATTTTGATGATTGTACTTATTGCAATTGTTCTGGTTTCTTCCCTAGACTTAGATTTTTATTGTTTATTCTCCAGATTAATAATCTCTGTAATCATTCATTTCTTTATGGTTTCCCTTTGAAAATCCACTACACCAAATTTCTTATCTATCACACCAATTCACTTTGTTAGGTGCATACTCTACTCTTTAATAACCCCACTGATGCTTTTATATCACATTTTATTTTCATCTTCCTGATGATATTGCTTGTTGCTCCTACAGTTGTGGTTTCCTGCCATTTATTTTTGTACCATTTTAGGAAACTAAGGCAATCATATTAGTCTGTTCTCATGCTGCTAATAAAGACATACCTGAGACTAGGTAATTTATTAAAACAAGAGGTTTAATTGACTCACAGTTCCACACTGCTGGGGAGGCCTCACAATCATGGTGGAAGGTAAATGAGGAGCAAAGTCACATCTTACATGGTGACATGCAAGAGGGCTTGTTCAGGGGAACTCCCATTTATAAAACCATCAGATCTTGTGAGACTTACTCACTACCATGAGAACAATATGGGGAAACAGTCCCCATGATTCAATTATCTCCACATGGCCCTGCCCTTAACATGTAGTAAGATTTGAGCAGAGACACAGAGTCAAACTATATCATTCCACCCTGGTCCCTCCCAAATCTCATGTCCTCACATTTCAGAACCAATAATACCTTCCCAAAAGCCTCTCAAAGTCTTAACTCATTACAGCATTAACTCAAAAGTCCACAGTCCCAAGTCTCATCTGAGACAAGGCAAGTCCCTTTGTAAAATCAAAAGCAAATTAGTTATTTCCTAGATACAATGGTACAGACAATGGTGCAGACAATGGGTAAGTAAACCTGTTCCAAATGGGAGAAATTGGCCAAAACAAAGGGGCTACAGGTCTCATGCAAGTACAAAATCCAGCAGGGCAGTCAAATCTTAAAGCTCAAAAATGATCTCATTTGACTCCATGTCTCACATCCAGGTCACGCTGATGCAACAGGTGGGTTCCCATGGTCTTAGGCAACTCCACCCCTGTGGCTTTGCAGGGTACAGCTTCCCTCCTGACTGCTTCCATGGGATGGCATTGAGTGTCTGCATCTTTTCCAGGTGCACGATGCTAACTGTCGGTGGAACTACCATTCTGGGGTCTGGAGTACAGTGGGCCTCTTCTCACAGCTCCACTAAGCAGTGCCCCAGTGGGGACTCTGTGTGGGGGCTCCCACCCCACATTTTCCTTCTGCACTGCCATAGCAGAGGTTCTCCATGAGGGCCCCACCCCTGCAGCAAACATTTGCTGGACATCCAGGCATTTCCATACATCCTTTGAAATCTAAGCAGAGGTTCCCAAACCTTAATTCTTGACTTCTGTGAACCACAATCTCAACATCACATGGAAGCTACCAAGGCTTGGGGCTTGCACCATCCAAAGCAATGGTCTGAGCTCTATGTTGGCCCCTTTTAGCCCCTGCTGGGATGCAGGGCACCAACTCCTGAAACTGCAAAAAGCAGCATGGTCCTGGGCCCTGCTCACAAAACCATTTTTTTCTCCTAGGCCTCTGGGCCTGTGATGGGAGGGGTTGTCCTGAAGACCTCTGACATGCCCTGGAGACCTCTGACATGCCCTGGAGACATTTTCCCCATTGTCTTGGTGATTAACATTTGGTTTCTCATTACTTGTGCAAATTTCTGCAGCCAGCTTAAATTGCTCCCCAGAAAATGGGTTTTTCTTTTCTATCAAATCATCAGGCTGCAAATTTTCTGAACTTTTATGCTCTGCTTCCCTTTTAACATAATTTCCAATTCCAAACCATATATTTGTGAATATATAAAATTGAATGCTTTTAACAGCACCCAAGTCATCTCTTGAACGCTTTGCTGCTTAGAAATTTTTTCCACCAGATGCCTTGAATCATCTCTTTCAAGTTCAAAGTTCCACATCTCTAGGGCAGTGGCAAAATGCCACCAGTCTTTGAGCTATAACATAGCAACAATCACCTTTGCTCCTGTTCCCAACAAGTTTCTCATCTCTAGCTGAGACCACCTCAGCCTAGATTGTATTTTCCAAATCACTATCAGCATTTTGGTCAAAGCCATTTAACAAGTCTCTAAGAAGTTCCAAACTTCCCCACATCTTCCTGCCTTCTTCTGAGTCCTCCAAACTGTTCCAACCTCTGTCTGTTTCCCAGTTCCAAAGTCACTGCTACATTTTTGGTTATCTTTACAGCAGCACCCCACTCTACTGTGTAATACCAATTTACTGTATTAGTTGATTCTCACACTGCTAATAAAAACATACTTGAGACTAGGTAATTTATAAAGGAAAGAGGTTTAATGGACTCACAGTTCCACGTTGCTGGGAAGGCCTCACCATCATGACAGAAGGTGAATGAGTAGCAAAGGTACATCTTACATGGTGGCAGGCAAGAGAACTTGTCCAGGGGAACTCTCATTTATAAAACCATTAGATCTCATGAGACGTATTTACTACCATGAGTAGGGTATGGGGGAAACTGCTTGCATGATTCCATTATCTCCACCTGGCCCCACCTTTGATGCATGGGGATTATATAATTCAAGGTGAGAATTGGGTGGGGACACAGCCAAACCATATCAGCAATTATTTTTGAAATTTTATTTATGATATATGTTGATGAAGTAGAATTAGTCACTGGAATTAATAAAACAATTTTTTACTTTTTATTCTCCAGTCTCTGCAAACCTGTTATTTGAAAACTGAGTTAGATTTGATAGCTTATATCATTCTTCAGTCTTAAAAAGTTATTCCTAGCTTTAGTCACAAAAACATTCTCAGTCTAGCAATTAATATTTCTTATTCTGTACAGGACTAGATTATTATACAAGTTCATGCTTTTTTCTCTATAATCAGGAAAAGTGTTGGGAAAGGGAGCATTGTTTTCTTCTTACCCTGCAATTTCTCACTAACCATATGCTAACTGGGGCTAAAAATCTATTAAAGTGAATAGAGATTTCAATTTGTTAACAGGGATATACAATCTTTTCAAAAAATTCTTATATACAAAAAAAAGTACAGAACAGAAAGAGAGTGAAGGCAATTAACAGGAGAAAAGACAAAAAAAAATCGGAAGCAAAACTTAATAAGAAATGCAAAAACCATATGTGAAGAAACTTTCAAAATATTTGTATTAAGAAAATACAAATGTAGCCTTAAATAAATCAGAAAAAGAATTATTTCCTTAAATAGGAATTTTCAGAATCCTATTTATTTATTTTTAAGACAGAGTCTCACTCTATTGCCCAGGCTGGAGTGCAGTGGCACTATCTCGGCTCAGTTCAACCTCTGCCCCACTGGTTAAAGTGATTCTCCCACCTCAGCCTCCTGAGTAGCTGGGACTATGGGTGCACGCCATGATGCCCAGCTAGTTTTTCTATTTTTAGTAGAGACAGGGTTTCACCATGTTGGCCAGGCTGGTCTCGAACTTTTGACCTCAGATGATTCCCAGCTTGGCCTCTCAAAGTGCTGGGATTACAGGCGTGTGCCACTGCACCTGGCTTCAGCATCCTAAAGTGTCAGCATTGCCCAAGTTAATATATACATTTAATGCACTTCTGGCTGTGTTCCCAGTGCTCTGAAAGGGTTAGCAAAACCTCTTTTCTTTTTTCACAGGAAAATGATGATAATTCACCTTCTTTAGTACTTTTTCCTTTAAATCATGATAATGATGTAATGTCAGTGTTTGGCAGGAAACACTACTTTTAATAAAAATGACCCTATTTGGTTAACTGCATCTAGAGGACCATGGCTGCAATAAGGGAATACTATAGTGTGTTTATTTTCACTTACAATTTTAACATCTAATTTTATGTTATTATTACTTCCCCAAATAAAGTCTAAAGTCATTTTGTTTCTATGTCTAGGTATACTGTACAATATGCAGAAAGCCATTCAGTTATCTGTTTCTATACTTACTAATTCATTGATAGGAAGTCCAATATAAGGGTAGTTTTTATTATTTTAGTACAAGCATAAGCAATAATTTAGTTTGTTTTAACATATTTTTGAGAACATATTAAGTTGCAAATTGAAACTATTATATTAATTTTCTTTGAAATAAAGTAGAAATTACAACAATATCAGAAGCTATCTTTGCAAGCTTTGAGACCATAAGAGTGAGAAGTGGAAGTTGGACATACATTTAGGGTAACAATGCTGCCTTATTCGCATCTGGGGTATTCCACTATGCCTTCCCTACACACTGCTTGAAATGATAGAACTGATGTATTCGCATTATATCCCAATTTACACATAAATTCAATGGTATCCCCTGTTTTTGCATAATATTTTATGTCACTTTTTCCTTTTAACTGTATGTTATTTTTATTCATGTTTTCTTCAGTTATTATACATGGATCTGAAAGCAGAAAAAGAAACAATTAACAATCATAATCTTGCCTTTCATGAGCAAATAAAATGCATCCTAATGAGTAGTTTAGGATAAAATAAAATTATAAAATAATCCAAATAGTTAATAGTTATTAATTTGTGCTACATACTGACTTTAGCATTTCACAAATATAATAAGTTCAGTTGCACTTCCCCAACGTCACAGCAGAGATCATCAGGTGAGGTGATAAACGTGAACCCTGGCAGTCTTTCTCTAGAGCCTGAACTCTTCTTCCCTAAAACATGTTGTGTCCACCCTAGTGACTTCATATCAAAAAGGATTATGCTAACATGTTCCACTGGAGTCATGGTTACTTATCCTCCTTTCCCCCATTTGACAAGCCGTGACTACAAGCACTCCAAATGTACTCACATTTTGCTAATTTAATTCTATGTTTATATTTTTCTCTTATGCCCACAGTGTAGAAAAAGAACTGTAGAAAGGTATAATCTTTCTAATAGTCATCTATTAAAATAAAACTCTCTATATATACATACATACATACATACATACATACACCTCAATATCTGTCAATTATCTCTCTCTCTATCACCATCATCTATCCCTGTCATCTTCATTTTCTATTTTAAAGAGGCAAGGATAAGCACACAGGAGTTAATGTGAATCCCTACATGATTATGGACAAATTACTCTATCTCACTATGCCTTCATCTGTAAAATCAGTAAGATAATGTTACTTCCACATATGGGTTTTCTTTTATAAAATTCTTTTGTAAAAAAATTTATAATTTTTTTTTAAGTTCCAGGGTACATGTGCAGGATGTGCAGGTTTGTTCCATAGGTAAATGTGTGCCATGGTGGTTTGCTGTACCTATCAACCCATACCCTAGGTATTAAGCCTAATTCTTACATGATAAAAATGTCAGTTCTTACATAGCAAGCTTTTCATTTTTGATGATATCATTCACTCACCTATCTCTTCTTTTGACTCAAGTATTCTGCATTCTAGTTTAGCCCTTATTAGCATTAGCATTTCTTTAGAAATTTCCCCAATCATATTTTAATACATCTTTCAAGTACTTACTTAAATAAATTTCTTAACATAGTACATATCACTTTTGAGATCCAAAAAATTTTAAGAGCTCTTCAATACATTCAGAGGCTGTTTACAATTCAAAAATAAATATTATTTGAACTCTAAATACTTCTCCAAACATATTTTCCAAAACTTTCTAAAGTTTCCTGCTGCCTGGGAAAGTTTTCCTCATTGCTTTAATATGCCATATGTATATGTAATCTTTTCCATAAGGTTGCCTTTTTCCCTAGAATTCTGTGCTTGAATGCTCTTTGCTTCTTTAGTTTTGAAGACTGAAAGTCTTGCTTGTATCATGGAACTGATCTTGTATCTTCAGATAATTATAATCCTTTCCTGTTCTTGATTGTGAGAAGAGGTAATGCTTTTGCTGTGAAACCCATCTTAGGAGTGTCCATCTCCCCATTCAATCAAATTTGAGACTCAGAATTTATCTCTGAAACCTAACACTTTTCTATGAAATCAAGTTTGAAGATACTTGTAAACTATTTTGATTTGAGGATACTAATTTCTTCTTCAGTCTTGCCACTTGCATAGTTTGGAGCTCAAACTTGGACATGATCATCTACAGAAGTGGATACCTAAGTAGGGGACAATAATTAAGGTTTAGCCCATTGTAAGATCAGCCAAAATATCAGCGTCATCAGTCAATATGAAAGGTAAAAGGTAGCATAGCATCAAAATAAAGGAAATGAGTCACATCACAGAAAAGAACGGCTTGTATCATCCTTTACTTAGGAACTTGAGCACTTGAAAAACTCATGAACTTATAGTTTAAGAGCTGTGATAGGAATAGGTTATCTGACATGCAAGGACTGATGGGTATCCCAGGGCTCTACCTCATAGGCTAGTAGAAACTTGTGGCAAGTTTTCTTTTAGGTTTTCTTGTTGTTGCCATAATTATTGTGCCTTATATTTTTTTGAATTGTGTTGCTTCAAGTTCATAGTACTTGGGGGACAAAATTCTAGAAGTATACCTATATTACTGGCTTGAGGGGTTTTTAGTGTATTCATTTTGATTATGGTATAAGGGAAGAGGAGAATAAGGTAAAAATGGAAAAGCAATGGGTTGTGGAAATGGCTGAAGTTTCGTTAATTTCTTTGTTGCTTGCTAGGAATACTGATAAAATATAAGTAAGAATAATAATCAGAGAAAGAACTTCTCAGTGTTAACCAGCTATGTATTCTATCCGGAAAAATTTCATGTTTTCAAGGAGGATTTAATAGTTCGTGGTTTTTTGAAACAGTGTTTTCATAACTGTTTGAAAACTCTACCTCAGTGTTAATAATGTGAAAATGATTACTGGTGTTAAGCTGAGATGCCATATTTCATATGTGCGCAATAAATGGATGTCATTCTTGAAGACTCATTGTATCCATTAACAAATTGAAGACTCTGAACATTCTTGGTTTTTTCTTTTTCTCTTTTTCTTTTCTTCTTCTTCTGTTTTATTTATTTATTTTTTATTTTTTATTTTTTTATTTTTGGAGACGGAGTCTCCCTCTGTCCCCCAGGCTGGAGGGCAATGGTGCAATCTCCGCTCACTGCAACCTCTGCCTCCCGGGTTCAGATGATTCTCCTGCCTCACCCTCCTGAGTAGCTAGGATTACAGGCATATGCCAGCATGCCTGGCTAATTTTTGTATTTTTTGTAGAGACAGGGTTCACCATGTTGGTCAGGCTGATCTCGAACTCCTGACCTCGTGATCTGCCTGCCTCGGCCTTCCAAAGTGCTGGGACTACAGGCGTGAGCCACCACCCCAGGCCGACATTCCTGTTTTAAAAAAGAAACTTGGTCATTGTTTACATGGAATTTTCCAAGCTTATACACTTATATATTAAGATCTGAAAGGCAAACATTCAGCAGAATAGCTGTTTGTGAACACAGTTCTAGGGTAATAACCCATAAAAATTCTAGTATAAAAAAGCAAATATCAAACTTATTACTCTGATTTTCTCAGGATCTAGAATTTTAAGAACTTACGTATGCATCTTGGTGGTTCCGACCACTCTCCATTACTACATGTTACATAATTAGAACCCTGAAGTTCATAGTAGGACTGGCATTGGTACTCGACTCTTGACTGTGGCACATACACTTTTAGTAGAAAGGAGGTGGTATCACCATTGCTAATAGGTGGAGGAGGCCCACACTTTTCTGAAGAATCTGAAAAAAAATACTTTATATGTGGGGAAAAATCAATAGTCTTATTGGAAACTTTCTAAATAAAGCTTTTTATATACTCTTAACTGTATCTTATTTGATTTCTTAGGAAGACATCTGCATTTTCAATGTTGTTTTTTTTTTTTTTAAGTCTCAAGATAATTCACACTCATAGGAGGACTACATATATATGTACATATATGTACACACATATGTGTACATATACATATGTAGGTGTCTATTATTTTATTTAATTCTAATAAAAAATACTTGAATAAAATACTTACTATAACATGTTGGGAAATGGGACCACCCATCTTCACCACACACTATGGAACCTGTGGTGTTTCCATAACTGATTTCATATCCATCGTAGCATTCGTAGTCCAATGTGTCATGGAGCTTAAACCGCATGCCATTACTCTTGGCTCTGGAATTCTCAAAAACAGGCATATCACAAAATTCTGAAACAAAATAAAATTGAGGATTGCTTTTCTATGCCATACGATGCACAACTCAACTAAGAAAGTCCCATTGTAGGGATAAAATTTACCAATCAGTGTGTGCTAATAAATTGAGTACTATTAAAAATAGTCTGACAATCAGTGCTTTTTGTGCTATAATAGTTAATTACAATAGTTAAATATATTTCTCTCTGTATATTCTTTCTTATCATTCAAATCCTGTGAAAATATATTAGAAACATTTGGTCAGACCTATTTTTATTTGTGAAAAATCTCATTGGCTGTTATTAAAGTCTACTACTATGATACTACAATCTATTATTTTAAAGATGATAAAATTTTGTGAATTTAAAAGTTAACGAAACCATTTATGTAGTTATGTAACGATTTACTAACAGTAAGGGTGTATATATTAGATAAAAATTATATTAATTGGATATAAGTTCTATAAAAATTTATGAAGCATCCTGTCTTTTATTTTACAAGTTTTAAAGTAGATCATTTATCAAAGCTGAGTAAAATTGAAGTATACACCTTTTTCTTTACACAGAGCCCATGATAAGCATAGAAATTGAAAACAGTATTCTAGAAATGTAGGAATTGATATAGCCCCCAAAACTCATGGTAACATTGAGATAATCACTTTGTAAATGTGTCTTTCTTTTTTCTCACTTAGCCTAGTATTTTTGAGAGTCATCCATGTTGTATTATGTATCAAGGTTCCATATTATCTCATGGCTAAAAATAGTTGAATTGTACCCTTGATAATGAAGTGGATTTGGGAGTATGTAAATTATACAACAGTATCTGGGTTAAAAATACATTAGGCAATTTATCTTTAAAAATCTTTGTGAATATATAAAGAGGAAAGAAAAAAAATCAACTTTTGCCACTGAAAGATTTCCTTTGTTCATTATGCAATCTCTTTATCATAATAAGTAAAGGTCGAGCATGTTCAGAGAACTTTACATGTAAAGAATCCATTGGCAGGTAGGAGGTTTGTAAACATTCAGCCCACCCACCTACCCTTTTCCTTTACTTGTTTTCTCTGTAGTAAACAATAGGGTAGAGATAATTTTTTGATTGGATATCCTCAGTAGCATCATTGATACAAATTATTATGGTCTGATTCTCCTGATGCTAGCAGAAATTCAGAATTAAGCACTCATTTCTCCCCCGACATGTACAGCTTTTCTGAGTGTGAGCAAGGAATGCAATACAAGCAGTTGATAATTTTGAAATACAAAGAAAGGGAAAACAACGAAGTTTTTAATGGCAACTAACACATTTTGCTGTTATTCTCATGCAGCTCCCTAACTAGTCTGTACATGATAAGATTGCTTTTATGTAAAGGCAGATTGAGTTGTAAGAGATGAAATGATCATCTTCCCAAGTAGCCATTACTCTAAACATGCAAAAGACTTAATTTGGCACAGAATGTTGAATGGTTTTAGAAGTATTTGTATCTCTTTACTCCTAAAAGTGTTTTCTATATTTTTAAGTAAAACACTATCATCTCAAAGAGAGGAACGAAGTTGACAGAAACTGAATGGGAATATGTAAATCACTTACTAATGCAAATTGGTTGTGCTGACCATCCATTTTGCAAACATGTAATTGAACCTGAAGAATTTCCATCTGCTGTTGCATATCCTGGTTTACATTTATATTGTATTTCTTTATTTAAAATATAAATAGAGGAAGATTCAGAAATGAATCCATTTTCAATTTCTATATCTGATTTTGAGCATGTTCCTAAAATAGAAAAAGTAGAGAAAAAAGTAAATATTTGTTGAATACTTCTTTTATAGGAGGGAACAAGTAAAAACATGGCAATATGGCAAAACAATGAAACATTTGTTAATGAATTGAAAACAGCAAAACTGGAAGTTTCCTAGACATCCGTGTTCTTAAAGGAAACCACGAATTTCTGAAGGAAATGTTGAAGACACAGGGAAGGGCAGAATAAAAGCAAAGAATCCTTGAGACTGTCAACAGAGCTCTGGCGGGCCTTAAGGAATGCAGATCTAGCAGACTCTCAAGTCCCTAATGATATTTTGGAAGACTTTCTGGCTACTTTGCAACAACCTGAGTATTTTTGGTACTATTAAGGGGTCTTAAACCTCCTTAAGTCAAATGCCATTTCCCAGGCAAAGATACGGTACACACTGCTACCATAGGCAAGAAAGTAATTTTGTAAATCCTTTGTCTCCAAGAATTTAAAGTGGTCGTCATCTTAAGTGGGTGCTTAAACCCATATAGACGTGGTGTTTGAGAGGCATGTGGAAATGTAAGCAGAAAAAAGAAAGCAAATAAGATAGCAAAAATAAGTTCTAATATATTAGCAATGTATTTGTTCTTTATATATTAGTAATGTATGTGTTCTATACATTACTAATGGGTATATGTATAAGGTAGTAATTATTTTAGTAATGTATATGTTTTAAGATATTAGTAATGTATATGTTCTTTTCTAATTAGTAATTAGAAAACAAATGTAAATGGACTAATTTTACTATCTGAAAGAAAAATCATGTTAAAGATGATGCATATTTATAATATAGCATTTGTCATAATCATGAGTTTTCTGATCTATTCTTGCCTACTTTCCTATTAATCTCCTCCAGCCTCTAAACTACAGTGTTCAGTTTCTATTGTAAACAGTTTTATTTTCAATACCTATAAAGTGCTTGACACACAACAATATTTATTAGGTGGATTAATGATAGAGTTGGTGCCTATGGCAGGAGAAAAAGGGACTTTTCTTTCAGTGGCTTAGGCCTATTGTTGAGGACAGTTGCTCTTACAAAGGGGTAAGAAGATTCCCATTGTCTTTCATCTCAATTATATCATAATATTCATATGGTTTCTATAATGGAATGTTTGGTAAATTGCAAGCAATACACACAAACAACTTTCAGAGACCCCTTTACCTAAAAAGTGAAAGTCAGCTATAACTGAAGATCAGCCTTAATTTAAAGCAACAGAGCATTAACTATAAAAATAGATATGACATAATTGTGAGAGATGTAGCAGTGACCTTTGGGCAAGCATTATATTTATTTTTAAATTAATGCTATAATTTTATAATCTACTTAAATCAATGCATTTAGCATGATTTCAATATAAATACTGAAGCAATGTTACTTTAATCCGTAGTCTATTTATTTTGTGCTATTCATGATTTATATTTCTATTGTTACTTGACTATTAAGTGACAGAATCCACTCATTATCCAGAAATTATAAATGTATTCAGACACATTTGGAACTGAAAGCTAGCTAGGCTTCTATTTAAAAATAAAAAAGACATATATTCAGCTTGAGAGTTGATATACAAAATTTTCCAGTTAAAGGTGTAGATCTTAGACAGTTAAGGACATACTGGGGTCTCAAACAAGTGGACTAACTGACACGAATGCATCTGGGAGGAGGAGACCATTCATCCTCTGTACATGGAACTGTGGTCTGCACATTTGAAAGACTGTAGCCAGGATATCCTCAACTTTTACAGACTGACTCTGTAAAGATATTCCTTCATATTTTGTGTTATATCCATTCTCCAAATAACTGAGAATACATTGTCCTAAAGACCATAAAATGATTAAAAGGTAGATTAGAAACATGAATTTGATCAAAATAGTATATTAAAATAATTTTTTGAATATTTAAATAAGACTGCATCAGTACACAAAAATGACGTATCACTGAAGGAAAACTAAAGCTACTACTAAATGTTTGTACAAAAAGGTCAGTATTCAATGTTACTTATCTTTAGTTTTTATGATAAAATATGTTTAAATTATATAGGTATTCTCATAAGGTTCCTATATTTATTTCTCATGTGATTTTCATGAAGGTCTCATAACAGAAAAGATCTAGTTTGGTGTTTTTGCATGAACAACTCTTCCTTTGGTACCATCTCTGTCATATAAGACAATGTAATCATTTGTTTGCTCTTCTCTCTCCATTCTTTGCAAGTTTTATGCACATATTGTTGTAAAGAGGTTTGCTTACTGAGGCATGGGACTGTTGGCAACCACCCATCTTGTGTGCAGTGAATGTAATCCCAGTAACTTCCTGAAGGAGTCACAAAATTTTGGTCACAGTAATAGGAGTAAGATTGTCCTGTAGCTACTGGAAAGTATGGTCTACGCGTATTCTCATAATATAGATGTCCATGTTGAATTTCTGGAAACTCACAAGGTTTCATTGCTTGTAACAAAAAACAAAAATAGTATAAATAATGTTTCACTGTAACAGACAATGATATAAGAGATGACTGTTTTGATTATGTTACCTTCCAAATAATGTTTTTTTTTTTCTTTACTTTTTTTTTTTTTTTAGATGAAATTTCGCTCTGTCTCCCAGGCTGGAGTGCAGTGGTGCGATCACTGCTCACTGTGACCTCCGTCTCCCAGGTTCAAGTGATTCTCCTGCCTCAGTCTCCTGAGTGGCCGGCACTATGGGCACACACCACCACGCCCATCTAATTTTTGTAATTTTAGTAGACACAGAGTTTTACCATATTGGTCAGGCTGGTCTCGAACTCCTGACCTCAGGTGATCGACCTGCTTTGGCTTCCCAAAGTCCTGGGATTACAGGTGTGAGCCACCGCGCCTGGCTGGTTTTCTTTTAGATTTTTTTTTAAATTTTATAATTATTTTTTAAGTTCCCTGGATACATGTGTAGGATGTGAAGGTTTGTTACATAGGTAAATGTGTGCCATGGTGGTTAGCTCCACCTATCAACCCATACGCTAGGTATTAAGCCCAGTTCTTCCATGGTAAACTTTTCATTTTTGATGATATCATTCACTCCTCTTCTCTCCTTTTGATGCAAGTATTCTGCACTCAAGTCTAGCCCTTATTAACATTAGTATTTCTTTAGAAATTTCCCCAAATCATATTTTAATCCATCTTTCAAGCACTTAAATAAATTTCTTAACATAGTACATATCACTTTTGAAATCCAAAAATTTTTAAGATCTCTTCAATACATTCAGGGGCTGTTTACAATTCAAAAATAAATATTATTTGAGCACTACATACTTCTCCAAACATATTTTTCAAAAGTTTCTAAAGTTTCCTGCTGTTCTGGAATGTTTTCCTTATTACTTTAATATGCCATATGTATATGTAATATTTTTCATAAGGTTGCCTTTTTCCCTAGAATTCCCTGCTTGAATGCTCTTTGCTTCTTTAGATTTTAAGACTGAAAGTCTTGCTTGTGTCATGGAACTGATCTTATGTCCTCAGATAATTATAATCCTTTCCTGTTCTTGATTATGAGAAGAGGTAATGATTTTGCTGTGAAATCCATCTTAGGAGTGTCCATCTCCTCAGTCAATCAAATTTAAGACTCAGAATTTATCTCTGAAACCTAATACTAAATTTTTCCTATGAAATCATGTTCAAAGATACTTGTAAACTATTTTGATTTGAGGATACGAATTTTCCTCTGCAGTCTTGCCACTTGCATGGTTTGGAGCCCGGACTTACACATGATCATCTACAGAAGTGGATACATAAATAGGGACAATAATTAAGGTTTAGCCCATCATAGGATCAGCCAAAATATCAGCATCATCAGTCAATATAAAAGGTAAAAGGTAGCATAGCATCAAAATAAAAGAAATGAGTCATATCACAGAAAAGAACTGCTTGTATCATCCTGTACTTAGGAACTTGAGCATTTGGAAAACTCGTGAGTTTACAGTTTAAGAGCTGTGACAGGAATAAGTTATCTGATATGCAAGGCCTGATGGGTATCTCAGTTCTCTACCTCATAGGCTAGTAGAAATTTGTGGCAAATTTTCTTTTAGGTTTTCTTTTTGCTGCCATAATTATTTTGGCTCATATTTTTTGAATTGTGTTTCTTCAAGTTCATAGGATTTGTGGGACAAAATTCTAAGAGTATACCTGTATTACAGACTTGAGGGCTTTTTAGTGTATTCATTTTCATTCTGGGACGAGGGGAGAGGAGATGAAGGTGAAAACAGAAAGCATTGGCATTTGGAAATGGCTGAGCTTTCTGTTAATTTCTTTCTTTCTTGCTAGAAATACTGGTAAAGTGTAAGAAAAAAACAATAATCAGAGAAAGAACTTCTCAGTGTTAACTAGCTATGTGCTCTATCAGGAAGCATTTCAGGTTTTCAAGTAGGATTTTAGTTAATAGTGCATGGTTTTTATTATACTTTAAGTTCGGGGTACATGTGCAGGACATGCAGTTTTTTTACATAGGAATACATGTGCCATGGTGGTTTGCTGCACCCATCAACCCATCACCTACATTAGGTGTTTCTCTTAATGCTATCCCTCCCCTAGCTCCCCATCCTGTGACAGACCCTGGTGTGTGATGTTCCCCTCCCTGAGTCCACCTGTTCTCCTTGTTCAGTTCCCACATCTGAGTGAGAACATGTGGTGCTAGGTTTTCTGTTCTTGTGATAGTTTGCTGAGAAGGATGGTTTCCAGCTTCCTCCATGTCACTTTTGACATGGACATGAACGTATCCATTTTTATGGCTGCATAGTATTCCATGGTGTACATGTGCCACATTTTCTTTATCTAGTCTGTCATTTGGGTCTGGACATTTGGGTTGGTTCCACATCCATGGTTTTTAAAACAGTGTTTTCAAAACTCTTTGAAAACTGTTTACCTAAGTATTAATAATGTGAAAATGGTTATTGATGTTAAGGTGAGATGCTGTATTTCATATGTGTGCAATAAATGGATATCATTCTTGAAAACTCATTGTGTCCATTAACAAATTGAGGTCTCTGAACATTCCTGTTTTTAAAAGGAAACTTTGTCATTGTTTACATAAAATTTTCCAAGCTTATACACTTATATATTAAGATCTGAAAGGCAAATATTCAGCAGAATAGCTGTTTGTGAACACAGTTCTAGGGTAATAACCCATAAAAATTTTAGTATAAATAAACAAGGATCAAAGTTATTACTCTAATTTTCTCAGATCCAGAATATTAAGAACTTACATATGCATCTTGGTGGTTCTGACCAGTCTCCATTACTACATGTTACATATTTAGAACCCTGAAGTTCATAGTAGGACTGGCACTGGTACTCGACTCTTGACCATGGCAGATACACTTTTTGCGGGAAGGACGTGGTATCTCCATTGCTAATAGGTGGAGGAGGCCCACAGTTTTCTGAAGAATCTGAAAAAAAATACTTTACATTGGGGAAAAATCAACAGTTTTATTGGAAACTTTCTGAATAAAGCTTTTTATATACTCTTAAATGTATCTTATTTGATTTCTTAGGAAGACATTTGTATTTTCAACCTTTTTTTTTAAGTTTCAAGGTAATTCACACTCAAATGAGGACTACATGTATATGTACACATATGTATTCATACACATATGTGTACATATACATATGTATGTTTCTATTTGTTTAATTCTAGTAAAAAGAAATACTTGAATAAAATACTTACTATAGCATGTTGGCAAATGGGACCAGCCATCTTCACCACACACTATGGAATCTGTGGTGTTTCCATAACTGCTTTCATATCCATCATAGCATTCATAGTCCAATGTGTCATGGAGCTTAAACCACATGCCATTACTCTTGGCTCTGGAATTCTCAAAAACAGGCATATCACAAAATTCTGAAACAAAATAAAATTGAGGATTGCTTTTCTATGCCATATGATGTACAACTCGACTAAGAAAGTCCCATTGTAGGAATAAAATTTACCAATCAGTGTGTGCTAATAAATTGAGTACTATTAAAAATAGTCCGACAATCAGTGTTTTTTTTGTGCTATAACAGTTAATTACAAGAGAAAAATACATTTCCCTATAATGATCCTTCTCATTATTCAAACCCTATGAAAAACATATTAAGACTATTTAGTCAGATCTATTTTTATTTGTGAACACCTCATTGACTGTTATTACAGTCTACCTTTATCACTATAATGTATTATTTTAAAGAAGATAAAATTTTGTGAATTTAAAAGTTAATGTACATATTTATGTACTCAGTTTACTGACAGGGTTTATAAGTTGGATTAAAATTATATTCATTGGATATACGTTCTATAAAAATTTTAAAGCATCTTTTATTTTACAAATCTTAGATCATTTATCAAAGCTGGTCAAATCAGATTGAAGTGTACAGCTTTGTCTTTTGCAGAGCCCGTGATAAGCATAGAAATTGAAAACAGTATTCTAGAAATGTACGAATTGATATTTTATAGCTCCCAAACCTCAGAGTAACTTTGAGATAATCACTTTCTAAGTGTAGCATTTTCTTTTTTCTCACTTAGATTAATATTTTTGAGATTCATCCATGTTCAATTACATATCAGTAGTCCTTTCCATTTCGTCTCATGGCTAAAAATAGTTGAATTGTACCCTTGAAAATGAAGTGGATTTTGCAGTATGTAAATTATATATCAATATGTGTGTTAAAAATACATTAAATGATTTATCTTTACAAATCTTGGTGAATGCCTAAAGAGGAAAGACAAAAAAGATAAACTTTTGCCACTGCAAGGTTTCCATTGTTCATTATGCAATCTCTTTATTAATAAATAATTACAAGTTGGGAATGTTTTAGAGAACTTTAGTTGTAAGGAATCCATTGCCAAGTATGAGGTTTGTAAACATTCAGCCCACCCACTTACTCTTTTTCTTTACTTGTTTTCTCTGTACTAGACAATAAGCTGGAAATAATTTTTTGAGTTGGTTCTCCTCAGTTGCATCATTGATACAAATTATTGAAGTCTCATTTTCCTGATGCTAGCAGAAACTCAGAATTAAGCACTCATCCCTTCCCTAACATGTACATCTTAAGAGTGTGAGCAAGGAATACAATACAAGCAGTTGATAATTTTGAAATACAAAGAAAGGGAAAAGAACAAAGTTTTTATTGACAAGTAATACATTGTGCTGATATTCCCATGCAGCTCCCTAACTAGTCTGTACCTGATGGGATTGCTTTTACGTAAAGGCAAATTGAATTGAGAGAGATGGAATGATCATCTTCCCAAGTAGCCATTACTCTAAAAAGGCAAAAAAGACTTAGTTTGGCACAGAATGTTAGATGATGTTAGAAGTATTTATATCTCTTTACTCCTAAAAGTGTTTTCTATCTTTTTCTGTAAAACACTATCACCTCAAAGAGAGGAAAGAAGTTGACAGAAACTGAGTGGGAATATGTAAATAACTTACTAATGCAAATTGGTTGTGTTGACCATCCATTTTGCAAACATGTAATTGATCCTGAAGAATTTCCATCTGCTGTTGCATATCCTGGTTTACAATTATATTGTGTTTCTTCATTTAAAATATAAATAGAGGAAGATTCAGAAATGAATCCATTTTCAATTTCTACATCTGATTTTGAGCATGTTCCTAAAATAGAAAAAGTAGAGAAAAAAGTAAATATTTGTTGAATACTTCTTTTATAGAAGGGAACAAGTAAAAACATGGCAGTATGGTGAAACAATGAAACATCTGTTAATGAATTGAAAACAGCAAAACTGGAAGTTTCCTAGACATCTGTGAATTTTGAAAGAAAATAGTGAAAACACAGGGAAGGGCAGAATAAAAGCAAAGAATCTTTGAGACTGTCAACAGAGCTCTGGCAGGCCTTGAGGAATGCAGATCTAGCAGACTCTCAATTCCCTATAATTATTTGGAAGAGTTTCTGGCTACTTTGCAATAACCTGAACCTTTCTGGTGCTATTAAGAGGTCTTAGACTTCATTTAGTCAAATGCCATTTCCCAGGCAAAGATACAGTACACACTGCTACCACAGGCAAGGAAATAAATTTGTAAATCTTTTGTCTCCAGGAATTTAAAATAGTTGTCATCTTAAGTGGATGCTTAAACCCATATAGCCATGGTGTTTGAGAGAAATGTGGAAATGTAAGCAGGAAAAAACAAACAAGATAGCAAAAATAAGTTCTAATATATTAGTAATGTATATGTTCTTTATATATTATCAATGTATGTGTTCTATACATTACTAATGGGTATATGTATAAGGTAGTAATTATTTTAGTAATGCGTATGTTCTAACTTATTAATAATGTGTATGTTCTTTTTTGGTTAGTAATTAGAAAAAAATGTAAATGGACCAATTTTACTATCTGAAAGGAAAATAAATCATGTTAAAGATGATACATGTTTATAATAAAGCATTTGTCATAATCATGAGTTTTCTGATCTATTCTTGTCAACTTTTCGATTAATCTCCTCCAGTCTCTAAACTACAGTATTCAGTTTCTCTCGTAAACAATTTTATTTTCGATACCTATAAAGGCACTTGACACACAACAATATTTGTTAAGTGGATTAATGACAGAGTTGGTGCCTATGGCAGGAGCAAAAGGGACTTCCCTTCCAGAGGCTTAGGCTGTTGTTGAGGGCAGTGCTTCTATGAATGTGTAAGAAGATTACCATTGTCCTTTATCTCTATTGTATCCTAATTATCATATAGTTTCTATAATGGAATGTTTTGTAAATTGCAAACAATACACACAAACAACTTTCAGAGACCCCTTTACCTAAAAAGTGAAAGTCAGCTATAACTGAATGTGTCTTCATTTAAAGCGACAGAGCATGAGCATTAGCTATAAGAATAGATGTCATATAATTGTGAGAGATGTACAAGTGACCTTTGGGCAAGCATTGTTAATTAATGCTATAATTTTATAATCTACTTAAATCAATGCATTCACTTTGATATAAATACTGAAGCAGTGTTACTTTAATGTGTATTTAGTGTATTTTGTGATCTTCATGACATATGTGTGTGTGTGTATATATATACATATATATATATATGTGTTTTTTTCTTTTCTTGAGACAGAGTCTTGCTCTATCACCGAGTCTGGAGTGCAGTGGTCTAATCTCAGCTCACTGCAACCTCCGCCTCCCTGGTTCAAGCCATTCTCCAGCCTCAGCCTCCTGGGTAGCTGGGATTACAGGCATGTGCC
This sequence comes from Homo sapiens, assembly GCF_000001405.40. Taxonomy (NCBI): domain Eukaryota; kingdom Metazoa; phylum Chordata; class Mammalia; order Primates; family Hominidae; genus Homo; species Homo sapiens. Next base: position 668,618 of record NW_025791754.1, on the reverse strand, counting down.
ACTGCACACGGCTAATTTTTGTATTTTTAGTAGAGACAGGGTTTCACCATGTTGACCAGGTTGGTCTTGAACTCCTCACCTAAAGTGATCTGCCCGTCTCGGTCTCCCACAGTCCTGGGATTACAGGACTGAGCCACTGCGCCTGGCCCCTGACTTATATTTCTATTGCTGCTTGGCCCTATTAAGTGACAGAATCCACTAATTATCCAGAAATTTTAAATGTATTCAGACACATTTGGAACTGGAAACTAGATAGGCTTCTGTTTTAAAATAAAAAGACATAAATTCGGCTTCAGAGTTGATGTACAAAATTTTCCAGTTAAATATCTAGATCTTAGACAGTTACGGACATACTGGGATCTCAAATGAGTGCACTAACTGACACGAATGCATCTGGGAGGAGGAGACCAGCTGTAAATACGTTCTTCCATATTTTTTATTATATCCATTCTCCAAATAATTGAAAATACATTGTCCTAAGGACCATAAAATGATTTAAAGGTAAATTAGAGACATGAATTTGATCAAAATAGTATATTAAAATAATTTTTGGAACATTTAAATAAGACTGCATCAATACTGAAAATGATGTATGACTCAAGAAAAACTAAAGCTACTACTAAATGTTTTTACAAAAAAGTCAGTATTCAATGTTACTTAACCTTAGTTTTTATGATAAAATATGTTTAAATTATATCGGTATTCTCATAAAGTTGCCACATTTATTTCTCATGTAATTTTCACGAAGATCTCATAACAAAAAAGATCCATTTTGGTCTTTTTGCTTGAACAACTCTTCCTTTGGTCCTATTTCTGTTATATAAGACAATATAATCATTTATTTGCTGTTCTCTCACTCTTTTCAAGTTTTATGCACATATTCTTGTAAAGAGGTTTACTTACTGAGGCATGGGACCGTTGGTGACCAACCATCTTGTGTGCAATGAATGTAATCCCAGTAACTTCCTGAAGGAGTCACAAAATTTTGATCACAGTAATAGGAATAAGATTGTCCTGCAGCTGCTGGAAAGTATAGTCTACGCAAACTCTTATAATATAGACCTCCATGTTGAATTTCTGGAAAATCACAAGGTTTCACTTCTTGTAATAAAAAACAAAAAACAGTATAAATAATGTTTTTCTATAACAGATAATCATATATGACATTTTTGATCAATAAATTATATTCTCTTCTTAGTGTAATGAATTAGGGGTTTTAGGGCAAGAAAAGTTACAGAAATCCAATGACCTAGATATGTGAAGAGCTGTTTGCTAATGAAGATTGAAGAAAACTGTGCAGACCTATTTAATGTACCCTCCATGAGTACATATATCGTAGCCCTGGTTGATTAGTGAGCTTCCTGGTTGAGAGATGAAGGCGCTTATTTTACCATTCAGCTCATCTGTCTTCTTTTTCTTTCTGTTCCATCCCATCAGAAATCAGAGCCCTGCCTGTTCTTCTCAGACCAACTCTAGAGTGGGAGATAGTAGTTTTTTGAGGATTTTAAAAAATTGACTGGAAGGAATGTAAAAACTACAGAGAAACAGGAATTTCTCATTGATCACATCACACAACAAAATAATATTGCTAATTCATGTCTCAAACCAGTTATTAAGACAAGATTTCTATCCTTTATTTAACCAGGAAAATGAACTAGGAATATTTCTTAATATCTAAATATCTAAGAGTGTAATAAGCATTTTTATTAATTTTTAATTTTGATTAGAAAATAAGATGTTTTTAATGTTTTATATACAATATTTTTTACAGTATATTTACAGTTTATTGAGGAATTTGTGTATATTGAATATTTGACATATATGTTTAAGCACTATGTTATTATAAGGCTTATACTCGATATTTCCAAAAAAAGTTTCCATTTCCATGGGATGATTCGGAGATAATTTACTACTTGTAATACCAGAAGAATATTCATTTTTTCTATGAAATATGATCATTGTTCAAGAAACCTTATACTACACATTATAAAAAATTCCAACATATGCACCACACACACACGCACAATATTGTTTATTATCTCCATTATTCTTTAGTCCACTGGTTTATTGTCTTTCTTTCTTATTTTTTCATTAGCGAGATTTTCAGGCAGTTTCTACAGTCTTGTTTTGTGGATTATAAATGTTGAATTCTTGCATCTCTTAAGTATCTTCATTTAAAAGATACGTGAGTAACTTCTCTAGGTATAGATTCTTGGCCTACAGTCCATATTTCTCTTCACCATTTTTTTTTTGCCACATTTTTGAAACTTCCAATGTGGAAGTTCAAATATTCATTCAGTTTCATTGCTTATAAATAGCATCTTAATTACTCTGATTTTAGGGTATAAACCCTCAGCTGTGCTGTTTTTGAAGCTTAGCTCAAGACTTCTTTCCCCTATTGCAATAGTCAAATAAAATCTGTCTTGTCATATTAACAAGTGTCAGATGAATAATTTGTCTTTAACACATCTGGCGTTCATCAATCTATTTCTTTTTGTTTGATTAGAAAAATTTTTCAACCGGTTTCTACAGATTAGTTATGCCGATTATAACTTTGAATCCTTGCATGTTGTAAATGTCTTTAACAAAGACCTGGGAACAATAACTTGTCTTTGTATAGTTTCTTGGCCTATATCCATATCTCTCATTGTTGATAGATTTTGCCCCCCATTTTTTGAACTTCCAAAGTTGAGCTTAAAATGCCTCATTTAGTTTCATTCCTTCTATGTTACATTCTGTTGTTTCCCCCCGACCACTGTTTGGATATTTGTATTATTTTCTCTTTACCTTTGAACTTTGCAAATTTCATCATGATACATTATGATACTTCAACATAGATCATTTAACACTAATTCCACCTTGGACAAGCTTGAGTCTTTGGATTTGCAGGAAGTGAGCCTTAAAAAACTCAATTAAAATTTCCATTAAGTGGTAGAGCAGAGATTTAAACTTTAGTTTTCTGATTTCAGAACAAGTATAGTTATCTATCTCATGATGGTGTTTCATAGAATGTAAATAACATAGTCTGCTGAGATTTCTTTTCAAAAAATCAAAAAGGAAGTATAATTAAAAGTAGCTATCATTATCATTAATACCACAAGCTTGAGCCACTTCATGACTTTTCTTTTTTACTGAGAAAATTTAAACCATTTTTATCTTTCTCATATGGTAGTTCTCTAAAGCAAAAAAAAAAAAAAAAAAAATTCCACCTATGATCTGATTGGCACTGAAGTCAGCAGAACTTAGAGCAGCCTCATTCTATTTCTTAGTCTTCTACCATGTGAATTGTAGACTCACAAGCAGTTATGATGGTTCTATCACAATGTTAACTCAAACTGACCTTAACGTTGATTAAAATACTCACTAATTTTTATAGTGGTTGCTAATCTGTTTGTACTAGTACTGCTGATTCCTTTGACCCAAGACCAGGATCTTACAGTTACCACTACTAAATTTAATTTTTTTAGATTTAGCTTTGCACGTAGGATTCTTCTGGAATTATGAATCTATACTAATGCAGATTCACTGTCACCATCTGCTGTAGCATTTCATTTGTGAATTTATACTGCATTTCTCCTAAACCGTTAAACTATGGGCAGACACAAAAGAGTAATGAAGCCTGAGAATAAAATGCTGTATCTGATAATCAGGTAAAACATTTAATAAAACTGCAAACTACTTGATAAATCATCAAACCAGTCAATTTCTCCATCTTTTCCACACAAATTTCAGAAGGTCACTTGCGAAATACTTTTGCAGAAAACCAGATATAGCTGGCATTCAGTTGGTCCAGAAGCATTTGGGCTGATCTAGCATTTTCATAAGCCAACTATAGAATAATTATTTATTTACCTTATAGTTTTTATGCACAGTGAAATTGGTTTCACAGTTACAATAGCTACCTTTCTTAAGAACTCATGCTTTTGACAATTCATCTGGGTTTGGGCACGATAATCCGAACACCTTGGGAGGCCAAGGTGGGAGGACTGCTTGAGGCCCAGTTTGAGATCAGCCTAAGCATCACAGCAAGACCTTGTGTCTACAGAATAAAAATAAAAAAGTAACTGGGCATGGTGGCACATGCCTATATTCCCAACTGCTTAGGAGGTTGCAGTGGGAAGATCATTTGAGCCAAGGAGGTCAAGATTGCAGCGACGTATACTGCGCTGCTGCACTCCAGCCTGGGCAACAGAGGAAGACCTTGTTTTAAAAAGAAGAGGAAAGAACATTTTTCTGTCATGGACTATCCACTTTAAGTATGGTTCACCTTTACAATGCACTGCAAGATAGAAAAAAAAAAGAATATGTTTGTAGAGACAGAAAAAATCTTGAAAAAGGCAAAGGAACCATCATAGAAATAAAACACCCTATTGACGTGAGAGACATTTTGCTACATTTGATGATTGTGGAAATTCCACAAATTCTTCAATACTCCTTCCTCAAAATAGTGGAGCCTAATTCTCCTCCACTTGTTGTGTGCTGGACTTAGTGACTCATTTCTGAAGAATAAATATGGCTCAGGTGAGAGTGTGTGACTAGGTGATAAATGACATGAAGGCTTCCTCCTACTCCTCACTCTCTCTGTCTTGAATCTTTAGCTCTGGAGAAATGTAGTTGCCATTCAAGCAACCTGTGGAGGGGACAATGTGGTAAGGTACTGGGACCTCCTACCAAAATCTGTGTGAGTGAGCCATGTTGGAAGCAGATCCTGCAGCCCAGCCAAGTTGTCAGGTCACTGCAGCCCAGGCCAACATCCTTGACAACGACACAGGAGAGCATCTGACACAGAACTAAACAGTAAAGTCACTCCCAAATGCCTGACCCACAAAATCTGTGAGAAAATAAAGGTTTATTGTTTTAAGCAAATATGTTTTTAGCAAAATATGTTTCACAACCATACATAACTAATATACTAGGCTTTAGAGGGTGCTAGTCTCACCCAGTGTATTATTTTGGACATTGGAAGAATAGAGAAATATCTATTCATATACACACATCCATCTGTATAATTCTGAGTAGCAAACATTAAAGAGAATTTTAGTTTACAATAATTGTTTTAAATTCTACTTAGAATTATCTACTTTGGAAAGCAAAGACTTCTCAAAACTCCATATACTAAAATATTGAAATTTATTGTCTCCCCTTTTTTTGTGTTTAAGAGAAAGTAATTTCAGATTTTAAATGTAAGTCAGTATATGGACTGGAACTTACTGCTACATCCTGGAGCACGTAGGTACCCACCCACTACTAGTGCATTTGCCCTGTTTCCCTGGGTTGTAGGATAAAAGCCATCTATAAACTCACATATGATTAAATCTTCAATTCTGTGTTTTGTCTTTTCAGGTGTGTAGACATCATTTTGAATATAAGGAGGATTACATTTTTTTTTTTCTGAAAAGAAAACGGCTGTGTGGACTATGTAGAAATCACTACCCATTAAAATAAAGTACATTCTTGCTAGAAACACAGTAAAAATGCAAATAAGGAAGGCCTGAGTAAGGACTTACAGTGTTAACCATCCATGTATTCCACACAGAAGTCTTTCAGCTTTTCTCCTTGAGTACACATATCTTAGCTCTGGTTGATTTAGTGAGAGTCTTTGATACGGAAAGGAGACAGGCAAATACTGGTTAGAAGAGGGCGATTCCCTGTCAAAGGCCCCACCCCGACCCTAAATGAGGACAGGCATGTCTGTTTTCCTGTCCAAAATGTTGCCTTTTGGCCCTCCATGCTCCTCATCCAGCCCCCATATAAACCCAACACCTTAGCGGGCACACATACGCGGCTGAACAATCACAGCGGAACAAGGCAGCAGAGAAAGAGAGAAGAGCAGGAATGTCTGGATGCCGAGGGAAATGAGTTCCGCTAGGGGAGGTCGGAGAAAAATCTGGCCGCTGGGTGGCCTAACTCCAGGGGAAGACCACCTTCCCACTCCATCCCCCACTTCGGGCTCCCTATCCAACTTGCTGAGAACCACCGCCATCACTCAATAAAACCTTGCAGTCATCCTTTGAGCCCGCATGTGATCCAATTCTTTAGGACCACTGGGCAAGAGCTCAGGATACAGAAGTCTGTCACACTGGCCCCAGGCTCTTGAGATAAGGCAGAGGGTCCATTGAGCGGATTAACACACAAGCCGTCTGCAGACAGCAAATCTGAGTTTTGTAACACGCGTCCACTTGGGCGTCTGTACTCACAGACGCCTACCCTAGACGCTGCCGTGGGGCCAGAGCTCAAAAGCACTCATGCCGGCCTCTGCACCTGCCCGTCTGCAAGCTGCCCCTAGGGGTTTGAGCTGCGGGGCGACAAAGCAGATAACACCCCTCTCGCACGTCCTGCGAGGGGAATCAGGGAACTCCCCCATTTCATCTTGATTGAAAGACAAAGGTGCTTTCACCAGTTCAGTCCTTTTCTTTTTTTCTTTCTGTTCCCTTCCATCGGAATTCAGAGCCCTGCCTTTTCTTCTCAGAACGACTCAATGGAGGGAGCTAGTAGTGTTTATGTTTGATACCTAATGTAAATGATGAGTGCAGCAAACCAACACAGCGTATTTATACATATGTAACAAACCTGCACGTTGTGCACATGTACCCTAGAACTTAAAGTATAATAATAATAATAAAAAAGATTAAATTCATTAGCTTGTTATTCTATTTACTGAAAGCAATCTAAGAAATATAGAAAAAGAAATCTGGGAAGATGGCGGAGGAGGAAACACCTGGAATCTGACTCCTCACCTTTACAGTTGCATGGCCAGAATTTGTCTGATTGTACTATTTTTGGAGTCTATTGAAGCCCTACAACTTCTAGGGATGACTTGGATCGTAAGTTGCACTCACATTCAGTCAATTTTAGCTCCTAGCACAGTGTCATATGTTCATACCACGCTCCTTAGCCACATGGCAGGCAGCTGTATGTGTATTTATGGAGCAACCTGCACATAGCAGCGGGGAGCCAGAGTGTCGAAAACAACTCGATTCTTCAAATATTTGAGATTTGTGCTCTGATTGCTGGGTTCTTTGATCACAGAGATGCAGACAGAAAGATAGGCGGCCATTGTTTTTCAGTTTTCTCCATTGTTGCAAGCCCCTCCCCTTGGCTGATGTGAATTTGTCCAAGGGGAGATACACTAGGATATTCCAAAGCAACCGCATGAATGGGGAAAATTAGAAAATGACTATGAACACTTAGCAAAAAGTGCAGGCTTGGAAAACACTGGAGACAACCTAAAGTCTATGCTACAGGCTAATTCTTGACACAGACATAGCCTACTATATTCAGACAAAAACAATAAATGAAAACAATGCAGGAAGCCCCTCAACAAACATGTAGAAGGAGGAGAATCTGATTCCCATTGTTACCCATTATTAGATTAAAAAGTTCAGTTTTCCACAAAAAGAATATTTTGGCAGCCAGACACTAAACACTAGGATGTTCCAAAGCAACTGCATGAATGGGGAAAATTAGAAAATGACTATGAACACTTAGCAAAAAGTGCAGGCTTGGAAAACACTGGAGACAACCTAAAGTCTATACTACAGGCTAATTTGTGACACAGACATAGCCTACAACATTCAGACAAAAACAATAAATGAAAACAATGCAGGAAGCCCCTCAACAAACATGTAGAAGGAGGAGAATCTGATTCCAGTTGTTACCCATTATTAGACTAAAATGTTCAGTTTTCAACAAAAAAATTATGTCATACAAAGAAATAGGAAAGTATGGCCTATTAAAAGAAAAAAAATAAACTGAAAGTTTCCCTGAAAAAGCTCTGATGGTAGGTCTATTAGAAACTTTAAAATAACTGTATTAAAGATACTGAAAGAAGTAAAGAAAGATGTGAAGAAAGAAAATGATGTATGATCAAAATGGAAATATGAATAAAGGGATAGAAAGCCTGAAAAGGAAACAAAAAGAAATTCTGAAAGTACAATAATTAAAAGGAAAAAAATCAAAAAAGAGATTCAGAGGCATAGTAGAGCAGGCAGATGAAAGAATTAACAATTTTAGAAAAACCAAAATTATTGAATCTGAATAACAGAAAAAGAAATTAAAGTATAAAGTGAAAAGAATCTAAGGAACATGGGACACCAGGAAGCAGACCAACACACACAAAGTGGATTTCGGAAGGAGAAGAGAAAGATGAATAGAGAATGTTTGAAGAAATAATGGCATTAATAGAGACCCTCAATAAGCTTAATGAACTTAATGAGATTAACTCAAAGAGATAGATATCAAGATACATTATAATCAAACTTTAATTTAATTAAGTTTTTTAATTTGTAGTGATAGGGTCTTGCTCTGTCACCCAGGGAGGAGTGCAGTGGTGTGATCATAGCTCACTGCAATCTCAAATTCCTAGTCTAAAGCAATCCTCCTGCCTCAGTCTCTTGAATTGTAAGGACTACAGGCATGCTCTACTATATCAGGCTAACTTTTTTCTTTAATATAATTTTTTTTGACAGGGTCATGCTCTGGCACCCAGGCCAGAATGCAATGATGTGATCACACCTTACTGTAGCCTCGACCTCCTGGGCTCAAGTGATCCTTCCACTTCAGCCTCTTGAGTAGCTGGGACTACAGGTGCATTTCACCATACCTGAATAATTTGTTGTTGTTGTTGTTGTTGTTGTTGTTTTTAGAGACAGGGTTTTGCCATGCTTGCCAGGCTGACCTCAAACTTCTGGCCTCAAGCAACTCTCCCCATTCAGTCTTCCAAAGTGCTGGCGTTACAGGAATGAGCCACTATACTTGGTCATAATCAAATTTTTAAATAGCAAAGACACAGAGAGAGTCTTGTATGCAGCAAGAGAGAAGCAATTTCTCACAGGTAAGTATTTCTTAGTCAGATTATTAGCAGATTTCTCATCAGAAGTTTATAGGCCAGAGGCATTGGGCCAATATGTTCAAAACGCTAAAAGAAAAAAAACGTCTTTCAACTAAGAATCCCATATCTGTCAAAAGTGTCCTTCAAAAGTGAAGGAGAAATTAATTCATTCCCAGATAAACAAAAGCTGAGGGAGTTTGAGACCACTAGACTTGCCTTTCAAGAAATGTCTAATAGAGTCCTGAAGGGTAAAGTGAAATAATACTAGACAGTAACTGGACATTGCAGGAAGAAATAATGACCTCAATAAAGGTAAATACATGGGCAATTTAAAAAGGCTAGCATTATGGTAACAATGGTTTTTGTCTCCATTTTTTGTTTTTCTATATGATTTAAGAGACCAGTGAAGTTTAGAAAAACAATTATTAACCTAAAAGCTTTTATTGTTGTAACTTTGGTTTAAAACTCCATATTTCATTTTCTACATAATTTAGGAAACCAATGCATTTAAGTGAATTATTAAGTTTTGGGCACATGATGTGTAAAGATGAAATTCTGTGACATTAACAACGGAAAAGGGGGGATAGAGCAGTTTTTCTATATTAGCGAAGTTAAGCAGGTGCAATTTAACTGAGAGTGTTGTAATATATAATAGGTGTAAATGAGAGTTAATATTCAGCTTCGGAGGAATTTTAAGAAACCATTGGAGAAATTTTTGTGTTATCTTCCCAGCTGTTAAGAGTTATCATGGAAGCACATAGAGAGATTAGGTCTGTGTCACCTGAGTCTTAGAATTCATGTAATAAACAAAATTCCCTTCTAAGCTACATTGAAAACAAAGTGTGAACAAGACATAAACTTTGGTTTATTAAGCTACTGAGATTTGGGAATACAGTTATTCCCAAATAACAAGCAAATCTGCTTCTTGTGTTGGTAAATCTTTTACATCTGAAGACAAACAATGGTATTACACATACCATCAGCCAAACATAAATCTAATGTGGGTTATCATTTTCTTGTGTTCATTAACCTCTTTCTAACATATTTTCTTAACAGTGCTTATAAGTGAAGATCGCTCAATTGTGTAGTGAAATATATTTTCCAAGGAACTGCTTGTGAGCTTAAGTCAAAAATTAAAAGAAAAATAAATTATAAAATCAACTCAAAAGATAATTGCAGTTTTTAAAATAGAGTATAATTAAAACAAAGTTTGTATGTGTAATTTTGAATCATACCACTTAAAATGTGGAAGGCTCAGAATAGATCAACTCTTCTACCACCAACCCCCATCCCAGCAACATATGGCAATATCTGTAAAGGTCACCCTTTTAGAAAGTCACTCGACCTCTGATTCGATGTTGGATAATACTGTTACCTGCTTCACTGACTGTGACAGTCCTCATCAAAAGCTAACTTGCTCCCCTTCGTAAGTGTTTTGAAATATCTCAAGACAGTCATTATAACGCTATAACTCTATCTTTTTGCATGCTTCTTACGCTACAATTTCTTTAACTCTTCAACTATCTATATATTGTCTTCTATGCTGTGATAGTTTGAAACCAATCATTTTAAAACGTGGTAGACTAAGTACAATATATTATTACAGATATGCTATTTGGTGGGTGAACCACGCAGTGGAGATTAATTTGTTGACACTGAAAAACACCATTTCCTTATGAAGCCTAAAAGAGATAGATGTTCCTCTCAGTACCACCATTGTCCATTAATATTAGGGTTATTAATGAAACTCTTCATTTTCTTCCACTTAACTGCATTGTTAGTTGAATGTTTCCTCATCTGATATTAATGGAATTTTCTTTTTAAAGCTAAATACACATGTTGTTTCCACTAGGTAAATCTGCCAACAAAAAAATAAAAATTCTTTTTGACTTGAATGCTTCATGAATGATTTATCTGTTCTTAACAGATAAATAATAAAGGCATTTTTGAAAGAAGTTAAAATTTTAATTAAAAATATGTTGCTGATTTTATTTCCTTTGAAGATTAGTTCTCTTGAGATAAATGGTATAGAATAATATTCTTTAAATGTATATATGAATTTCAATATAGACATAGGTTTGCTGTGATAGCTATTTTCTCTGAGTCAGCTGCAAAAATAACCCATGCCCTATTTATTCATAATATGGTAATTATTGACAGAACTTTTTTGGGGGGAAATTCATGTTAATCATTCTCATTACCTCTCTCAAAATTAACTGAACTTCTGCATTTGTGGTGTTCCCTTTCACTCAATTTTTCTATCAAAACAAAGAAACAAACAAACACAACAGGCACAAAAAAACCCTGCCAATAATCTTTGATATCATCTTCTCTCAACCATTTTCTTCTGGGATTACAGCAACCATAACTAATTTCCTGATCCTGACCTCTCATCTTTATAATCTATTTTCCTGTGTATAAATTAGTGATCCTTCATCTGGTCATTTTATTGCTCCACTTAAAATCCTTAGTGGCTCCCAAATCAGCTAACAAGACAAGAAGAACCTCATTCCACTTTATCCACTTCTCCTACGTAGTATGGTCTCTTCGGCAATTCTGGAAATTTTATCAGCGTTAATTTAAACTCAGCTTATCTAAAACTATACCAAGTTATGCTAAAGCTGTCAGTTCAGGTGCACACATTAGCAATAATTGTTTTTTGGAAAATAGAGAAAAGAAATATTACTATAACATAAGAAAAAATCTGAAATGTAGCAAATTATCTCCAGAAATAAAACATTTTGTTGAGTTTTGTGGCATTTTGTTTGTATTAGATGGCATACATTCTTACCATAGTTAGAATTCATGTATCAGGTGAGACATATTATTGATATAAAAATATAGGTCCACACACGAATATACATATATATTCATACATTCTATATGTATATTTATATATGTATATGTATATACAAAGAGAACATTGAACACTACCACAATTTAAATAGCAAATAATTTATGTTTCTTTATAATTTTGAAACAAGTTTCTTTATATCAAGTTCTTTATAATTCTGAAACATGAGAGAAATTAATATTTACGTTCTATTTGTTATGAAATCTTAAGAATATAACTAAAGAAAAATTAAGTTTGAATCATCATAAATCAGAGAGAACTGGAAGGAGGCTAGTGACACAACAGCTTTAGTGTGTAGATGAGAAGACTAAGTTCAGAGAAGTGACATCTTTACTTTCTGGGAGGCGTTTGCTAGTTACAGAACTGGCTCCAGAGGCTTGTTGGGTGACGCATGACAGCTTCTCTGACCCAGTCCGTCAAGCACGGATGCACAGTTTTTTGCTGAGTGTCTCCTCCGTATTGGAAAATCTAACCATCCCTGCTCTGTGTAACATCCTGAGATACTCTTACATTTTCTTATGATTGCAGGATATTTAGTCCAAGGAAGAAAGAGACGTAAACTAAAGGAAATCATTTTATTTACTTATTTATTTATTGAGACAGTCTTGCTCTGTCGCCAAGGCTGGAGTTCAGTAGAGTGATCTTGGCTCACTGCAACCTCCACCTCCCGGGTTCAAGTGATTCTCCTGCCTCAGGCTCCTGAGTAGCTGAAATTACACGTGTTTGCCACCACACCTGGCTAATTTTTTGAATTTTTAGTAGAGACAGTGTTTCACCATGTTGGCCAGGCTGGTCCCAAACTCCTGGCCTCAAGTGATCTCCCCGACTTGGCCTCCAAATTGCTGGGATTACAGCCACCATGACTGGCCAAAAATTCTTTTTCTTAATAAACGACATTTTCGAACCTGAAGTGAGGTTTTCATAGTTTAGGTTCATTTCTAAAAATCGTTTCTCCCACTAGAAGGCACTGGAGTTTCATAGAGAAGTTATTAGAACTGGGTGTGTAGTAGGAAAAGTCAAGGAAAGCCTGGAACCTTTTGTTATGCGAAAGCTTAATGGGGGCACGTGAAATACACACAGAAACCAGCTTCTTAGTGAGATTTGAAACTAATTTGAGCATCCCAAAGAAGTACAATGGCAACAGAGTGTAATGCACTGGGTATTGAAAATGATCTAGTTTGAAAGAGATTTAGAAGCAATCCTGCTCTAAAATACTAATTGTCACCTTTGATACTTTGTTATGGCAACTCTAATAGATGAATGAAATATTTATACAATTTTAAAAGGATATTCATAATTAAAATAATTTTCCTGACAACCTATTTTAAATTAAATGTAAATAACTTACAAGTTGATGGAAGAAATAATGCTCAATACAAATTCAATGAACATTATAATAGGTTACAATTACTAATTTTCTGTCAAGTTTATTTTTCAAATAGCGTGGCTTCCAAAAGAATTATTATTCAGAACTGAAACATCAACTACCATTAAAAACAAAGTTTCTTAGCATAGGCAACTCACAAAGTATGTCCTTCATTAATCATATGAAAAATATTTCTCAGGTTTGCTTTGCCAGATTCTGAATAGATATGAATACAGGTATATATAAACATAAAGTATTCAACTAGACAAAACTCAGCGAAGACAATACAGCCAAGATATAATTATCAAATTCTGATAAATACCCTCTAAAATATGTATGGTGGGTATATACGTATCCATGATTAAAGAGTAAAAAATTATTTTAAGTTAATATTCTTTTAATAAATTGTGTAAAATCATTGTATTTATCTTCTAGTGCTACCATAAGAAAGTACCACAGATTTCATAGAAATTTATTTTCTTACAGTTCTGGAGGCTAATACTTTGAGATGTGGCTGTCAACAGGGCTGCATTCTTCTGAGGCCTCTTCCTTTGCCTTGTAAATGGTTGTATTCTCTCTATGCCTTACGTGGTCTTTCTCTATATGGTGTGTCCTTATTTTCTCTTCTTATTGACACCAGTTATATTGGAGTAGGTCCCACCTGAATCATTGACCTTTAACTTAATTACATCTTTAAGCTCTCCTTCTTCAAATGCAGTCACATTCTCAGGTATTGGGAATTTGGACTTTTACAAATAAATTTTGGAGGGATGCAGTTGAGCCAATGCTACTGAATTCACAAAGATGTTTCTCACTACCCAAGATGTTATTCCACTAAATGAGTTACTTTCTCCTTTGAGAAATATAGGTGTGACCCAAATTTACAAGACATTTTTCTCAAGTTTACTCTTACAAAGAGTTCATTGGAGGAGAAAAGTTTTCAACTGGAATATCAAATAAGAAAGAATTTGTCAGCATTCTTTTCTTATACTGCTTTTGAGAAAGTAACTAAGAAAGTAGAGCTTATTCTAATCTAATTTCAGTCATTTCAAAATAGTACTGTTTTTCTCTATTTTTCTGCTTTGCATTCTACTTTAATCTATGTAATCCTTATTTTAAAAAATGTGCCTGTAGCAGTTTAGTTAACAAAGGGAATAACAAGAGAAATTCCTTTTTTTTCATTTTGGCACAAATCAAGGTTGATTTTGCACAGCAATTAAAACTAGCGAATCATGTGATAGATAATACTGTAAAACCTAAAGCTGTTTACTTAGAATCAAATAAAGTGGCATAGCTTTGAGAGGAGAGGCTGAGGGAAAAGATACTCTCAATAATTGATAGTGGGATTTCCAATATTATCCTCCATTACATTTGTTGGAATATTATAAAGTTTTGGATAATTATAAAATTTGTTTTCTTCATTAATGGTGACACACCTTTGATTGTCCATGATTTTTGACCCATGTGGTTCCACTGCTAATGTTACATACAATATAGTTCTTTAATATGCAAGGCCTGCATTCAAAGAGATAGTTAATATAGAAAATACATGACTATCGAGGAGAAAACATATCAGAGAACAATGACATAAAGCTATGAAAATTATTTATGTATTTATTTATTGAACATTTGCTAGTGAACTCAGAAATGCAAATTAAAATTTACTGTCATTCCAATGTAAGTTAAGTATATATTCTGCTTTTTGATTACATATATGTTGTGATTTACATATTGCTAATCTTGTTGAAATATTAAATTCATATTAATGTTAATTAGATGTAGCAGCTTTCTTAAGGTATAATAGAAATATAAGAAATGGCATAATTTAAAATATTTTATTTGCTGTTTTGATATATGAATCAATAAAAAATCACTGTATGTAAGATTATGAAAGTATCAATCACTCCCAAAGTTTCCCTTGTATTATGAATAAGAAAATTCTGAACATTTTAAGGTTAGAATCTATCTAATGACATGTTTCCTACTTAAAGTTTTATGAGTATATTCATATATCTCCATAATGAATATTAGATGCTTTTTACACTGTAGAATTTGTAAAACAAAGAAAATATTATTCATTTTTTCTTTAAATTATGAGATATTTTTTCATAAAATTAATTTCTGTTATACTCTCACAAAATATGCTACTTCTGCTAGCATAGTGAATATATCCTATCAGATTTATAAAAAAATTATAGACATATGAAGTTAGATATTACACGAAGTTACATTTAAGAGGGAAGCTGAGTGTTTAGATCTCTTTCAACTTACCTTGTCCATTAGCACAGGAAACCCACAAGGTCAGAATGACATTGATTAGTAACAACATGTTAGATATTCTCAGTAGTATAGTAATGCAAAAGTTTCAGTTGCACTGTTTGGGGTTTGAAATCTTTCATTATTAGTTACCAAGTGTGATTCTGAATTTAAGTGCACTACCACAAAGCTAGGGCTTTAAGGTCACTTAGTAAATATCAAAGTTCAGAGAGTTTTGCAAAATGCTTCAATGATTCTTGTTAGTGGTTTCACAATCATCTCTGGAATTGATTCCCTGGTATGTACATGTACAGCTTTATTTAGTGACAGTAATGGACCAACTCCAAAAGTAACATAAAACATTAATTCATTTTTATTTCTTATTTTTTAAGTAAAGAGAGTTTTAATACAGGGAATGAAAGGCTTCTGCAACTATTGGAAGCATTGAGGGACAAAGGTCAGAAATGCTATTTCCAGAAAATTCTGAAGTTCAGGAATCTTAGTGATGCCCTCACTAATTATCCATGGTGCTGCAGTGGATGTTTCTCAGGAAAACTTCCAGAAGCAAGGAAAGCTACTGTTGGTGATCTCAGCTGCTACCAGCAGCTGCTGACAGATAATGCCTTGTCTTTCTCTTCTTCCAAGTCTTCTTTAAGTACATCTCATGGGGGAATCTAAGGAAGAAGCAAGTTATGGAGAAACAGGCTTCAGAAACTGTAGTTTCAGACTTATCTTCTGCAATGGAGAAGAAAATGAAGATAGGAGCCGTGTTGACATCACGTTGAAAATAAACATCTGGCACACTATTCTACTTCTGAAAATCCTGCTGTTTGAGCATGGTAGGTTGTTTTTTTTCCACAAATGGTCATAATACTATCTCCTATCACACACATACTCTTCTTACAACGAGAACACTAATTTTAAAATTAAAGACTGGAAAATTGTTTGAAGTTCTTCCACAAGCAGATGAATCATAAATGAATATCTCTCAGGGTCCATGTTACTTTAATATTCTATCGTCCTTTGCTTCCCAATACCCAACTTAATTATTTAAGGATCGTATGAAAACAAACCAGTATGTCTGGACCCCATTCCACTGTCTGTATTTTCATGTGTTTAGAGTAGCATACTGATTTTGATAACTCACAATGGATCATACTGAGTACAAAAGTTTCAGCATATTCTTGATATCTCAATCTTTTTAAACTTGTGTTTTGGGGTATGTATTATTTTAAGGTACAATAAGGAACAATGGAGATAACCATTAGGTCTGGCTGCCTGAGAGCTGGGAAGAACAGAGCCACATTTCTCTTCTTACAAAAGCAAATAGGAGAAATATCACTGAATTCTTTCTCTCAGCAAGGAACAGCCCTGAGAAAGAGAATGCATTCCTAGGGGGAGATCTCTGAAATGGCTGCTCTGGGAATGTCTGTCTTATACGGTTGCAGATAAGGGATGAAATAAGCCCTGGTTTTGGGTAGTGCTCCCAGGCTTATTAGGACGAGGAAATCCCGCCCAGTAAATTTTAGTCAGACGGGTTGTTTGCTCTCAAACCCTGCCTCCTGATAAGATGTTATCAATGACAATGCATGCCTGAAAATTCATTAGCAATTTTAATTTTGTCCTGGTGCTCTGCCCCCATTTGCCTTGTGATATTTTATTGGCTTGTGAAGCATGTGATCTCTGTGACCCACACCCTATTCGTACATTCCCTCCCCTTTGAAAATCACTAATAAAAACTTGCTGGTTTTGCAGCTTGGGGGGCATCACGGAATCTGCCAACATGTGATGTCTCCCCTGGACACCCAGCTTTAAAATTTCTCTCTTTTGTACTCTTTCCCTTTATTTCTCAGACCAGCTGACACTTAGGGAAATAGAAAAGAACCTACATTGAATTGCCAGGGGCTGGTTTCCCCCGATAAGCCCCAAAATCTATTTTAAGAGCATTTTTCTTAATTCATTTATACTAAAGCATTTATGACAATGCTAGTAATAAAACAGGTCACTACAGGTGTATATTACATTTTAAAGAAAATCATAACAGAATTTTGTACATTAAAAGTCCAGGCTAAATTGTAGTTGAGACATATGTAAAAAGGGAAAAAAAGGATTAAAAAGATGAATTCCTTTGTTATACAAGACATTTTCTCTTTCATAATAAGAAAATCTTAAAAGAATAATTAATAAAAATTTACTAAGATTTTTTTATGATGAGTAACATTTTTGTAAACTAGACCTCATATTAAGCATAGACATTTAAAAAAGAAATGAAAACAGTATGCATGAATATCCTAAATATTAACTTCACTTAATGTGAGTATATTAAACATTACTTCACTAATATTACTGAGAGGCAGGCAGATCACTGGAGGTCAGGAGTTCAAGACCAGCCTGGCTAACATGGCAAAACCCTGTCTCTACTAAAAATACAAAAATTAGGTGGGTGTAAGATGGCAGGTGCCTGTAATCCCAGCTATTCAGGAGGTTGAGGCAGGAGAATTGCTTGAACATGGAAGGCAGAAGTTGCAGTGAGCCAAGATCATGCCACTGTGCTCCATCCTGGACGATGACAGAGCAAGACTCTCTCTCTCTCTCTCTCTCTCCCTCTCTCTCTCTCTCTCTCTCTATATATATATATATATATGATATATATCATATATATATCATATATATATGATATATATAATATATATATCATATATATATGATATATATAATATATATCATATATATAAATATAAATATATAATATATATATCATATATATAAATATAAATATATAATATATATATCTTTATATATATGATATATATATATATAAATATACATATATTACCGAGTGGCTTTGCAAAAAATAGCACAAACTGAGCCAACTGTTCCTAGAAAATCTTCATAAATATTTAGATAGTATGGTAGGGAAATCTTTCAATAGAGCAGAAATGGGTACCATCTAGAAATATTTTGTCTCTCTACTACCTATATATTTGCAAAAAATTTCTAAGGGGGAAGATATTCAGAATTGGACATATCCTACAGTGCCAAATCTACAAATTATAGAGTTTAAATTATTTTGATATTATGCACTATGCCTCCATATCTTCATTAAAAACATTACTTTTATATCTAGGAGAAAGACTTTGATATAGAAGGCTAATCACATAAAACAGGTATATACAACAGTTATAAAGGTCTCAGCTAAAAAGAAATAAGTTTAAACCAGAATACACATAAAGCTCCCTAACTCGTCTCTGTAACACAGAATGCTTTAGAGTGGGAAAAGCCTGAATGGAAAAGCACACTAATATTTGAGTAATTAATGTGAAAAGGAAAAAAAAATTGATGTCTGCTTTGTTCCTCAAAGTTTTTTTCTTATGTTTTCAAATGAAATTATATCAGCCCCCATAAAAAGACTAAAGTTAGTAAACTTTTGTGTATCATCTGGATAATCAATACAAACATAATAAATTACTAACGCATGTGGGTTGAGCTGACCATCCATTTTTCTGACATGTAATTGATCCTGATGTTTCACCATCTGCTGTTATATATCCTAGTTTGCATTGATATTTTGCTTGTTTATGTAAGTCATATATATACTGAGATTCAGAAATAAACCCATTCTCAATATCGATACTTGATTTGGAACATGTTTCTAAAAAGGAAGAGAATAAGAAAAAGACAAGCATATGTTCAATAACATTTTATAAGAATGTAAATAATATGCAAATATAAAAAATAATGAGTGATTTGTAACTGAAAACTTGGATAATCATAAGCATTCAGATACTTAAGTCAAAGAAAATAAGTTCTGAGTTGCCAAAGACATTACATCAAGACTCTCCATCATTTTCTAAAACAAGGCATTATTTAAGACTCTTACAATTATTTCTAAGAAATTATTGGAAATCTGTTGGTCTAATGGATTTGGAATTCTACAGCATGTCAGAACTCAATAGACAATGAGTATTATTTCTTAAGACTTTTTAATCTTGCCTATTTTAGATCTTTTAGGCAATTCCAAAACTCATTTAACCAATTGGAGTGTCTGAGATCCCGTGATGATCTTAGAAAATCTGCCAAAATAATTGTCATAGCCTTTGGCTCCAAGAATTTGAAATGCCATTCTTACTGTGTGCTTCAAAGTAAATGGACATGTGGAGTTCAAAGAAGATGAGAGACAGTAACAGATTTATTTATCTTGAAAGGCCAAAATGATGATTCTTCAAATTATGTAGTACTTAACTTGAAAGAGTGGACATTACTGTCTCTGTAAACTGATGATAGAAATTACTGTTGGTTCCTAGGTTGCCTCCCAGAAATCAGCTTCATTTATAAATAACTCATGGATAAGGAGAAAATTGGAAGAGGAAACATCAAATATTTTGAATTGAATGATAATAAAAACATATTAAATAAAACTTGGTGAGATGACACTCAAATAGTGCTTAGAGGGAAATTTATCATTACATAGCTATAAAAGAAAAGAGTAAAACTGAAAATAAATTATTATTTATAATAAATTATAACAAAGAAAGCAAACAAAATACAGCATGAGTATAAATTTTGAAACAAATTCAAATATAAGTAGAAATCAAATAGAAAACAAACAGTAGAGACAATTTAAAAAGGTAAAAGCTCAGGCAAGAATAATCAAGTAAAACAGAGTTCCAGCCACAAATAAGGAAATGGAACCAAATAGATGAAAATAACATTTTCAGACATTGGAAAGCAGGAAGCACCTAATTCCAGATAAAAAGTGACAATGAGATGAATTCCATCATCAAAGTGACTTTATGCTGGGAGAAAATTTCCAAACAGCCGCACGGAGAAGGAGAATTCAAGCAGAAAATGGCAGACTTGCTGAGTAGAAGAAACAAAACTCAATGTTCCCAAAGAAGATGAGGTCACTAGAATCTGCAGGAAAGAGAGTCAGAAAAGAAGAAACTATGGAGTGAAAGGGCTCTACAAATTTCCACAACAACTCCCTAGATTATTTGGATGAATATTGACACTCTGGAGAGTAGAGTAAAACTCCCCAAGAATGGACCAAGGATACCTATCAGATGAAGAACACTACCAGAGAACAAAAAGGTAAAGGATTCGCAGAGCACACACAACACAGGGAGACATTTAAATGGAATCAATCGGAGTAGAAAGACTCGTTTGAACATCTAGGTCATTTAGTAGAGACATCAGAAGCAGCTTAATATTCTGAACAAACTATCTCTGCGGTTTACCCAGAGGCTAGAACTGGGACACAGTTCTAGCCTCCCTAAACCAGCTTTTTAAAAGCTTAAAAATAAGCCTTGAAAGAACTAAGTTGACCCATAACAAACTTAGACTTAAAAAAAAAATTAAAACAAGTAATACTTGGGGTCTTACAGATGTACAGACTTGAGAAGTTCCAAAGCTGCTTCTCTTAGCCAAAATACAGAGTGTAGTTAAAAAAAAAAAATCCACATTTTGGCAATAATACCCTCTTCACACCTTTGGGTATATACCCAATAATGGGATGGCTGGGTCAAATGGTATTTCTAGTTCTAGATCCCTGAGGAATCACCACACTGTCCTCCACAATTGTTGAACTAGTTTACAGTCCCACCAACAGTGTAAAAGTGTTTCTATTTCTCCACATCCTCTCCAGCACCTGTTATTTCCTGACTTTTTAAAGATCCCCATTCTAACTGGTGTGAGATGATATCTCATTGTGGTTTTGATTTGCATTTCTCTTACGGCTAGTGATGATGAGCATTTTTTCATGTGTCTGTTGGCTGCATAAATGTCTTCTTTTGAGAAGTGTCTGTTCATATCCTTTGCCCACTTTTCGATGGGGTAGTTTTTCTCTTGTAAATTTGTTTGAGTTCTTTGTAGATTCTGGATATTAGCCCTTTGTCAGATGAGTAGATTGCAAAAATTTTCTCCCATTCTGTAGGTTGCCTGTTCAATCTGATTGTAGTTTCTTTTGCAGTGCAGAAGCTCTTTAGTTTAATTAGATCCCATTTGCCAATTTTGGCTTTTGTTGCCATTGCTTTTGGTGTTTTAGACATGAAGTCCTTGCCCATGCCTATGTCCTGAATGGTATCGCCTAGGTTTTCTTCTAGGGTTTTTATGGTTTTTAGGTCTAACATTTAAGTCTTTAATCCATCTTGAATTAATTTTTGTATAAGGTGTAAGGAAGGGATCCAGTTTCAGCTTTCTACATATGGCTAGCCAGTTTTCCAAGCACCATTTATTAAATAGGGAATCCTTCCCCCATTTCTTGTTTTTGTCAGGTTTGCCAAAGATCAGATAGTTGTAGATGTGTGGTATTATTTCTGAGGACTCTGTTCTGTTCCATTGGTCTGTATCTCTGTTTTGGTACCAGTACCATGCTGTTTTGGTTACTGTAGCATTGCAGTATAGTTTAAAGTCAGGTAGCGTGATGCCTCCAGCTTTGTTCTTTTGTCTTAGGATTGACTAGGAAATGCGGGATTTTTTTTGGTTCCATGTGAACTTTAAAGTAATTTTTTCCAATTCTGTGAAGAAAGTCATTGGTAGCTTGATGGGGATGGCATTGAATCTATAATTTACCTTGGGCATTATGGCCAAAATCAACAGAATATACATTCTCCTCAGCACCACACTGCACCTATTCCAAAATTGACCACATAGTTGGAAGTAAAGCACTCCTCAGCAAATGTAAAAGAACTGAAATTACAACAAACTGTCTCTCAGACCACAGTGCAATCAAACTAGAACTCAGGATTAAGAAACTCACTCAAAACCGCTCAACTACATGGAAACTGAACAACCTGCTCCTGAATGACTACTGGGTACATAATGAAATGAAGGCAGAAATAAAGACGTTCTTCGACACCAACGAGAACAAAGACACAATGTAGCAGAATCTCTGGGAGACATTTAAAGCAGTGGAGAGGGAAATTTATAGCACTAAATGCCCACAAGAGAAAGCAGGAAAGATCTAAAATTGACACCCTAACATCACAATTAAAAGAATTAGAGAAGCAATAGCAAACACATTCAAAAGCTAGGAGAAGGCAAGAAATAACTAAGATCAGAGCAGAACTGAAGGAGATAGAGACACAAAAAAACCCTTCAAAAAATCAATGAATCCAGGAGCTGGTTTTTTGAAAAGATCAAGAAAATTGATAGACCGCTAGCAAGACTAATAAAGAAGAAAAGAGAGAAGAATCAAATAGATGCAATAAAAAATGATAAAGGGGATATCACCACCAATCCCACAGAAATAGAAACTACCATCAGAGAATACTATAAACACCTCTACGCAAATAAACTAGAAAATCTAGAAGAAATGGATAAATTCCTCCACACATACACCCTCCCAAGACTAAACCAGGAAGAAATTGAGTGTCTTAATAGGCCAATAACAGGCTCTGAAATTGAGGCAATAATTAATAGCTTACCAACCAAAAAAAGTCCAGGACCAGACAGATTCACAGCCGAATTCTACCAGAGGTACAAGGAGGAGCTGGTACCATTCCTTCTGAAACTATTCCAATCAATAGAAAAAGAGGGAATCCTCCCTCACTCATTTTTTGAGGCTCGCATCATCCTGGTACCAAAGCCTGGCAGAGACACAACAAAAAAAGAGAATTTTAGACCAATATCCCTGATGAACATCCATGCAAAAATCCTCAATAAAATACTGGCAAACCGAATCCAGCAGCACATCAAAAAGCTTATCCACCATGATCAAGTGGGCTTCATCCCTGGGATGCAAGGCTGGTTCAACATACTCAAATCAATAAACGTAATCCATCATATAAACAGAACCAAAGACAAAAACCACATGATTATCTCATAGATGCAGAAAAGGCCTTTGACAAAATTCAACAACCCTTCATGCTAAAAACTCTCAATAAATTAGGTATTGATAGGACGTATCTAAAAATAGTAAGAGCTATTCATGACAAACCCACAGCCAATATCATACTGAATGGGCAAAAACTGGAAGCATTCCCTTTGAAAATCAGCACAAGACAGGAATGCCCTCTTTCACCACTCCTATTCAGCATAGTGTTGGAAGTTCTGGCCAGGGCAATCAGGCAGGAGAAAGAAATCAAGGGTATTCAATTAGGAAAAGAGGAAGTCAAATTGTCCCTGTTTGCAGATGATATGATTGTATATCTAGAAAACCCCATCGTCTCAGCCCAAAATCTCCTTAGGTTGATAAACAACTTCAGCAAAGTCTCAGGATACAAAATCAATGTGCAAAAATCACAAGCATTCTTATACACCAATAACAGACAGAGAGCCAAATCATGAGTGAACTCCCATTCACAATTGCTTCAAAGAGAATAAAATACCTAGGAATCCAACTTACAAGGGACGTGAAAGACCTCTTCAAGGAGAACTACAAACCACTGCTCAACAAAATAAAAGAGGACACAAACAAATGAAAGAACATTCCATGCTCTTGGATAGGAAGAATCAATATATTTTTATTTTTTTAACATCCTGGAAAATGTTTATTGCATATAGTTAATTTAAAACACATTATGTATATTTAATTTCAACAACGTAAAAATAAACATATTCATAGGAGAAAGAATGTAACAGCATAAGCCTAAATTCACAGTGTTGTATTTGGATGGTGTGATTTCTTTTTAAAATATCTCTCTACTGAAGCCTTCATTTCTGGTGATAGAGGCTGTTGTGGCAAGAGACAAGGGACACGTAAGAGTCCTCAATGAGTGCAAAGGACTGGATTAACTGCAATACCCAACACACACGGGCACTCAGGAGCTCCTACTCATGCCCACTGAGCACAAGCATTCTGAAAACCATGGTATCTTTTAAACATAATTATCAATATAAATCACAATTTATGATACTTGGATCAGGTGATCCAAGTTCTAGCTCAGTTTACTTTATACACTCTAAAACCACCCATTTTCAAGGTATAGTTTGATGTGTTTTAGGAAATGTATACAGCTGTGCCTCCAACACCCCAATCCAACTTCAGAACCCTTCCTTCACTTCACAGAGTTCCCTCATGTTGTTCTGCAGTCAATTCCAACTCCTATCCCAGCCCGCAAGCAATACTGATCTGCTTTGTATCTTTATCCATAGTCTTGCCTTTGCTATATGGTTCAATTAAAGAAAATCATACAACTTATAGTCTCTTATGTCTGGATTGTATGTTGCTGCATATACCAGAAATTCATTCCTTTCTAGTGTTGAGCAATATTCTATGAAGACACCACATTTTGTTTATCCATTCTCCAGCTCATGGGCATCTGGGTTGATACTGCATTTTGGCTATTATGTATAAGGCTGCTACATCCATTTGCATACAGATCTTCGCATGGACAAATGTCTTAATTTCTTGGGTACATACCAAGAAAAGCAGAATGGGTACATGCCACTCCAAGACCACTCCAAGACCTGGAGTGGAACTGCCAGGTCACACGGTAACTCCTTACCTAACTTGTTGAGAGACTGTCAAACTGTTTTCCAAGGCAGCTGCATTACTTTACATTCCCATCAACAATGTAAGAGGGCTCCGGTCTCTCTACATCGTCACTAACACTTATTATCTGTTTTTTGATATTAGCCATCTGATGCTGTACTGGTAGCTCATCGTGATTTTAATTGGCATTTCCCTAAATGTCCAATGATGTAGAGACTCTTTTAATTCCAGCTCATTCAGAAGGCAAAAACAGTAGTTGCCATACATGGAATGCCTGTAATCCACTAGGTGCTTTTCATATGAAATCTCACTTAACATCATAAGAACCCTGGGAGTTAGGTGGTTTATAAATGAGCAAACTAAAGTCTCAGAGAGGTGAATTAACTTACAAAGGTGACACAGGAGCAAGCTGAAAGTCGACATTTGACTTCAGGTCTGCTGGTTTCCAAAGTCTGTGTGCTTTCTGTGGCAATGTCTGGAAGATGCAGTTTCCTATGTCATCAGAATCCACAATCCTCCCATTGGAAAGTCTGCCACGTCGTGTACATGCAACTCCAAGAGCAGCCGGAGCAGCAGCACCGCCACCTTCGCAGGCTAGCGCCTCATGGGTCCTCCCATCCTCTACGGCGTGCCCCGGACAATCGGATCGCAGGTGCGGTTCGCTCCTTGGCCCCTAGCGCTGGGCGGGCGGGCTGGCTCAAGCGGGGAGCCAGCGAGCACTGGGGGACCCGGAGCGGAGCCGGCTGGAACCTGGGCGCGCCGCGCAGCTCTCGCAGCGCTCCGCTCCAGGCAGCCGCTAAACCAGCCTTTTAAAAGCTTAAAAATAAGCCTTGAAAGAATCAAGTTGACCCATGATAAACTTAGACTATTAAAACAAAATTTAAAACAAGTAATCCTTGGGGGCCACAGAGATGTACAGACTTCAGAAGTTCCAAAGCTGCTTCTCTTAGCTAAAATACAGAGTGGAGTTAAAAAAATAAATACATAAAATAACCCACCTTTTGGCAATAATTCCCTCTCCCCACCTGCCTCCAAAAAACACAGTAAATCTTTTATGGTATACTCACCCTACTCCAGCCAAACTCCCTACTCCAGCCAAACTACATATCAAAAGTTGTGGAATGACACTAGAGCAGTATGAAATAAATTGGTGTCACTAAATACCTGGGACAGAAAATGGCAGTGTTCCACTTCAGTAACCTTAGCCTCTACCATTAGATATTAGAAAAAGTAGAAAAAATTAATCTCAAAGTAAGCAGAAGAAATAATACAATAAAGATCAGAGATGAAATAATAAGTAAATATGTATATAAACAAGGAAACCAAAAGCTTGTTATTTTAGATCTCTATAATTGAGAAACCTTAGACAGACTGAATCAGAAAAAAAGATGACACAAATTGCTTATAACAGCAATGACAGAAATGACATCATTATGGTTTTTACATATATTAAAAGAAAAATAAAGAAATATTCTGAATAATGCCATGTCAATAAATTCAATAACTTGAATGAACTAGAAACTTACTAAAGCCACAAACTGTCACAGCTCACTGAAGAAGGATTAGGTAGCATTAATAAATTATATCTATTAAACAAATTGAATTTGTAGCTGAAGCATGAAAAACAAAATATTTAGTGATAAATCTAATAAAATACAGGATCTGTATGCTGAAAATCACACAAAAAAAACTAGTGTAAGAATGTATGATCTTACTAAATCAAAGGATATATAATGCTCATGGACTGAATTTTTTTTTTTTTTTTTTTGAGGCAGAGTCTCGCTCTGTCGCCCAGGGTGGAGTGCAGTGGCGCAATCTCGGCTCACTGCAAGCTCCGCCTCTCGGGTTCACGCCATTCTCCTGCCTCAGCCTCCCGAGTAGCTGGGACTACAGGCGCCCGCCACTACCCCTGGCTAATTTTTTGTATTTTTAGTAGAGATGGGGTTTCACCAAGTTAGCCAGAATGGTCTCGATCGATCTCCTGACCTCGTGATCCACCCGACTCAGCCTCCCAAAGTGCTAGGATTACAGGCGTGAGCCACCGCGGTCGGCCTGGACTGAACAATTTAATACTGTTACATGTCAGTTCTCCCCAGATTCATCTATGAGTGTGTCCCATTTCTAGTGAATAACCAAGCACAATGTTTTACACATATGGACATGCTGATTCTAAAGTCATACAGAAAGGCAAAGGGACTAAAATAGCTACACAATTCTTCAAAAGATAAGAGAAGTTGAAAAGCTCACATTACCAAATTTTAAGACTTAGAAAAAGCTACAGTGAGTAAAAGGATCTCCTGACACTGGTGAAAGGATAAACACACAGAAGAATAGAAGAGAAAATGGTGTCCAGAAATAGACTCACATGCATGGATCGATTTTGTAAATAGCTTCTATTCTATTTTGTTATAACACTATCAGGTTCACATGCCCACTGTCTAGCAATAGACCAATACACTGAGACAGTAGAGTTTGCAGCAAAGAAAAACTTTAATCAATGCAAGGGCACCAAACAAGGAAATGGGAGGATTCTCAAGCCCCAAATCTGTTCTGTGAAGGGGTTCTGGGCAAGGGACTTTAAGGGGATCATGGAGGGTGAGGGGCTAGAAAATTTGGGTTGTCAATTGGTCAGGGTAAGGGGGATGAAGTCACCGGGATGTGGGATGTGGAACCTGCATTATTTCCTGAGTCAGCTTTTTGCTGGGCTCTTTAGACCAGCTGATGTGTGTGTGTGTGTGTGTGTGTGTGTGTGTATGTATATTTGTTTTTTGTTTTTGAGACATGGTCTTGCTCTGTTGCCCAACTGGATTTCAGTAGCGTGACCTCACTGCAGTAGCGTGACCTCAGCTCACTGCAACTTCTGCCTCCCAGGCTCAAGTGGTCCTCCCACCTCAGATCTCCTGAGCAGCTGGTACTACAGACCTGTGCCATGATGCCTGGCCTAATTTCTTTAATTTTTTGTGAAAATGTGGTTTTGCCTTGTTGACGAGTATGTTGATAGGTTTTTTGGTATGCCGAACCTAAAGGAGAAACTCATGCAGAAAGATTATAGTCTCACAATGTCTTAGATTTTATCTGTAGAAAAGAAAAGGACCAAAAGGTCTTGTGACAAGGGCTACATTATCCTAGGGTGGTAGTAATCCATGACCAGCTACAAAGACGTAGGACAAAGGGAAAGCTGGCCTAATGATTACTGCTGCTTGTCCTGAAAGCGTAGATGAATTTTCCCCCCTTAATCAATTTTATGTAATTTTCTTAGGGACAGTTTCAGTTCCTCCCAGGCTTGATCCCTTCTTAATCTTGAGGTGTAACAGCTAATATGGTGGGAAACAGGCAATGACGACTCTAGCTTCTTTTTGCTGACAAGGGGCACAGTCAGAGAATGAGTCGGGATTAGAGGAATGAAACCGTATTGTAACAACCTGCAAGTCGTTACACCCAGCTGAAGGTGCTGCATGAACATGTTAGTACTTCAGTCTATGGTTTTATTGTAATATTTAATTGAATAGCAGCCTATGATGTAAACTGTAAGCCCTATAAACAGAATTGTGAGCTTGAACTTTAAGAGCCCTTGGAAAATGGACTGGAAAACGTGGAGTATCGAGGGGAAAAGCTCAAAAAGCTAGTCAGACTTAGGGTCTGTGGTGTAGACATATGGTCTCCAGCGAGACTGCTGAAATATTTTCTTTAGCTTGGTTTTTATTTTACCAGAAGCATTGATATAAGTATAACAGGTGGTATTGATCACTGTACAGACTCCCCTCGGTAAAGCCAAGAGAAAATCAAGTGCAGCTCCATTGTTAAGAACTATCTGGGTAAGTAAATTTAAAGAGTTTTCTCAGCCTTAATGTTCTTAGCAGCCTCTTTTGCAATTATTTCTAAAGTTGCCGGTAAGTTTCTGATCATGACCCAGTTAGTGTATACTTCATAGCTAGGAATTGTGATGCCCAAGAAGGCCCTGTCACCGGATATATTGATATATGCCTGGCAGTGGCTTTTGGAGTCCGTGGGAAAATGGGCAGAATCTTTAGTCATTAGGATGGACTGACCAGTGTCCCAATAAGTAAGAGCCCTCAATATACAGGTTATTGAGACACCAGTGAGCTTGTCCTAACAGAGGAGGTTCTGATCCTGTGTCACAAATAAACATTTGCCAAGGGGACACACAAGTGAAGCCCTCAAAGATGCATGTATTGATGGTTTTTTTTCATGGGGAATATAGACAAATGGAATTGAACTGTGGATCTTTTTCTACAGGCTCCCCAAAATTTGTGTGATATTCCCCACTGTAAATATTTTTGGCACAGCAAAGAGAAACTTTTAATTTTATTTCCCTTCTCCTGGCTGCATTTGTCTACCCATTATGCCATGGGCCATGGAGGGCCTATGTTATGGAATGACTTTCCATTTATGATATACAGAGAGAGATTGAGATGTGGGGTGGTGATTTCTTGGTGTACTACCAGTTGGACCTGGAAATTAGCCATGGAAAGAAGCTGTTGCAGATAGGTAGTCGTATTTGGGACAGAAAGTCAGTTACAAGTATGACTAACAGAAAATGCTTATTTTGAATCGTTTGAGGGAGTTACTGACAGATCCATCATTCTGGTAGGTTTCTTCCAGTGGCAATACCTTGAAGCAGTTTAACTACAGTGTTGTTATCCCTGTCTAGGCATTGCAGTAAAAGGAAATTTATTAGAAGTTTTAAAACAAGAGTGACCATTTCTAAATTTTAGAATGTCCAAATAATGGGAGGCAGGAGACTAAGTCAGCATGGTATAGGATGTCTGGAAAATCTGTAAGTCTAGCAATTGTAATGACCAAGGCAATTGTGAAGTAAAATCTATAAGTGTAGCAATTGTAATGACCAAGGCAATTATAATGACCAGGTAAATCTATGGGTTAAGCATTCAGTAAGGCACGGAATAGACAGGAAGGTATCTCACCTTTTTATGTAAAATAATTATAACAAAAATTCCTATTATGCTCAAAGTAACTATTGTAGTTGTCAAGAGGACATGTGTTTTGTCTAATTTTCTTTAAGTTTGTTATTTATATGATATTTTTCTTCAAAAGATATTTGAGGCCCATCAAAGATGTACTTATCCATTCAGATAGGGTTGGCCTTTCTACATTTCTTGATAGCACTAGAGTCTGGCGGGGTGGGTTTTATATGGCTGTGGTGAATCCAGGGTCTAAGTCCTTCACCCGAACAGAGGAATGAGTCACCAGTCATGCATTGTATGGCCTCTTTCACTGTGTTTTCAAGTGGTCCTCAGGATGTTGACTTTTCCTGGTCTTGAGCAGAATCCAGTCTCTTGGTTGGATGCGACGCAAGAGAATGTCAGTTGGATACCACAATCTGCTGGAACCACAAACTCATGAATAGTAATTAAAGTGTGACCTAAAGATTGTATATATTTGATAATATCTAATTTCTTTATGTGTATATTATTGGCATTCCTTAGTCTGAGAAGAGAACAGAATAATCTCCCATATAAAATTTATAAAGGGCTTATTTAAGCCCACTTTTAGGGACCACCCTTACTCTGAGCAGGGAGAAGGACAGAATTTTATTCCAGGTTGTTAGTTTCTTGGCAAATCTTAGCAAAAGTTTGTTTTGTTTTTTATAGTATGATTTAACTTTTCAGTTTTCTCAGTAGACTTCAGTCTCCAGGCTGTATGAAGATTCCAGATTATGCTGAGGGCCTGGAATATATGGTGTCCTAGGCTACAAAAGTTGCACTATAGTCACACTGGATGAAGACAGGCCATCTAAACCTGAGGGTAATCTTCTCTAACAAGTCTTTTATAACCTCATACATTCTCTTGGTCTTGCAGGGGAATGCTTTCATTTATCTTGAAAATGTATCTACAAATATCAGCAAGTATTTAAAATTTCCTGCTACCCTTGGCATCACGTTAAAATCAATTTGCCAGTCCTCTATTTGTCCTGCACCTCTTGCTTGAATCCCTGGAACTGGGGGTGGAGGACCAGTCTTAAGATTGTTCTGGGCACAAAGTAGGTATTTTAGAATTATTTGTTGGATAGCCTTCTTTAAGTGTGTCCCAAAGACGTAGTCCTGGATCAATTGAAGGGTGGCATGCCTGTCATACTACGTGGTATCATGTATGTGTTTGATGATATCTGTGGTAAGATACTTGGGTACAAGAACCTTTTCTTCTGTGTTACATATCTACTCATTTTGGGTTCTTTGATTGGAGTCAAAGCCTCAATCAAGTGCTTTTAGATCTTCTTCCAAATAGATATAGATTTTAGGCTGAAGTTTATTTCAGGGATTAATGGCATTAGCAAGGCTTTGGGTATTTTTTCTCTGGTCATCCCTTTAGTGGCCTGGTCTGCCTAGTGATTTTTTTTCTTGCTACCAAATTGTCCATCCACTGATGTCCAGGGTGGTGTAGTATAGCTACTTTCTTGGGTACCAAGACTGTCTTTAGTCAGGCTAAGATTCTTTAGCATGCTTAATCATTTTTTTTAATCACCAAAGGTTAAGAATCCCCTTTCTTTCCAGTAGCCCCATAAGCATGGACAACAATAAAAGTATACCTGGAATAAGAGCAAATGGTGACTCAGGAGTCTTTACATAGTTGGGATGCCCTGTTTAGGACTCTAAGTTCTGCCTTTTGTGCTGATGAACCCAGAGTGAGTGTCTCTGCATCTAGGATCTGTCACAGGGTTACCATAGCATACTCAGCCTTCTGTTGTCTGTGGTTCATAAAGCTGCTTTCCTCAGTGAATATTTCTAAGTCCAGGTTTTTAAAGGGAATTTTGGTCAAGTCTGGTTGAATAGAATAAACTTGCTCAATACTTTATAAGCAATCATGTATAGATTTAGTTAGCAGGATTTAGAGTAGAAACAGCTCTCAGAGTAACACTGGGATTATGCAGGAAGATGGCCTGATATCTATTCAGTCTTCTAGAATTAAGTCAGTAGATCCACTTCTGCTCTGACAAAGAGCATACATAGTGTGGGGTGTGTACTGTGCTAGGTTAACCCAAAGTGAACTCTTCTGCCTCCTGGAGAAGATCACAAGTGGTACCAATGGCTCAGAGGCAAGAAGTCCAACCCAGTTTTGGACAATGTCCAGCTGTTTTGAAAAGTAGGCTACAGGCCTCATGATATTCCCCAAGTCTTGGGTTAGTACTCCTAAACTCACCCCTTCTCTCTCACATATGAACAAATTAAATGGCTTTCTTAGTTCAGGGGGTACCAGTAGCCAGAGCCATTAACAATTTTTATTTAATGGTTAGAAAGGCCTTTTGACATTCCTTGGTCCATTCCAGAAGTCAACTGTCTGGTCTTAGGGCTTTATAGGGAGATTTTGCTATAAGCCCAAAATAAGAAAATCAAATAAGGCAACATCCAGCCATACCTAAAAACCCCTCACAGCTGCTGCCATGTCCTGAGTCTGGCCACCCTGACAAGAGCTTCTCTGCAGTCCGAAAGCAGATTGCTCTGCTCCTGAGAAAGTTCAAATCCAAGATATGTAACTGAGGGTTTCAAGATTTGTGCCTTTTTCTTGGATACCTTGGATCCCAATTCAGACAAGAAATGTAAAGTCAGTATAGTATTCTGGTCAGTTTGCCTTAGTTTTGGGGGCTATGGATATGTCATCAACATAAATAAACAAAGTCCCATTTTTCAATCGAAGGTCCCAAACTCCTTAGCACGTATTTCCTCCCAACCAATTAGTGAGTTTTTGAAGCCTTGAGGAAGCATTGTCCAGCAATACTGTTGGTTTGCTTTAGTGTCAGTGTCTTCGTATTCAAAGGCAAACACTTCATGGGACTCTGGACTCAGAGGAATACAGATGAAGGCATCTTTCAAATCCAAGACTGAACACCAGTACAACTCACTGGTTAAAGTCATGAATAATGTATAAGCATTGGGTACCACCAGATAAATGACTTTGAAAATTTGGCTAGTAGCCCTCAAATCCTGTACGAATCAATATTCCTGAGTAGATATGTAACACAGAAGAAAAGGTTCTGGTACCCAAGTATCTCACGACAGATATCATCAAACACGTACATGATACCACACAGTATGGCAGGCATGCCACCCTTCAATTGACCCAGGACTGTGTCTTTAGGACATTACATGGGGAATGATGAAGTCTTCCTGTATTGCAGGAAGGCCATTAGCAGAGGCTAAATGCATTGCTGTGCCTTTTCTCTCAAAGGATACTGTTTTAGATTTGGCAGCGCTACTCCTGCACAAAACTTGACTTGTACTGGAGATGCAGTTTTTGTTTTCCCTGGCCTTCCATTTCCCATGCTCCCGGACTAACATTTTGGAGTATCTCTTCAGGGATGAGGGCACTTTCAAGGACTTCCAGTTGTAATAATGTGGCCTGCAGAGCACATGCTTGGTCTGAAGGCACCTGGATGTCCAATCATCTCAGAGAAAAAGTAATCTTAGCATTTAGTTTGGTTAAGAGGACTTGCCCCAACAAAGGGATGGGACATTCACACATGTATAGAAAAACTGCTTTAAATTACCTTGCTCTAGCTGAGAATCCAAAATTGGGAGGAATGATCTCATCAGTATTTTTCCTGAGATTTCAGTCACCTTCATAGTTTCTGAGGAAAGTTTAGACAACCAGATATTTAACACCAAATAGGTGGCACCATGTCTACTAGAAAGTCCAGAAGCTGATTTCTCACCATCATCAGGATCTCAAGCCCCATGTGGGAAATATGGAGGGTGTTGTTTGAGTCAGGATAAGCCCCTGGGTGCCATCATTTCTGGTCTTTTTCTTCAGTATCTCTCTCAAGCTCCCCAGCTATCCCAGGCATTTGGTGGGCAGAAGACTGACTGTGTTTAACATCAGGCTTTGTAAGGCATGGGCAATTTTCCTTTCAGTGTCCCCCCTGTTGCAGTAAGCACACTGCTTGGGACCTGCAATGGGATGTCCCTTTTTTTTGGCTTTTGGGGGCCCAGGTGGTCCTACCTTAGATGGAGCATCTGATGAGGGCCCTTGTTGTGGTCCAGGGACTACTAGGTTCAGAGCCACAGCTAACAAGTCAGCTTTTCTCTTCATTATTCCTTGTGTTTTTATTTTTCACTATTTAAAATTGTGATCAGTAAATACATTAAAAACAATCTTCACTAATTGAGACATAAACATGTCCAAAGCCTCATCTACATTTTGTAACTTTCCCTGCATAGCTGGGGTACTTTGTTGGATAAACATCGTATTAGCTAACTTTAAATTTTCTGAGGCTTCTGAGTCAATATCCATTTATTGTCTGAAAGCTTCAAAGACTTGTTCTAAAAATTCCAAAGGCACACTCATTAGGCTTCTGCTTGATCTCCTGGACCTTACTGAGGCCGCTTTCCTTGGGCACTCCCTTGCAGAGGCTGGCCAAAATGCAGTTTTGATAGTGTTCGAGGTTAGATCTATCTCCAGTGTTTATATTCTATCCCAGGACAGAGGTGGGAACTGCAATCTGAGCAGCTGCCCTTACTGCTGCCCTTACTGGATTACTGGGAGAGTCAGTGTGAATAAGATCAGCCTTTTCCTTAGCTTTTTCTAAAACCATTCTTTGCTTCTCTGAACTCAACAAAATATTGAGCAAATTTTAGGTATCTGCTCAGGTAGGATTGTGGGTGGCAAATACAGAGGAGAATAGATTCTCCATATGCTTTGGATTTTTTTTTTATCCTTTTTCTTCCATAAACTTTAGATCTTCTCAATAAATAGGCATATTATTTTTCTAATTAAATAGGTGGGTAGTGGAGAACAGAGAATAAACCCACATAAATCCTATAGGCTGGGCTGTGGCAGCATCACCTCCTATAGGTAGTTGTTATAGGGGAAACTGCCTTTCAGAGCCAGAGTGAAATCCTGGCTAAATTGAGTCCCCTGTTAGGTATAAGTGATACCCTAGCTAAAAGGAGTCACCTGTTGGGTAGAAGAAGCAGAGATAAAGGCCGGGCACGGTGGC
Source organism: Homo sapiens (assembly GCF_000001405.40). Classification (NCBI taxonomy): domain Eukaryota; kingdom Metazoa; phylum Chordata; class Mammalia; order Primates; family Hominidae; genus Homo; species Homo sapiens. The sequence goes on along the minus strand of NW_025791754.1, from coordinate 633,906 downwards.
TCACGCTTGTAATCCCAGCACTTTGGGAGGCCAAGGCGGGGGTGGTTCACCTGAGGTCAGGAGTTCGAGACCAGGCTCGCCAGTATGGTGAAACCCCATCTCTACTAAAAATACAAAAATGAGCTGGGCTTGGTGGCACGTGTCTGTAGTCCCAGCTGCTCAGGAAGCTGAGGTAGGAGAATCTCTTGAACACAGGCAGTTGAGGTTGTAGTGAGCAAGATCGTGCCACTGCACTCCAGCCTGGGCGACAGAGCAAGACTCCATCAAAAAAAAAAAAAAAATTCCTGTTGCTCTGGGTTTGTGACTTTTTGGTGGTGGGGACTCTGGCTTAGGTGCCAGTAGTGCTGCTGCAGCTCCTCCATAAGTTCTTTCTCTTGTAAATCAATCCAAACAGGTTTTAATTTCTTGCTAATTCATAATTTTTCCGTTTTTTCTACATTGATCTACTTTACCAAAGCAACATAAAACATTATACATAAGGGATTTTATCCCATTTCTCTTCCTTCATACATAACAAATCTAGCTACAGGATGGTACTGTATGTATGAGAACCATGCAGTGGCCACTGTTCTCCCAAACCCCATGGGTATTGAGGTCAAGCCATGTTAAAAAATAAGATAATCTTGTTTTGCTTTATGGAATGATAGACAAAGGCTTTTCAATTTTGGAAGATGCAGCCCATCAAAATTACAGTGTGGGTTACATGGGGAGAACTAAAGGACAGCCATTAGTTCATCAGAACTACTAAGCAGCTGCTAGTGCTTGTCTCTGGGTCTGCTCCAGTGGCAAGGGGGCACTAGGCTGTGAGTAAATGCCCTCAAGGAGAGTAACCTCGACCTGGCTTGCCACAAATAGTTACAAGACTGTCAGATTTGTATGCCTGCAGCACAGCAACAGAACAATACACTGAGACAGTGGGATTTGCAGCAGAGAAAGAGTAATAATCTCAAAGCCACCAGCCCTCACTGGGCTGCAGGGAGGAACTGAATTAACATTTCCCATTCTGGCTGGAATTATATACATGTAACCAAACACAGATACTAGTCACCGTACTCAGAACCCAAGTATTGACCTGGCAAGGCTCAAACTTGGTTCCATTAGCCCTCATCATATTTGATCTACTCAAGTTGGAGAGGGATGACCTTCAGTCAGGAGTTCAGTGGGTGGACTCTGGGAAGGATTGAAGAGCAGACGGTTACCCTGAGTTAGACTTGCTGAGATTCCACTAGCAACTCCTTCAGGACTAAGTGAATATAAATGACCAGACAAACAAGAAGAGTTTCCTGAGTTAGTAATTTCTTCCACTAGTAATTTCTTCAGAGAACACCTCCACAAACATAAATACCTATAACAAGACAAACACAAACAAAAGACCTTTAAATATAAAGTTTCAGATTCCAAAATCCAAGAGCATTTCTCCCAAGCAATGCCCTCTAGTCTCCTTCCATCTGAGGGGAGGTCTCCTCAAATAAGGCCCTACCTATGACTTAGGGAGGATCAACAAGACCTCAAAATAGGTCACAAGGCCTCTAAGATGAAAAAACAAAAACAAACAACAACAACAACAAAAAAAAAAACAGAAGGAAATGGGGTGCCAGCTGCTCTGAGAAAACTCACCTGAGACTTCTTCTGAGACCACAAATGGTTTCTCTGCTGCAGACAAGTTTATGTGCTGAAAGTCAGCACTGCCCTGCCAACACAGAAGGCCCCAGCAAAGGCCCTTAGTTCATCATAGCTAAGCAGCTGCCTGGGCTTGTCTGTGGGTCAGCCCCAGTGGCATGGGGGGCACTGGACTGTAGATAAATAACCACAAGGAGAGTGACTTGCCATGATTTTTATTTATTTATTTATTTTTTGAGCCGGAGTCTCACTCTGTCTCCCTGGCTGGAGTGCAGTGGCACGATCTCAACTCACTGCAACCTCCGCCTCCCAGGTTCAAGTAATTCTCCAGCCTCAGCCTCCTGAGAAGCTGGGATTACAGGCATATGCCATCATGCCTAGATACATTTTTGTATTTCTAGTAGAGACAGGGTTTCACCATGTTAGCCAGGCTGGTCTTGAATTCCTGACCTCAAGTGATCTGCCCGCCTTGGCCTTCCACAGTGCTGGGATTATAGGTGTGAGCCACCATACCTGGCCACTTGCCATGAATTTTTACAAGACTGTCAGGTTTCTATGCCGGCTGCACAGCTACAGAACAATACACCGAGACTGTGGGGTTTGCAACAGAGAAAGAACTTACTAATTGCAAGGTCACCAAGCAAGGACTTGGGAAGAATTCTCAAAACTCAAACCCATTTCATTAAGGGTTTCTGGGCAAGAGTCTTTGAAGGGTGAGGGGCTGGAAATTGAGGTCATCAATTGATTCAGGTCAGGGACTGAAATCATCAGGATATGGAAACTACAGTCCTCCCTAAGTGAGTTTCTTGCCAAGACTTTCAGAATGGCTGGCATCAGTAGTTTTGTTAGTATGCAGAACCTAAAGGAGAAACTCAAATGGCAAGATTGTCATCGCGTAGTGTCTTACATTTTATCTAAAGAACAGAAAAGGAACAAAGATTCTAGTGACAAAGATTATGTTATCCTGTACTAGTAATCAGTGACAAGCTATAAGGAAATGGGCCAGTGGGAAAGCTAGCCTAATGACTACCATGGATTGTCCAACAAGCCTAATTGAATTTCACTTTTTCCTCTTTAACTGTTTTTACAAGATTTTCTTGAAGATGTTTCCAATTTAATAGTGGAGCAAAGGCAATTCAATAAAGAAAACACAATCCTTTAAACAAGGGATACTGGAATAGTAAGGCATCCAAATGCAAAATAAAAACCCTCAACATATTTCTCATACCTCATACAAAAATTAACTCAAAACGATCATATAACTATGTGTAAAATGTTAACTTCTAGAACTGTACATGGCCTTGGTTTAGGCCAAGGAAATTTTAGATGGTACAAAGAGCATAATCCATAAATGAAATATTTGATATACTGGATAACATCAAAATTAAATGCATTTGCTCATTGAAAGAGACTGCTAAGAGAAATAAAAGTAAAGCTAGAGATGCAAGAAAAATATTTCTAAAATATTTACTCAGTGAAGGACTTGTAGCCACAATATATTAAGTTGTCTCAAAATTCAGTAAAGAATCAAACAACCCAATGAAAAATGGGCAAAAAATTTGGACTAAAGGAGGTACCTCACTAAAGGAGGTACATAGATGGTAAATAAGTACAAAGAAAATGCTCAGCAGCATTAGTCACTAGGGAATGTGATACCATTACACGCATATTAGAATGGATAACTTAATGGAAAAACAACCACTATCTCAAAGGCTGGTGAGGTTGTAGAACAATTGGAACTCGCATACACTGAGTATGTGAAGGTAGAATATATGATCACTCAGGAAAACAGTTTGTCTATTTCTTATAAAAATAAACACACACATTCAGTATGATATTGGCTATGGGTTTGTCATAAATAGCTCTTACTATTTTGAGATATGTTTCATCCATACCTAGTTTATTGAGTGTTTTTAGCATGAAGTGGTGTTGAATTTTATCGAAAGCCTTTTCTGTATCTATTGAGATAATCATGTGGTTTTGTCATGGGTTTGATTTATGCGGTGGATTACATTTATTGATTTGCATGTTGAACCAGTTTGCATCCCAGGGATAAAGCCAGTTTGCATCCCAAGGATGATCGTGGTGGACAAGCTTTTTGATGTGCTGCTGGATTCAGTTTGCCAGTATTTTATTGAGGATTTTCGCATCGATGTTCATCAGGGATATTGGCCTAAAAGTTTCTTTTTCTGTTGTGTCTCTGTCAGGTTTTGGTATCAGGATGATGGTGGCCTCATAAAATAAGGAGGAATCCTTCTTTTTCTATTGTTTGGATTAGTTTCAGAAGGAATGGTACCAGCTCCTCTTTGTACCTCCGATAGAATTTGTCTGTGAATCCATCTGGACCTGGGCTATTTTCGGTTGGTAGGCTATTAATTACTGCTTCAGATTTAGAACTTGTTGTTGGGCTATTCAAGGATTCGACTTCCTCCTGGTTTAGTCTTGGGAGGGTGTATGTGTCCAGGAACTTATCCATTTCTTCCAGATTTTCTAGTTTATTTGTGTAGAGGTGTTTATAATATTCTCTGATGGTAGTTTGTATTTCTGTGGAATCAGTGGTGATATCCTCTTTATCATTTTTTATTGTGTCTATTTGATTCTTCTCTCTTTTTTTCTTTTTTGGTATGGCTAGTGGTCTATCTATTGTGTTAATCTTCAAAAAACCAGCTCCTGGATGCATTGATTTTTGAAGGGTTTTTTGTGTCTCTATCTCCTTCAGGTCTGCACTGTTCTTAGTTACTTCTTATCTTCTGCTAGCTTTTGAATTTGTTTGCTCTTGCTTCTCTAGTTCTTTTAATTGTGATGTTAGGGGTCGATTTTCGAACGTTCCAACTTTCTGATGTGGCATTTAGTGCTGTAAATTGCTCTCTAAACACTGCTTTTGCTGTGTCCCAGAGATTCAGGTATGTTGTGTCTTCCTTCTCACTGGTTTCAAGGAACTTATTTACTTCTGCCTTAATTTTGTTATTTACCCAGTAGTTATTCAGGAGCAGGTTGTTCAGTTTCCATGTAGTTGTGTGGTTTTGAGTAAGTTTCTTAATCCTGTGTTCTAATTTTATTGCACTGTGGTCTGAGAGAAGGTTTGTTATGATTTCCTTTCTTTTGCATTTGCTGAGGAGTTTTTTACTTCCAATTAGGAGGTTGATTTTAGAATAAGTGCTATGTAGTGCTGAGAAGAATGTATATTCTGTTGATTTGGGGTGGAGAGTTCTCTAGATGTCTATTAGGTCCACCTGGTCCAAAGCTGAGTTCAAGTCCTGAATATCCTTGATAATTTTCTGTCTTGCCGATCTGTCTAGTATTGATATAGTATTGGAAATTCTGGCCTGGGCAATCAGGCAAAAGAAAGAAATAAAACGTATTCAAATAGGAAGAAAGGAAGTCAAATTGTCTCTGTTTGCAGATGACATGATTCTACATTTAGAAAACCCGATCGTCTCAGCCCAAAAATTCTTTAAGTTCTTAAGCAACTTCAGCAAAGTCTCAGGATACAAAATCAACGTGCAAAAATCACGAGCATTCCTATACACCAATAATAGACAAACAGAGAGTCAAATCATGAGTGAATTTCCATTCACAATTGTTACAAAGAAAATAAAATACCAAGGAATACAACTTACACAGGATGTGAAGGACCTCTTCAAGGGGGACTACAAACCACTGATCAAGGAAATTAGAGAGGACACAAACAAATGAGAAAACATTCCATCCTCATGGATAGCAAAAATCAATATCGTGAAAATGGCTATACTGCCCAAAGTAATTTATAGATTCAAAGCTATTCCCATCAAGGTATCATTAACTTTCTTCACAGAACTAGAAGGAACTACTTTAAATTTCATATGGAACCAAAAAAGATCCCATATAGCCAAGACAATCCTAAGCAAAAAGCACAAAGCTGAAAACATCATGCTACCTGGCTTCAAACTATACTACAAGGCTACAGTAACTAAAACAACATGGTACTGGTACCAAAACAAATATATAGACCAATGGAACAGAACAGAGGCCTCAGAAATAACACCACACATCTACAACGATCTGAACTTTGACAAACCTGACAAAAACAAGCCATGTTGAAAGGATTCCCTGTTGGATAAATGGTGTTAGGAAAATTGGCTAGCCATATGCAGAAAATTGAAACTGGGCCCCTTCCTTACACCTAATACAAAAATTAACACAAGGTGGTTTTAAGACCTAAAACCATAAAACCCCTAGAAGAAAACCTAGGCAGTACCATTCAGGCCATAGGCACAGGCAAAGACTTCATGACTAAAACACCAAAAGCAATTGCTGCACAAGCCAAAATTGACAAATAGGATCTAATTAAACTAAAGAACTTCTGCACAGCACAAAAAGAAAAAAACAAAAAACCATCATCAGAGTGAACAGGCAATCTACAGGATGGGAGAAAATTTTTGCAATCTATCCATCTGACAAAGGGCTAATATCCAGAATCTACAAGGACCTTAAACAGATTTATAAGAAAAAAACAACCCCATCAAAAAGTAGTCAAGGATATGAACAGATAGTTCTCAAAAGAAGACATTTATGCAGCCAACAAATACATGAAAAAGAGCTCATCATCACTGGTCATTAGAGAAATGCAAATCAAAACCACAATGAGATACCATCTCACACTAGTTAGAATGGTGATTGTAAAAACGTCTGTAAACAACACATGCTGTCGAGGGTGTGGAGAGATAGGAATACTTTTACACTGTCTGTGGGAGTGCAAATTAGTTCAACCATTGTGGAAGACAGAGTGGCGATTCCTCAAGCATCCAGAACCAGAAATACCATTTGACCCACCAATCCCATTACTGAATATATACACAAAGTGTTATAAATCATTCTACTATAAAGATACATGCACGCATGTTTATTGCAGCACTATTTACAACAGCAAAGACTTGGAACCAACCTAAATGCCCATCAATGATAGACTGGATAAAGAAAATGTGGCAAATATACACCATAGAATACCATGCAGCCATAAAAAAGAATGAGTTCACGTCCCTTGCAGGGCATGGATGAAGCTGGAAACCATCATCTTCAGCACACTAACACAGGAACAGAAAGCCAAATGCTGCATGTTCTCACTCATAAGGGGGAGTTGAACAATGAGAACACATGGACACAGGGAGAGGAACATCACACACTGGGGCCTGTTGGGACATGGGAGGCAAGGGGAGAGATAACATTAGGACAAATAGCTAATGCATGTGGAGCTTACAACCTAGATTATGGGTTGATGGGTGCAGCAAACCACTATGGCACATGTATATATACCTATGTAACAAATCTGCAGATTCTGCACATATAAACCAGAACTTAAAGTATAGTAATAAAAAAAGCACACACAGAGACATGCCATTTATCCAACAAAGCCACTCCTAGATATGAAGCCATGAGGAATAAATTTGTGTTTATATAAAAACTGTAGGTGAATATTTTTCTTACCAGCATGATTCACAAATGCCAAAAACTATGCAAATGCCTTTCAACAAGTGAATGGATTAACAGTCTGTGACCTATGATACAATGGAATAATACTTAGCAATAAAAAAAAATATTCTAGGTAGTGTGATGAAATCCTTTGCCATTCAACTCTATCCTGCCCAGGGCATGAATCCTCCCTTTGTCTAGTGTAGACACATTTTATACTTCCCGCCTGTTAGTCACTTAGTAGTCTTCACAGTTATCAGATGGAAAAATGTAGCTTACTTGGGTTTTATAGTATTAACTATTTCAGGCATCTGCTGGGGGGCTTGGAACATACCCCACGTGGATAAGAGGGACTAATGCAGCTTTTGTCTCCCACAGATAAGGACAGACTACTCTAACTTCAGAAGAATCATTCAGAAGGCACCAGTATTTCAAGTTTTACAAGTCCAGAAAAATTGATATTCTGTGATGTATTTGGCAAATGTTTTCTTTAAGTGACTATTTTAAAGGAAACCACAGCCAGTTTGCACTCATGCAGGACACACTCCAATATCTGTCTACTGTACTCGCACAAGTATATTTAAATTTTTCTGCTTATTTTCACAACATGGTTATGAGGAATTTAGATTTTGTTAAATTGAAAAGTACTGTGATTCACTGACAATTGACTGTACATTGAAAATACAATGTTGATATCGCAATCTGAAGATGAAGCTAAGACTTGTTAATTATATGACCACCATAAAGTAGCTAAATAACTTGACTAAAGTACAGGGTCTAGCATGAAGAGTAAAACAGTAACATTCTCAAGAATAACTTGAGCCAGGCACACTTGGGATAGTGAAAGAAATAAAGAAAGGAAAGGAAGGAAGAAAGGAAGAAAATGGAAAGAAAAGAAAAAAAAGAAAGAAAGGAATGAAGGAAGGAAGGAAAGACAGAAAGAAAGACAGAAAGAAAGAAAAGAAAGGAAAGAAAGGAAAAGAAAGAAAGAAAGAAAGAAAAAGAAAGAAAGAAAATAAGTAGTTGATTCTTCAAACAACTCCAAATCCAAAACAAGAGGCATAAACCTTGATTGAGTTGTTTGATACCAGGAGAAATTGCATATTCAATCAAAGCATATTATTAGCCAGAAGAAAGAAAAAAGAAAGGAAGGAAGGAGAAAGAAAGAAAGAAAGAAGGAAAGAAAGGAAAAAAAGAAAGAAAGAAAGAAGAAAGAGAAAGAAAGAAAAGAACGGAAAGGAAAGGAAAGGGGAAAAAAGTAGTTCACTCTTAACAGCAGAAAGAAAGAAAGAGAAAAAACAAAAGAAAGAGAAAGAAAGGAAAGAAAGGAAGAGAAAAAAGAGAACAAAAAGGAAGAAAGAAAAAAAAGAGAGAGGAAGAGAAAGAAAGAAAGAAAAAGAAGGAAAGAAAGAGAGAAGGAAGGAAAGAAGGAAGGAAAGAAAGGAAGGAAGGAAGGAAAGAAAGAAAGAAAGAAAGAAAGAGAAAGAAAGAAAGAAAGAAAGAAAGAAAGAAAGAAAGAAAGAAAGAAAAAGAAGAGGGAAGGGGAGGGGAGGGGACACACTGTGAAAGAGAAAAAGAAGATGGGAGGGGAGGGGAGGGGACAAAATATACAATATAGCATATACTGTATGAGAAAGGTACTATAAAAATTGTTAGGGAAATGTTGAGTTTGCCATATTTTATTTAAAAATAAAATATAGCTATTATCATGAATAAAATCAACACACAATTTTAAAATATGAAAAAAGGTAGCATGTAAATTTTTACAATAAAAATAGTATAATGGCTCTGTGTTTTTGAAGTATTCCTTTAAATAGAAACAAAAAATATTCATCATAAGAAAAGATTGATGATTATTTAGTAAAACGAGCAACTTATATTCATAATACACAAAAAAGGGAAGAAAAATACTAGCCACAAAAAAGAATGCATTTGGATTACATATAATTAAAAGAGATTTTATATTCAGAATTAGTAAGATGACTCCAACTAATAAATACCAAAACTCCCAAAAAGGTAAGTCAAAAAACCTGCATTTTCAAAGATTAGAACAATCAAATACCAATTAAACTGTGAATATATATTCCAAACCCAATTAGTAATAAAGGAAATGCAAATTTACACTACAATGGTAAAACATTTTATAGCCACTCAATTTGTAAATATTAAAATGTGACATCACCAATCATTAACATGTAAAACACCTAAGAAGGAACTGTTGATATAAATGTATATTGGGATAAATAATATAGGAAACCTTCTAGAGTCGAATATGCACAATATCCCAGAAAATCCATTTGTACTTACATATAATAGAGAAAGTTAGATAACTTTATTGTAAAAGTGACCTATGACTGTTTGAATGTATGAATGACATTATTGGCTATCATTGTACTCACTTTCTATTTTAAACTATAAATGTATAATCATTTTGAGTCAAATGATTGATTCCAAAGTACATATTAATATTGATACACGAGTTAAGAAGAAATTATTTAGGCAGATAATGAGGGTACAGGAGTCCTTGGTAAAGTTTTCCTTTTAATAATAGGAGCCCCCAAATCATTTCTTTTTCTAACAAAGTGGAACCTGTAAAACAGAGATGTAAACATAGACAAGCAAGTTGGAAGCTTGCAAGGTGAATGGCAGCAGTTGTGCCAATAGGAAAAGGCTACCTGGGACTAGGCATGTTCATATGGCAACTCCATCTTCCCTTCTCTTTGCCAGCCACGTGTACAGTAAGGAAAAGGCAACATGGCGCTGGCCAGGCAAAGATCCCATTTGCATAATAAGATTAGGGTGGGGCAGCCAGCTTCCTAGCACATTATGTAAATATCACACCTGGTCCAATCAATCTTTGGGCCCTATGTAAATCAGACACTGCTTCCTCAAGCCTGTTTATAAAATCCAGTGCACCCCAGCCGGGGCCAGAATTCACTTTTGGGTGCCCCTCTCTCTCACAAGAGACAGAGCTGTTCTCCTTTCTCTTTCTTTTGCCTATTAAACCTGCGATCCTACGCCCACTCCTTGTGTGTGTCCATGTCCTTAATCTTCTCAGTGCCAGATGAGAAACCTCGGGTATTTACTCCAGACAATGATGCCATTTCAATATGTCTTAATTTAACCAACAAGTATTGTTTTCAAACTCTTTTACTGTATTCTTGACTAATGCCCAATAATAGGAGCATTTATTTTACTATGAACTTATCAAGAAATGTGTATATTTGTTTATACAGAATTGAAAAAATAAAACTAAATAGGTCCGATGGCGAAGCAAGTTGACATAAATATTTTGCCGCAGTTAATATAGATGAGTCTTAGCATGTCATCTGTGTTACTTAGAAAGACATGAACTTGCTGGGATCTCAGAGTAGTGTACTTAGTGACACGGATGCATCTGCAAGGAGGAGACCAGCCATTCTCCATACATGTAACTGTGGTCTGCTCATTTGGAAGACCACAGCCAGGAAGGAAGGCAACTTCTACAGAGTTACCCTGTACAAACTTTCTTCCGTAATTTTCATTATGTCCATTTTCCAAATAAGGAAAATAACGTTTTCCTAAGGACGATAACAATGATAAATGAATAAAGTAAATGAGACACAAAAATGTGCTCAAAATAGTATATTACAATTATTTTTAAAATATTTAAATAAGATTGCATAAACATCCAAAAACAATGTATAACTGAATATGAACTAAAATTACTAACAAAGGTTTGTACAAAAAGAAATATCAATATTTAATACTACTTAAGTTTTTATAATTAAAATATGTATCAATTATATAGATATTCTCATAAAGTCTCTATATTTATTTCTCGTGATTTTTAAGAACTCATAATAGAAAAGATCTATTTTGGTCATTTTGCTTGAACAACTCTTTTCTTGGCCCTATTTCTGTTATATAAGTCAAGTGTAATCACTTATGTGCTCTCCTCTCTTCAATCTTTGAAAGTTTTATACATATATGGCTGTCCAGAGGTTTACTTACTGAGACATGGTACTGCTGGCGACCACCCATCTTGTGTGCAATAAATGTAATCCTAGTAACTTCCTGAAGGAGTCTCAAAAGATTCATCACAGTAATAGGAGTAAGATTTTCCTACAGCTACTGGAAAGTATGGTCTACACATACTTTCATAATATAGACCTCCATGTTTAATGTCTGGAAAATCACAAGATTTCACTTGCAATAAAAAACAAAAAAAAGTATGAATACTTTTTACTGTAATAAATAATCATATTAGAGATAAATTTTTTTATCACTGAATTATATTCTCTTCTTAGAATAATTACACATTCCATTAGGGTTTCTAGGTCAAAACAAATGATAGAACTCAGATGACTAAGATATGTGACGAGAAGGTCTTTGCTAATGAAGATGAGATTATGTCTTGTGGATCACGTGATGCATAAATTTGTAGGAAGGCTCTCTAGAAGGAAAAATGTACAAACCTATTTAATGTATTCCCCTTGAGTACATATACCCTACCTCTGGCTAATTAAATGAGCTTTTTGGTTGAGAAATATGTCAATTTTATCACTTAGCTCAGGTATTCCTTTTTTTTTTCTTTTCTACTGTCATCAGTAAACAGAGCCCTGTATTTTCTTCTCAGAAAAATTCAATGTAAGGAGGTAGTATTTTGAGGGATTTAAGGTTTTTATTGTTTTGGATTAAATTCATGGGCTGCGCACGGTGGCTCATGCCTATAATCCCAGCTCTTTGGGAGGTTGAGGCAGGCAGATCACTTGAGGTCAGGACTTCGAGACCAGCCTGGCCAACATGATGAAACCCGTTTCTACTAAAAATACAAAAAAAATTAGCTGGGCCTGGTGGTGCGCCCTTGTAATTCCAGCTACTTAGGAGGCAGAGGCAGGAGAATCGCTTGAACCCAGGAGGCAGAGTTTGCAGTGAATTGAGATTGCGCCATTCCACTCCAGTCTGGGTGACAGAGCGAGGCTCCATCTCAAAAAATAAAAATAAAAATAGAAAACAAATAAATTCACTAGGCTCTTTTCTAATTACTGGACAATATAAACATATTGAGGAACACAAAAATTTTTCTTTGATAATACCGCACAGAAAAATAACACAGCTAATTCACGCCTCAAACAAGTCACTGAGCCAAGATTTCCAGTGTTTATTAAACCGCAGAAATAGACTAGGAATATTTCTTAATATCCAAATAGTTAAGATTATGATAAACTTTTTTTGTTGATTCCTAATTTTGTTCATTCCACTTTCCTGTGTGCAAGAGAAACCTGCTTGTGGGCTGAAAGTGACTAGACCACTTTCAGCAGGCACACAGGCACCGTGCTTGCCTTGCAAGGGAGTATAGATCCATCCTAGGAGACAGGTGGCCCCAGTGCTTGGGCACAGATGTAGAGAGGGGGACATCTCCCCTGCACCCAATTCTGTGGACATAGCTGTGGTCACTCGCAAAGGAGACTGGTGCAGACACACCAGAGGACAGACATTCTAGGGGGATTAGCGGTGGCTGCAACCCCAGTGGTGAGGTGCCCAATTGAGCCAGGCTTGCGTGAAAGACAAGGCCCTACCTCCTCTTTACACAGAACAGCAGTGTTCCTGTAGGAGAGAGCAGGAGAGCTGAAATGTGTGTTTTGAGCTGAGAGAGGCGGCTCCACATAGAAGAAATTTGACAGGGAACTGCAAGGCAAACGCATTTCATAGATGTCATCTACGCAGCCTGGAGAAAGAAAGTGGTGACTCTTTAACCTCATTAACTTCTGTCTAACATATTTTTCTTAACAGTGCTTACAAGTGAAGATATCTGAATTGTGTAGTGAAATATATTTTCCAAGGAACTGCTTCTGAGCTCATTAGCAATTAAAACAAAAATAAATTATAAAATCAACTCAAAAGATAACTGCAGTTTTTAAAATAGAGTGTAATAAAAACAAGGTTTGTATGTATAATTTTGAATCATACAACTTAAAACGTGGAGGGCTCAGAAGAGATCAACTCTTCTACCCCCACCCCCGACATATGGCAATATCCGTATAGGTCACACTTTTAGAAAATCACTTGACCTCTGATTCGATGTTGGATAATACTGTTACCTGCTTCACTGACTGTGACAGTCCTCATCAAAAGTTAACTTGCTCCCCTTCATAAATGTTTTCAAGTATCTCAAGACAGTCATTATAATGCTATAACTGTATCTTTTTGCATGCTTCTTATGCTATAATTTCTTTAACTCTTCAACTATCTATATATTCTCTTCTATGCCTTGATAGTTGGAAACCAATCATTTTAAAATATGGTAGGCTAAGTACAGTATATTATTACAGGCATGATATTTGGTGGGCAAACCACACAGCTGAAATTAATTTGTCGACACTGAAAAACATCATTTCCTCATGAAGCCTAAAAGAGATAGATGTTCTCCTCAGTACCACCATTGTCTATTAATATTAAGGTTATTAATGAAAATCTTCATTTTCCTCCACTTAATTTACTTTAGAAGCTAAATACAAATGTTGTTTCCACTAGGTAAATCTGCCAACAACAAAAAATTCTTTTTTGACTTGAATGCCGCATGAATGATTTATCTGTTCTTAACAGATAAATAAAAAAGACTTTTTTTTTTTTTTTTTTTGAGACAGAGTCTTGCTCAGTCGCCCAGGCTGGAGTGCAGTGGCTCGATCTCCGCTCACTGCAAGCTCTGCCTCCTGGATTCACGCAATGCTCCAGCCTTAGCCTCCCGAGTAGCTGGGACTACAGGCACCCGCCACCATGCCCAGCTAATTTTTTTTGTATATTTTTTAGTAGAGACGGGGTTTCACCGTGTTAGCCAGGATCGTCTCAATCTCCTGACCTCGTGATCCGCCCTCCTCAGCCTCCCAAAGTGTCGGGATTACAGGCGTGAGCCACCGCGCCTGGCCCAAAAGACATTTTTGAAGGAAGTTAAAATTTTAATTAAAAACATGTTGCTGATTTCTTTTGCTTTGAAGATTAGTTCTCTTGAGATAAATGGTATAGAGTAATATTCTTTGAATGTATATATGAATTTCAATATAGACATAGGTTTGCTGTAATAGCTATTTTCTCTGAGTCAGCTGTAAAAATATTCCATGCTCTATTTATTCGTAATATAGTAATTATTGACAGAACATTTTTTGGGGGAAATTCATGTCAATCATTCTCATTACCTCTCTCAATAATAACTGAACTTCTGCAATTGTGGTATTCCCTTTCACTCAATTTTTTTCTGTCAAAACAAACAAACAAATAAACACAACAGGCATAAAAAAACCCTGGCAATAACCTTTGATATCATCGTCCCTCAACCAAATTCTTCTGAGATTACAGCAACCGTAACTAGTTTCCTGATCCTGACCTCTCATCTTTATAATCTATTTTCCTGTGTATAAATTAATGACCTTTCATCTGGTCATTTTATTTCTCCACTTAAAATCTTTAATGGAACTCAAGTCAGCTAACAGGACAAGAAGCTCATTTCACTTTCTCTACTTCTACTAACATAGTATGGTCTCTTCAGCAATTCTGGAGGTTTTATCAGCATTAATTTAAACTGAACTTATCTACAACTATACCAAGTTAAGCTCAAGCTGTCAGTTTAGGGTGCACACATCAGCAATGATTGTGTTTTGGAAAAGAGAGACAAGAAATATGACTGTAGCATAAAAAAATCTGAAATGTAGCAAATTATCTCCAGATATAAAACATTTTGTTTAGTTTTGTGGCATTTTGTTTGTATGCGATGGCATGCATTCTTACCATAGTTAGAATTCATGTATCAGATGAGACATATTATTGACATAAAAAATAGGTGCATAGACGAATGTACAAATATATATATATTCTTATATTCTATAGGTATGTATACCTATAGAATGTTGAACACCACCACAATTTAAATAGCATATAATTTATGTTTCTTCTATAATTATGGAACAAGTGATAGAAAATAGTATTTACATTCTATTTGTTATGAGAACTTAAGAATATAACTAAAGAAAAATCTTTAAGTTTGAATCATCATAAATCAGAGAGAACGGGAAGGAAGCTAGTGGCACAACAGCTTTAGTGTGCAGATGAGAAGACTAAGTTCATAGACGTGACATCTTTACTTTGAGGGAAGCGTTTGCTAGTTACAGAACTGGCCCTAGAGGCTTGTTAGGTGACGCATGACAGCTTGTCTGACCCAGCCCCTCAAGCATGGCTGCACAGTTTTCTGCTGTCTCCTCCGTATTGGAAAATCGAAACTTCCGTGCCCTGTGTAACCTCCTGAGATACTTTTACATTTTCTTATGATTGCAGGATATTTAGTCCGAGGAAGAAAGGGACATTAATTAAAGGAAATCATTTAAATCTTTCTTTATTTTTATTTTTAACAGTCTTGCTCTGTTGCCAAGGCTAGAGTGCAGTGGCGCGATCTCAGCTCACTTCAACCTCTGCTTCCCGGGTTCAAGTGATACTCCTGCCTCAGTCTCCTGAGAAGCTGGAATTACAGGTGTGTGCCACTACATCCTGCTAATTTTTTGAATTTTTAGTAGAGAAAGCATCTCATCATGTTGGCCAGGTTGGTCTCCAACTCCCGGTCTCAAGTGATCTGCGCGCCTTGGCCCTCCAAAGTGCTGGGATGAAGGTGTGAGCCACCCCACTAGGCCAAATATTATTTTTCTTAGTCAACGATAATTTCAAACCTGAAGTGAGTTTTTCATAGTTTAGGTTTGTTTCTAAAAATCGTTTTTCCCACTAAAAGTCACTGGAATTTCATACAGAAATTATTGAAAGTTAGTCTGTAGTAGCAAAAGTCAAGGAAAGCATGGGACCTTTTGTTATGCCAAAGCTTAATGGGGGCACATGAAATATACACAAAAGCCAGCTTCTTAGTGAGATTTGAAACAAATTTGAGCGTCCCAAAGAAGTACAATGGCAATTAACTGTAATGCATTGGGTACTGAAAATGATCAGTTTAAAAGGGATTTAGAAGCAACCCTGCTCTACAATGTTAATTGTCACCCTTGACACTTTGTTATGGCAACTCTAGTAGATGAATATGAAATTTATACAATTCTGAAAGGATATTCATAATTAAAAATAATGCTCTTGATAACCTATCTTTAAATAAGTATAAATAACTTATGACTTAATGGAAGAAATAATGGCCAATACAAATTCAATGAACATTATAATAGGTTACAATTACAAATTTTCTGTCGAGTTTGTCTTTCAAATAGTGTGGTTTCCAAAAGAATTGGTGTGCCGATTTTATTGTTCAGAACTGAAATATCAACTACCATTAAAAAAATTTTATTAGCATAAGCAATTCACAAAGTATGTCCTTCATTAATGATATGAAAAATCTTTCTTAGATTTGATTTACTAGATTCTGAATATAGATGAATACAGATATATATACACATAAAGTATTCAACAAGACAAAAATCAGCAGGAAAATACACCCAAGATATAATTACCAAATTCTGATGAATAGCCTCTAAAATCTGTGTGGTGGCTACATATATATATATATACTCTTGAGTAAAACGTAAAAAGTTATTTTTAGTTATTAATGTTCTTTTAATAAATTGTGTAAATATCATGGTATTCATCTGCTAGAGCTACCATAACAAAGTACCACTGATTTCATAGAAATTTATTTTCTCACAGTTCTGGAGGCTAATAGTTTGAGATAGAGCTGTCAACAGGATTGGATTCTTCTGAGACCTCTTCCTTTGCCTTGTAAATGGTTGTATTCTTTCTATGCCTTGCGTGATCTTTCTCTATATGGTGTGTTCTTATTTTCTCTTCTTATATAGACACCAGTTATATTGGAGTAGGACCCACCTGAATCATTGACCTTTAACTTAATTACATCTTTAAGCACTCCTTCTCCAAATGCAGTCACATTCTCAGGTATTGGGAATTTGGACTTTAACAAATGAATTTTGGCGGGATGCAGTTGAGCCAATGCTACTGAATACACAAAGATGTTTCTCTCTAACCAAGACGTTGAAAGTAACCCAATGAGTTACTTTCTCCTTTGAGAAATATAGGTGCGACCTAAATTTACAAGACATTTTGCTCAAGTTTACTCTTACAAAAAGTTCATTGGAGGAGACAAGTTTTCAACTGGAATATCAGATAAGGAAGAATTTGTCATCATTCTTTTTTTATAGTGCTTTTAAGAAAGTAAGTAAGAAAGTATAGTGCATATGCTTCTCTAATTCCAGTCATTTCAAAATGGTACTACTTTTCTTCTTTTCATTCTATTTTAATCTATTTAATCTTTATTTGAAAAAAATGTACCTGTATCAGTTCAGTTAACAAAGGAAATAACAGGAGAATTTCCTTTTCTTTCCATTTTGGCACAGATCAAGTTTGATTTTGCACAACAAATAAAACTAGCAAATCATGTGATAGATAACACTGTAAAACCTAAAGCTCTTTACCTAGAATCAAATAAAGTGGCATAGCTTTGAGAAGAGAGGCTGAGGGAAAAGATACTCTCATAAATTGATAATTGGATTTCCAGTATTACCCTCCACTACATTTGTTGAAATATTATGAAGTTTCGGATAATTACAAAATTTATATTCTTCATTAATGGCCACAAACCCTTGATTGTCCATGATTTTTGACCCATGTGGT
Source organism: Homo sapiens (assembly GCF_000001405.40). Classification (NCBI taxonomy): domain Eukaryota; kingdom Metazoa; phylum Chordata; class Mammalia; order Primates; family Hominidae; genus Homo; species Homo sapiens. The sequence continues at coordinate 616,194 of NW_025791754.1, read as the reverse complement.
TCCACTGCTAATGTTACGATATAGTTCTTTAATATGCAAGGCCTGCATTCAAAAAGATAGTTAATATAGAAAATATATGACTGTTGAGGAGAAAACAAATCAGTGAACAATAACATAAAGCTATAAAAAATAATTATTTATGTATTTATTTATTGAACATTTGCTAGTGAGCTCAGAAATGCAAAATTTACTGTCATTCAAAAGTAAGTTAAGCATATAGTCTACTTTTTGATTATATTCATGTTGTGATTTACATGTTGTGATTTACATGTTGCTAATCTTGTTGAAATATTAAGTTCATATTAATGTTAATTCATTTTAGCAGCTTTCTTAAGGTATTATAGAAATAAAAGAAACTGCAGAATTTAAAATGTATTATTTGATGTTTTGGTATATGAATCTATAAAAAATCACCATCTGTAAGATTATGAAAATATCAGTCACTCCCCTTGCATTACAAATAAGAAACTTCTGAACATTTTAAGGTTAGAATCTGTCTAGTGACATGTTTCCTACTTAAAGTTTCATGAGTATATTCACATATCTCCATAATCAATATTAAATGTCTTTTACACTGTAGAACTTATAAAACAAAGAAAATATTATTCATTGTTTAAGTTAAAATGAGATAATATTTCATAAAATTAATTTCTGTTATAGTCTTACAAAATATGCTATTTCTACTAGCATAATGAATAAATCCTCTTTGGTTCATAAAAAATTGTAGACATGGAGACATAGGAAGCTAGATATTACATGAAGTTACATTTAAGATGGGAGCTGAGTGTTTAGATCTCTTCCAATTTACCTTGTCCATTAGCATAGGAAACCCACAAGGTGAGAATGACATTAATTAGTAACAACATGTTAGATATTCTCAGTAGTATAGTAATGCAAAAGTTTCAGTTGTACTGTTTGGAGTTTGAAATCTTTCATTATTAGTTACCAAGGGTGATTCCGAATTTGAGGAAACTACCACGAAGCTAGGCCTTTAAGGTCACTTAGTAAATATCAAAGTTCAGAGAGTTTTGCAAAATGCTTCAATAATTCCAGTTAGTGGTTTCACAACCATCTGTGGAATTGATTCCCTGAAATGTACTTGTAAAATATTATTTAGGGACAGTAATGGACTGAATCCAAAAGTAATATAAAACATTAATTTATTTTATCTCTCATTTTTTGAGTAAAGAGAGTATCAATAAAGGGAACGAAAGGCTTCCACAACTATTGGAAGAACTGAGGGAACAAAGGTCAAAAATGCTATTTCCAGAAAATTCCGAAGTTCAGGAATCTTAGTGATGCCCCACTAATTATCCATTGTACTGCAGTGGATGTTTTTTAGGAAAACTTCCAGAAGCAAGGAAAGCTACTGTTGGTGATCTCAGCTGCTACCAGCAGCTGCTACCAGATAATGCCTTGTCTTTCACTTGGTCCAAGTTTTCTTTAGGTACATCTCATGGGGGAATCTAAGGGAGAAGCAAGCTAAAATACAAATACAGCTACAAATACAAATACAAGCTAAAAATAAAATAGCTTGTAAAATACAAATACAAATTAAAATAAAAATTCCTAATACAGATTGTATTAGGAATAAATAGAAAATCAAAACAAACAAATAATGAGTAAGTTGATTAAATCAGTAATAAAATTCACCTATCAAAAAAGCCCAACGCCTGTTATCTTCACTGCTGAATTCAACCAAACAGTATAAAAAACTGGTAGTATTGTTTTTCAAACTATGCATAAAATAAAGATGGGTAGACATACACAAACCAATAGATGTAACATATCACAATAACAGAATGAACAAAACTATATGATCATTTTAATAGAAGTACTAAAAACATTTGAGAAACTTTGACATTTCTTCATGATAAAGAGTTTCCACAAATTAGGCAGAGCAGAGCCAGATGGTGGAATAGGAGACACCAACCATTCCCCTTCAAAGATACTAAGTTAACAACTATGTACACAGAAAAAAAAAAAAAAAAACACCTTCATAAAATGAAAACATTATCAGATTAGCACTCATAGTACATGGTTTTAACTTCATATCCCTGAAAGTGGCACGTAAGAGATAGGTCAGACAATCTTGAATCACTGACACTACCCTTTCCCCTCTCCCCACACTTGCAGCTGTGCCATGGTGTACAGAGCCTTGCTCTAGGCACTGAGGGAGGGAGAACATAGCAATTGTGAGGCATTGAACAAAATGCTGTGCTATTAGAGCAGAAAGGAAAACCAAACCAAACTCAGCTAACCCCTTCCCATGGAGGGAGTATTTAAACCAATGCTAGCCATGACGGTATTGCTGACTGCAGGGGTCTGAAATCAAGTTCCCACAAATCTTGCCACCTAGGGCTACCTACCATGCATTGTGTCTCAAATAAACTAGAAAGACAGTCTAGGACATAAGGACTGCACACGTATGTGAGTCCTAGTGCTGAACTAGGCTCAGAGACTATGGACTGGGGGAAGACACAGAATATTCAGAGACACCAACTGCACCAGGTGAGGCAGCAAAGAGCGTGCTGGCATCACCCAACCCCTAACCCCAGGCTTCACATTTCACAGCTCCAAAAGAAACCCCTTCCTTCTGCTTGAGGAGAGGAGAGGGAAGAACGGGGAAGACTTTGTCTTACATCTTGGATATCAGCTCAGACAAAGCAGGATAGGGCAACTGTCAAAGGAATGAGGCCCCTGCTTTAAGCCCTAGCTCCCAGATGACATTTCTTGACATACCCTGAACCAAAAGGGAACCCAATGCCCTGAAGGAAATGATGCAGTCCTGGCAGCATTCACCCAGCCTAACTGAAGAGCCCTTGGCCCTCAATAACCTGCAGTGATACCCAGATACTATGTTGAGGGCCTTAGGTGAGCCTCTGAGACTTGCTGGCTTCAGGTACCAGCATGGCCACAGGGGATAGAGAACCACCTGGGCTCCCAGGGTCCCCAGTTCCTGGACTTGACTGGTGGGTGGCATTTTTGGACATACCATGGACCAGATGGGAGCCCAGTTCCCAGAAGGGTGAATCCTAGGCTAGCCAGCATTCACCACAAACTGACTTAGGAGCACCTAAACCTTAAGGGAACATCAGCAGTTGTCTGGCAGTACTCCTCATGGCCTGGAGTGGTGTTAGACCATAGGGTGAGGCTCCTCTGACTTTGGAAAGGGGAGGGAACAGTGAGGAGGATTTTTTTTTATTATTATACTTTAAGGTTTAGGGTACATGTGCACAACGTGCAGGTTAGTTACCTATGTATACATGTGCCATGTTGGTGTGCTGAACCCAGTAACTCGTCATTTAACATTAGGTATATCTCCAAATGCTATCCCTCCCCCCTCCCCCCACCCCACCCCACAACATTTTAACTTGCAATATGACTGCCAGCCCAGATACAGTACCATATAACATCAAGCAGACATCTAAGGTTTTTGAAACTGGTCCCCTGGAAACCACCCTGGTCCAGGGGCCCTCATCACCCTGAATTCTCTCAGATCATGTGCAAGACCATCAATACAGTACCCCTAGAAGTCTGCAAGAACCACTGCATTGCTGGGATTTTGACACCCTGTAAAGAAGTTACAGCTTAGGTCACAACACCCAAGTCCTTTCAAACATGTGGAACATCTTGCCAAGAAGGATGGTTACAATTAAGCCCAGACAGTGAAGAAAACAATAAATACCTAACTCTTCAGTGCCCAGACACAGAAGAATATCTGCTAGCATTAACGCCATCCAGGAAAACCCGACCTCACCAAATGAACTAAACAAAGCACCAGGGAACAATCCTAGAGAAACTGAGTTATGTCACCTTTCAAACAACGAATTCAAAATAGTTTTGTTGAAGAAACTCAAAGAAAATCAAGATAACACAGAGAAGGAATTCTGAACTCTATCAGATAAATTGAACAAAGAGATTGAAATAATTTTAAAAAATCAAGCAGAGATTCTGGAGCCGAAACATGCAATTGACATACTGAAGAAGATATTACACGTGCTATTCTTTAATAGCAGAATAGATCAAGCAGAAGAAAGAATTGTTGAGCTTGAAGACAAGCTATGTGAAAATACACAGTCAGAGGAGACAAAAAAATAAAGAATTAAAAACAATGAAGTATGCCTACAGGATCTAAAAAATAACCTCCAAAAAGCAAATCTAAGAGTATTCACCTTAAGGAAGAAGTAGAGAACGAGATAGGAGTAGAAAGTTTATTCAAATGGATAATCACAAAGAACTTCCCAAACCTAGAGAATGAGATCTATATCAAGTACAAGAAGGTTATAGAATGCCAAGCAGATTTAACCCAAAGAAGACTACCTCAACTCATTTAATAATCAAATTCTCTAAGGTCAAGGATAAAGAGACTATTCTAAAATCAGTAAGAACAAAGAAATAAATAACATACAATGAAGCACCAATACATCTGGTAGCAGGCTTTTTAGAGGAATCCTTACAGGAGTGATATGACACATGCTGACAGAAAAATAACGTTTATCCTAGAGTAGAATATCTGGTGAAAATATCCCTTAAACATAAAGAAGAAATAAAGACATTCTCAGATGAGCAAAAGGTGAGGAATTTTATTATGCCAGACCTGTCCTACAAGAAATGCTAAAGGGAATATTTCAATCAAAAAACGAAATTCATGAACAATAAATAATCACCTGAAGACACAAATCTCACTGGTAATAGTAAGTACATAGAAAAATACAGAATATTAAAACACTGCAACTGGGTTGTGTAAGCTAATATCCTAAGTAGAAAGACTAAATAATGAACTAATGAAACATAATAACTACAGATTTTCAAGACATAGTCTGTACAATAAGATAAAAATAGAAACAACAAAAAGTTTGAAAGCAGAAGGGAAAATTAAGGTGGAAAGTATTTATGAGTTTTCTTTGGCTTGTTTGTTTATGCAAACAGTGTTATGTTTTCTGGTTTTAAGATAGTATTTGCAATCCATATGGTAAGTTGAAACAAAAAATTAAAGAATCTGGAAATTAAAGAATATGCCCCTGAATGCACAGTGGATCAATGAAGAAATTAAAATATTTTGTGAAACAAATGATAATGGAAACACAAAACCTATGGGATATAGCAGTTTTAGTACCAAGAGAAAAATTTATAGCTATAAGTGACTACATAAAAAAGAAAGGAAAAACTTCAAATAAACAATTTGGTGATTTATGTTAATGAACTAGAAAAGGAAGGGCAATCCAAATCCAAAATTATTAGAAGAAAATAAATAATAAATATCACAGCAGATAAACTTGAAATTGAAATGAATAAAATACAAAGATCAATGAAACATAAGTTGTTATTTTAAAATACTAAACATGCTGATCAACCTTTATCCAGACTAAGAGAAAAAGAGTGAGAATTCAAATAAATAAAATCAGAAATGAAAAGGAAACATTACTTCTGATCCTGGAGAAATTCAAAGAATCATTATTAGCCACTATGTGGAATGATATTCCAATAAATTGGAAAGTCTAGAAGAAATGGACAAATTCCTAGACACATAAAACCTACTAAGATTGAAGCAGAAAGAAATCCAAAACCTGAACAGATCAATTATTAATACAAGTAATGAGATCAAAGCCAGAATAAAAAGTTTCATAGTAAAGAAAAGCTCAGGACATATTGGCTTCACTGTTGAATTCTCCCTAACATTTAAAGAAGAACTAGTACCAATTCTACTCTAACTATTTTGAAAAATAGAGGAGGAGGAGGAGCAAATACTTCCAATGTGAGGCTAATATTACCCTGAAAAGAAAATCAGACAAAGACACATTAAAAAAAGAATACTACAGGTCAATATCTCTGACAAATGTAATTGTAAAAATTCTCAACAAAAGAATAGCAACAAATTTAACAGCATACTAGAAAGATCATTCAACATGACCAAATGGGATTTATCCTTGAGATGCAAAGATGGCTCAACATACACAACTCAATCAATGTAATACATCATACCAACACAATGAAGGATATAAACCACATGATTATTTCAATTGATTCCAAAAAGGCATTTGATAAAATTCAAAATCCTTCATGATAAAACACTAAAGAAAACTGAAGATAGAAGGAACACACCCAAACATAATCAAAGCTGCATTTGACAGACACACAGCTACTATCATACTGAATGGAGAAAGTCTGAAATAATTTCCTCAAAGTACTGGAACATGACAAGGATACCCACTTCACCACTGTTATTCAACATAATACTGGAAGTCCTGGCTACAGCAGTTAGACAAGAGAGGGATATAAAGGTATCCAAATTGAAACGAAAGAAGCCAAATTATCTTTGTTTGCAGATGGTATAAGTTTTTTTCGATAAACGTAAGGTAATCACCAGAAAACTATTAGAACTGATAAGTCCAGTAAGGGTGCAAGATATAATATCAACATAAAAAACCAGTAGCACTTGTATATGTTGACAGCAAACAATCTGAAAAAAATCCTAAAGGTAATCCCATTTACAGTAACCACAGATAAAAATAAATAATTAGATATTAACCAAAGAAGTCAAAGATCTCTATAAGAAAAAGAGTAAAACACTAAAAATAGAAGTTGAAGAGGACACCAAAAAAAAAAAAGATATTTCATGATCATGGACTGGAAGGATCAATATTGTTATAATGTCCATACTACCCAAGGCAATCTACAGATTCAAGAAATCACTATGAAAATACCAGGGACATTCTTCACAGTAATAGAGAAAAACAATCCTAAAATTTTTATGGTACCACAAAAGCTAAAGGTACCCAAAATAGCTAAAGCTATCCTAAGCAATAAAAACAAAACTGAAGGAATAACATTACCTGACTTCAAATTATACTACAGAGTTGTAGTAACTAAAACAGCATAGTACTGGCATAAAAACAGACATACAGTCTAATGGAACAGAATAGAAAACACAGAAACAAATTTACACATCTACAGTGAATGCATTTTTGACAAAGGAACGCTGTGGAAAAGAGTCTCTGCAATTAACAGTTCTAGGAAAACTGGATTTTCATATGCAGAAGAATGAAACTAGACCTCTATGTTTTACCATATCCAAAAATCAAATCAAATGGATAAAGACTTAAGTCTAAGACCTCAAACTATGAAACTTCTACCAGAAAACATTGGGGAAAATCTCAAGGACTTTGTTCTGGGCAAAAATTTCTTCAGCAATAACTCACAAGCACAGGCAAGCAAAGCAGAAATGGACAAATGAGATCACATCAAGTTAAAAATGTTCTGCACAGCAAAGGACACAATGAACAAAGTGAAGAAATAACACTGAGTGGGACAAAATATTGCAAACTACCCATCTGACAGGGGATTAATAACCAGAATAATTAAAGAGCTCAAACAACTCTATCAGAAATCATCTAATAATCAGATCAAAAAAGGGCAAAAGATCTGAATATAGATTTCTTAAAAGGATACATTCAAATGGAAAACAGACATGTGAAAAGATGATCAACATAACTGATCATCAGAGAAATGCAAATCAGAACTACAGTGAGATATCATCTCACTCCAGTGAAAATGGCTTATATGGAAAAGAGAGAAAATAACAGATGCTAATGAGGATGTGGAGAATAGGGAAATCTTGTACACTGTTGGTGGGAATGTAAATTAATACAACCACTATGGAGAACAGTTTGGAGGTTTCTTAGAAAACTAAAAATTGAGCTACCTTATGATCCAGCCATCCTAATGCTGTGTATACACCAGCAGTGTACGGAAATCAGTGTATGGAAGCGATATCTGCACACCTATGTTTGTTGCCTCACTGTATACAATAGCTACGATTTGGAAGCCACCAAAGTGTCCATCAACAGATGAATGAATAAATAAAATGTGGCACACATACACAATGGAGTACTACTTTGCCATAATAAAGAATGAGATCCAATCATTTGCAACAACATGGATGGAACTGGAGATCATTATTTTAAGTGAAATTAGCCAGGCACAGAAATACAAACCTCACATGTTCTCACTTATCTGTGGCATCTAAAAATCAAAACAATTGAACTCTTGGACATAGAAAGTTGAAGGATGGTTACTAGAGACTGTGAAGGGTGGTATAGGGCTAGAGGGGAGATGGGGATGGTCAATGTGTACGAAAAAAAATAGAAAAAATAAATAAGTCCATCTATTTGACAGCACAATCGGTTGGCTATAGTCAATGATAACTTACTTGTACATTTTAAAATAACTTATACAGTATTATTGGATGGTTGGAACTCAAAGGAAAGATACTTGAGGGCATGTATACCCCATTCCCCATGATGTGCTTATTTCACATTGTATGCCTGTATCAAAACATTCTAAGTACTCCATCAATACATACACCTACTGTACACCTATGATGTGCACATGAAAATTTAAAAACATATGTATAGAGGAAAAGTACCCCAATACCATAAATAGCATATATGACAAACCCATAGGTAACTTTTATATTCCATGGCTGTCATCACAATGTGTTATTGGCATTGACCAGAGTAGAATAAAACACTACTAGATATGTAAAGAAGCAGAAAATACGGCCCATATTTAGAAGAAAAAGATCTATCAATAATGCTAAAGACAAACCATATAGTAAATATAGTAAAATAAGCAAAACCTCCTCCATAACTTTAAAATAACTGCAAAACATAAGACAAAAATCTTCAGGAAAATATATACGTAAATGTTGAAGAGAGGTGGAATTTCAGTTGAATAATGACACTTAGCCAAGTATAACAGGTTACTGAAAACATTTTCAGTTATAATGAAATTTTACTCTATCTGTAAGTAGTGTTCGTAAAAACTTTATAAAAGTATTGTAATTTTTAAAACTATTGTTAGTATTTTAAAGATGGTTGTTTTTGAAATTCTATAAAAAAATAATCTTTTTGAAAATAATTTTATTTTTCCAAGTGTCCCAACCTTTTGCAACATCTGTGATTGGTCAGAAATATGGATAATAATAAACTTTAAAATACAGCACAAGGTGTTTTCAAAGTTCTTTGCATAAAATATAATCAGAAATTACTGACCAAGGACCTTAGTGAAGAACACCAGGAATCCACTAATATTGTTAAGTGTGCTATTAACAAAAAAAGAGTCAGCCCCTTCATTAATTACTTTTTAAAGTATAGCATAGCAAAAAACCTTGACTATCCAAAATGACACACAAAAGTAAGTAGGTTCCTTAGCGGTTATTTAGGAGTTTATATGACTTTATGTATTAGTTGATAGTATTTTAATTTTTTCAATATTCAGTGAATACAAAGTGAAATACCCAAACTGAAACATGCTTCATACTTTTATCTTTTTTTACATAAAATTTCTCCTATGGAATAATTTTAGATTTACATAAAAGTTGTAAAGAGTATTCAGATAAGGTCTTTGTTAATCTGAAAATCAATAAAACAAAGATTAGATTTATTACATGAATGTCAAATGAACTTATTTTTTGTAAGATAAGCATACTTACAACAGACATTTAGCTTCTCTTTCTGTAGTAGTTAGAAAGGCTAGGCTTAAATATATTAAATAGAATATATGTACTCAGCAATATTGAAATATATAATATTATCACTATTATTATTATTATTATTAAGTGTGAACACCATGCTGTGAAATAGATAGTAAAACGTATTCCTCTAGTCTAACTGAAAATTTATACCCTTTGACCAACACCTCCTAGAAACACCGCCATCCCTTCAGCTTCTGGTAACCACCACTCTACTCTCACCTTCTGTAAATTTGAATTTTTTAGATTCCACATATCAATAAGATCATGCAGGATTTTTCTTTGTGTTGACTTTATTTTAGATAGCATAATGTCCACTAGATTCATCCACGTTTTCCCTATTGACAAAATTGTCTTCTTTTTAGTTTGTATAGTATTCTACTGTGTATCTATACCACATATTCTCTTTTTGTAAACATTTTCATTTATTTTTTATTGGCAAATAAAATTGCATATATTTATTATGTAAAACATATTGTGTTGAAATATGTATACATTAGATAATGGCTAAATCAAGCTAATAAATATATGCTTTACTTCACATACTTCTCATTTTTGTGTGTGGTGAGACTGCTTAAAATCTACACTAAGTAGTTTTCAAGAATACAACATATTATTGTTAACTAAAGTCACCATATTTTACAACGGATTGCATGTATAAGTGCAATCATGTGGTTTTGTCTGTCTTATTCCACCTAACTTAATGTCCTCCCTGTTTATTCTATGTTCTTGAAAATGCAGGATTTCCTTTTTTCAAAGCTGAATAGTATTACATTGTGTATATAGACCACATTTTCTTTATCTATTCATCTGTAATGGATACTTAAGTTGATTCCATATTTTGGCTATTATAAATAATGCTGTAATGAAGATGGGAATGCAGATAACTCTTTGACATACTGATTCCTTTTTCTTTGTACATATATTCAGTAGTAGGATTACTGGATTGATTATATGTTCTGCTTTTCATTTTTGACAAACTCTATAGTATCTTCCATAATGGCTATACTAATATACATTTCCATCAACAATGTGCAAGTGTGTCCTTTTCTCCACATGTTTGATAACACTTGATTTTTTTTGTATTGTTGATAATAATACTTGTTGGCCATTGGTACGTCTTCTTTTGAGAAATGTCCATTCAGGTACATTGCCTATTTTTAAATTGGTTAATTCCTTTTTATTAGCCATTGAGTTGAGTTCCTTATATATTTTGAATATTAACGCTTTATCAGATATATGGCTTGCAAATATTTTTCCAACTCATGAGTTGTCTCTTCACTCTGGGCATTGTTTACTTTGCTGTGCAGAAGCTTTTTAGTTTGATGTAATACAATGTGTGTATTTTTCCTTTTGTTGCCTATGCTTGGGGAACCAATCCAAGAAATCATAGCCCAGACCAATGTCATGTATTTTTTTCTCTTATTTTCCTCTAGCAGTTTTATAGTTTCAAGCTTTACATGTCAGTCTTACATATATTCTGAGTAGTTTTATGTAGTGTGAAACAGCGGATCAATTACATTCTTCTATGTGTGAATATCCGATGTTCCCAGCAAGATGTATTGAAGAGACTATTATTTTCCCTATGTGAGTTCTTGTCATCTTTATTGAAAATATATTGAATTCTATTCTGTTTTATTGGTGTCTTGTTTTATGCCAATGTCATGCTATCTTGCCTATAATAGCATTATATCATAATTCAAAATTTAGAAGTGTAATGCCTCCAGCTTTGTTCTTTTTAATCAAAATTACTTTGACCTTCGGGATCTCTTGTCATTTCATACATATTTTTGAACTGTTTTTCATTTTTTTGTGAAAAATGACATTAGAATTTTGATGGGGACTGCATTGAATCCTTACATCTTTTTGTGTAATATGAACATTTTACCCATATTAAATCTTGCAGTTCCTGAACATGGGCTATTTTTCTGTTTATGTGTGTCTTCTTCAATTTGTTTCATCAATATTGTATTGTTTAAAATATATAGATTTTTGAGATCCTTGGTTAAATTTACTCCTAATTTTATTTTTTGGTGTTATCAGAAAAGGAATAGATCTTTAAATTTCTTTTTCAGACAGTTTATTGTTAGTATATAAGAAAGAAAAAAGCAAAATCTAAGAATGAAGAAAACAAGTGAAAATTAATATACAACTCTATGGATTCGGTAATAGGGTGAACCAGAGATAAGAAGTATTTAAATCATTTTTGAAAAGAAGATTCGCACTCAGAGTCAGCTATCTAGGGGCAAAATAAACACAAAGAAATTTTAATTTTCACTTAGTAGTTTAACTACTAATAGCAACGTTTCATTACACTTTTGACATTTTCATGAATGAGTCAGTAAAGACAAATGAGAGAAGAATATATTTAATGAGCATAAACATATAGTTAGATAGAATAAATAAGATCTAGTATTTGATAGCACAACAGGGTGACTATAGTCAAAAGTAATTTATTGCACATTTTAAAATAAAAGGGATAATTGGATTGTTTGTAACACAAAGAAAGTATAAATGCTAGAGATGATGAATACCTCATTTACCCTGATGTGATTATTACACCTTGTATGCCTGTATCAAAATATTTTATGTACCTCATACATACATAGACGTACCATATACTCACAAAAATGAAAACATGTATATACTAAAGTTGTTTTCACAGATGTATTATTAAATTTGAATTGTAAAATCCAGTGAGAACAACAAACTTTTATATTTTATTTATATTTCAAAGATTTTACCACCAAAAATCCCTGAAAATAATTATATTTCCAAAGTATTGGACATTCCCATCTATTACCAATACTTCATGGTTCTTGAGTTCTAAATTTTATTCTGCTTTAAAAATAATCAGACTTTCTAGGAAAGGTGTATGATTTTGAATGTTGGGCAGAGGAAATATAAAGTGAACTTAGAACATGTTATGCTGAAAAAAAAAGAGAGAAATACTCAGATAAAATTAGGGCACATGAGAAGCAATGAGGAGCCAGTTTCCAGAGATATCCAGATTGAATAAATCAAAATACACGACTCCAAGGTGATACAAACAACTACAACAAACAAAAAACCTTTCTGTTTTTACAAAAAGACATATTTATATTTCAAAACCTAGAAGTAATATTTTGGTCCATTAACTTCCATTTTTACTGATTAATGTAATCAATTTTTTCACCCCTATAAAAGTATCATTGGCAAATACAAATTTTTATATTCACGTTATACAACATATTATTTTGATATACATAACATTTTATAATGATTATCATAATGAAGCTAATCAAATATCCAATATCTCACCTTGTTACCTTTTGTATGAATGACATCAGAACACTTAAGAACTATTGTCTTTGTAATTTCAAATATATAATATATTATTAATAACTATAGTCATCATGCTTTACACTAGGTCTCCAGAAATTATTTGTCTTAAAACTTGTATCCTCTGACTGACATCTCTCTATTTCTCCCACTGTGCAACCCCTGGTAACTATACTTCTACTCTCCATATCTATGAGCTCAGGTGTTTTTTAGATTCCAAATATAAATGACATCATGCAGCATTTGTCTTTCTGTGTCTGGTTTACTTCACTTACTTAATATCTGCCATGTTTATCAATGTTGTTAAAAAAGACAGATTTGCCTTCTTTTTAAAGGCAGAATTTAATGTATTCCACTGTATATATGCACCACATTTTCTTTATTCAATCATCTTTGACAGAAACATAAGTTGTTTCCATATCATAGCTATTGTGAACAATCCTGCAAAAAACATGAGAGTGCAGATATTTCTTAGACATACTGATTTTGTTTTCTTTGTTTATACACCCAGAAGTGGAATTGCTGAGTCATGCGATAGTTCTATGTTTAATATTTTGAGGAACCTCCATATAGTTTTCTACAATGGCTGTAACAATCTACATTCCCACCCATAATGTACAAGTGTTTCCTTTTTTCCACATCCTAACCAACACTTGTCATGGAGCTTCAGTGAAATTATTGAAAAATTTATGGGGACAACACCCCAAAAGAAATCAGCCATTTAGAAACAGATAACTCATTTTAGGCAGAGGCAAGACAATGTTAAGGATGAAGCCCACAGCGGCAGACTAGCCACACTAATTTGAGAGAAAAAAATAATTTTGCTCACATCTGGATTAAAGATGACTGATGACTAAGAGCAGAATCAATAGTCAACACCATAATTAGTTCATCTTACAAATTCTGATGGGAAAATCAATGTTATAGCAAAATTTCCATTCAGTGAGACCCAAGACCATTGCACCCAGATGAGGTGTAGTAGACAAGAGAAGAGTGTTTTGTTTTTGAGACTGAGTCTGGCTCCGTTGCCCAGGCTGGAGTGCTGTGGGGCAATCTCAGTTCACTGGAAGCTCCGCCTGCCGGGTTCAGGCCATTCTCCTGCCTCAGCCTCCCCAGTAGCTGGGACTACAGGCGCCCACCACCTCGCCCGCAGATTTTTTTTTATTTTTAGTAGAGACGGGGTTTCACCGTGTTAGCCAGGATAGTCTCGATCTCCTGACCTCGTGATCCTCACGCTTCGGCCTCCCAAAGTGCTGGGATTACAGGCGTGAGCCACGGCGCCCGGCCAGCAAGGGAATAGTTTTTAACGGAAAGTGTATTAAACAAGTGGGAATAAGAACCTGAAACATTTCTTCAAAGATTTGTAACAAGAGCTGAAACATGAGTTTATCAGTATGATCCTGAATACAAAACATAATCAAAGCAATGGCATACCAAAGGTGGAAGTGGTCCAATGAAAGCAAAAGCAGGCCAGTCAGGAGAAAACATCATGGCAACAGTTTATGAGATGGCCAAGGCATTTTACTAGTTGAGTTCTGGAAGGCCAAAGAGAAACATTTGCTTCTTAAGAGAATGTTTTGAGAAAGTTTTCAAAGCTTTAGCAGAAAAATGCCCAGGAAAACTTCATCAGAGAGTCCTCCTCCACCAGAACAATGCTCCTGCTCATTCCTCTCAACAGACAAAAACAATTTTGTGAGAATTTTTATGGGAAATCTTTGAGCATTCCTACATTAAAGTCCTGGTTTGCCTTCTCCTGACTTCTTTCTTTTGCCTAATTTTAAAAAATCTTACAAAGGGTACCCATTGTTTCAGTTAATTATGTGAAAAAGACTGCTTAACATGGATATAGTTCCAGAACCATCGAGTCTTTAGGGATGGACTAAATGGCTTGTATCACTGTTTTCAAAAGTGTGTTGAACTTGATGGAGCTTATGTTAAGAAATAAAGTGTAGTTTTAAAATTTTCTTATTTTAATTCAATTTTCCATGAATATTTGGAAGTGCCTTTATATATGCATGATTTTATTTCGGAGCTTTTAATTCTATGTATCTTTTTTGTATCAGGACTAAACTGTTCTGATTATTATAGATTTGTAGTGTAATTTGAAACCAGAGAGCATGATAGTGTGCTGTCTCTTCCTTTTTTGTCTTGTAAGACTGCTTTAGCTATTTGGTGTCTCTTGTTCTATATTAATTTTAGAATTTTTTTTCCATTTCTGCGAAAGATGTGTTTAGAATATTGACAATATTGCATGGAATCTGGAGTTTTAGGTATTGAAGACAATTTTATAATATTGATTCTTTTGATCCTTGAAGACAGGACATCTTTTCATTTATTTGTGTTTTCTTCAATTTCTTTCATCAATATTTCATAGTTTTCAGAGTACAGAACTCTCATCTCCTTGCTTTGATTTAGTCTCAAGTATTTTATTATTTTTGATGCTATTGTAAATTAGATGTTTGTTTTCAATTTCTTATTTCAATAGCTTGCTGTTAGTGTATAGAAATGTAACTGGCTCTGTCTGTAGATCTTGTACCCTGCAACTTTACTGAATTGGTTATTACTTTTAGCAAAGTTTGGTGAAGTCCTTGGGTTTTCCATGTATATAATGAGATCATGGCATCTGCAAACAGAGACAACTGTTTTCTTTTCCAATTTCCATGCCTAACAGCTCTAGCCAGGATTTCCAGCACTATGTTGAACATAAGTGGTGAGAGCGAGCCTCCTTGTTTTTTTTTTTTTTTCTGATCATAGACAAAAATGTTTCAACTTTTCACTCTTGAGTATAATGTTAAATGTGAGCCTGTGATATGTAGCCTTTATTGTCTTGGGGTAATTTCTTTTATGGCTAATTTGTTGAGACTTTTTATCATGAAAGGATGTTGATTTTGTTAAATGCTTTTTCTGTATCTATTGAGATGAATATACAATTTTTGCTTTTCATTCTTTTAATTCGGTGTGGAACAGTAATTGATTGGTGTATATATACTATCTTTACATCCCAGATATACATTACTTTTCATTATGGCGAATGATTCCTTTAATGTGTTGTCTTCACTTTGGAAGTATTTTGTTGAGCATTTTTGCCTCTATATTCATGAAGAATATTGACCTATAATTGTTTTTTGTAGTGTCCATGTGTGGCTTTGGTGTCAGTATGATTTTTGACCTCATATAATAAAACTGAGAGTTCACTCTTAAATTTTTGACAGAATTTGAGAAGGATTAGTGTTGATTCTTTAAATGTTTGGTAGGATTCCATCCATCATGAAGCCATGAGTTTTTTTTGTTTTGTTTTGTTTTTTTGATGAGAGACTTTTTATTACTTGTTCATTTTTCTTACTCATTACTGTTCTGTATTAATTTTGTATTTCATTATGTTTCAGTAATCGTGGTAGGTTGTAGATGTCTATGAATATATTTGTTTCCATTAGGTTATCCAACAGTTATATGTTGGCATATAACTGTTCATAGCGGTCTCTTCTGGTTTTTTGTATTTCTGTGCTATCAGTTACAATGTTTCCTGTTTCATTTCTAATTTTATTTGTTCCTTCTCTCTTTTTTAGTTCAGCTAAAGGTTTGTCAATCTTGTTTATATTTTCAAAAGCCAACTTCTAGTTTTGTGGATCCTCTATTATTTTTCCAGTCTGTTTTATTTATTTCTGTTCTGTACCTTACTATTTTTTTCTTTCCAGTAGCTTTGGGTTAATTTTTTTCTTCATTTTCTAGTTTCCTGAGATACAAAGTTACTTGCTTTATTAGGATCTTCATGGAGTCATTCATATCTCTAAACATCCCTTTATACTGCTTTTGTTGCATACCATATGTTTTTTAGAATGTTGCTTTTCCATTTTTGTTTTTCTCAAGATATTTTTAAATTTCCCTTTGAATTTCTTCATTGCCCCATTGGTTGTTCCGGATCATGTTGTTTAATTTCCATGTATTTGTGAATTTCCTAACATTTCTTCTGCTATTGTTTTCTAGTTTCATATGACAATGTTAAAAAAATTTATGTAATTTCAATCTTTTTAAAATTTTTTAAGACTTGTTTTGTGGCCCCACATATGATCTATATTGGAGATTATACCTTGTGTGCTTGAGAAGAATGTTTATTCTACTGTTGTCAAATGGAATGTTCTATATAGGTCTGATAGGTCCATTTGGTCTAATATAGAGTTCAAGTCCAATGTTTTTATTGATTTCTGTATAGACTGTCTATCCATTGTTGAATGTGGGTTATTGAAGTCCCCTACTATTACTGCATTTTTGTCTATTTCTTCCTTTAGATGTATTAATGCTTGCTTTATAAGTTTCATTGCTCCCATGTTGAGTGCATACATATTTGCAATAGTTATAATCTATTTGTGAATTGACTCCTTTGTATAATGACCTTCCTTGTTTCTTTTTACAGATTTGACTTAAAATTCAATTTTAGTTAATGTTAGTATAGCCCCCCTGCTTTCTTTTGGTTTCCATTTACATGGAACATATTTGTTTATCCCTATGCTGTGCTATGGTGTGCATAGTAGTACCCTTTCAAAATATGTGTGTTACGTCCTCATCACTATGGTGATAGTATCAGGAAGTAAGGACTTTTTAGGTGATTAGGTCATGAGGATTCCACCCTAATACATTGGATTAGTCTTTTTACAAAGAAGAGTCATGGAACTCCCTTGCCCCTTCCACATTGTAAGGACATAGTAGGAAGGCACCATAGTGGGAAGGCACCAAAACAGGGAGCAAGCCCTTACAAGACATCAAATCAGTTGGTATCTTAAGCTGGAAAATCTCAGCCTCTAAAACTGTATGAAATAAATTTCTATTTTTTATAAACTAGCCAGTTTATGGTAATTTCTTATAGTGGCTCAAATGTACTAAAACAATTTAGGAATAAACGTATATTCCCAAATGTTAACATTACTATCAACATAAGTTGCTAATTATAACAAATGTCCTTTAGATTTTTGAAATCTGGCTTTCCTCAACTCAAGCAATTTATCTAAATCAGGATCACTAACAAGGAGACAGCCTGAGTATATAAGCCACCTGATTTTATACAGTAAGAAGTAATAAGGTATCATTAAATAATATTTGTGTTGTATTATTGATATCTTTATTTTTCACATAATGGCTTCACCTCCTTTATGAGTTTAAAATGTTCCTAATCAAAAATGATTTTACCTAACTAGTGCTGATTAAAAAGAATGAATATAAAAATTACATTTCAGAACCTTACTATTGAAATTTCCAAAACTCTTCTACTCCAAAAATACTTAAGAGGCTATTTGATGTTAAGATCATTACTGATGAAATCTTTATCATTCTCAACATGCACCGCCTTGCTTGTTAGACATCATTATTTTAAAATAAATTGTGCTTTTGTTTCCAAAGTGATATATGTTAAAGGTAGAAAAATCAGAGGATACCGATATATACAAAAGAATTAAACCCTAACTTTTACCCCTAGTATCTCTAAATACACACACACACACACGCACACACTCACATACATATACATGTATACACACACACACACACACACACACACACATTTATCTATAGTTTTGAATTTCCTGGCAATATTTTTTCTATAAACATTAAATCAGGGCAAAAGTATCATGTTTCTATGTTTGCAAGTGAGTGCATGCAAGTGAGCATGTTATAACTGATACTGTGTTTTTATTTTTTGTATGTTTATGTTGTAATATTTATATACCCTATTACGTTTTAACTCCTCTTTATGATTAGTTTGCATTATCACGTGTGCTAGATTGACATCTTGTAGAAGTATCTACATTTCATCAGTTTTGGTGCATTTATGTATTGATATCACTTTTGGTGCATTTATGTATTGATAAATAGTAATTACTTATATCTCATTACCAACATGAGTTAAGACTTGACTTGGTTTTTACATCTTTGTAAAGTGATATAATTTTGAAATCAGAGACAATGATATGCTTTCCATTTTCTGTAAAACAGTGAGCCTCAGAAGCTGTGGAGAAAGCTTTGGGAGATTTAAGAGTGATGAACAGAAATAAAGTCTGAAAAATTGCGTCTAATTTCTTGCCACAAACATTTTATGAACTGGACACAACCGTTAGTTTTCCAGGATTTAATATGGTGCTTTTAAGAAGAGAGCCACCGGTCTCAGCTTATAATTACATTTTCACAAATTAATCCAAAATTTTACGTATGAATAAAAAGGAGTAAAACAATACATAAAAAATGAAATTGAGAACTGATTTAATACTAAAGTTCTGAATAAAGGTGTGCACTTTATGATTGATTCTATCTTTTTGCACAAGTTGGATACTCCAGTTTCCCATCCCAACATGTTGTTCGCAATGTGTGAGAACGTGATGAAAGACGATATCCCCGTTTACACACAAATTCAACTGATTCACCTGTTCTCGAATAAAGCTTCTGTTTGGCTGTCCACCTTAATGCTATGTTATAATTTTCCATAATTTCTCGGGATATTACACACGGATCTGAAAATAAAAAACAGTAAACATAAAACATTAAGTAGTATGCAAATCTTCATAGACTTTCAGGTTTTCAAGTAGAATGTTATATGATGGTTCAGGAATTATTTCTCAAAACACTATCCAAACCAACTATGTAGAAACATCATATTGATTTGAATAAACTTAGAATGGTAATCGATGTGAAAATGAGGTTCGATGTTTAATGTATGAGAATTAGGGGTGTATTATCAATGATTCATTACATCAGTTGTCATTTTAGGATCCCTGCGTTTTAGAACTTATCATTGCTGCTTTTGATTAAGATATTGGTCAAAGAGTACAAACTTTCAGCTATAATATGAATAAGAACTTGGAATCAAACATAGAGATCTAGTGATATTTAGAGCTAATAATATTGTATTGTTTATTTGAAAATTGGTAAGAAAGCAGATTTTAAGTGTCCTCACCACAAACACACACACACATACTCACACACCCACCTACACCCAATGCTAAGCATAGGTGATGAAGAATGTGCTAATTAATTTGTGGTAATCTTTGTAGCATAAATATATCAAAACAACATATTGTCAAACATCAAAATATATTTTTATTTGTCAACTAAATGCTTTAAAATAAAATATAAATATAAAGAGAAAAATTACTTTTTTTGTTGTTTTTATTGAGACGGAGTCTCGCTTTGTCACCCAGGCTGGAGTGCAGTGGCGCGAACTCGGCTCACTGCAACCTCCGCCTCCCGGGTTCCCGCCATTTTCCTGCCTCAGACTCCCGACTAGCTGGGACTACAGGTGCCCGTCACCATGCCGGTTATTATTATTATTTTGTATTTTTAGTAGAGACGGGGTTTCACCGTGTTAGCCAGGATGGTCCTCAATCTCCTGACCTCGTGATCTGCCCGCCTCAGCCTCCCAAAGTGCTGGGATTACAGGTGTGAGCCACCGCACCCAGCCCTAAAGAGAAAAATTTCTAAACTTTACTTTCTGACAGAAATATTTGGTAGGCAAGCATTCAGCAGAATGGTTGTTCAATAATCTGTGAGTATTTTGTTACAAACAGTGAAATATCAGACTCATCACAGAGATTTTTCCAGCCACGTGAATATTAAAGTACTTACGTAAGCATTTTGGTGGTTCTGACCATTGTCCATTTCTACATGTTATTCGCTTGTTACCCTCAAGTTGATACAAGTTCTGGCATTGGTACTCAACTGATGAAGCTGGAGCATATACTGACAACGGGAATGAAGTAATGTCCCCATTGTCAATAGGTGGAGGGGGCCCACATTTTCCTGTAGAATCTAAAAAACATCATTTCATCACTTGATTTGTTGTGAGAGCAAATCAAAATACAAGTTCAAATAAGGCAAACGCAAACACAGCACTGTATATAATATCAACAGTTTTGTGATTTCTGGTGAAAGAAATGAGTCCTGGAAGAAATTTTAACCCTTTAAACTGAAAGTAATATATTTAAGTTCTTTTCTCCGTACTGAAAGAACACATAAAACATTAACAAATATTGCTGCTTATGGTAGACCAGGATTAAGAAATGTCTTTCCGAATGAATACATGCTAAACATAGAAAACTATGACAAAGGAAGTTTCTTATTTCATATTCGAAAAATCCCATAGGAATTATAAAATGGAAAAGTATGACAAAAATTTTTTAAAAACACTGAATATACTTAATAATACATGGGGAGCTGACAGACAAATAAATCCATGAACTTGAACATACAGCAATATAAATTACCCACTCTGAAAATAAACTGAAAACAAAAAACTGAACTGAGACATTCAGAAAAATACAACAACAAATAATGCCGATGCAGAAAAAGAAGAGAAAGGATATTGGGCTGGAAAAATGAATAAATAAAATGATGCCTGAAAACTTCCCATTTTGACCATAAGGTATAAACTTATATTTAAGAAGCTGAGTGAACTCCAAAGAGGATAAAAACATTGGAATTTATACCAATATACATTAAAATAAAACTACTTTAAAAAAAGAAAAAAATACCTTGAAAGCAACTAGACAAAAACTATGCTTTTCCTCGAGGGGATCAACAATTCAAATGATGCTGAGTTTTTCATCTATAACCATGTGGCACGGTTTTCAAGTGTTCAAAGAACTGTCAACTCCAAATTTGATATCCAGTGACACGATCTTTTACAAGTAAGGGGATCAATACAGACATTCTCAGAGAAAGGGATACCAAGGGAATTTGTCTCCAGTAGACCTATGCCTAAAGATTAACTAAAGGAATTCTTCAAATTAAAATAAAACAGATAAAAGAAAGAGCTTGAGACTTTAGGATCCTGAAAAAATAGAAAAATAGAATGGATAAACAGAGGAGTCAATATAACAGGATATCTTTTTCCTCATAAGTTTTTTCAATTATGTTCGATATTTGAAGCAAGTGAGTTTAATATGGAGCTCAATGTATGCAGAGAAAATACTAGTGGCATTTATACTTACAACGTGGAGAGTGTAAATGGATCTACATGAAAGTAAGGTTTCCATATTCCAGTTGTAGATTTAAATGTCAGTGCCAGTAGACAGTAATATATTATTACATATATAGTATTAGCTAGAGCAACAACTTTTTAAAAGGAGGAGAAAAGCTATACAAAGAGATAGAATGGAAAACAATACATATGAATCGAAATTAATCTCCTTAATAATTTCCCTACAGGGAATGGAGGAATAGGGAAATAGGACTGAAACCCAGAGGAAACAGGCAGAAACAAATAAACGACAGAGATTTAAGTCCTATATATCAATAATTATTTTAAGTGTAAATGGTCCAAGTGCACCAGTTAACAGGCCATGAAAGGATGAATGGATATGTAAACATGACCCAACTATATGCTGTCTACAAAAACTCACTTCAATAATAAACATAGGTAGAGTCTAAGTAAAATAGTGAAAAAAAAAATACAGAAAAACATTAATTTTAAAACATAAAGGTGAGTAAGATACAATTTCCTTTTTTGGTTTCCCTTATTTCATCTCTTTATATTAGAATGACCCAGGACTATGTGCTCGGACTTCTTTTTATAAATACAGTCAGTCACACACCTTTAAATATAATCCATATACTGAAGATGCCCACATTTATATCACAGTCTATGATCTCTCTTCAACTGCCTATTCCATATCTTAGAATGCACATCACTTATGGCTGTCAAATGCACATAATGTATCTTTTATTACACGTATTCCTGAGAAGGAACTAAGTGTTGTAATGCTTAAAAAGTATTGTTTTTCAGGTTCCAACTCTCAATTTGGTCGAATCTTTCTGGAAAATAATATACCCTATTACTTGTGTTCTGTTCACAGGAAGAATTGAATTTTAAGCACCATCAGTCATTTTATTTGCATTTGAAAAATCTATTAATAAAAATGACTTCATTTTGTTTAAATCAACATATTTTAACCCTGCTATACTCCCCCAAAATGTTAAAAGAAATATAATACTCTACCTTTGCATTGAGGTGGTTCCGTCCAGTTTCCATTTAAACACATCACTTCTTCATCCCCAAACATTTCATAAGGGCTCCTACATTGATAACGTACTCTCTCACCAGATGGATATTTACTCATCTGTCTCGACACTATATAAGCATTTTGTACTGTGGGCGGATTCACACAGGAGGTGTCTGAATAGAAAAAAAAGAAGTGGTTCCACCTAGTGTTCATTTTGAGTAGCAAATCAACTGATAACAGTTACAAATATATTTCAAGACGAATTTAAAATAAGTAGACAATCTCATCAAATATTTTGTTGATTTTAATAAATTTAAATGTAATATTGAGGAAAAGACATGAAACTATTTTTTGTAAGGTACAAGCGTTGATGTTTTAAATTTCTTCTTCATCCTTCGCTAGAACACTGATAGACCTTTATTTTTCCCTTCTGGAAGCCAGTGTAAACGAAAGTTTTCCTGGATATCTCTCTTTGAGTTTGAGTAAACAAATATTACCAGTTCTATTTATTTAACATTAATTTATAAAATGCAAAAAGTCAGCATAAATAGATTATGTGATACCAGATTTTTGTTTGCAATCATCCTGCTTATACATTTTAGCCTCTTAAAAATAAACTCAAATAGGCATTTTCTTAGCGAATAAGCAAAGAATTAAAAACACATTTTGAAAATTACCCAAGTTAAAAGGAGGAAGAATGGTTAATCAAAGGATCCAAATTGGAGATGTGGAAAAATTTTTTTAAAAAGCCTATAATAATAAAAATAACCTCAGATAATTTAATTGCCAATGATTAAGGATATTATGCTGAACAATGCAAAATTCATCAGAGAGTTTCATATCCATGTGTAGTGAATAGACTATAGCAATGCTTCTCACTCGGAAGTGTAAATAGAATTCCCTGGAGGTGTTGGTAAAACAGTTTCAGGGTTTTACTTTGAGACTTTTGATTCTGGATGTCTAGAATGAGCTTACGGAATTTTATTTTCATTTCAAACAATCTCCAAGAAGATGATGATGCTACCGGTTTAGCGACCACACTTTGAGAACTATTGAGCTAAGATTAATCATCAAATACTCAGTTCCATCTTTTTATTTTTAGGCATACGACTACTTTGTCCTGCCGTAAAAACTTAATTTATGTCCATTTTAATGATGTTAGAGACAATTCTATATTTTATTCCCAAAACACTCTATATAAATAAATTGTACTTATATATTTATTTATTTCAGGTTTATTTATTTTTTTGAGACGGAATCTCACTCTGTCACCCTGGGTGGAGTGCAGTGGCACGATCTTGGCCCACTTCAATCTTCATCTCCCTGGTTCAAGCGATTCTCCTGCCTCAGTCTCCCAAGTAGCTGGGACTTCAGATGCATGTCACCATGCCCCACTATTTTTTTGTATTTTTAGTAGAGACGGGTTTTCACCATGTTGGCCAGGCTGGTCTCGAACTCCTGACCTCAAGTGATCCGCCCACCTCGGCCTCCCAAAGTGCTGGGATTACAGGCGCCAGCCACTGGGCTGGGCCCACACATTATATAAATAAATTTTGAAAATTCACCAAAGTACCTCTGCATGTTGGCCTTCCTGTCCATCTGCTATTAATGCATGTTACATTACTGGCTCCATCCATTTTGTAATATGTTGCACAAGTGTAAGTCACTTGCTCACCCGCCTTATACACATCCTTCTTCTCTCCCATGGGTATGGCATTTTCAAAGCTAGGTAAACTGAGACAATCTGTTTCTGAAATAGGAAAAATATGTATTTGTTCCGCAAATCTTTAAAAATAGGTTACATACAATACATGTAATGGATTCTAAAATAGCGATATGTAGAATCAATGAATACTGTACAACATTTTTCTTATAACTTGAGAAAATATATTAGCCATTTTGTCTTAATTACATTAAATTCTTCTAAATCTATTAAAAATACAAGATAGAAATGATATTAGAAGACTGAAGAAATATTGGTAGCCGTAGCAATTGAGATTACACATTTTTTTGTTCACATTATTTTTGTCCATACTTGCCACCTGATATGGTTAGGCTTTGTGTCCTCACCCAAATCTCATCTTGAATAATAATCTCCAGGTGTTGAGAGAGAGACCTGGTGGGAAGTGATTGGATCATGGTGGCAGTTTCCCACATGCTGTTCTCACGATGGTGAGTGAGTTCTCACAAGATATGATGATTTAATAACTGTTTAGAAGTTCCTCCTTCACTCACTCCTCTCTCTCCTGCCACCTTGTGAAGAAGGTGCCTGCTTCCCCTTCAGCGGTAATGGTAAGTTTCATGACACCTCCTCAGTCATGAGGAACTGTGATCAATTAAAATTTTTTCTTTTATAAATTACCCAGTCTCAGGAAGGTCTTTACAGCAGTGTGAAAACGGAATAATACACCACCTATATTGTGTGTGCATTTCCAAATTTTTTGCTTCTATCAAATGTGAAATACTTATAATGATTTTTTAAAATATTTCAGAAAATGTACTTATAGGCAGATTGTTGATAAACTGACAGAAGATTGAATAATGTGGAGATTGATGAGTAGAGGCAGCTGTGCCCTAAGAACAGAGATGAGAAGTCTGAGAATATACATCAGAGGATGCTTAAAGTTCACACAAGATGATGTGAAAATGAACTAATTTGGCTTATAATGTCAAATGTTTTAATTACTACAGCTATAATTTCCCACAGCAGTCCAGAATATTCAAGAAAACCTTATGAATTTCTAGAGTCCCTGTTTACTTTCTTATTGGTACCACTTACACTTTGAATGAAGAATATTTATCATACATATAATAAAATTCAATGCACCATACTTATGCATGATGGAGGGTGAGACCATTTTTCTCCTAAGCATTTTGCAATTGCAGGCCCATCAATTCCAAAACCTTCAAAACATTTGTACGTAACTTCTTCTCCATACTGATAACTGTCTGACATGTGAGCTACAACACCATGAGAAATCTCAGGTGGAGATTTACAAGGAAGGCCTAAAAAAAAAAGAATGAATTCAGGTTTCACTAACTCATAAATTTAATTTTATATGCCTGTTTTAATATTAAGTAGTTTTATTTGAAAATAAACAATACAGGAGCTACTATGACATCACAGAGAAGTAACACAAATGTTTCCTAAAACTAGCCTTCTGGTGTCTGTCTGTCTATCGGACTGTCACCAACTGAAGAAGGACTTGAAACTAAAAATAGCAATACATTTCAGAAAGAGATCATCTATGCCTGGTAAACAATGCCTCTGTAAACTTACTAGTGATAATAAGATACACATTGAGAGTTAACGATTCCAGGTAAAACATAATATATTGTAGGAAATAAGAAGGGGCATTGTGGGAAGAATGTAAAAGAAGTTTTAAAACATAGTGGCAAAGCAAACATGACAACTTGCAGAACAGGTTTAGCTGTGTCCCCACCCAAATCTCATCGTGAATTGCAATTGCCATAATCCTCACGTGTTGTGGATGGGACCTGGTGGGAGAAAATTGAATCATGAGGGCGATTATTCCTCTGCTGCTGTTCTCATGATACTGCGTGAGTTCTCCTGAGATCTGATGGTTTTATAAGGAGCTTTTCTGTCTTTGCTTTGCACTTCTCCTTCCTGTCATCATGTGAATAAGGACATGTTTGCTTACCCTTCCACCAGGGTTGTAAGTTTCCTGAGGCCTCCCAGCCATGTGGAATTGTGAGTCAATTACACCTCTTTCCTTTATAAATTATGCAGTCTTGGGTAGTTCTTTATAGCAGCATGATAACAGACTAATACAGTAAATTGGTACTGCAGAGAGTAGGGTGCTGCTGTAAAGATAACCAAAAATGTGGAAGCAGCTTTGGAACTGGATAACAGGCAGGGGTTAGAACCATTTGGAGGGGTCAGAAGAAGACAGGAGAATGTTAAAATGTTTGGAACTTCCTAGGGAGTTGGACGGCTCAGAAGACAAGATGTGGGAAAGTTTGGCACTTCCTAGAGGCTTGTTGAATGGCTTTGACCAAAATACTCACAGTGATATGGACAATGAAGTCCAGGATGGGGTGGTCACAGATGAAGATGAGGTGAGGAACTTGTTTGAAACTGGAGTAAAGGTCACTCCTGCTATGCAAAGAGACTGGTGGCATATTGCCCTGCCTTAGAGATCTGTGGAACTTTGAACTTGAGAGAGATGATTTAGGGTATCTGGCAGAATAAACTTCTAAGTGGCAAAGAGCTCAAGAGGAAGCAGAGCATAAAAGTTTGGAAAATGTGCAGCTTGTAAATGCAATAGAAAATAAAACTTCATTTTTCTGGGGAGAAATTCAAGCCTGCTGCAGAAATTTGCAAAAATAATAAGGAGCCAAAGTTAATCACCAAGACAATGGGGAATATATCTCCGGGGCATGTCAGAGGCCTTCATGACACCCCCACCCATCACAGGCCCAGAAGCCCAGGAGGGAAAAATGGTTTGATGGACCTGGATCAGGTCCCTGCTGCTCTATGCAGCCTCAGGACTGTATCCCAGCTGCTTCAGCTCCAGCTGTGGCTAAAAGGGGCCAACAAACAGCTTGGTCCATTGCCTCAAAGGGTGAAACCCCAAGCCTTGGTGGATTACATGTAGTCTTGGGCCTGTGGGTGCACACAAGTCAAGAATTGAGGTTTGGGAACCTACAACTAGGTTGCAGAGGATATATGAAAATACCTGGATGTCCAGGCAGAAGTTTGCTGCAGGGGGGAGCCCACATGGAGAACCTCTGCTAGGCCATTGAGGAAAGGAAATGTGGGGTCAGAGCCCTCACATAGAGTCCCCACTGAGGCACTGCCTTGTGGAGCTGTGAGAACAGGACCACAATCATTGAAGCCCCAGAATGGTAGATCCATCAATAGCTTGCACTATGTTCCTGGAAAAGCCACAGACACTCAATGCCAGCCCATGAAAGCAACCAGGAGGGGGACAAAGCCACATCTGCACAAGGCTGTGGGAGCCCATCTCTTGCATCAGCATGACCTGAATGTGAGACATGGAGTCAAAGGAGATAATCTTGGAAATTTAAGGTTTAATGACTGCCCTATTAAATTTCAGACTTCCATCAAGCATATAGCCACTTTGTTTCAGCCATTTCCTCCCTTTTGGAATGGAAGCATTTACCCAATCCCTGTACCCCCATTGTGTCTAGGAAATAACCAACTTGCTTTTGATTTTACAGGCTCATAAGCAGAGAGGACTTGCCTTGTCTCAGATGAGACTTTGGATATGAACTTTTGAGTTAATGCTGGAATAAGTTAAGATTTGGAGGACTGTTGGGAAGGCATGATTGTGTTTTGAATTGTGAGGACATAGACTTGGGATAGGCCATGGTGGAATGATAGGATTTGACTGTATCTCCAACCAAATAACAATTTGAATTGTACTTCCCATAATCTCCATGTTTTGTGGGAGGGACTCAGTAGGAAGTAGTTGAATAATGGGGGCAGTTATCCCCATGCTTCTGTTCTCAGGATAGTGAGTGTGTTTTCATGAGATCTAATGGTTTTATAAGGGCCTTTTCCCTTTGGTCAGAAC
Organism: Homo sapiens; assembly: GCF_000001405.40. Lineage (NCBI taxonomy): Eukaryota > Metazoa > Chordata > Mammalia > Primates > Hominidae > Homo > Homo sapiens. The sequence goes on along the minus strand of NW_025791754.1, from coordinate 587,797 downwards.
TTCTCCTTCCTGTCTTCATGCGTTTGCTTCTCCCTCCACCATGATTGTAAGTTTCCTAAGACCTCCTCAGCCATGCAGAACAGTGAGCCAATTAAACCTTTTTTTGTATGTATAAATTATCCAGTATTGGGCAGTTCTTTATGGCAGCATGAGAATAATACAGATAGGTTTAATTTCACTAGATATTATTTTTTAATGCCAGAATACAAAGTGACTCTATCATGAACAAATAAAATTAACATAAATAGAATAGATTCAATCATGCAAAAAGTATTTTAATGGTATAATATATAAATTATTTTATATATGCAGTAATCTCAATTATTCCCCTCACTTTGATAACAAGAGATTATTTTTATGAATTCTACTATAAACAGAAATTGAGTATTCATATTGGCCTAACCTTCACACTGAGGTGGAGAACTCCATTTTCCCATGTAGCATGTTGTTTCATTTTCTTCAGATATCCTGAAACCACCCTCACAAGTATAACTCAATTTAGTCCCATGTGCATAACTTTCTTGTGAAGACCTGGATGAATTAATGGTTCCGTGTTCTATCTGAGGTGGTTGTGAACATGGAATTTTTTCTAAATGAAGAATGAAAATCAAAGGGTTAAAAACAAATAAAATACTTAAATTGAAATATAAAACTAAATACTATTTCGGATTTTAAAGTGAGTATAATTTGAACAAATAAAATTATTTAAAAACAAAAACATATTAGAAACTCGCAAAGATATATTCCTCCACCATATCTATGTTACCATCCTCTTGTTCAATAATCATCTTCATTCATGTCTTGTTCATCACAAGGATTAAAATATGCATGAATGGAAATGTTATCTGACATTTACATAATATTCCAAAGATTTTGGCTGTATTTTGTTCAAAAAACTGAAAGAGTGGTGATTGATTAATGTGCCTAGGTCCTAATTTATTTTGTCAGGATAAAGTAATAGACACAGAGAAAGAACTTCTCTCTTGTTTACACGAAGCACAAGAGAATATTAACCTCATTTGAAAGAATTATGTAAAACAAATTATACACTACTGACCAACACAGAGTGGTATTGACTGCCATCTTCCATCTTTGCATGTAATTTCTTCTCCTTCCTGAATTAGATAATTTTCTTGGCAAAGAACAGATACTTTTTCTCCATCCCGATAATTCAGTGTGGTTGTCATATTGTGAGAATTGGGAATCTGAGGTGGAGGTGGGCATAATTGTATTTGTGCCACTAAAAAATATTAAAAATATAATTAATTTTATAATAAAAAATAAAAAATAAAAATATTAAAATTAGAATTTTTGATGAAAAATAATTTATATGATTAAAATAGAATAAATAGAAAGATCAATAACTGTTTCATAAATTATCACATATTAATTATGATGTTTTTGTATGCAAATATTATACTTTTCAGCTGTGTAACAGTTACATTAAACAATAGAACTTTTGGCTTGTATTCTCATAGACTTTCTTGTAGTTTTTTCATATATTCTTTGTTTAATAAATTTGCATAATTTATGTAATATTGATTTTAATTATTTTGAGCCTTTAGAATGTTTTAATGGAATTACACACTCTTAATTACATGCATTAAATAAAAATTGATATCTATAATCAAATGTATCAGGATTGGATTAAAACACTCACAAATTTTCTGCCAATGGAATCTGATTAGCCAGAAGTAGAATTATATGTAGTTAATAATCAATTTGGTACTGACACTTGACCAATATAAGCATTAAATATAATCACTAGTGATTTATAGTGTGCTATTTAAAACTTGAAACTCCCCTAGAGCTTTTATTTACTAGCTTACCTGTACTGTTTAGGGATATTTAAATGGATGTTATGCACCCAGTTTAATGCATTGCACAGCCTGGCTTTAGTTGTATAATCACATATAAAGACACCTTTGTAAACTCACAGCTAAGCTCCTGTTAAACTGCGATACATCAGAAATATCTCATTTTTTCATAATATGAAAATGAAGCATGTCCTGTTTGACTGACGGGGGAGTTTAGAAGCATCTGGGAGCATTCTATAATCCCTTGATTTTCCTTTCTCCTATCATAGTGTATGCTCTACTTCACCTAAAGCTTTATGTAATCGTACTATAGGAAATCATGGCAATGATTTTAAGTGTCTGACATTTTGTTATCAATTCATGGAGACGTTTGGATGAACAAAACTTCATTAAAGGTTATTGATAATGTCGAGTTTTCTTTTTTCGCTTATGATAAAGTATTTCATATTTATCAAAAGTATTTTGCTTATTTCTGTTTTTCAATATTTTGACATGTTTTTAACATTCTCATCAATTTATTTTTCTTAAGATTAATGGTCAACTATTTATGCTTGAATGATTCTTTCCTTCTATTTTTGTTGGGTGTACATTCCTGTCTACCTTCTAGATTGTAGTACCTGTTGCTTTTATTTTTTTATTTGTTTTTTCTGATGCATGTTATAATGCTAAATACATCTCTGTTTCAGCTGTATCCCATTGATTTTAATGTGTACCACAATCATTATTATTTAATTTAAAGTATTTTCTGATAGTAAACAATTAAGAAAGAGATTATTTAACATTTTGTGACATGGCAAATAAATTTGAAGAACATTGTAACCCAGTATAGCCTAATTCTACATTTAGTGTGTATGCATATTTTTATTTGTAAATAGAACCGTTAGCAAGGTAGACTATGTGCTGAGCAATTAAAAAACTGAGTGTTTCAAAATACTGAAATTTTCCCAGTATTCTTTCACAAGAGAATTAAATTAGAAACCAGCAAAAATCACTTATCTAGAAAAAAACAAATATTTTGAAATTAAACAATAAACTTCCATATAATTAATCATCAACAGACAAACCACAAGACAAATGAGAAAATATTTCAAATCAAATAAAAATGAACTCTCTCTCTCTGTCTCCCGACACATAGAACATACACACACACACGTGTGTAACATTCTGGGACATAGCTAAAGCAGTGCTTAAAAGAATAGAGCTTTAAAGTTTTATATTTTCAAAGTATGATAGTTTATGACCATGTTTTCATTTTTCACCCTAAGATTGAGAAAAGTGAAATTAAAACTGAAGTCATCAGAAGGAAGAAAACAGTAAAATCAGTGAAGAAGAGAAAATGGACAAAGAAACACAGAGAAGGGAGAAAATTAGCAAAGCTAAAATCAGTAAAACATAATAAAACTAAAAAATACAGAGCAAATGGAGAAAATTTAAAGGCATTACAATTGGTTTTTGAAAATATTAATAAAATTGAGGACAAAGTAAAAACAATGATCAAGATTTAAAAAATGATCAATATTGAGGATGAAAGAGGGCAGTGACATCAGCACGATGCCAGTATAGGAAGCCACCACTCTCCCTTCCCCCCACAGGCACACTGATTCAATGACGATACTGGAAACAATTCCCTTTATGAGAAATCAAGAAACCAGTTCAAAGCCTCCTGCAATCCCCTAAAGTAAACAGAGACCAATATATTTTGACTGCTTCTCCCTCAGAGAGGAAAGATAAGAGTGAACTAAGCATCTATCATCCTAGCTTTTGGGGGAGCATCCTAAAGTACAGGTTTCTCTCTTGCTTGTGTAGGAGCACTTAACGATACCTGCAATACTCTAGTTTCCTGGGGGTAAAATAAAGAGCTAGGCAGGGAGTGATGTCAGCAAAATGGCAGAAGTGGAAGCTCCTGACTCTTCTTCCACCCAAGAATGTCCTAAAAAAACATCTATTCATAAATGAACTCCTCCTGAAAGAAAATGAAAGACCAGTAAAGGGACTCCTACTTAACAGGCAACAAAGACAACATTCACATTGAACAAGTAAGAAAAGTTGCAACACAATGGAGCATGGACCCCAGCCTTGTTCACTGCACCACACAATTAGAAAAGGAATCTCAAAAACCCAGTTTCTCCTTGTGGAGAAGTTTTTGGATCTCACATAAAGCATCCTGTGTTTTGGCCTTTAATTCACTAATTTTGGAAGCAGAGGAGATTAAACACATGAGAGTCTCTCTAGATCACAGGAAAAATGGTGGTATGATACAAGTGCTGAAGAGCTTCCAGAAACTTCATTCCTTAATAGCAGTTCAGAGAAGGGGCTGAAAAAACAGTCCCCTGTTTCTCCCGAGAAGTTTTATGATATATTCTTCCTGTGGCTACTTAGAGGTCTGAATTCTAAAAAACTTGCAGTCTGGATTCTAATGAACTTGCATCAGGCACTTCTCTAGCCGGTTCCCGTGGCTCACCCCAGTGATACATCCAGGTACATTAATCACTCTTAGAACAAGTTTGTCCACACAAACTTGAGTGCCCTAACTTTTACAACTTTCATTCAGGGACTGTATTCTAAAACTCTTAGTTCTGGGAGTAGAGGGCACAAAATATATCCAGAGTCTATCTAGACCACTGAAAAAAGAAATGGCGTTTTATATGGGTGTGTAAGCACTTCCAGGAGCTTCATTGCCCAAGAGCAGTGCAGAGAAAAGGTTTTTAAAATGCAGCTCCCCTGTTTATCCTCAAAAAGGTTTGTGTCATCCATCAAGTGCTACAACCTTTACAGTTACCTCCAAAAGGACTCCTCTTAAAACTCTTAACTGTCACAGCAGATATTAGAAAAATACCAGTCTCCATAGATCGTAAAGCAAATAGATGGTCTTAAAATGCTATGTAAAAACTCCAGGCGCTATGCCAAATTGGAGCAGTGCAGAAAAGGAAAGAGAAAGTTCAATTTCCATTTCTCTGTCGAAAGGGCTTAGGGCACATACTTCCACTGGCTACTTAATGAACTGGCCTCTATCGAGCTTGCACAGGGTATCTAATGACGCAAACAAAAAATAATCTTCCCGCAGCCAAAGCCAAAGTTTGGCACTTCATGAGTCTCGCCCCAATGATAAATTCAGATTTATCCATTCTTCCTGGACCAAGTTTAGCCATGCATTCAAAGGTCATCACTTCTATAGCTCCAACTCAAGAGATCGTCTCCTTAACAAACTCACACTGGGAGATGATAGAGATCTGCATTCCTGAAAGGCCCTACATCACAGAATACAAAAAGCTGGTAATACAATGGACTCATTTCAAGCAGATACCTCTTCAGGATCAGAGCATGCAGCCTGAATATTAGTACAGGTATTAGCCACAGATTCTTTACTTGGTGTAATACAGAGAGAGAGTGGGAGATAAACACGCACATTCACTTTCACTATGAAAATAGAAGTAAGTAAATACACAGCCAAGTCTTCAATATTTTCAGCTACATCTAGACCTCCTGGCTCCTAACTTGTTGGTCCCAGGTCCTGAAAAGATGTGGCACATTCTAACCTCCAGGGGGCCACAAAAAATAAGAGACAGCAGTCCGCACAAAGACTTGAGAGGCACATGAAAATCTCTGGCTGGAAAAATTAGTGAGGTCTTTCTCCTATATGAAGCCAGTCTGATAAGACTGAGAAAGGCCATTGTCTTATCTATTGCATAGAAACACTGTGAGTTAAAGAAAATAAAGAAACAAGATATCATAACTCCAAACAAAAGAACAAGATGAGTCTCCAGAAATTGACCTGAGGGAAGTGGATATAGGTGTTTTACTCAAGAAGGAATTCAAAATAATGGTCATAAAGATACTCACTGAGACCAAGAGAGCAATGCAAAAACAAATTAACTACTTCAACAAAGAGGTAGAAAGTATTTTAAAAATACCAAACAAAAATCACAAATTTGAGAATACTATAACTGAACGGAAAAGTTTTAAAGAGGTATTCATCAGCAGACTAGATGAAGGAGAAGAAGGAATTAGTGAACTTGAAGTCAAATTACTGAAAATCACCAAATCTGAGAACCAAAATAAACACATAAATAAATAAAAGTGAAGATAGCTTAAAATCCAGATGGAATACTACCATGTGGAATAACGTATGCATTATCACCATGTTAAAAACAGAAAGAAACACAACGATACAGAAAATATATTCAAAAAAATAATGACAGAAAACTTTCAACAACTGGGAAAGAAATAGAAACCCACACCCAGAAATCTCAAAGGAAATCAAATAAGTTTAATGAAAGATAGTCACTTTAAGACATAACACAATCAAATTATCAAAAGTTATAGACGAAGTATTGAAAAAAGCCAATGAAAAGTGAATGGTTACATAAAATGGAATTTCCACAAGACTATCAGTGGATTACTCAACAGAAACCTTGCAGGCCATAAGGAAGTGGAATGATATACTCAAAATTCTGAAAGAAAATAACTGCCAAGGAATAATTCTAGATTCCACTATTCTGTCTTAAAAACAAAGGAGTGATAAAGGCTTTCTGAGATTGAAAAAAAGCTGAGAGAGCATAAGGACACTTTCCTGCCTTACAAGAAATGTTAAAGGGAGTTCTTGAAGGTGAAAGAAGAGGATGCTAATTAGTAACATGAAGATGTTAAAGTATAAAACTTACTAGTAAAAGTAAGCACAATATGAAATTCAAACACTCTAATACTGTAATAGTGATGGGTAAATACAGCTAGCATAAAGGTTAAAAGGCAAAAGTGGTAAGAACAGCTGAAGCTACAAACTTTGTTAAGAGATACGAATTATTGAAAGATGCAAAGCATGTGATCAAATAGAAAACATGGGAGGAGCAGAGTAAAATTTAGATATTTTATATGTAATCAAAATTCAGTTCCTATCAGCTTAAAATACCTGTTATAAGATATGTTATGCAAGCCTAAGGATAACTACAACTTCAAATAGCCTTTTATAAGGTATGCTATGCAAGCCTAAGGATAGCCAAAAGCAAAACATCTAATAGATACACAAAAGATTAAAAGAAAAAATCCTAAGCATATGGCTACAGAAAGTCATCAAACCATGAATAAAGCAAGCAAGAAAGAAACAAAGAATTTTAAAAACAACCAGAACACAATTAACAAATTACCACTATAAATCCTTACCTATCTAAAATTACTTTAAATGGAAATGGAATATATTCTATAATCAAAAGGCATAGAATGACTAAATAAATCAAAAATTAATATCCAATTATAAACTGCTTACAATTGACTTACTTCACTGTAACGTAAATTCACAGATTGCAGTGAAGGCATGGAAAAAAACCTATAAAAATAAAAACTAAAAGAGAACAGGGGTAGTTATACTCATTTCAGACAAAATAGACAAGGGAAAAATTGTATAAAGGTACAAAGAAAGTTATTATATAATGATAGTGGGGTCAATTTGTCAAGATAATACAACTATTATAAACCTATATATGCACCCAACATCAAAGCAACTAAATATATAAAGGAAACATTTAGGAATCTGAATGGAGATGTGGACTGCAACACAGTAATAGTAGGGGATATCAATATTTTACTTTCAACGTTGAGACAGATCATCCAGACAGAATATCAATAAGGAAACATTAAACTTAAACAATAATTTATACCAAATAGATTGGACAGACATATAAAGAACATTCCACATAACAAAAAAACACATATTCTTCTCAAATGCGCACAGAATATTCCCCAGAATATGTTATATGTTAGGCCACAAAACAAGTCTTATCAAATTCAAGAAGACTGAAATCATATCAAGTCACTTTTCTGACAACAAAGGTATGAAATGAGAAATCAATAATAGGAGGAACTATGGAAAATTTTAAATTAGGTGAAAATTAGACAATATGCTCTGAAACAATCATAGGGTCAAACCATTTTAAATAAATTTAAAAATATTTTCAGTAAAGGAGAATGGAAACAAAACGTAGCAAAACTTATGGGATGCAGCAAAAGTAGTTCTAAGATGGATGTTTTTAGGAATAATTGCCTATATCAAGAAAGTGGAAAGAACTCAAATAAACAGTCTAGTAGTACACCTCAAAGAAGCAGAAAAACATGAACAAACTAGTCAATTCCAAAATTAGTAGAAGGATGGAAATCATAAAGATCAGAGTAAAAGTAAGTAAAATAGAGCCCCCAAAGCAGTACAAAATATCAATGAAAATAGTTTTTTTTTAGATAATCAAAAATTGACAAAGCTTTAACCAGAATAACTAAAAAAGAGAGATACGGCTTAAAGAAACACAAGATCGGAGATGAAAAGGGTGATATTACAACTGATATCACAAAAATACAAAGTATAATGAGAGACCGTTATTAGCAATTATATGCCAACAAATTGGATAACCTAGAAGAAATGGATAAATTTCTAGACACACAGCCTAAGACGATTAATTCAGAGGAAATAGAAAATCTGAACAGAGTAATCATGAGGCAACAGATTAAGTCAGTAATAAAATGTTTCCCATCAAAGAAAATCCAAGACCTGATGGCTTCATTGCTGAATTATAACAACATTTTAGAAAGGACTAATACCAATTCTTCTAAAACGACTCCAAAAATTTGATGAGGAGATCATTTTTCTAACTCATTCTAGTGGCCCAACATTACTCTGGAACCAAAACCAGACAAGGACACAACGCAAAAAGAAAACTACAGGCAAAATCCCCTGATGAACATAGGTACAAAACCCCTCAACACTATACTAGGAAAACAAATCCTACAGCACATTAAAAAGATCATTCACTATGATCAAATGGGTTTAATCCAAGAAATGTAAAGGTCGTTTAACATAGGCAAATTAGTAAAGGTGATGCATCCCATTAACAGAAAGGACGATAACTATACGATCATTTTAATAAATCTACATAGAATGGCTAAAACTATAAAACTTCAAGAAAAAACTGTAGAACATGTACACTTCACTGCATATATATATTATTTGCTTCTTTAAGGACTCTAAACATATTGAAATGTTGATAGCAGATTAGTTTTTGTATTGGTTGTCAATGCTTTCTGTATATCCTAGACTGGCAGACATTGGTAAAAATATTGAAGCTAGTGAGGCAAGGAAACCCACAATTGGATAGCAAAATACAGATATAAAATATGAGAAGACTGGAATAAAACCTACACTATTCAAGTGAAACTGTATGTGTCAATATGACTAACTTTTCAAGATAGATGAACAATAAATTAATAGATAAATAGATGATTAGGTAGATGAACAGGTAGATGAATAGACAGAGAGATAGATTAAATAAATGAATCAACAGAAATAGATATAGATACATACATACATGCATACAGACATATACAAACAGATACATAGTAGTTATTGGCATAGACAGAGGTATAGGCACAGGAACATTTGTTGACAAGAAAAGGAATGAGAAGCACTGGTCCTCCAACAGTAATGATGACATGTAGTGCCTGGTTTATGTGTGTGTGTGTGTGTGTGTGTGTGCGTGTGTGTGTGTGTGTGTTTATACTAAAGGTAACTAATTCACAGGGCACAGTTAATATTAGGAACAGTGTTTTCATTAGTTTCTAGTTTACCTGCCTTATTCAGTAGCATTTGTAATAATAAATAGCTAAAGTTTTTAAAAGACACACATACCTATTACTTTTCCAAATGAGAAATAGAATACATTTCTGAAAACAAAATAAGAGCTTACTTGAGCAGTTCACTTCTGGATCCCATCTTCCATTTATGCAGACTGTGTGTATCCATCCTTCTTTTCCTCTACATCTGTACCTTATGTTAGAATTATGATCGAATTCCTTCTTGTTTTTTAAATGTTCCTCAAGTATAATTAAATTTGATGATTTGCACTTCTTAAGTTTATCTATTGCTATAAAATAAATATATTTTTATGAAAATTCAAATGATAGGAATCAAACCAACTATTACATAAAAATAGTTATAAAGTAAATAGTATTAGCATGGTAAAATTATGACTTAATCATTATAAATTTCACCAACCAAGTTATTCCTGATCACATTGCATCAAAATGCTATTATGTCAAAATATAAGCCCTGTATTCTGTCGCTGAAATGTTAGAGATACCTATCAGAAGACATTTTATTCTTTGGGAAATACAAAATATCATTGGATATTTCATTGGATAAATAAGTATGATTGGACATTAGGACTCTTAGAATTCAGGACCCAGGAAAACTTTAGGAAAAATCTCAGTTTAGAGAAAAGTGAATGAGGGTCCCCAAGATCCTCCCGGTTAGTCATCAAAGAGGCAAAATGATTTTAAAGATTGTACATCTCAAGTCACACTGTAAGTGAATCACCTTGCCTTCTTGCTGATCAAGACATGAGATTTACAGTGTGAAGTCCGTCAATGAGATTTACGTCCTGACTCAGTCCCTGACTACCTCATGTCACTCAGCTATACCACTGATGTAGAGGGCCTGTGGCCCACCAACCCTGCAGCACATTAACTTATTTTGGCTGATATGGAACAAACTGAAAAATTATCACTTTTGGAAGCTTTAAGAGAGAAAAGAATCCTATGGGAGAGTAGTAAGTAGGTATTTTGTCAACTTTGTTTCTTTGCTTCTCAGTGCCTAAAAAGGAGTACCATACAATAACAATAATATTTATATTTTATATAAAACTGTTATAATTTCTCAGTAATTAGTACTCATATTTAATCATATGATAATTTTTTAATATTTTTGTTTTTTAAAGAAAGAGTCTTACTCTGTTGCCCAGGCTGGAATGCACAATAGAGCTCACTGCAATCTCGAATTCCTGGCCTTAAGCAATCATTCCTCCTCAGCCTCCCAAGTAGCTGGATTACAGGCATGCACCACCACACCTTAACTAATTACAAAATTTTTTTTATAGAGATGGGCTTTTGCTATATTGCCCACACTAGTGTCTACCTCCTGGCCTCAAGCAATCTTCTTGCCTTGGCCTCCTGAAGTGTTGAGGTTATAGGCGTGAGCAACCACCCTGGCCTCACATGACAATTTTTGTAAGTAAAATGTTGCTTCACACTTTTAAATATAAACAATACTGTTATCAGACGCAGAAAGATTCATAAAATTATATTACTAGCTTTATTTTTTCTTTCTAGACACATATTGAATTATAAGCAATATGCAAAAGATTGGTCTCATATTGAAGACTGGAAATGTTGAGGCATATCTGTAAATTTCAAAAATATAGTTGCAATTATTGTTGTTACAATAAAAATATTAAACTTTGTTAAATGTTGATTTAAGAAGGGTATTCTCACCCACACACTGGGGAAGTTGGGTCCATACTCCATGAATACACGTAATTGATCTGTGTCCAATCATTGTAAATGATTCTGAGCAATTGAATTCCACTGAATCTCCATAGTAATAAGGAGGGGAAGAAAGCTGGGCCCAGCCATGTTCAAGTTCAGGTATATCTCCACAGGTACTCTCCTCCACTATGTAAATTTTACAAAAAAAGTTTATTGTGAAAACATGATGTATGTGTTTTAGATACAAAATACAAAAGTTTTGACAAGTTTAAATATTAATATTTTATACATTACCAATACACACTGGTAAAGTTGTCCACTCTCCATCAACACATTGAATTTTATTAGGTCCCTTCATTAGAAATCTAGGATTGCAATAATATTCCACCACTTCACTGTGTCCATATTCTTCTTTCGTTTTTTCCTTAACATTCCCATTGAGGAGTTCAGGAGGTGGACCACATGATTGTACTTGCTCTATAGTAGAAATACTATGTAAATAATGGTTAAATTGTCTGTTTTACAATATAAAAATTCAGTAAAATGGAAAGATTTTCTTCTTTTATTCATGTATTCTTCATTATGTAACTTATTATAGCATCCTAAACAATCAAGAATGGTGTTCATATTGTATTACTTATACTAAATTGTCATATTGAAGGTATATTAAAATGTTAAAATATGCTCAGACTTCTAGATATCTTAAAGATGCAAGAAAACCAATTAGCAAATGTGGTTATGAAAATCATGTTAATTTTTACATTTCATGGAAACATTTTATCATAACATTTTGGAAAAATATCATAACTGAGGCAAGCATTTGATCAACATAAAGTTTGACTAATCAATACAAGCAACTGAATTGAATATAAGCTGCTTAAATATTGTTTAGACACACCCGGTGAAACTTAAGTTACAGCCCACACTATATAAAATGTCCAGAATGGATGTTGACATTTCAAGCAAAATGAAAATTAACAAAGAAATCCCTCCATTGTCAGCCACTAGTATGGTTTAAATGTTTGTCACCTCCAACCCCATGTTGAAACTTCATCCCCAGTGTTTCAGGTGGGGTCTAATGGGAGATGTTTGGATCATGGGTATGGATCTCTCATGAACAGATGAATGCCCCCTCTCAGGGTGAGTTCTCACTCTATTAGCTCCTGGAAGAGCTGGTTCTTAAAAAGAACCTGTCACTGCCCTGCTCTCTCTCTTGCTTCCTCTCTCATCATGTGTTCTCTGGACACAGTGGCTCCTCTTCCCTTTCTACCAGCATTCTGTGGCTCTCACTGAATGCAGATGCCCGATCTTGAATTTTATAGTCATGAGTATAGTGAGCCAAATAAAACATTTTTACAAATCATCCAGACTCAGTTATTCCTTTATAGAAACATAAACCTAAAGTAGACTAAGACCGACAACACCTGTGTGTCTGGGAATACTTCCAGCACATCGTTCAAGAAACAGTGGAGATTAACTTAAGTGACTGAATCTCAGGTATTCAGTACTCAATACATGTCCTTCACAGGCAAATATTTGACTTAATTCATTAGATTACAGGCAATGGGAGCCCAAACAAAATTAATAAGAAAAAAGTTGGTATTCAAAGTTCTAATTCTTATTTCAGCAATTGTAAGATAAGCATTCACCTTTACATATTGGGAGGTCAGGAGACAATCCAAAGTGGTAGCACTGAACGGAATTAGGTCCAACTATTGTAAATCCTGGTTTGCAGGAGAATTTCAACACCTCTCCAACTTTATACTGGTCTTTCTTGCGATCAGGAACTAAGTGTACATCTATTTTAGGAAGTTCGCATTCTCTTTCTTGAAAAAGGTAAAATAATTTCATGAGAATATATAATTAATCATTGCCAAAGTTAATTTTACATATGCCACAATAAAGTGAGGTTGATATTGGGTCATACAGAGGGGCATCAGATAAATCCTTTTCCCTGTAAAGAATGCTACATATTATGTTTTATATGCTGTCTAAATTGAAATGGAACTTTATTATAAATGTTATGGTATTGAAATATATCTGTTCTAAAAATTAATTTGTAAATTCAACTTATTTACAATGAATCTAGTTTTAATCACTGACATTAATGAAATTTAATATTACTTTTTTTACTCAAAACATGAAATTACTCTCTCATATTAAAAAAGAAAAGTGCATATAGACCAGAATTGGGGCTTTTTGAAAACAAGATGACTGACTAAGGAGTTTGGACACAAGTTCTCCTCAGAAAGAAGAACCAAAGTTACAGGTAAATGATCATAACTTGAAAAATATTTAAGAGAGGGTGCAGGAGCGTCATAGAGAAACCATGGAGAGAAGCCAAAGCATGGAAAAAGACAGAAGCAAGAGCCTGACAAAGGTTGACTAGGACCCTGTGGGACCTCATAGAAAGTGTAGGTAGGAGTCTTCTGGGCTCCCTGCAGCTCACCGTGTGGATCCAAGCCATCAGAGAGCTCTTCTGTCTTCGTGAACACACACACTGGTGTGAGTGGAGATTTGGGAACTTCTTGAGGGCATTACACCAAACTACTAGTTGAATAGGGTCATCTGCCTTCCCCTTGGGCCTGAGCTGCAGTGGTAGGTTTCATGCCTGCAGTGCACTCACGTGGGGACTGTTTCCTACCCAGGAACCTCAGCCCTCTGTCCCCATAACACCAGAGCCGCACAAATATTCCCTGTCACCTGCTTGGATGTGGCAGTCACCCATAGCTGGCTGGACCCAAAGGAGTTACAGCATTCCCAATAGTTTAACCACCAGGGAGGCTATTCCTAATGGAAAGTGCAACAAAGGAACACCCCTTGTGGCAAAGAAGACTGTAGCATTCACTTTCCTGTGTGCAAGAGCAACCTGCTTGTGGGCTGAAAATGACTACGCCACTTCCAGCAGACACGCAGACGCGGTGTTTGGCTCTGCAAGGGAGGAGTATAGATCCATCCCAGGAGCCCAATGGTCCCAGCGCTTGGGCACGGATGTAGAGAGGGGAACATGTCCCGTGGATCCAATTCTGTGTTCATAGCTGTGGTCACTCGCAAAGGAGACTGGTGTAGACACACCAGAGGACGGACATTGTAGGGGTATTAGGGGGTGGCTACAACTCCACTGGTCATGTGCCCAATGAAGCCAGGCTTGCAAGAAAGACAAGCTACGGGTATCTCCCCAGGGTCTTCCCCTGACACCCCTGTCAGGGCTGGTGCTTGTGCTCATCCTTGGAGCATCCAAGGGTGAGCTTAGTGGTACAGATCTATCCCGCTTTGTCCCCAGCTCCTCAGACCACTGTACCTTTCACAGATCAGTCCATTCCTTGGGGCAACAGAGAGTCTCCCATAAACAGTGACAAGCATAGGCTCATCTGCCTCTGCTGCAGCTGGCTCTTACCTGTCCGCGCCACCTACTGTCCTGAATGTTGAACTGCACAGCCCAGTGCAAAATGCTGACACTAGGGCATGATGCAGAACAAGGTTAGTTTTCTGCGTAGTCCTCCATACCAGCCCTTCAGGAGGCAGTAAGCCTCGTCATACACCCAGTACATAACTACTACAACCAGCAATTAAGAAAGCCATCATACAAAAGTTATCTCTAACCAATGTACTCAAACAGAGTCTTTACCACTGAAAGAACCCAGAACCTAAACCAAATAGCCCTATACAACATACATCGTAGTCATATTCTCAAAGGGGAAAAAAAAATCCTGTCTGTTGGAAACTGGACTTAAAAATAAGAAGGGATAGTTCATCTGGATGAGAAGAAACCACTGAAACATTTCTGGAAGTATGATTTAAAACAGCGTATTACAACACTCGCAAAGGATCACACTAACTCTTCAGCAATAAGTCCTAACCAAAATAAAATCTTTGAAATACCAAAGAATTTAAAATATTTATTTTAAAGTAGCTAAATGGAGTCCAAGAGAAAGTTGAAAAGCAACACAAAGAAATTAGAAAAAAAACTCAGGATATGAATGAAAAATGTACTAAAAATATTTTTTAAAAAACAAATAGAACTTATGGAAATTAAAAATTCATTGAAGAATTACAAAATATAGTTGAAAGATTTAATTACAGATTACATCAAGCAGAAAAACTTGCTCTCAGAGCTTGAAGACAGGTCTTTCCAATTAACCCTGTCAGACAAAAATAAAGAGCAAATAACATTTTTTAATGAGCAAAGGTTTTGAGAAAAATGACGTTCTAAAAAATGAGAAAACTTAAGAGTTATAGATATTCTTGAGGGAGAAGAAAAAGCTAAAAAAACCTTTTTGAGGAAAATTTATCTCCTCTTGCCCTCTTGCTAGAGACATAGAAATCCTTATACAAGAGGCTCAGATAACACCAGGAAGATGCATTGCGAGATGAACTTCTACAAACATATAGTCATCAGGCTATCTAAAGTCAATGTGAACGGGAAAAATTATAAAATCAGCAAGAGAAAAGCATCTAATCAACTATAACGGAAATCTCGTAAGACTAACAGTGGACTTCTCAGCAGAAACTGTACAAGCCAGAAGATATTGGTGTCCTATTTTCAGGGTTCTTAAAGAAAGATTAGTTCATATTTATTGAAAAAACATATATTAGAGATATATTTTGTATTCTGCTAAACTAAACTTCATAAATGAAGAATATATAAAGTCTTTCCCAAACAAGCTAATACTAAGGAAGTTCATCACCACTAGAAATCCACTTTAGGAATTCACCCCACAAGAAATGATCCAGGGAGTCCTGAACATGGAAATAGATGGTCAATACTCACTATCATAAAGACATGCAAAAGTACAAAACTCACAGGTCTTATTAAAAAATTACACAGTTGGGACTACAAACCAGCTAGGTAACAACTAACATAATGACAAGAACAAAACCTCACATGACAATATTAACTTTTAACATAAATAGATTAAATGTTCCACTTAAAAGATATAGATTTGTGGACCAAATTTGGAAAACAGAAACCAACCACATGCTGCTCAAAAGAAACCCACCTAACTTAGAGAAACCTATACAAACTCATGGTAAAGGTATGGAGACAGATATTTTGAACAACAGAAACAAAAAGCATTTGGTATAGTTATATTTATATATAAAAAAAGATTTCAAATCAACAAGAAAAAAAAAAGACAAGAAGTTCATTACACAATGATAAAGGAAGCAAGAAGATATAACAATTCTAAATATATATGCACTCAAAACCTCAGCACTCAGATTCATAAATGAAATGCTACTAGAGCTAAGTAGAAAGATAAACAGCAATATAATGAGGGCAAGCAACCTCCACACCCCCAATGACTATACTAGACAGATTGCAGGGACAAAAAAATAAACAAAGAAACCTCATACTTAAATTGGACTGTAGAACAAATGGACCTAACAGACATTTTAACGACATTCCACCCAACAACCTCAGAATATATGTTTTTCTCACCTGTGCATGGAACATTCTCCAAAATAGACCATATGCTAGGCTACAGCTACAAAGCAAGTTCCCAAAATTTTAAAGGTTAGAAATAATATCAAGTATCTTATCAGAACTTGGTGAAATATAACTATAAATCAATATCATAAAGAATTTTCAAAACTATCCATATACATGAAAATTAAATGACCTGCTTCTGGGTGATTGTGAATTAAACTAAAAATTTTCTTCACAGCAAAGGAAATAATAAACAGAGTAAACAGACAACCTCAGAATGGAAGAAAATATTTGCAAACTATGAATCTGAAAAAGGGCTAATATCCAGAATCTGCAAAGAACTGAAACAACACAACAAGAAAAAAAAATAATAATCCCATGAAAAAGTGGACAAAGGATAGGAAGAGATATTTTGCAAAAGAAGACATGAAAATGACCAAGAAATATGAAATAAAAACTCAATATCAGTAATCATCAGAGAAATGCGAATTAAAAAAATGAGTTATCATCTTACATTAGACACAGTGGCCACTGTCAAATAGTCAAAAAATAATAAATGTTGGTGACAGTGAGGAGAAAGAAGAATGCTTATACGCTGTTGGTGGGAATGTAAATTAGTACAACCTCTATGGAAAACAGAATGGACATTTCCCAAAGAACTAAAAACAGAACTACCATTTCACCCAGCAATCCCACTACTGTGTATCTACCCAAAGGAAATCAATTATCATATCAAAATGATACCCAGACTCATATGTTTATAGCCTCACTACTCACAGTAGCAATAATATGGAATCAAACTAATTGTCCACCAACAGATGATTGGATAAAGAATATGTGGTATAGATATATGCCATAGAATACTACTCAGCCAAAACAAAAAATAAAAAGAAAAAAAAAGAATAAAATCATGCCTTCAGAAGCAACATGTATAAAACTAAAGGCCATTATTTTAGGTAAAATAATTCAGATTCAGAAAGTAAAATCCCACATATTGTCACTTATAAGTGAGAGCTAAATAATGCGTACATATGGACAGAGAGTGCTGAGTAACAGACATTGGAGACTCAGAAATGTGGCAGGATAGCAGGAGGGTGAGGAATAAGAAATTACCTAATGGGTGCAATGTTCAGTATTTGGGTGATGAATACACTAAAAGTACAGACTTCACCACTATGCAATATATCCATGCAACAAAACTGCATTTGGACCATCTAAACATATAAAACATAGAAATTAAAATTTTAAAAATAAAAGAACACATCATAAAACACCATGGAAATATCTTAAGAAGTTAAATTTATAATAGAACTGGGGAGGATCCCGAGAATAATGATGGTATAATATCTGTCATTGCAGAGTCAATGATAACTTTATTTAACTGAAACTAAACAACCTCAAATGATTTCTGGTCTCATCATGTTTATAATTCTTGATGACTGACATATACATCACAAAAAGGTAAATTCTCATCAAAGATTTATTAGTGAAGATATATGCACTAAGAAATTAATTAAAATTGGTATTTTTGTTTAATGTAATCAAGGAAAAAGAACCCAAAATAGCATTTCTAATATATTTTAAGTTAGAAAAAATATAAAAAACACATAATTAATATATTACAAATAAAGAAAACAAACCAAGATAAATTTTCAAGTTCACATGGAAAGGCAAATTCTAGGTATCCTGAATATTTATGTTAACATATAACAATTTTTGTTATATGTACTATTTATATCAATGTTTAATAAATTTGATAATTATTCTGATTCAGATAAGAAATGTGTAAAATTATCTCTTACATGTTTATAATTTTTAAAAATCAGCAACATTACTAAATATTATCCAAAATATTATTTTTCTTATTCAGAATCCTCCTTTCTTGCTAACTTAGAAAAGTACAAGCTAGAATTCATAAATTAGAATCATACTAAAAAGAAAATTAATTACATCATAACCTCAATTATTAAAATACAATTACAAAATTAGATTTAAAACTATTCTTAAAAGTAATGTCACAAAATAATAACTACAAAAATTTGCTTTTGTGTTTGTTTTAATGAGTTTTGCAGATTATTTGAGAAAATCACACTTGAATGAGAATCACTGGGATTTCTCTCCTAAAAGTCTATACCAATCTTCTACATAGCAATTCTTTTTTTTGTATGTGTGTTTGTTCACGTATTTTGTGCTAATTTTATATAAATTCTGTCTGTTGTAATATTGTGAAAAGCATTATCTTAAAAAGGAAAGTTAAGATCTTGATTATTGGGTATTATTCAAATGCTGTATTTATATAGAGGTAATAACTTACAAAACGTGATTTAGAGAAGAATGTGAATGGACACTCCATGAATTAGAAATATTTTTCTTCATCTAAAACTCAAAACCCTAAGTCCTAGTACTAGATATGTGAAATGTTAATATGAATTTTTAACTCTGAGATACATACTCCTTATTTAGCTTAAGTGCTCCATAATAACAATTCTGTGGAAACCTTTCCACAAAGAAGAGACCTCCTAGGACACTTGAAATATACTCAGATGTCTGTCAATCCACATGCAGTTTTCTGTTACATGGCTGAGAGAAGAATATTTGAAAAGAATACTAAGCTGGTATTTCTTCGTTTAATGTTTGGAGGCCTGTACTATACTAGCAAATTCCTAGTTATGTGTTCAAATGATCCTAAGTCTTTGTACAATTTGCAATAGAAAGACATTTTCTACATCAGCTTCTACTGCTATGTCCGCCACTCCAACTTTCTCTCCTTTAGGTTTTCATTTCATGTCTGGTGATTGGAAAGACTACTGAAGCAATATATTCACAATTTTGTGTTCTTTTTTGAAGAAGACCCCTCAAAATTGTAAAAGCTTCTGGCTTCATAAAACCTAAATTTACCTATCATCACAGAAAAGAAATTCATGAGTCTCTTAAATTAAGCCTCCCCCTCTCAATTAGAGCAAAACTCAACCTCTTTATGATCCATGCCTACTCTTCCAATGTTATCAAATGTCTCTCTCCTCCACTAAATCCAGGATTCAGATTTTATGATCTTTGAATTTTATTAAAAAGGTCAAGTTCTTCGCTGCCTCAGCTGTTGCACATACCCTTCTCACTATAACAAATGGCTTTCAACCATTCTTTGCATCGATGACTTCCTATGTAAAACAGATCTCCAGTTCCTTCCCTCCTATTTTCTATCTCAATTATTGGATTTTCTATTTCTCTGTACACAGTGATACATAAAATATATTTTAAATATTTTTATTACTTGGATATTTGGCTTATCTCTTTTTAGTTTTCCACTGTCTTATATTAGAAAAAAATCTCTGGATAAGTAGACCTGTGCTTGTGTTTTCACCATTTTCTCCTGTCCTATGATAGGTGTTTACAACAGCAGGAATGAGTCAAATTTAACTGGACCTTTGACACTGCCTTTCATCTACAATGTACTCATTCTCTTTCTCAGCTGTGACTATTTCAAAACTTTTCTATTCTACCTAGTACTCTTCCTCCTCCTTCGCCCACACACTATTCAATCTCAGATGACCATGTCTCATACTTCAAAACAGAATCCATCAGCTTCTACCATTTTCCAACGTTACTGCTCATTTTCCTTCCCATCTCCTGTCACAAAGTTGTAAGCAGTCCTGTTGCCACCTGTCACAAGGTTGTAAGCAGTCCTGTTGCCACCAAAGCACAATACCTCCACAGTAGCTGTGAGTCCTTTCCTCTCGCATTTTCTCAGGGCAACTATGTAAGTCATGTGTTCAGCCTTTGCAGCTCCCCTTTTGCTGTATCTGCTCTGGTGTCTTCCATCTTTTTTCTTTTAATTATCCCTTCAGTGCACAACTTTCCTCAAGCAATATTCTGATCTTCCTATTAGATTCAAAGCCAGAATCTTGAAAGAGTTATGTCTACAGTCTGTATTGAATGTCTAGCTCATTATTTTTATTGGCAGATTCTATGTAGGGTCTGTCTCTTCTACTCTATTAAAAACCATTTTTGTTACACTTGTCATTGGCCTGTACCTTACCTAATCCATCACAATTTCTGAACAGAATATAATAACTAAATTAGAAATATTTATCACTTTGATAATGATATTAAGGTAATTAAATTACAACTTCTTTGACTTTATTATATAAGGCACTATGGCAATAAATATTTATAAATATTTTAGTCTGCTAACTAACACAATCCTTTGAAATATTAGAACTGTTTGTAAATATGTGACATTTTACCAACAAGAAAGAGTCAACAAAGCTTCAAATAGACTTGCTGTGTTGGCCAAAGATACATGCCCAGCAAGCAGTGGAATTAGAATTCAGACAGGATGACTTATTAAGCAATCTGTTACACTACCTTTTCATTAATAATTTCCTTATTTTTATGTCTATGGCAACATTCTAGATTTTTTCTCCTGTTTCTCTGGGTCCTCCTTTTTTCCCCATTTTCTTTACTATCTATTGCTCTTCTGTCTTATATATAAATGTGGTAATGTTTCAGGGCTTCATCTTGAGCTCTTTGCTCTTTTCATTCTGTATTCTTATCCAATTTAGCGTCATCATTTATATGATGATATTCCGAAATGCATATCTCCTCTCTAGATGCATATCCAACTCCACACTTCACATATCCAGTTTTGATTTTCCATTGGCGACTCAATCATAATGTGTCCAAGTCAAAAGTTGCAAAGCCCTCTCAAAATGCATTCTATCCAGTCAGTACCATTTTACAAAATGGTTATTGCCATTTACCTACATACTTGTGAGAAAACAATTGAAAACAAACATGTGAGTCCCTTAATCTCACTCTTTTTCACACCCAACATTTAGTAACATCACCTGTACTTTTCATCACCTAAATGTTTTCCAAATCAGCCTTCTGCTCTGCACCTCCCCTATCATCACTCTCTCTCAGTCCCCACACTTTCTCACCCTACCTGGACTCATGGTGTCGCCTCTTGCCTACAAAAAGTACAGCATCCAGGAAAACAATCCAACAAAACTAGAAATCAAATTATACCATTCCTTTTCTTAAAACTCTTTTATGGGTTTTCATTAGTCATAAAATGAATCCAAATGATATGATGCCTTGAGCTGATCTGGATAATTGTTTCCTTGCCTCCCATCTAGCCTCAGCAGGATAGACTCTGCTTTACCACCTTGAAATATATTGTTTTGTTTTTACAGCTTTGCACATATTTTTCTTTGCCTTGGAACACTCTGCATATACTTGTTTTCCCACAGAGCCAATCCTTCTTCTAACCCTGAAAAATAGATGGCTGATTGAGAAACGTAAATGAGATTCATGTAATGGTCTTCAGAACTTTTCAAATTTAGAAAATAAAGAACTACACTCAGAAAGTACAGAAATTAACACACAAGATAGAAGATGTAAAGTAGAAATTAAAAAAACAAATTAGCTGAGGAAGTTGTAACCAACTATAATTTTGGTAATAAGTGCTAGGTTCTAAATAATTTGAAAGCTTTTATTTAGGGTAACAAAAGCAATTATATTATAATCACAAATCTGGAAGGTAGGTGGCCCATAGGAAGTATTAATTTAATGCACTACTTTAGAGATATTTTCAAAACTCCCTTCTTTTCCCAGTTTATGTCAAATCAGGAGATATCTTGATTTTAATCAACATTCCTTAACAATTCCTCTATATAATTCAAATTTTTAAAATTGGAAAACAGATTTATTTTCATTTTGAAAATGAATTTCTGAAAAACCAGTACTTACCATAACATATGGGTAAATCAGACCAACCATTGTAACCACACACTATGGAACCAGTGGTGCTTCCAGTATTGCTTTCATAACCATCATGGCATTCATAGTCCAATGTGTCATTCAGCTTAAACCATGTGAAGTCATTTTTAGTTCTGGCATTCATAAATACTGGGATATCACAAGATTCTAGTGCATAAAAAATTTAGAATGTCATTTCTAATGTCATCTAATAAACAATCTGAGTATTTCCCATTCTAAGAAGAAAAAGCTTTATTGATTAGATATACTAATAAATAGGTACCGTACAAAAATAATCTATGACTGGTGAGAATTCATTGTCGTAAAATAGTTGTCAAAAGTGAAAGTATATCTTTCTACACAACATTTTTTTTCATTGCTTAAGCCCCAAAATATATTTTAAAAACATTTTTCTTAATTCATTTATACTAAAGCATTTATGACAATGCTAGTAATAAAACAGGCCATTACAGGTATACATTATTTTTTAAAGAAAATAATAACAGAATTTTGTAAATTAAGAGTCCAAACTAATTCGTAGTTGAGACATATGTAAAAAGGAGAAAAAGACTGAAAAGATAAATTCCTATGTTATACAAGACATTTTCTCTTTAATAATAAGAAAATCTTAAAAGAATAATTAATAAAAATTTAGTATAAAATTAGCTTTTTTATGAGGACTAACATTTTTTGTAAACTAGACCTCATATTAAGCACAGACATTAAAAAATGAAAACAGTATACATGAATACCTTATTCACTTCACTTAACATGAGTATATTAAATATTACTTCAAATATATTACTGAGAGGCAGGAGGATCATTTGAGATTAAGAGTTCGAGACCAGCCTGGCTAACATGGCAAAACCCTGTCTCTATTAAAAATACGAAAATTAGGCAGGCATGATGGAGGGTGCCTGTAATCCCAGCTATTCAGGAGGCTGAGGTAGGAGAATTGCTTGAAAACGGAAAATGGAGGTTGCAGTGAGCCAAGATCATGCCACTGCACTCCAGCCTGGCCGACGACAGAGCAAGACTCCATCTCTCTCTCTCTCTCTCCCTCTCTCTCTCTCTCTCTCTCTCTCTCTCTCTCTCTCTCTATATATATATATATATATATATATATATATATATATATATATATACATATATACGTATACACACACACACACACACACACACACATATTACTGAGTGGTTTTGCAAAAAATAAGACAAATTGAACCAATTGTTCCCAGAAAATTTTCATAAATATCTAGATAGTGTGGTAGGGAAATCTTCATAAATATCTAGATAGTGTGGTAGGGAAATCATACAACAGAGCAGAAATTGGTACCATCTAGGAATATTTTGTCTCTCTACTACCTAAATATTTATGAAAAATTTCTAAGAGGGAAGATATTCAGTATTAGACATATCCTACAGTGTCAAATCTACAAATTATAGAGTTTAAATTATTTTGATGTTATGCACTAGGCATCCATATCTTCAATAAAAACATTGCTTTTGTATCTAGGAGTAAAGAATTTGATGTAAAAGTCTAATCATATAAAACAGATATATATTAACAGTCATAAAGGTCTCAGCTAAAGCAAAATCAGTTTAAACCAGAATACACATAAAGCTCCCTAACTTGTTTCTGTAACACAGAATGCTTTAGAGTAGGAAAAGCCTGAATGGAAAGACAGACTAATATCTGAGTAATTAATGTGAAAAGGAAAAAAAATTGATGTCTGCTTTGTTCCTGCAGGTTTTTTTTTCTTATCTTTTCAAATGAAATTATATCAGCCCCCACAAAAAGACTAAAGTTAGTAAACTTTTGTGTATCATCTGGATAATCAATACAAACATAATAAATTACTTACTAATGCACGTGGGTTGAGCTGACCATCCATCTTTCCCACATGTAATTGATCCTGATGTTTCACCATCTGCTGTTACATATCCTAGTTTGCATTGATATTTTGCTTTTTCTTTTAAGGCATATGTATACTGAGATTCAGAAATAAACCCATTCTCAATATCTATACTTGATTTGGAACATGTTTCTAAAAGGGAAGAGAATAAGAAAAAGACAAGCATATGATCAATAACATTTTATAAGAATTTAAGTAATATGTAAATATAAAAAATAATGAGTCATTTGTAACTGAAAACCTGGATAACCATAAGCATTCAAATACTTAAGTCAAGGAAAATAAGCTCAGAGTTGCCAAAGACATTACATCAAGACTCTTCATCACTTTTTAAAACAAGGCTCTATTTAAGACACTTACAATTATTTCTAAGAAATTATTGGAAATCTGTTTGTCTAATGGATTTGGAATTCTACAGCATGTCAGAACTCAATAGACAATGAGTATTATTTCTTAGGACTTTTTAATCTTGCCTATTTTAGATCTTCTGGCAATTCCAAATCTCATTTAGCCAATTGGAGTATCTGAGATCCTGTGATGATCTTAGAAAATCTGCCAAAATAATTTTCATAGCCTTTGGCTCCAAGAATTTGAAATGTCATTCTTATTGTGTGCTTCAAAGTAAATGGACATGTGGAGTTCAAAGAAGATGAGGAACAGTAACAGATTTATTTATCTTGAAAGGCCAAAATGATGATTCCTCAAATTATGTAGAACTTAACTTGAAAGAGTGGAAGTTACTGTTTCTGTTAACTGATGATAGAAATTACTGTCGGTTACATGCACATGTATGTTTATTGCGGCATTATTCACAATAGCAAAGACTTGGAACCAACCCAAATGTTCAACAATGATAGACTGGATTAAGAAAATGTGGCACATATACACCATGGAATACTATGCAGCCATAAAAAATGAGGAGTTCATGTCCTTTGTAGGGACATGGATGAAATTGGAAATCATCATTCTCAGTAAACTATCGCAAGGACAAAAAACCAAACACCACATGTTCTCACTCATAGATGGGAACTGAACAATGAGAACACGTGGACACAGGAAGGGGAACATCACACTGTGGGGACTGCTGTGGGGTGGGGGGAGGGGGGAGGGATAGCATTAGGAGATATACGTAATGCTAAATGACGAGTTAATGGGTGCAGCACACCAGCATGGCACATGTATACATATGTAACTAACCTGCACATTGTGCACATGTACCCTAAAACTTAAAGTATAATAATAATAATAATAATAATAACCCAAAAAAAGAAATTACTGTCGTTTACTAGGTTGCTTCCCAGAACTCAGCTTCATTTTTAAATAACTCATGGATAAGGAGAAAATCAGAAGAGGAAACATTAAATATTTTGAATTGAATGATAATAAAAACATATTAAATTAAACTTGGTGAGATGACACTCGAACAATCCTCAGAGGGAAATTTATCATTATATAGCTATAAAAGAAAAGAATAAAAACTGAAAATAAATTATTATTTATAATAAATTATAACAAAGAAACCAGACAAAATCCAGCATGAGTATAAATTTTGAAACAAATCCAAATATGAGAAGAAACCAAATAGAAAACAATCAGTACAGACAATTTAAAAAGGTAAAAGGCCAGGCAAGAATAATCAAGTAAAACAGAGTTCTTGCCACAAATAAGGAAATGGAACAAAATAGATGAAAATAACATTTTCAGACATTGGAAAGCAGGAAGCACCTAATTCCAGAGAAAAAGTGACAATGAGATGAGTTCCATCATCAAAGTGACTTTATGCTGGGAGAAATTTTCCAAACAGCAGCATGGAGAAGGAGAATTCAGCAGAAAGTGCCACACTTGCTGAGTAGAAGAAACAAAACTCAGTGTTCCCAAAGAAGATGAGTTCACTAGAATCTGCAGGA
This sequence comes from Homo sapiens, assembly GCF_000001405.40. Classification (NCBI taxonomy): domain Eukaryota; kingdom Metazoa; phylum Chordata; class Mammalia; order Primates; family Hominidae; genus Homo; species Homo sapiens. Next base: position 561,669 of record NW_025791754.1, on the reverse strand, counting down.
AACAGAGTGAGAAAAGAAGAAACTATGGAGTGAAAGGGCTCTACAAATTTCCACAGCAACTCCCTAGATTATTTGGCTGAATATTGACCCTCTGGAGAGTAGAGCAAAACTCCCCAAGAATGGACAAAGGATACCTATCAGATGAAGAACACTACCAGAGAACAAAAAGGTAAAGGATTCCCAGAGCACACACACAACACAGGGAGACATTTAAATGGAATCAATCAGAGTAGAAAGACTCGTTTGAACATCTAGGTCACGTAGTAGAGACATCAGAAGCAGCTTAATATTCTGAACAAACTATCTCTGGGGTTTTTTAAGCTTTTTAAAAGCTTAAAAATAAGCCTTGAAAGAACTAAGTTGACCCAAAACAAACCTAAACTTAAAAAAAAATTAAAACAAGTAATCCTTGGGGTCTCACAGATGTACAGACTTGAGAAGTTCCAAAGCTGCTTCTCTTAGCCAAAATACAGAATGGAGTTAAAAAAAAATCCACATTTTGGTAATAATACCCTCTTCACACCTCCCTCCAAAAATCACAGTAAATCTTTTATGGAATACTCACCCTACTCCAGCCAAACACTGATTGATATACTATATATCAAAAGTTGTGGAATGGCACTAGAGCAGTATGAAATAAATTGGTGTCACTAAATACCTGGGATAGAAAATGACGGTGTTCCACTTCAATAACCTTAGCCTCTACCATTAGATATTAGTAAAAGTAGAAAAAATTAATCTCAAAGTAAGCAGAAGAAATACTACAATAAAGATCAGAGATGAAATAATAAAGAAGTAAATATGTATATAAACAAGGAAACCAAAAGCTTGTTATTTTAGATCTCTATAATTGAGAAACCTTTAGACAGACTAAATCAGAAAAAATAACACAAATTGCTTATAACAGCAATGACAGAAATGACATCATTATGGTTTTTACATATATTAAAAGAAAAATAAAAAATATTCTGAATAATGCCATGTCAATAAATTCAAGAACTTGAATGAATTAAAAAATTACTGAAGCCACAAACTATCATGGCTCTCTCAAGAAGGATTAGGTAGCATTAATAAATTCTGTCTATTAAACAAATTGAATTTTTCGTTGATGGATGAAATACAAAATATTTAGTTATAAATCTAGTAAAATACAGGATCTGTATGCTTAAAATAAAAAAAAACTAGGGTAAGACTGTATGATCTTACTAAATCAAAGGATATATAATATTCATGGATTGAAAAATTTAATACTATTACATATCAGTTCTCCCCAGATTCATCTGTGAATGTGTCCCAGTTCTAGTGAATAACCAAGCACAATGTTTTGCACATACGAACATGCTGATTCTAAAGTCATATGGAAAGGTAAAGGGGCTAAAACAGCTAAACAATTCTTCAAAAGATAAGAAAAGTTGAAAAACTCACATTACCAAATTTTAAGACTTAAAAAAAGCTACAGTGAGTAAAGGATCTCATGATACTGGTTAAAGGACAAACACGTGGAAGAATAGAAGAGAAAACGGTGTCCAGAAATAGACTCACATGCATGGATCGATCCTATAAATAGCTTCTATTCTATTTTGTTATAAGACTATCAGGTTCACATGCCCACTGTTTAGCAATAGACCAATACGCGGAGACAGTAGGGTTTGCAGCAAAGAAAGGCTTTAATCAACACAAGGGCACCAAACAAGGAATTGGGAGGATTCTCAAGCCCCAGATCTGTTCTGAGAAGGGGCTATGTGCAAGAGACCTTAAGGGGATCATGGAGGGTGACGGGCTAGAAAATTTGGGTTGTCAATTGGTCAGGGTAAGGGGGATGAAGTCACCAGGATGTGGAACCTGCATTATTTCCTGAGTCAGCTTTTTGCTGGGCTCTTTAGACCAGCTGATGTTTGTGTCTTTGTGTGTCTGTGTGTGTATGTTTGTGTGTGTGTGTGTGTTTTGTTTTTGAGCAAGATGATCTTGCTCTGTTGCCCATCTGGATTTCAGTAGCGTGATCACAGCTCACTGCAACTTCTGCCTCCCAGGCTCAAGTGGTCCTCCCACCTCAGATCTCCTGAGCAGCTGGTACTACAGACCTGTGCCATAATGCCCGGCTAATTTTTTAATTTTTTGTGAAAATGAGGTTTTGCCTTGTTGACCAGTATGTTGCTAGGTTTTTTTTTCATATGCAGAACCTAAAGGAGAAACTCATGCAGAAAGATTATCATCTCACAATGTCTTAGATTTTATCTATAGAAAGGAAAAGGACCAAAATGTCTTGTGACAAGGGCTTCTTTATCCTAGGGTAGTAATCAATGACCAGCTACAGAGAAGTTGGACAAATGGAAAGCTGATTTAGTGATTACTGCTGATTTTCCTGAAATCATAGTTGAATTTTTCCCCCTTAATCAATTTTATATAACTTTCCTAGGGACAGTTTCAGTTCCTTCCGGGCTTGATCCCTTCTCAATTCTGAGGTGTAAAAGCTAATATGGTATGAATTGGGCAATGGCCATTCTAGCTTCTTTTTGCTGACACGGGGCACAGAGAGAGAGTCAGGATTAGAGGAATGAAACCGTCTTGTAACAACCTGCAAGCTGTTATACCCAGCTTAGGGTGCTGGATGAACATGTTAGTACTTCAGTCTATGGTTTTATTGTAATATTTAATTGAATGATGTAAATTATAATCCCTATAAACAGAATTGTGAGCTTGAACTTCAAGAGTCCTTGAAAAATGGACTGGAAAACATGGAGTATGCAGGCGGAAAGCTCAAAAAACTATTCAGACATAGGGTCTGTGGTAGAGACATATGGTCTCCAGCGAGACTGCTGAAATATTTTCTTTAGTTTGGTTTTTATTTTACCAGAAGCATTGATATAAGTACAACAGGTGGTATTGATCACTGTACAGACTCCTCTCTGTAAAGCCAAGAGAAAATCAAGTGTAGTTCCGTTGTCAAGAACTATCTGGGCAAGTAAATTTGAAGAGTTTTCTCAGCCTCAATGTTCTTAGCAGCCTCTTTTGCAATTATTTCTGTGGTTGCCAATAAGTTTCTGATCATGTCCCAGTGAGTGTATACTCCATAGCTAGGACTCGTGATGCCTAGAAGGCTCTGCCACCAGATATATTGATATATGCCTGGCAGTCCCTTTTGGAGTCTGTGGGAAAATGGGCAGAATATTTTGTCATTAGGATGGACTGAGAAGTATCTCAGTAAGTGAGAGCCCTTAATATACAGGTTATTGAGACACCAGTGGGCTTGTCCTAACAGAGGAGGGTCTGATCCTATGCCACAAATAAACATGTACCAAGGGGGCACACAGGTAAAGCCCTCAAGGGTGCATTTATTGATGGATTTTTTTCATGGGGAATATAGACAAATGGAATTGAACTAGGGATCTTTTTTTACAGGCTCCCCAGAATTTGTGTGATATTCCCCACTGTAAATATTTTTGGCATAGTAAGGAGAAACTTTTAGTTTTATTTCCCTTCTCCTAGCTGCGTTTGTCTGCCCAGTATGCCATGGGCCATGGAGGGCCTATGTAATGGAATGACTTTCCATTTATGATAGGCAGAGAGAGATTGACACATGGGGTGGTGATTTCTTGGTGTACTATTACTTGGACCTGGAAAGTAGCCATGGAAAGAAGCTGGTGCAGATAGGTAGTCATATTTGGAACATCCAGAAAGTCAGTGACAAGTATGACTAACAGAAAATGCTTATTTTGAATAGTTTGGGGGAGTTACTGACAGATCCATCATTCTGGTAAGTTTCTTCCAGTGGCAATACCTTGAAACAGTTGAACTACAGTGTTGCTATGCCTGTCTAGGCACTGTAGTAACAGGAGAGGTATAATTAGAAGTTTTAAAACAAGAGTGACCATTTCTAAATTTTAGAATGTCCACATAATGAGTGGCATGAGACTATGTTAGCATGGCATATAATGTCTAGAAAATCTATAAGTCTAACAATTGTATTGACCAAGGCAATTATGAAGTAATGTCTATAAGGGTAGCAATTGTAATTATCTAGGCAATTATAATGACCAAGTAAATATATGGCTTAAGCATTCAGTAAGGCAGGGAATAGACAGGAAGGTATCTCACCTTTTTATATAAAATAATTATAATAACAAACATTCCTGTTATGCTCAAAGTAACTATTGTAGTAGTCAAGAAGACATATGTTTTGTCTAATTTCATTAAAGTTACTTATCTGATATTTTTCCTCAAAAGATATTTGAGGCCCATCAAAGATTTACTTATCCATTCAGATAGGGTTGAGACAGTCTCTGAAGTTGAAGTGGCCTCTCTACATTTCTTGATAGGACAAGAATCTGGCGGGGCGGGTTTTATATGGCTGTGGTGAATCCAGGGTCTAAGTCCTTCAAGATGAACAGAGGAATGGGTCACCAGTCATGCTTTGCATGGCCTCTTTCACTGTGTTTTAAGTGGTCCCCAGGATGTCGACTTTTCCTGGTCTTGAGCAGAACCCAGTCTCTGGGTTGGATGGGATGAAAGAGAATGTCAGTTGGATACCACAATCTGCTGGAACCACAAACTCGTGAATAGTAGTTAAAGTACAACCTAAAGATTGTGTATATTTGATAATATCTAATTTATTTATGTGTATGTTATTGGCATTCCTTAGTCTGAGAAGGTAACGGAAGAATGATCTCCCATGTAAAATTTTTAAAGGGCTTAATTTAAGCCCACTTTTAGGGACCACCCTTACTCTGAGCAGGGCAATGGACAGAATGTTATTCCAGGTTGTTAGTTTCTTGGCAAATCTTAGCTAAAATTTGTTTTGTTTTATATAGTATGATTTATCTTTTGAGTTTTTTCAGTAGACTTCAGTCTGCAGGCTGTATGAAGATTCCAGATTATGCTGAGGGCCTGGAATATATGGTGTCCTAGGCTACAGAAATTGCACTATGGTCACACTGGATGGAGACAGGCCACCTAAACCTGAGGGTAATCTTCTCTACCAAGGCTCTCATAACCTCAGACATTCTCTTGGTCTTGCAGCGGAATGATTTTGTTTATCTTGAAAATGTATCTAAAAATACAAGCAAGTATTTAAAATTTCCTGCTACCCTTGGCATCACGGTAAAATCAATTTGCCAGTCCTCTAATAGCCCTGCACCTCTTGCTTGAATCCTTGGTACTGGGGGTGGAGGACCAGTCTTAAGATTGTTCTGGGCACCAAGTAGGTATTTTTAAATTATTTTTTGGATAGTCTTCTTTAAGTGTGTCCCAAAGACATAGTCCTGGATCAATTGAAGGGTGGCATGCCTGCCATACTGTGTGGTATCATGTATGTGTTTGATGATATCTGTCACAAGATACTTGGGCACCAGAACCTTTTCTTCCGTGTCACATATCCACTCATTTTGAGTTCTTTGATTGGAGTCAAAGTCTCAATCGAATTCTCTCTTTACATCTTCTTCCATTAGGTAGGGATTTTAGGCTGAAGTTTATTTCAGGGATTAATGGCATTAGGAAGGCTTTGGGCATTTTTTTCTCTGTTCACCCCTTTAGTGGCCTGCTCTGCCTAGTGATTTTTTTTTTTCTTGCTACCAAATTGTCCATCCACTGATGTCCATGGTAGTGTATTATAGCTACTTTCTTGGGTACCAAGACTGCCTTTAGTCAGGCTAAGATTTCTTTAGCATGCTTAATTGTTTTTCTTTTTTAATCATCAAAGGTTAAGAGCCCGCTTTCTTTCCAAACGGCCCCATGAGCATGGATAACAATAAAAACATACCTGGAATCAGAGTAATCGGTGACTCAGGAGTCTTTACCTAGTTGGGATGCCCTGATTAGGACTCTAAGTTCTGCCTTCTGTGCCGATGAACCCAGAGGGAGTGTCTCTGCATCTAGGATCTGTCACAGGGTTACAATAGCATACTCAGCCTTCTGTTGTCGGTGGTGCATAAAGCTGCTTTCCTCAGTGAATATTTTTAAGTCCAGGTTTTTAAAGGGAATTTTGGTCATGTCTGGTTGAATAGAACACACTTGCTCAGTAATTTATATGCAATCATGTATAGGTTTATTTAGCAGGATTTAAAGCAGAAACAGCTCTCAAAGTAACACTAGGATTATCCAGGAGGATGACCTGATACCTATTCAGTCTTCTAGAGGTAAGTCAGTAGCTCCACTTCTGTTCCAACAAATAGCATACACAGTGTGGGGTGTGTACAGTGCTAGGTTAACCCAAAGTGAACTCTTCTGCCTCCTGGAGAAGATCACAAGTGGTGCCAGTGGCTCAGAGATAAGAAGTCCAACCCATCATAACAATGTCCAGCTGTTTTGAAAAGTAGGCTACAGGCCTCATGATATTCCCCAAGTCTTGGGTTACTACTCCTAAACCCATCCCTTCTCTCTCATGTTTGAACAAATCAAATGGCTTTCTTAGTTCAGGGGGTCTCAGTAGCCAGATCCATTAGTAATTTTTACTTAATGGTTAGAAAGGCCTTTTGACATTCCTTGTCCATTCTAGAAGTCAAGTGTCTGGTCTTAGGGCTTCATAGAGACATTTTGCTATAAGCCCAAAATAAGAAAATGAAATATGGCAACATTCAGCCATACCTAAAAACCCCTCACAGCTGCTGCCATGTCCTGAGTCTGGCCACCCTGACAAGAGCTTCTCTCCAGTCCGAAAGCAGATTACTCTGCTCCTGAGAAAATTCAAACCTAAAATATATAATTGAGTTTTTCAATATTTGTGATTTTTTTCTTGGATACTTTGGATCCCCATCCAGACAAAAAAAAAAATGTAAAGCCAGTATAATATTCTGGTCAATTTGCCATAGTTGTGCTGGCTTCTAATATGCCATCAACATATATAAGCAAAGTCTCATTTTTCAATTGGAGGTCCCAAAACTCCTTAGCATGTATTTCCCCCGGACGGTTAGTGAGTTTTTGAAGCCTTGATGGAGCATCATCCAGCAATACTATCATTTAGCTTTAGTGTCAGAGTCTTCCTATTCAAAGGCAAACACTTCATGGGACTCTGGACTCAGGGGAATACAGATGAAGGCATCCTTCAGATTCAAGACTGAACACCAGTACAACTCACTGGTTAAAGTCATGAATAATGTATAAGCATCAGGTATCACCAGATAAATGGCTTTGAAAATTTGCCTAGTAGCCCTCAAATCCTGTACAAACCAATAATCCTCAGTTCCATGTTTTTGTCCTGGCAAGACAGGTATGTTACATGAGAAACAAGGAATTCTTCCTGTATTGCAGGAAGGCCATTAGCAGAGGCTAAATGCATTGCTGTGCCTTTTCTCTCAAAGGACGCTGCTTTAGATTTGGCAGCGCCACTCCTGCACAAAACTTGACTTGTACTGGAGATGCAGTTTTTGTTTTCCCTGGCCTCCCATCTGCCCATGTTTCCGGACTAACCTTTTGGAGTATCTCTTCAGGGGTGCAGGCACTTTCAAGGATCTCCAGTTGTAATAATATGGCCTGCAGAGCACATGCTTGGTCTGAAGGCACCTGGATGTCCAATCATCTCAGAGAAAAAGTAATCTTAGCATTTAGTTTGGTTAAGAGTACTGCCCTAACAGGACGGGAGCAGTGGCTCACACCTGTAATCCCAGCTCCCAGCACTTTGGGAGGCCAAGGAGGGCAGATTACCTCATGTCAGGAGTTTAAGACGAGCCAGGCCAACATGGTGAAACCCTGTCTCTACTAAAAATATAAAAATTAGCTGGCTGTGGTGGCACACGCCTGTAATCCCAGCTACTCGGGAGGCTGAGACAGGAAAATTGCTTTAGCTCGTGAGGTGGAGGTTTCAGTGAGCCAGAGGTTGCAGTGAGCCACAATCGTGCCACCACAGTCCAGCCTGGGCGATAGGGCAAGACTCTGTCTCAAAACAAAACAAAACAAAACAACAACAAAAAAGGAAGACTTTCCCCAACAAAGGGATAGGACATTCAAGGATGTATAGAAAAACTCTGTCTTTTTTTTTTTTTTTTTTTTTTTTTTGACAGAGTCTTGCTCTGTCCCCCAGGCTGGAGTGCAGTGGCATGATCTTGGCTCACTTGCAAGCTCTGCCTCCCCGATTCACGCCGTTCTTCTGCCTCAGCCTCCCGAGTAGCTGGGACTACAGGTGCCCACCACCATGCCCGACTAATTTTTTGTATTTTTAGCAGAGACGGGGTTTCACTGTGTTAGCCAGGATGGTCTCGATCTCCTGACCTTGTGATCTGCCCATCTCAGCCTCCCAAGGTGCTGGCATTACAGGAGTGAGCCACCGCGCCCAGCAAAAAACTGTGCTTTAAATGATCTTACTCTAGCTGACAATCCAAAATTTGGAGGAATGATCTCATCAGCATTTTTTCTGAGATTTCAGTCACCTTCATTATTTCTGAGGAAAGTTTAGACCACCAGATATTTAACACCAAATAGATGGCACCATGTCTACTAGAAAGTCCAGAAGCTGATTTCTCACCATCATCAGGATCTCAAGCCCCATGTGGGAAATATGGAGGGTGTTGTCTGGGTCAGGAGAAGCCCCTGGGTGCTACCATTTCTGGTCTTTTTCTTTAGTATCTCTCTCAAGCTCCCCAGCTATCCCAGGCATTTGGTGGGCAGAAGGCTGACTGTTTAACATCAGGCTTTGTAAGGCATGAGAAATTTTCCATTCAGTGTCCCCCCTGTTGCAGTAAGCACACTGGTTGGGACCTGCAATGGGATGTCCGTTTTTATTGGCTTTTGGGGGCCCAGGTGGTTCTACCATAGATGGAGTGTCTGATGACGGCCCTTGTTGTGGTCCAGGGACTACTAGGGTCAGAGCCACAGATAACAAGTCAGCTTGCCATTTTCATTATTCCTTGTGTTTTATTTTCCACTCTTTAAACTTGTGATCAGTAAATACATTAAAAACAATCTTCACTAATTGAGACAAAAACATGTCCAATGCCTCAGCTACGTTTTGTAACTTTCTCTGAATATCTGGGGCACTTTGTTGGATAAACATCATGTTAGCTATCATCAAATTTTCTGGGGCTTCTGGGTCAATATCCATTTATTCTCTGAAAGCTTCAAAGACTTGTTCTAAGAATTCCAAAGCAACCCTCATTAGGCTTCTGCTTGACCATCCTGGACCTTATTGAGGCTCCTTTGCTTGGGCACTCCCTTGCAGAGGCTGATCAAAATGCAGTTTTGATAGTGTTCAAGGTTAGATCTATCTCCAGTGTTTATATTCCATCCCAGGTCAGAGGTGGGAACTGCAATCTGAGCAGCTGCCCTTACTGGATTACTGGGAGAGTCAGTGTGAATAAGATCAGCCTTTTCCTTAGCTTTTTCTAAAACCATTCTTTGTTTCTCTGAAGTCAACAAAATATTGAGCAAATTGGGGGTGCCTGCTCAGGTAGGGTTCTGTGTGGCAAATACAGAGGAGAATAGATTCTTCATATGCTTTGGATTTTTTTTTTTTTCAATCCTGTTCCTTCCATAAACTTTAGATCTTCTCAATAAATAGGCATATTATTTTTCTAATTAAGTAGGTTGGAAGTGGAGAACAGAGAATAAACCAAGATAAATCCTATAGGCTGGCCTGTGGCAGCAACACCTCCTGTAAGCAGTTGTTATGGGGAAACTGCCTCTCAGAACCAGAGTGACTCCCCGGCTAAATGGAGTTCCCTGTTGGGTATAAGAAGTGACACCCTGCCTAAATGGAGTCCCCTGTTGGGTTATAAGAAGTAGAGATCATACCTGTTGCCCCGGATTTGTGACTTTTTGGTGGTGGGGACTCTGGAGAGGCGCCAGTAGTGCTGCTGCAGCTCCCCCATAAAGTGGAGGGGGGTGAGTCATAGGTTCCTTTAACTGAACCATCATAGCATCATCTTTTTCTTGTAAATCAGTCCAAACAGTTTTTAATTTCTTACTTTATCATGATTTTACCTTTTTCTACATTGTTGTACTTTTCCAAAGCAACATAAAACATTATACATAGGGTATTTCATCTCATTCTTCTTCCTTCTTACAAAACAAATCTAGCTACAGGATCGTACTGTAAGCATGAGAACCATGCAGTGGCCACTGTTCTCCGAAATCCAGTGGGTATTAAGGTTAAGCCATGTTAAAAAGTAAGATAATCTTTTTTTGTTTCATGGAATGATAGACAAAGGCCTTTCAATTTTGGAAGATGCAGCCCATCAGGGTTGCATTGTGGGTTACTTTGGGAGAACTAAGGGACAGCCCTTAGTTCATGAGAGCTAAGTAAGCTGCTAGGGTTTGTCTCTGGGTCTGCCCCAGTGGAAAGGGGGCACTAGGCAGTGAGTAAATGCCCTCAAAGAGAGTGACCTCGACCTGGCTTGCCACAAATAGTTACAAGATTGTCAGATTTGTATGCCTGCTGCACAGCAACAGAACAATACACTGAGACAGTGGGGTTTGCAGCAGAGAAAGAGTTTAATAATCTCAAAGCCACCAGCCCCATTGGGCTGCCTGGAGGAGCTGAATTAGCATTTCCCATTCTGGCTGGAATAATACACACATAACAAAACAGATACTAGTCACCATACTCAGGACCCAAGTATTGACCTGGCAAGACTCAAACTTGGTTCCATTGGCCCTTGTCATCTTTGATCCACTCAAGCTGGAGAGGGATGACCTTCGATCAGAAGTTCAGAGGGTAAAGCCTGGGAAAGATTGAAGAGCAGATGATTACCCTGAGTTAGGCTTGCTGAGATTCCACTAGCAACTCCTTCAGGACTAACTGAATGTGACTGACCAAACAAGAAGAGTTCCCTGAGTTAGTAATTTCTTCCACTAGTAATTTCTTCAGGGATCCCCTCCACAAACATAAATACATATAACAAGACAAAGACAAACAAAAGACCTTTCCATATAAAGTTTCAGATTCCAAAATCCAAGACCATTTCTCCCAAGCAATGCCCTCTAGTCTTTTTCCATCTGAAGGGAGATCTCCTCAAATAAGTTCCTACCTAGACTTAGGGAGTGTCAACAAGACCTCAAAGAGGCCACAAGACCTCTAAGACGAAAACAGGCACACACACACAGAAGGAAATGGGGTGCCAGCTGCTCTGAGAAAACTCACCTGAGACTTCTTCTGAGACCAGAAATGGTTTCTCTGCTGCAGACAAGGTTGTGTGCTGAAAGTCAGCACTGCCCTGCCAACACAGAAGGCCCCAGCTAAGGCCCTTAGTTCATCATAACTAAGCAGCTTCTTGAGCTTCTCTCTGGGTCAGCCCCAGTGGCATGGGGGCACTGGACTGTAGGTAAATGACTGCAAGGAGAGTGGCTTGCCATGAATTTTTTTTTCTTTTCTTTTTTTTTTTTTTTTGAGACGGAATCTCAATCTGTCTCCCAGGATGGAGTGCAGTGGCACGATCTTGGCTCACTGCAACCTCTGCCTCCCAGGTTCAAGTGATTCTCCAGCCTCAGCCTCCCAAGTAACTGGGATTACAGGCATGTGCCACCATGCCTGGGCAACTTTTGTATTTCTAGTAGAGACAGGGTTTCACCATGTTGGCCAGCCTGGTCTCAAGCTCCTGACCTCAAGTAATCTGCCCTCCTTTGCCTCCTAAAGTGCTGGGATTACAGGTGTGAGCCATCATGTCTGGGTGCTTGCCATGAATTTTTATAAGATTGTAAGGTTTGTATGCCTGCTGTGCAGCAACAGAATATACCAAGACAGTGGAGTTTGCAACAGAGAGTTTACCAATTGCAAGGTCACCAAACAAGGACATGAGAAGAATTCTCAAGACTCAAACCCATTTCACTGAAGCTTTCTGGGCAAGAATCTTTGAAGGGGGAGTGGCTGGAAAATTGAGGTCATCAATTGATTCGGGTAAGGGGGCTGAAATCATCAGGATATGGAAAGTACATTCTTCCCTAAGTTGAGTTTCTTGTCAAGCCTTTCAGAATGGCTGGCATCAGTAGTTTTGTTAGTATGCAGAACCTAAAGGAGAAACTCAAATGGAAAGTTTGTCATCTCATATTGTCTTAAATTTTAACTAAAGAACAGAAAAAGAACAAAGATTCTAGTGACAAAGATTATGTTATCCTGGACTAGTAATCAGTGACCAGCTATAAGGAAGTGGGTCAATGGAAAGCTAGCCTAATGATTACCATTGATTGTCCTACAAGCCTAGTTGAATTTTACTTTTTCCTCCTTAACTGTTTTTAAAAATTTTTTGAGGATGTTTTCAATTTAAAAAAGGAGCAAAGGCAATTCAATAAAGAAAACATAGTCTTTTAAACAAGTGATACTGGAACAGTAACGCATCCAAATGCAAAATAATAACCCTCTACATATTCCTCATACCTCATACAAAAATTAACTCATATAACTAAGTGTAAAATGTTAACTTCTAGAACTGTATATGGCCTTGGTTTAGGCAAGGAAATTTTAGATGACACAAAGAGCGTAATCTATAAATGAAAAATGTGATAACATCAAAATTACATACTTTTGCTCATGAAAAGAGACTATTAGAGAGAAAAGTAAAGCTACAGATGCAAGAAAAATATTTGCAAAATATTTACTCAGTGAAGGGCTTGTAGCCACAATATATCATGTAGTCTCAAAATTCCGTAATGGAAGAAACAACTCAATGGAAAGTGGGCAAAATTTAGACAGTGTTCACCAAAGGAGGTACATAGATGGTAAATAAGTACAAAGAAGATGCTAAGCAGCATTAGTCACTAGGGAATGCAATACCATCACACACATATTAGAATGGATAATTTAATGGAAAAAAAACACATTATCTCAAAGGCTGGCAAGGTTGCGAAACAACTGGAACTCACATACACTGAGTATGTGAAGGTACAATATATGATCGCTCAGGAAAACAGTTTGTCTATTTCTTATAAAAATGAACACATATTTAGTATGATATTTGCTATGGGTTTTTAAAAAATAGCTCTTATAATTTTGAGATATGTTCCATCAATACCTAGTTTATTGAGTGTTTTTACCATGAAGGGGTGTTGAATTTTATTGAAGGCCTTTTCTGCATCTATTGAGTTAATTATGTGTTTTTTGTCATTACATTTATTGATTTGTATATGTTGAAACAGCCTTGCATCACAGAGATAATGGCGACTTGCTCATGGTGAATAAGCTTTTAGATATGCTGCTGGATTTGCTTTGCCAGTATTTTATTGAGGATTTTCGCATTGATGTTCATCAGGGATATTAGACTGAAATTTTCTTTTTCTGTTGTGTCTCTGCCAGGTTTTGGTATCAGGATGATGCTGGCTCCATAAAATGAGTTAAGGAGGAGACCTTCTTTTTCTATTGTTTGAAATAGTTTCCAAAGGAATGGTACCAACTCCTCTTAGTACCTCTGGTAGAATTTGGCTGTAAATCCATCTGGTCCTGGGCTATTTTTGGTTGGCAGGCTATTAATTACTACCACAATTTCAGAACTTGTGTTTGGCCTATTCAGGGTTTTGACTTCTTTCTTCTGCTTTAGTGTTGGGAGCGTGTATGTGTCCAGGAATTTATCCATTTCTTCCAGATTTTCTACTTTATTTGTGTAGAGGTGTTTATAGTATTCTCTGATGGTAGTTTGTATTTCTCTGGGATCAGTGGTGATACCCTCTTTATCATTTTTATTGTGTCTATTTGATTCTTCTGTCCTTTCTTCTTTATTAGTATGGCTAGTAGTGTACTTTGTTAATCTTTTCAAAAAACCAGCTCCTGGGTGCATTGATTTTTTGAAGGGTTTTCATGTCTCTATCTCCAGGTCTGCTCTGATCTTAGTTATTTCTTGTCTTCTGCTAGCTTTTGAATTTGTTTGCTCTTGCTTCTCTAATTCTTTTTTTATTATTATTATACTTTAAGTTTTAGGGTACATGTGCACAACGTGCAGGTTAGTTACATATGTATACATGTGCCATGGTGGTGTGCTGCACCCATTAACTCTTCATTTAACATTAGGTATATCTCCTAATGCTATCCCTCCCCCCTCCCCCCACCCCACAACAGGCCCCGGTGTGTGATGTTCCCCTTCCTGTGTCCATGTGTACTCATTGTTCAATTCCCACCTATGAGTGAGAGCATGCGATGCTTGGTTTTTTGTCATTGCCATAGTTTGCTGAGGATGATGGTTTCCAGCTTCATCCATGTCCCTACAAAGGACATGAACTCTTCTTTTTTATGGCTGCATAGTATTCTATGGTGTATATGTGCCACATTTTCTTAATCCAGTCTATCATTGTTGGACATTTGGGTTGGTTCCAAGTCTTTGCTATTGTGAATAGTGCCGCAATAAACATACGTGTACATGTGTCTTTATAGCAGCATGATTTATAATCCTTTGGGTATATACCCAGTAATGGGATGGCTAGGTCAAATGGTATTTCTAGTTATAGATCCCTGAGGATCTAGACAATGACTTCCACAATGGTTGAACTAGTTTACAGTTCCACCAACAGTGTAAAAGTGTTCCTATTTCTCCACATCCTCTCCGGCACCTGTTGTTTCCTGACTTTTTAATGATCGCCATTCTAACTGGTGTGAGATGGTATCTCATTGTGGTTTTGATTTGCATTTCTCTAATGACCAGTGATGCTGAGCATTTTTTCATGTGTCTTTTGGCTGCATAAATGTCTTCTTTTGAGAAGTGTCTGTTCATATCCTTCACCCACTTTTTGATGGGGTTGTTTGTTTTTTTCTTGTAAATTTGTTTGAGTTCATTGTAGATTCTGGATATTAGCCCTTTGTCAGATGAGTAGATTGCAAAAATTTTCTCCCATTCTGTAGGTTGCCTGTTCACTCTGATGGTAGTTTCTTTTGCTGTGCAGAAGCTCTTTAGTTTAATTAGATCCCATTTGTCAGTTTTGGCTTGTGTTGCCATTGCTTTTGGTATTTTAGACATGAAGTCCTTGCCCATGCCTATGTCCTGAATGGTATTGCCTAGGTTTTCTTCTAGGGTTTTTATGGTTTTAGATCTAACATTTAAGTCTTTAATCCATCTTGAATTAATTTTAGTATAAGGTGTAACGAAGGGATCCAGTTTCAGCTTTCTACATATGGCTAGCCTGTTTTCCCAGCACCATTTATTAAATAGGGAATCCTTTTCCCATTTCTTGTTTTTCTCAGGTTTGTCAAAGATCAGATGGTTGTGGATATGTAGCATTATTTCTGAAGGCTCTGTTCTGTTCCATTGGTCTGCATCTCTGTTTTGGTACCAGTACCATGCTATTTTGGTTACTGTGGGCTTGTAGTATAGTTTGAAGTCAGGTAGCATGATGCCTCCAGCTTTGTTCTTTTGTCTTAGGATTGACTTGGCAATGCGGGCTCTTTCTTGGTTCCATATAAACTTTAAAGTAGTTTTTTCCAATTCTGTAAAGAAAGTCATTGGTAGCTTGATGGGGATGGCATGCTGCCAAAGGTAATTTATAGATTCAATGCCATCCCCATCAAGCTCTATTTCTTTTAATTGAGGTGTTAGGGTGTCAATTTTAGATCTTTCCCACTTTCTGATGTGGGCATTTAGTGCGATAAATTTTCCTCTAAAGACTGCTTTAACTGTGTCCCAGATATTCTGGTACATTGTGTCTGTCTTCTCATTGGTTTCAAGGAACTTATTTACTTCTGCCTTACTTTCAATATTTACTCAGTAGTCATTCAGTAGCAGGTTGTTCAGTTTCCATGTAGTTGTGTAGTTTTGAATGAGTTTCTTAATCCTGATTTCTAATTTGATTTCACTGTGGTCTGAGAGACTGTTTGTTGTGGTTTTTGTTCTTTTGCGTTTGCTGGGGAGTGTTTTACTTCCAATTATATGGTCGATCTTAGAATAAGTGCTATGTAGTGCCAAGAAGAACACTTGACTTCTGGTGGAGAGTTCTGTAGATGTCTATTAGGTCCAGTTGGTCCAGAGTTGAGTTCAAATTGGGAATATCCTTGTTAATTTTCTGTCTCGTTGATCTGTCTAGGATGGACATAGTATTGGGAGTTTTGGACCAGACAATCAGGCAAGAGAAAGAAATAAGGAGTATTCAAATAGGAAGAGAGGAAGTCAAATTGTCTCTTTTTGCAGATGACATGATGGTATATTTAGAAAACCCCATTGTCTCAACCCAGAAACTCCTTAAGCTGATAAGTAACTTCAGGAAAGTCTCAGGATGCAAAATCAATATGCAAAAATCACAAGCATTCCTATACATCAGTAATAGACAGAAAGCCAAATCATGAGTGAACTCCCATTCACAATTGCCACAAAGAAAATAAAATACGTAGAAATACAACTTACAAGGGATGCGAAGGAACTCTTCAAGGAGAACTACAAACCACTGCTCAGGGAAATAAGAGAGGGCCCAAATAAATAGAAAAATATTCCATCCTCATGGATAGGAAGAATCAATATCATGAAAATGGCCATATTGCCCAAAGTAGTTGATACATACAATGCTATTCCCATCTAGCTATCATTATCTTTCTTCACAGAACTAAGAAAACTACTTTAAATTTCATATGAAACCAAAAAAAGGTCCCATCTAGCCAAGACAATCCTAATCAAAAAGCACAAAGCTGAGGCATCACGCTACCTGATTTCAAACTATACTACAAGACTACAGTAACCAAAACAACATGGTACTTGTACCAAAACAGATATATAGGCCAATGGAACAGAACAGAGGCCTCAGAAATAACACCACACATCTACAACCATTTGATCTTCAACAAACCTGACAAAAACAAGCAATAGGG
This sequence comes from Homo sapiens, assembly GCF_000001405.40. NCBI lineage: Eukaryota > Metazoa > Chordata > Mammalia > Primates > Hominidae > Homo > Homo sapiens. The sequence goes on along the minus strand of NW_025791754.1, from coordinate 544,976 downwards.
AAAAGATTCCCTATTGAATAAATGGTGCAGGGAAAATTGGCTAGCCATATGCAGAAAACTGAAACTGGACCCTTCCCTTACACCTAATATAAAAATTAACTCATGATGTATTAAAGGCTTAAATGTAAGACCTAAAACCATAAAACCCATAGAAAAAAACCTAGGCAGTAGGTTATTCAGGACATAGGCATGGGCAAAGACTTCATGACTAAAACACCAAAAGCAATGGCAACAAAGGCCAAAATTGACAAATGGGATCTAATTAAACTAAAGAGCTTCTGCACAGCAAAAGAAACTATCATCAGAGTGAATAGGCAACCTACAGAATGGGAGAAAATTTTTGCAATCTATCCATCTGACAGAGGTCTAATATCAAGAATCTACAAGGAACTTAAACAAATTTATAAGAAAGAAACAAACAACCCCATCAAAAAGTAGGTGAAGGATATGAACAGACACTTCTCAAAAGAAGACATTTATGCAGTCAACAAATACATGAAAACAAGCTTATTGTCACTGGTCATTAGAGAAATGCAAATCAAAACCACAATGAGAAACCAATTCACGCCAGTTAGAATGCCGATCATTAAAACATCTGGAAACCACAGGTGCTGGCGAGGATGCGGAGAAATAGGAAAGTTTTACTCTGTTGGTGGGAGTGTAAATTAGTTCAACCATAGTGGAAGACAGTGTGGCAACTCCTCAAAGATCAAGAACCAGAGATACCATTTGACCCAGCAATCCCATTACTGGGTATATACCCAAAGGAATATAAATCATTCTACTATAAAGGCACATGCACACATATGTTTATCACAGCACCATTTGCAGTAGCAAAGATTTGGAACCAACCCAAATGCCCATCAATGATAGACTGGATAAAGAAAATGTGGCACATATACACCATGGAATACTATGCAGCCATAAATTGAATGAGTTCGTGTCCTTTGCAGGGACATGGACGAAGCTGGAAACCATCATCTTCAGCAAACTAACACAGGAACAGAAAACAAAACACCACATATTCTCACTCATAAGTGAGAGTTGATCAATGAGAACACATGGACATAGGGAGGGGAACATCACACACCGGGGCTTGTTGGGGTGTGCGGGGAAAGGGGAGAGAGAGCATCAGGACAAAGAGCTAATTCATGCAAGGCTTACAACCTAGATGACGGGTTGATGGGTGCAGCAAACCACCATGGCACACGTATACTTATGTAACAAACCTGCACGTTCTGCACATATATCCCAGAACTTAAAGTATAATAATAATAAAACACACACACACACACACACACACACACACACACACCATTTATCTAACAAACCCAGTCTTAGATATGTATCCATGAGGAATAAATTTGTGTTTATATAAAAACTGTAGATGAATATTTTTCTTAACAGCATGATTCACAAATGCCAAAAACAATGCAAATGCCCTTCAACACATGAATGGATTAACAGACCGTGATACATGATATAATGGAATAATACTTAGCAATAAAAAAAGGTGTTCTGGGTAGTGTGATGAAATCCTATGCCATTCAGCCCCATTCTCCCCAGAGCCTGAATACTTTCTTGTCTAGTGCATCCACAGTTTATACTACCTGCCTGTTAGTCACTTAGTAGTCTTTGATGAAATCCTATGCCATTCAGCTCCATCCCGCCCAGAGCATGAATCCTCCCTTCGTCTAGTGTATGCACCAGCCTGTTAGTCACTTAGTAGTATTCCAAGTTATCAGGTGGAAAAACATAGTCTACTTGGGTTTTATACTATTAATCATTTCGGGCATTTACTGGGGAGCCTGGAACATATCCCACATGAATAAGAGGGACTAGTGCAGCTTTTTTCTCTCACAGGTAAGTAGAGACTACTCTGTCTATCTTCAGAAGAATCATTCAGATGGCACTAGTAATTCAAGTTTTACAAGTCAAGAGAAATTGATATTCTGTGATTTATCTGGCAAATTTTTTATTTAAATGACTATTTTAAAGGAAACTACAGCCAGTTTGCATTCATAAAGGATACACTCCAATATATATCTACTGTACTCACTCAAGTATGTTTAATTTTTTCTGCATATTCTCACAACATGGTTATGAGGAATTTAGATTTTATTAAATTGAAAAACAATGTGATTCACTGACAATTGACTGTACATGAAAATATAACGTTGATATCTCAATCTGAAGATGAAGCTAAGACTTGTTAATTATATGACAACCGTAAAGTAGCTAAATAACCTGACTAAAGTACAGGGTCTAGCATGAAGAGTAAAATAGTAACATTCTTAAGAATAACTTGAGCCAGACAAACTTGGGACAAAAGGAAAGAAGGAAGGAAGGAAGGAAGGAAGGAAGGAAGGAAGGAAGGAAGGAAGGAAGGGAGGTAGGTAGGTAGGTAGGTGACAGAGGGAGGGAGGGAAGGGAGGGAGGGAAGGAAGAAAGAAAGAAGGAAAGAAAAAGAAAGAAAGAAAGAAAGAAAGAAAGAAAGAAAGAAAGAAAAAGAAAGGAAGGGAAAGAGAAAGAAAGAAACAAAAAGAAAGGAAGGGAAAGAAAAAGAAAGGAAGGGAAAGAGAAAGAAAGAAACAAAAAGAAAGGAAGGGAAAGAGAAAGAAAGAAAGAGAAAAAAGAAAAAGAAGGAGAAACGTAGACAAAGAAAGGAAGAAAGAAAAAAGAATGAAAGAAAGAAAAAGAAAGAGAAGGAAGAGAAGGAAAGAAAGAAAGAAAAAGAAAGAAAGAAGAAAGAAAGAAAAAGAAAAAGAAAGAAAGAAAAAGGAAGGAAGGAAAGAAAGAGAAAAAATAAGTAGTTGATTCTACAATCAGCTCCAAAATCAAACCAAGAGGCATAAACGTTGATTGAGTTGTTTGATATCAGGAGAAATTGCATATCTAATCAAGGCATATTATTAGCCTCAATTAATGTGTGAAGAAAAAAATAAAAGTAATGGGATCATCTGACACTGAATGATGAGACAAAAAAGAGACTGATGAAGCAAAAAGATTTGGGTGAAAGGTCATGATTAGGGTGAAAAGTCATATCCATACTTATTAAAAACCTATATTAATTAAAATTCAGGGAGTGGAGGTTGCAGCGAGGCGAGATCGCGACATTGCACTCCAGCCTGGGTGACAGAGTGAGATTCTATCTCAAAATAAAATAAATAAATAAAATTCAATAGAGGGTTACTGCAATGCTGGTTAAAAAATTGTTTACTAATAGTGCAGAATACTCAGAGTAATAGTTATTGTGTGTGTGTATACACACACAATGTACAAAATATACAATAAAAAATATACTGTTTGAGAAAGGTACTATAAAAATTGTTAGGGAAATGTTGAGTTTACCATATTTCATTTAAACATGAAATACAGCCATTATCATGAATAAAATCAACACAAAATATTTTTAAAATATGAAAAGAAAAGGTAACATATAACTTTTTAGAATAAAGAATAGTATAGTGGCTCTATGTTTTTGAAGTATTCCTTTAAATAGAAACAAGAAACATTCATCATGAAAAAAGATTGACTATTATGTAGTAGAATGAGCAACTTATGTTCATAATGCAGAAAAAAGGAAAGAAAAATACTAGCCACAAAGAGAATACATTTGCATTACGTATAATTAAAAGAGATTTTATATTCAGAATTGTTAAGATGATTCCAACTAATAATACCAAAACTCTCAAAAAGATAAGTAAAGAAAATCAAACTGCATTTCCAAAGATTAGAAGCATTAAATACCAATTAAACTGTGAATATATATTCTAAACCCAGTTAGTGGTAAAAGAAATGCAAATTTACACTATAATGTTATAACATTTTATAGCCATTCAATTTGTAAATATTAAAATGTGACATCACCAATCATTAACATGTAAAAAAAGAAGTAACTGTTGATATAAATGTATGTTGGAATAAATACTGTAGGAAACCTTCTAGAGTAGAATATGCACAAGATCCCAGAATACCCATTTGTACTTACATATACTAGAGAAAGTCAAATAGCTTTACTGTAAAAATGTCATATCACTGCTTGAATATATGAATTATTGGGTATCATCGTATTTACTTTCTATTTTAAACTATAATTGTATAATTATTTTGAGTCAAATGATTGATTCCAATGTACATATTAATATTGATATAGGAGTTGAGAAAAAATCGTTTAGGCAGATAATGAGGGTACAGCAGTCCTTGATAAGGTTTTTCCTTTTAATGAAAGGCAGCCCCCAAATCATTTTCTTTTCTAACAAGAGGAGCCTGTAAAATCGAACTGCAAACATAGACAAGCAAGCTGGAAGCTTGCAAGGTGAATGCCAGCAGTTGTGCCAATAGGAAAAGGCTACCTGGGACTAGGCATGTTCATATGGCAGGTGCATCTTCCTTTCTCTTTGCCAGCCACGTGTACAGTAAGGAGAAAGCAACATGGCGCTGGCCAGGCAAAGATCCCATTTGATTAATAAGATTAGGGTGGGGCGGCCAGCTTCCTGGCATATTATGTAAATGTCACACCTAGTTTAACCAATCTTTGGGCCCTATGTAAATCAGACACTGCTTCCTCAAGACCGTTTATAAAATCCAGTGCACTCCACCAGGGGCAGGGATTCACTTTCAGGTGCCGCTCTCTCTCACAAGAGAGGAAGCTGTTCTCCTTTCTCTTTCTTTTGCCTATTAAACCTGTGCTCCTAAACTCACTCCTTGTGTGTGTCCACGTCCTTAATCTTCTTGGTGTGAGATAACGAACCTCAGATATTTACCCAGACAATGATGCCGCTTCAATACGACTTCATTTAACCAACAAGTATTGTGTTCAAATTCTTTTACTGTATTCTTGACTAATGCCCATTAATAGGAGAATTTATTTTACTATGTACTTATCAAGAAATTTGTATATTCATTTATACACAGTTGAAAAACCAAAAACTAAATAGGTCCATTGGTAAAACAAGGTGACATAAACATTTTGCCACAATTAATATAGATGAGTCTTAGAATGTCATCTATGTTACTTAGAAAGACATGAACATGCTAGGATTTCAGAGTAGTGTACTTACTGACACGGATGCATCTGGGAGTAGGAGACCAGCCATTCTCCATACATGTAACTGTGGTCTGCGCTTTTGGAAGAGCGTAGCCAGGATGGCAGGCAACGTCTATAGATTTACCCTGTACAAACTTTCTTCCATAATTTTGATTATATCCATTTTCCAAATAAGGAAAATAACATTTTCCTAAGGACCATAACAATGATAAATAAATAAAGTAAATGAGAAACATAAATTTGCTCAAAATAGTATATTACAATTATTTTTACAATATTTAAATAAGATTGCATAAACATCCAAAAATAATGTATAACTGAAGACGAACTAAAGTTACTAACAAAGGTTTGCACAAAAAGAAATATCAATATTCAATATTACTTATCTTTAGTTTTTATAATTAATAGATGTATAAATTATATAGATATTCTCATAAAGTCCCTATATTTATTTCTCCTGTGATTTTCAAGAAGAAATCCTCATAATAGAAAAGATCTATTTTGGTCACTTTGCTTGAACAACTCTTTTCTTGGCCCTATTTCTGTTACATAAGACAGGTGTAATCACTTATGTGCTCTCCTTTCTTCGATCTTTGAAAGTTTTATACATATATATAGCAGTTCAGAGGTTTACTTACTGAGGCATGGTACTGCTGGCGACCATCCATCTTGTGTGCAATGAATGTGATCCCAGTAACTTCCTGACGGAGTCTCAAAATGTTCATCACAGTAATAGGAGTAATATTTTCCTACAGCTACTGGAAAGTATGGTCTACGCATATTCTCATGATATAGACCTCCATGTTTAATGTCTGGATAATCACAAGGTTTCACTTGCAATAAAAATTTTAAAAAAAGTATAAAGAAATTTTACTGTAATAAACAATCATATTAGAGATAAATTTTTATCACTGAATTATATTCTCTTCTTAGTATAATTACACATTCCATTAGGGTTTCTAGGTCAAAACAAATGATAGAACTCAGATGACTGAGATATGTAACAAGAAGGTCTTTGTTAATGAAGATGAAATTATGTCTTGTGGATCACATGATGCGTAAATTTGTATGAAGGCTCTCCAGAAAGAAAAATGCACAGACCTGTTTAATATATTTCCCTTAAATACACATACCCTATCCCTGGTTAATTAAATAAGCTTTTCGGTTGAGAAATATGCCAATTTTACCGCTTAGCTCATGTATTTCTTTCTTTCTTTCTTTTTTTTCTATTCTCATCAGTAAACAAGAGCCCTGCATTTTCTTCTCAGAACAATTCAATGTAAGGAAGTAGTATTTTGAGGGATTTAAGGTTTTTATTTGTTTTAGATTGAATTCATGGGCTGGGCGCAGTGGCTCACGCCTGTAATCCCAGCACTTTGGAAGGCTGAGACAGGCAGATCACTCGTAAGGAGTTCGAGACCAGCTGGGCCAACATGGTGATACTCCGTCTCTACTAAAAATACAAAAAAAATTAGCCGGGCCTGGTGGTGCGCCCCTGTAATTCCAGCTACTTAGAAAGCAGAGGCAGGAGAATCGCTTGAACCCAGGAGGCAGAGGTTGCAGTGAATTGAGATTGTGTCTTTGCACTCCAGCATGGGTTACAGAGTGAGACTCCATCTCGAAAAATATAAATAAGTAAATAAATAAATTAGGCTCTTTCCTATTTATTGCAGACAACGTAAAAATATAGAGAAACACAAAAATTTTTCTTTGATGATACCGCACAGAAAAATAACATAGTTAATTCATGCCTCAAACAATTCATTAAGCCAAGTTCTCCAGTCTGTATTTAACCAGAGAAACAGACTAGAAATATTTCTTCATATCCAAATAGTTAAGATTTTGATTAACTTTTTTGTTTATTTCTAATTTTAATTGGAGAGAAAAATAATTTTGATGTCATAAAATATATTTAAGTAAGGTACAATATAATTACATTTTACTGAGTTATTATATATTAATTTCGACAAATACATTTGAGTGCTATCTTGTTTATTATATTAACAGGTTTATATATTTTTCAGAAAATTTGCTCTTTTCATGGGATTATTTGTAGATTATCTAGTACTTTCAATAACAAAATGGTATTAATGTTTTCCATGAAATATGTTTCTATTTCAATAAACCTTATGCAATAGGTTAAAAAGAATTTCAATACACACATACACACACACACATATAAATATTCTTTTACATCTCCATCTTTCTTAAATTCTGTGATTTATTTTCTTTTGTATTTGATTAGAGAAATTTTCATGTAGTTTCTACATTTATTATGTGGATTATAAACTGAATAATTGTATATCTTAAATGTCTTTCTCTAATAAAGACTAGTGAATGATACTTCTTTCAGTATAGTTTCTTGGCCTACAATCCATATATCTTATAATTGATAGATTTTTTTCCCTATTTATCTGAAGCTCCCAGTGTTGAAATTAAAACATTTACTTAGTCTTATTTCTTTTAAGTAACATTCTACATTTTTCCTCACCACTTTTTAAAGATTTGGAATATTTTCTATTTACCATTGGATTTTACAAATTTCATCATGATTTGTTGAGACATGTATTATTTAACAATAATTCTGCATTGGGAAAGCTTGAGTCTTGGATTTGTGGGAGCTGTGCCTTAAAGGCCTCAATTGAATTTCACATTAAATGGTAGAGTAGAGATTTCAAAGCTTGTGGTTGATTTCAAAGCAAGTATGAGTATCCATCTTATTATGGTATTTCCCAGAAGGTCATAAAATAAAATTGTCCACCGAGATTTCTTTCCAAAAGGAATAAAAAGGAGGCATAATTAAAAACATATAACATTACCACAGGCTCGAGCTATTTAGCTATTCTCTAATTTGGTCACATTTACATCTGTTTTTATCCCTTTTACAAATTGATTCCTTGAAGCAAATATTAGTACCCACAGAGAGTCTCATCAGCGCTGAGAATAGAAGGACTTCAAATAGCTTCATTCTACTTGTTACACTTCTACAAATGTAGTTTTTGGTTTCACAGCATTTATGGTGTTTCCATCATAAAGTTGGCTCAAACAGATCTTAAAATTGATAAAAATATTCACTAATTTTTATAACTGCTGCTAATATATTCATACTGTAATTTATTTGACCCAAGTCCAGGATCTTAGAGTCAACATTGTTAAATTTCATCTTATTAGATACAGCTTAGCACATAAGAGTCTCTTTGAATGCTGAACTGCCCTAATGCAGATTCCTTATTATCATCCTCTGTATCATTCCAATTGTGAATTTGTACTGCACTTCCCCTAAATCATTAAACTGTTCAATGACACAAGTGAGTAATGAAGCAGGCCTGAGAATAAAGTCATGCGTCTGATAATTAGATATGGTTATTTAATGAAATTAAAAACTGATAAACCATATAACTCATCAACTCCTCTATCTTGTCCATGAGAACTCCAGATGGTTCATTGTCAAACATTAATAATTGAAATCCAAATATAGTTGGGTCTCAGTTGGTTTAGATACATTTGGGCTGAACTACATTGTCATAAGCCAACCATAAAATCATTAAATATTTTCCTCATAATTCTTATGCACACTGAAATGTTTCATACTGATAATAGCTTCCTCTCTTAGGGATTGGAATTATGCCAGGAATGAAAGTTGAAGTCATTAATCAATCATTTGTGTCATATTTTTCTTTCATGGAATATATAGTTTAAGTGTAGTACTTCTTGTCTATGTACTTATAGATAGAAAGAAAAGAAATTTGATTGTAGAGATAGAAAAAACATTAAAAAGGGGTAAAGGAGCATCCCAGAAATAAAATACTCTATTGACTTGAGTGGTATTTTGCTACATGTGATGATTTTTGGAAATTACCTCCAACACTAGGAAATGACTAAGACTTGGAGTCCTTCAACACTCCTCCCTCCAAATAGTGGTGCCTAATTTCTCTCCCCTTGGATATATGCTGGACTTAGTGTCTCACTTCGAAAGAATAGATATGGCTGAAGTTAACAGTGTGTGAGTAGATAATTGATATGGTTTGGCTCTGTGTCCCCACACACATCTCATGTTGAATTGTAATTCCCAATGTTGAGGGAGGTGATTGGATCATACAGGTGGATCTCCCCCTTGCTGTTTTCATGATAGTGAGTGAGTTCTCATGAGACCTGGTTGTTTAAAAGTGTGTAGCACTTTCCCCTTTGCTCTCTGTCTCTCCTGCTCTGCCATGGTAAGATGTGCTTGCCTCCCCTTCACCTTCCACCATGATTGTAAGTTTCCTAAGGCCTCCCAGCCATGCTTCCTGTACAGGCTGTGGAACTGTGAGTCAATTTAACCTCTTTTCTTCATAAATTATCCAGTCTCAGGTAGTTCTTTCTAGTAGTGTGAGAACACACTAATACATGGTATTGTGGCTTCCTCTATTCTCAGATTAGCAGTGCTGGAGAAAGCTGCCATTTATCAACTCATGGAAAGGCCTATGTGGTAAGGACCTGAGGCCTCCTGACAACAGCCATGTGTGTCAGTAATGTTAGAAGCAGATCCTCCTTCCCAGCCAAGCCTTCTGATCACTGTAGCCTGGGCCATGATCCTGATTGCAACACAAGAAGACAGTCTGATTCACAACTACTTATATAAGCCATTTTGAGATTACTGACCGATAGAAACTGTAAGATAATAAAGGTTAGTTGTTTTAAGTAAATATGTTTTTGGGGTATTTTGTTACAATGCAATAAATAACTAATATAGTATGTGTTAGATGACATTATTTTTATCTAGTGTTTTAATTCAGATATTGGAATAATTTATTAATTAGGGAAACATACATTCATAAACACACATACACATTTAATTTTGAGTAGCAAAAAATATGAGTTTCGGCAACTTCGAAAACTAAAGAATGCTTCCAACAGCCTTACTTTGTATATACAATAAGACAAATATTTGGTTTTATTGAGTCCCTATTTTTTATGTGTTTAAAAGAAATTTCAGAATTAAGAAATGGGTCAAGATATGAATGGAACTTACAGGTACATCTCGGAGCAGGTATCCAGCCAGTACTTGTGCATTTGGCTGTATTTCCCCGGGTTGCAGGATAAAAACCATTTCTACACTGGTACGTGATTTCATCTCCAGTTCTGTGTTTAATCCTTAAAGGTGAGTAGTCACCATTTGGAATATAAGGATTATCACATGATTTTTCTGAAAAGAAAAAGGATATATGGATAATGCAGAAATAAGTATCCGTTAAAATTAATCATTTATATAAACATTTAAAAGTGGGTGTTATTTATTTGTCCTTAGCATAATACAAAATGGCATTAAAATGAACATATCATAGTATCCTTTCTGGTATATCACTTATTTTTCCCTTCACTATATTCTCATCTGACATATTTGTACCTCCTGGGCTCTTAATCCCTTCTTCTCCAAAGTCATCCCATACTTCATGATTTTCCATAACTGGCAATGTTCTCATCACATATAACTTCAATTCTTACTTTCACTTTCCTTCTATTCTTTGGTTTCTGTGGTTCTCATAAGGATTGTTTACAAATATTCAGTGTTTCTTTCTTCTGGACAATTGATAGGACTGCGCAACCCTTCCTCTTTGAAGTAACTGTGGCCATGTGATTGCGTAGGAGACTATAATAAAAGTGGAAGTAATATCTTCCACTTTAGAGAGAAGTTTTAAAAGCCATTGTGTGAATTTTTATGTTCTCTTTCCCAAAGATACCGCGATTAAAGAAGGACATGAAAAAAAATGATGTTTCTGTCACTTGATTCTTACAATTAATACAATGAGTAAAGTCCCTTCTGATCTACATTGACAGTGAACATGAATGAAAATAAACTTCAGTCTTAATATCTTAAACATTGAGATACTGCATTACATTTTTCTTACTATAATAGGATAAAATAGCAGAGGGTTTGGAAAACCTTTTCCGTAAAGGGCCAGATAAAATGTCTCTGCTGCAACAACTCAACTCTGCCATTATAGTACAAAAGTAATGAAAAACAATACATAAACAAATGAACTTGGCTGTGTTTCAATAAAACTTTGTTTACACAAAGGGGGCAAGTTGTATTTTACCTGCAGCCTATAGTTTGCCATCCTTTGGCCCAGTGTATCTTAATCTATAAGGCACCTTCTCACTCCTTTCCATTAACTCTGCTATATCTCAATATTGGATCCATTTGCAAAATTCGTTTTAAGATAAAATACTATGCATTTTAAGTATTGTAGAAAAACTATATGACCACTTCTATTGGAGTCATATTTTATTTTGGACTAAAAAGCTGTGGCAAACATTCAGCATTGCTTGAAATCCATTTATATACCCCCAATTTATTTACTATTTGATTTCCCATGGTAAATGATCCATAGTCTCCTCTCTTTTCTCAAGCCACCTGAAACAATTGCCTCTTCATCAACAGATAATAAGTCTCCATTCACACAAAACAATTGAGACCAGCAGTAGTGAGTTTCCTATACTTCTTTCCAGCACTCCTCAACATTATCTGTATCTATACTGATTTAAGTCTTTAGTTTAGTCTTCAATGGTAAAGTGTTGCTTTCAAATTCAGGTTAGCTTTAATTCTTTCATTTTCCCCTGTATTTTAAACCATTGTTTATTCCTTCCCTCTTTCTTACCTTATCAACCACACTCTTAAATTGATATGGAAGCTTTTCCAATTTTCAGTCCCTTCACTCAACCCTTTGTTCAAGTTTAGCTAATGTACTACATTTCTCCTCCCCTTCAAAACCAAAACCCTTAAAATACCATTTTATAATTGCTGTCTCCACTTTCCCGTCTCACATTTATTCTTTAACTCACTACTACCTAGTTTCTGACCTCTATTTTGTTGCCATTGCTCTGATAAAAGCTACCAATGAGCCCAATGTCCAAATTCAGAAATGCTTTGCATTTCACATATTCCAGTCACTGGTACATATTATGGACTTCTTAATTATTTATTGAACTGAACAGATAAAACTCTGTAATATTTGACTCTGTTGATTACATACTTTTTGGTGTTCTCCATTACCTTATATATTTATGTTCTCCTGCTTCTCCTTGTCTTTGTCTAAGTGATGCTTTTCTTTTATATCTTATTATTTTCCTTTACTTTATATTTTTTGCTTCTCCTCTTGTACTTTACTTAATTTTTTAATTTTTGGGCCCTGCATACTTGTCACATCTCATCTCCTGCCATTTTTCTACTTCTTCTCTATACTACCACCATTCCTTTCTCATAAGTTGTATATTTAGTCAAACATAAAATTTTATAAAGTTTTAATTATTCATTATATATTTCCTCTTCTCAATACCATACTTCCACTGTGTCCATTCAGCTCCTAAGTTTATACTTCGTTCTGACAGAATAAGCTTTAATATATCTCTATAGCTAACAGGATAATATATTTAGATTAGCAATAATTATATGAGAAACAATATGTATGTGACTTAATATACAAGTTTTAAAGCTTTACTATTTTAAAATTTTACTATTTTATGTAAAAATATGTCTTCAGTGTTTGATGTTGACACTAACTTCAAATGAGTCCTAAATGTATTCCTTTTTTCTTTTTTTCTGTCACTTCATTCTTCTCTATCATATTTTCATATACCCATTAAAGTTCAGTTTACGTATCTTCAATTATTTTTCCTTATGATATAGCTCAATTTAATACCAATTTTTGAAGTCAAAAGCTATGAGATGCAAAAAACAAGAGTTTAACTAAGAAATCAATAAAATAATATGGAACAATTTTGTTAATTAAGAATAGAAAGACTTCTGGTGATTATGCTCAAGCAGTAGACATAAATCCTGTGATAAACCTTAATTTCCTACACTCATAATCTTTTTAAAAATACATCATGTTATTAAAACATTGCCCGAACCTGTACCTTTATCCAAAACAATACTTGAGACTATCCATATTTTCCTACTATTGGAAACAACCATTGGTCATTTGAAGTTAGAATACTAATTCAAGGTTAGCACTCTATGCTTTGAACCAATAGAAAATCCAATCTGTACAGGGAAGAGATAGATTCGGATCAAAGATAGCTTTCCTTTAGCAGTTCTTCGTACCTTTGATTGTTTCTATAAATAACTTTCTGTTACAGATTGTCCCTATTGGACACAGAGACCAAAGTTTTGACAATTCACCTTTAAATCAGTCCTCTGACATGTGTGTGCCATAGACCAGATTGAAGAAAATTAAAGTATTTAAAATTTAAGTAGATTATTTCACTTTAATATTATCTTATTATTTAATTCCAAACTTCTTATAGATTTAGAAGCAACAAAGAGAGTTTGAAGTTACCTGATTTCAGAGAAAATGATGTGTATAGATTTTGAATTCATCTTATATCAGCAAGTAGATCCTTGCTTTGTACCAAGAAAATAGTCATATTTATGCTATATTAGTTGGCATACAAAGAGTGGAATTCTTTTATTAAGAAAGACTTCTCTATATCTAATCAGCGTAAAGTATATTTCAATAAAATAAAACGTGGTGAGAGAGTGTATGCTTAACTAATTTGGGATAAATCCTCCTTTATTTATATCGATTATTAGTGAACTGTCTTCTGAAAAGGAGTACCCAATCCCAGTGCCTTCTCTTGGTATCTCTTTTCCTAAAGAAAGCAGGACCTGCAAGCATAGTATTGAATATTCAGGTTTTACTTGTACTTGTGACTGAGAAATGGAAAAAAATTATAAAAGAAAAATGTTTTATAAATGTAGAGTCTTTGAGGGGTGTGTGTGTGTGTGTGTGTGTGTGTGAATCAATTAGTGTTCAAGAGAAGCAAGAATAGAAATGCAGTAATACATTTGGGAAAAACAGATGGATCTCTCATTGTGAAAACAAATATGTGCTAAGGAAGAGTTTTAAGTAGGTATCAAAGTGAAGAAGTAAAAGAGACGAAAAAATCAGATGACTACAATGAGGTAGTAATGCTACAGAGTCACATATTCAAATAAAACTAAATTCCCAGAGTCTTATTTTGAATTCATTGAAAGCTGGAATGATGGTTTATTGCAATGTTTATCTTCAATACACAGCAAGGTCCTGATGTAAAATAAGTGGTTTATAAGTTACATTTTGATTACTGCATGGATAAATTCACTATAGATTTGAGAGGGGCTCTGGAAATAATATACTTCAGGTAGAAGTTAATGCCAAAGGACTTGTGCATGCACTTCCTTTGCTTAGGAACTACGAATGCCATGAAGACAAATAGTTGGACCCCACACACCATTAGCCAAACATGGATCTGATGTGGGTTATTACTGTCTCATGTTCATTAATTTCTTTCTAAAATATTCTCTTAACAGTGCCTAAAAGTAGAGATCACGCAATTGTGAAGAAAAATATGTTTTCCAAGGAGACACTTGTGGGCTCAAACCAAAATTTTTTTAGTGTATAAAATTAACCCAAAATTAACTATTCTTTTGTAAAAGAGGATTACTAAAGCACAGTTTAAACATGTATTTATGAATCATGGGATTTAAAGTTCAGAGGGCTCTTAAGAGTTCAACTCTTCTTTCTCTCACAGTATGGCAGTATCACCCTTTTAGATTTCTGGACCATATGTGGTAACACTGTTCCTTGTTTCACTAATTGCAGCAGACCTCATCAAAAGCAAACCCACTTATTTTATAAATGTTTGAAAATATCTCAAAACTGTTATCACCACACTATAGCTGTAGCTTCTTACTGTACGTCTTATGGCATAATTTCTTAAAAGTCCACAACTGTCCATATTCTCTCTTCTTGGCCATGATAGTTTGAAACTTTCCCGTTTAAAATGAAGTAGGTTAAGTAGAACACTCTATTCCAGATATATTTTTTGGTGGGCAAAGAGCACAGTTGAGATGAACTCTTTGGCTCTGTGTAACATCCCTCCATAATGAAAGTTGAGAGGTTTTTTTTTTTTTTTTTTGGTAATTTTCCAGGACCATCATCACCGTTGAGTCATACTGGGCCTGTTGTTAACAAAAATATTCACTTCCTTCAACTTAATTCCATTGTCAGTTGAGAGTTTCCTCACCTGGTATTAATACAAGTTACTTTTAAAGTATTTTAAAATATTCATATAATTTAAATAAATTCTGGGCATTAGTGGAGCAATCTACTTGTTTGAGAATTGTATGTTACTGAGAATTAGGAAGTCTATTATAGTCCTCACTCTGATCCAGACATGGTTTTTGATGATAGACCAATGACTTAATAAGCTACTGAACTTTTCTGGCCCTGTTTATGTCTGTTTTCAGAGTGTGTGTATCGTACGAAGTGTACTCAAAATGAACCTTGAACACAGAAAATGCTATATGTTTTTTATAATAGTTTATTTACATAAATTAGCACTCTACTTTTGATTAAAATAAGTGGATTTATTAAAAGAATTAATTAAAATATGTGATAAATTTATAAAGATCCAGAAAATAAAGGTAACATTACCTTCACATGAAGGCAACGGACGCCATCCAGATTCAGTGCATACAGCATCTCCTCTTTCACTGTATTCATAACCCATGTTACATTTATATTGAAATCGTTCATTCTCCTTATAAATAATCTTCTGAGATATAGGAGATCCATTTATAACATCTGGGGATTTGCATGAAATTTCTAAATAAAAGGGATTAAATTCCAAAATGTTTATTGCAAATTAAAGGACTGTGACCAGGACATAATTATATGAAAACAGAAATGTTGTTTCCATCAGGTAAATCAGTCAACCAAACAAAAGTTCTGTTTTGACTTGACCACTTAATAAATGATTTATCTGAAGAAAGTTAAAATTCTGATTAAAATTATGCTTCTGATTTTATTTAGTTTCAGGATAAATTAGCCTTCTTGAAATAAATAGTGACCAGTAACATTCATCAACTGTATAAATAAAATTGATCATAAATATAGTTTTATTGTGATGTTTTCACTGAATGACCTGCAAAAAATAACACATCTTCTAGTTATTGATAAGACAGGAATTATCAACAGGACTTTTTGTCAAAGACATTGATTTAACTCATTGTCATTACATCTCTGAAAAGTAACTGACCTGTTTTTGTGTCATCACTATTTAGCCAAGATTTCCTCAGAAAAAAAAAAAATGGCCATCATCTTTTATACCTTTTATACCCACTTCTCTCAAACATTTTTACCTGGGATTGTGCCAATCATAAGTAGTTTCCCAAACTCTGTTCTCCCACTTTCTAATCCATTTTCCTTGTGTATAGCTTAATGACCTCTCAGGTAGACACATCGTAACTCCACTTGAAATCCTTCATTGATTCCCAAATCAATCTGAATAAAAGACGCGTTCTTCAGCATGGTGCATGCAGCACCTCAGCACTATGTATTGGCCCACCTTCTATTTATCACTGACTCGTTCCCTACTTGCATCCTAGACTAAGGTGCCTAGGAACAATGGACAAGAATCAGTGGTGCTTCATGCTCCTTAAAGCCTCACTGCCCTTCCACTTCCCTTTCCCTGAACTCTGGTATGCTTTTGCTCTCATTTTCATCTACAAAATCTCGTTTTTTTTCTTTAAGACTTAATCGTAGGCATCAGCCATTCCAGGAAGTTTTCACTAACCACAGGAATCTAGTTGTAAGGATGTAAATTCCATCCATGTACTTCTAAAGTACATAATATTTGCTATGCTGAATAAAAATATTAGATTTAACATAAAGAACTATTGTTGTTACAAAGTGTTCTTAAGAAGAGAAATTCTTTTATCTGTATCTAAGATATAACAGACTTTAATAGTAAAAATAATTTAGATATTTTAGATAATATTAAAATATAAATATGCCAGAAACTTCTGCCAAACAATTATTGGTAAAATGAACTTGAACTATGGTACTACTAAACAAATCAACCACGATGTTTATCACAGAAGCCAAAATCTTTGATTGGTCATGATGCACAGGTTGGCAGTATTATGACTAAAAAAATCCTGGCTTACAGTTTACTATAAAACTTTTTTTAAGAGGCAACAATTTATTTAGTGGATTCTGTTCAATTCAGCAACATTTATAGTAAACTTGCAGTACAAATATAAAATAGGTCTGCTTCCTAAAAGTGTTATTCAAAAACGAATGTCATTCTAATGTATCTCTGGAAATACATAATGAATCTTTGGCTTTCAAAATAAAAACAAATGTCTATTCCAGAGGTCTTACAGCTTGCAGCAGAAATACTTAGCATTCTCTTTCAACCTAAGAGACAACTACAATGGAGTTATGGTTAAAGCATGGACTCTGGTGTCAGATAACCTACATTTAAATCCTAACTTGACTCTTTATGCCATGATAATCCAGGGCATGTGATTTAACTTCTTTGCACCAGTCTCTTCCATTATAAAATGAAAGTGATGAGTAAGTAAATCATGGAGTTTTTTGAAAGTTAAAATGAAATGATGCATGCAAAGAACTTAGCTCAATTACAGGCAGATAGTAAGTGCTCAATAAACATTAGCTATTGTTAATATTGCTGATATTCCTTAGAATGAACGATGTTTTAAATGTATATTTACATTTAAAAAGCTAAAAATACTAAAACAGTAAGTGTATCTTACCCACACACTTTGGTTTCTCTTTACTCCAAAAACCATCGTCTGAACAATGCATTTCTTCATCTCCTTCAATCTTGTAGCCTGAGTTACATACAAACCGTACTGCTTGTCCAAAATGGTATTCCCGATCTGGTTCCATTGCACTACTGACAATTTTTCCATTCTCTGGTGCTGTCACTGGTAAACACTTCACAACTGAAGAAAATACATGTAATGTTTTCTAATGGAATTTTAAAAGTTTATTGTGAAAAATATGTGTATGTATAAAATCATCCTCAGGATAAGATTGGAGGAAATTACTTAAATTATTTTTAGAAGCATTTGATATACCTGTTTGCTAGAGATACTTTCCTCTAAGAAACAAGCAAATGGAATGTTTATTCCTGATTCTTTTCTATGGGAGTGGACAATGAAAATTACTACTTTCAATGCTAGCTTGTATTTTTGTAGTAACAAACTAGTATTTTTAAATAATTAAGAAATATAAAGCTTGAGATAATTAAATACATTTTCATTTATGCCCTAGAATAATATAACACCGTGTTCCTAAAAGATGTAAAAGCAAACTTTATGACATTAACTTCAATAGAGAAATCATCGTTAATTTTCCATCCTCTTCGACCTCAGTGTTTAAAATAATTTGAGTAGTTCTTTTGATTCTACTTAATATTTTCCAATTTCTCTAAAGTTGTGGTCAAACTTTATTGTACTATAGAATGACTCAGGATGCTTGTTAAAATAAAAATTTTAGGGCTATCTTCCTGCATGCTCACCCCAAAGATACTGATTCAGTAGGTCATTTTTTAGTAACCAAAGATTTTAGTTTTTAACAAGCATCCCAGGTGATTTCAATGTAGATGTTCCCTAGACCATTAATCTTCTTCCTCCAATTTTCATAGATGAAAAAATCTTCCATTATTTTCTGTAGTTGACAGTTTTTGAATGATTATCACGTTTCTTCTGTATCTCTCTCCACTTGCCACTCACTGTGGAATTAGGAAATACTACTCTGGTTGATTTCTTTTATTTCCATAATGACTAGAGATTTGGATTATTAGCTCAAAACATGAAAACAGAATCTACATTTTCTCATTTTCACTGTTTGCTTTACAGACCAGTGAGAAATAACAGAGCTCGCCCTTAGTTTATTCCTCTTTTCAGTAAAGGTAAGTCCACAGGCAACCTCCCTTAGTGGGAGGTCTCAATCACGTTCTCCACTTCAGCTGTTACCATAGATCCCTGCATTTGGGTGGTTACTGGGTGAGTTCTTCTTCATTAATAAAGGCAAAATTCTGGTCTTTATTTAGCTAATGATGCTTATATGCGTTTCTAGTCATTAGAATCCAAAAGGAAATAAAAATCAGTTTTAGATTCCTTAATGTCTAATACTTCAATTATTATATCAGATCAGGCTGCATTCGTTTTTGGCTTTTGAAACACCAAGAATGTAGTAATAAAAAGACTAGATTCCCACTCTACATTGTATGAGAAAAAAAAACATTAAATAAAAATATTTAATAGAGACTTTAAGATATTTTAATGTAAGACTTTTTTTAAATCTTAGATATTTATTTCAATATACTTGTAAATACATTTTATGTCTACCTTCACATATAGGAATATCATTGGTCCATCCATCTGTGTCACATTCACGGTAATTAATCTCACCTAGCAATTGATACCTGAAAACCAAAAAATAACAGAACGTTGACATAATGTGTGTTTACATGCAGTTTTAAACTCGATGCCATTCTGAGTGTCCAGAAACTCCATATTAAGGAAAATGAACAGCATATGCATTTTCTTGTTTCTTGTTTCTTGTTTGTTTTTCCTTCCTCCTTCTCCTCCTCCTTCACTCTGTCTTAGATTTCTTAACGTTCTCTAGAACATTAATCTTCTTCCTCTAATTTTCATAGATGAAAAATCTCTTAACCTCTCTCTCCCTTTATCTTTCTCTCCTTCTTGGTGCATGGACTGAAAATAATCATAATCCTTGGTTCACGACAAAATCATTATTGTTTCATACAAAGTATTCTTATTTTTCATTGAATTATCTAATTAGCTAAATTCAATAATATAGTAAGCTCCATGAACTATCACCAAAACAAAAGCTAAAAATACCATAGTAACCAACGACTAACCTTATGTTTCCCTCTCCTCCAGTCTTAGACCGTATTTCTGTCCTCCATGATTCTGATATTTTCTGAA
Organism: Homo sapiens; assembly: GCF_000001405.40. Taxonomy (NCBI): domain Eukaryota; kingdom Metazoa; phylum Chordata; class Mammalia; order Primates; family Hominidae; genus Homo; species Homo sapiens. Next base: position 525,138 of record NW_025791754.1, on the reverse strand, counting down.
CACCTTAGGGTTTCTACATAATAAAGATAGTGCCAGCCAAAAGTTGTTAGTGTGTGATTTACTTTCAGCACTTGCCTCCATCTCTCCATCTCTATCGTAGAGATTTTTTCCTGAGAATACCCAGTGAGTCAAATCTGCTCATCCAAGCCATCTAATGTTGAACTTAAGTAATTTTAGTAACCCATCAAGCCTGCCCTTTGAATCTAAAAAATGCTCTACTTGAATATGAGTTCCCTGGGACATGTGCAAAATGTGCAATCATTGCTAGAGGCTTCAGATCTATACATTTTTATCTCCTTAGCCAAGTCAAGTGCTGAACTTAAAGAGAGGACACAAGCCTGTGATAAAAGAAATATTTCAGAGGTGAGGAAGGTAGCAAATTAAAAAATTCAGCCCCAGGATATTATAACCTATTTGGTTATGTGTGATAAGATCAGCAGTAATGATTGAAGGGCTAAAAATGTATTTGAAAAACCTCCCTCAGGTAGTGACTAAGGAGAGAATAAATTCATAAGAAATTATACTTATTTGGAATCTACTATATCTCAAGGTCTCTTCTAAGGGCTGCAGATGTGTGTCTTATTTATTTTTCCTGCCAATCCATGATGCACATAAAATGTGTCTGTTTTGTAGGAGAGGAAATGGTAGTGAAGAGATATATTTTTAAATACCCATAAATGTTAAGTGGTAGAGTTTTGAAAGGCAGGCTTACTCCAGTGACTAAGCTTTAAACTATTATATTTTATTGCTTCAAATTAAGGAAAAAATGGGGAAATAATAATGTTATTCCATTTGTAATATTTGGTTACATTTATATTTATGAAGTATACGATTATAGTGATCTAATCCTGGTTTTCCCATACATAAATTTTTCTCCAAAATAATTTTTCATCTAGCAGAGAATAAGGGGGATAAAATAACACTGAGGATATACAGTGATGATTTTGGCAATGAAAACCCAGTAGTTGGTTAGAAGGAACAGAGTCAATGATTCTGAAAGAGTAGTATTTTTAATCCATGTGGTAAGAATAATTTGCAGACCTGGGACATTAAGTAACCTTAGTTGTAAGTAAAACTTATAAGCAGGTGAAAGTCTTGCTTTCCTTAAATTTTATAAAACCTGTCAAAACAGTTACCATACAATATAAATTGGTTACAATTCCTATTGTTCCTGACACATTGAACTCCCATGATACTCTGCACAAAATAGAATGTCGTGAAGACTTGTTGGGTGAATACTTATATATGTGCATACTGTTTTCCCACTCTCCCATAATTATACTCTATCAGAGAAGTTATACTTCATTTAAATTTTTCAATGTTAAGGAGATAATATGGTATCCAGATTTAATTATTTCCATCATAGTTAAACTTTCAGGTACTTGTGTATTACTTTTTTAAATGCTCATAGAAAAATATAATAACCTTAAAAATATATAAAGTAGTAGAGTTCCTATTTACTATCTTAATTATAAACCTCTTTTCGTATGGACTACATACCCCTCATTACATGTATACACAGCTTTTACACCATATTCAAACACATTTCCTCCTGTAAGGGTAAAAGTACCAAAAGGAGTATCTCCAGGATGTCCACAGGGCCTTTCTAAAACGAAAAAAAAAAAGTTATGAATTAGTATGTAATAGCAAGGAATATATTTTATGTAGGAGTGGGGGAACAAGTATATTTGATATTATATAAGAAGACAGATTGAATGTAAGGAAAATTAAACATAGCAAAGCCATTATTTCATAATTGAACTTAAACTATATGCTTGCTTTTTTAATTTTGGAGGATGACCACCCCTTTTTGAAAATGATGATGTATTGGCTGGGCACGGTGGCTCACGCCTGTAATCCCAGCACTTTGGGAGGCTGAGGTGGGTGGATCACGAGGCCAGGAGTTCGAGACCAGCCTGCCCAGCATTGGTGAAACCCCATCTCTACTAAAAATACAAAAATTAGCCGGGCGTGGTGGCACGTGCCTATAGTCCCAGCTACTCGGGAAGTTGAGGCAGGAGAATTGCTTGAACCAGGGAGGCAGAGGTTGCAGTGAGCCGAGATAGCGCCACTGCACTCCAGCCAGGCGATAGAGGGAGACTCCATCTCAAAATTGCGCCACTGCACTGCAGCCTAGGTGACAGAGCCAGACTCCATCTCAAAACAAAAAAAAAAGATTATGTATTATTTTGTATTTGACTGGCAATAGTGATATAATTCAGGCATAATTGCTACAATATTAAATCTTAAGTATTTTTACACCTAGTTTTCATAAATTTCACAAATGTATTAAGTACTTACTCTGACATTTCCTTAATGGATTAAGAGCAACCCATTCTCCCTTCCTGCATACCATTATTATATTTCCAAGAGATCTATATCCAGGGCGGCATTTATAGATAGCCTGGGTGCCTTCTGGATATGTTTGGTCAGACCAGGAACCTGTCAGAATTTCTGTATTTCTTCTTGGAGGAAGTTCATTGCAATCTACAAACAATAAAAACAAAATAAGTGCATAAAGTATCTATTTAAATGTACAGTATATTTAGGTAATTGTTGCTTTTAAAAATGCCTAGACAGTCACAGGTCTATCTAAATTTCTCTCTCTCTCTCTCTCTCTCCTAACCCCATATCTATGGAGTAAACATACATTTCATGCATGTAGTGTAACTATACATTTCACCTTATAAAATTTGTATCTACATAATTTTATAAGAATGTTCACTGTGGAAAAACACCTAAAAAACTTTGCAAAGCAATAGATATATTTTGTTATATTACTCTTAATTGCTGGAGAGCATTCTACTATTCTTCCATTAATTTGGGAAATATTTATTGAGCACTATTCTAAGTTATAAAGAAAAAACAATGAAGAAACAAACTATCTGTTCTCAAAGCATTTCCATTCTATTAGGGAAGCCAGTTATTAAGTAATCAAAGAGATGTATAATATGCATTACAGGTAGAAAAATTATATTTACAAAAATTAGCATGATAAGTTAATACAGAATTATACAGGCACTCCAAATAAGATAGAATAGGATGGAAAAGAACAATGTTTCTACTCCAAATTGGAACAACAACAAATTGTGTGTGCATGTGTATGTTCAAAGGTAAGTTGTGGGAGCAAAGAGGATTAAATGAACAAAACACAAGTAGGAAGGACCTGTTTCAAGTAAATATAGGGTCTCTGGCCATTTTTTACCTGGTTATGTTTGTCAGCTCTGGATATGGATTGAAGATCAGGCCTCTATTTAGTCTGAATGGAAGAATGGTAATGAGGTAAGAAAGAACCAAACATAAGGAGGCTATATCTAGCATGAAGAATTCTGAAACTTTGCCAAATCAGGTTGCTTTGCTAGAGTCTAGGTAGCTTCATACGGGAAGACTGACTTTCCCGTTGTCTCATAGAAAAAAAGTCTCAATAAGAAAATGGATCTGACTCAAATACACAACTAGTATTCTCATCAAAACATGCCATATTTGAAAGTCACTCTGGATGATATTTAAGAGCAGATGTCAAAACAGCAGAAAAGCTGTATACATATATATATTATTTATATATAATAAAAGCTCTTATATATATGTTCACTTTTCTGCTGTTTCATTTATATATGAGCATTTAAGATTATATATATATAAGAACAGAGTCAAAACAGCAGAAAAGCAAACATATATATAAATGGCTTTTATTATATATATATCATATGCTCACATACATAATATATATGTGTTGGCTTCTTCTATCTCAAAAGTCTAATATATGTACACACATATATAGTATATATATATACACATATTTATATTTATGTATATATATGTGTATATGTATATACTCTGTGTGTGTGTGTGTGTGTGTGTGTGTGTGTGTGTGTGTGTGTGTGTGTATTAGTCTTTTGAGATAGAAGAAACCAACCAGATTCTTGACTTTAAAAACCCAAGAGGGTTTAATCTTTGAGACTAGAAACCAGAAATGGGACTGACTCAAACTAAAAGTGTTACCCAGGTCCCTCTGAGTTAAATTTTTGAGTGGCTCAAGAAAGAGCAAACAATCTTGTTGATGAGAGTAAGTTATATAAACTTTTGTCATTACATGTTTTTGTTTAAAAATACGATTTTGAATAAAAATTAAAAGATACACAAAAAAGCAAAAACAACTGTGAACAAAAAGAGAAAATAAATATTCAGTAGAACTAGACACTCAGATTCAGATGTTAGAATTAGTGTTAGGTCTTTATAACAGCTATTTTAGGAACATTAAAGGAACTATAGAAAATATAGAAACGAAAATTTAAAAAAGATATTCAAAATAAAATTGACTCATAAATCATGTGCTATCTTAAAATTGGATCAAAAATCAGAAATAACAACTTGTCAGATGGTTTTAAGAATCAAATGGACACAGCACAATACAAACTTATTAAACTTAGAGGAAGTTTAATGTAAAAATAACCAAAAGGAAATATAGAAAGACAAAAGTGTATAAACAACAACAAACAAAACAGAGTATAAAAAAATGTGTGGTGTAGAGTCAAGTTATAAAACATGTTTAATTGGAATTCTAACAATAGAGAAGAAAATGAACATAGGCAATATTTGAAGAAACAATAGCTCAAAGGTTTCCAAAATTGATGAAAGAAATCAGCTCACAAAATCAAAATTTCTAAAAACCCCCAAAATGCTGTATACCAAGAAAACCTATACTGATACTCTGCTGAAAACCAAAGATAAAGGCAAAATCTTAAAAGCAGATTGTATTAGTCCATTTTTGCACAGCTATGAAGAAATACTCAAGACTGGGTAATTTATAAAGAAAAGAGATATAATTGACTCACAATTCCACATGGTTGGGGAGGCCTCAGGAAAGTTACAGTCATGGTGGAAGGGGAAGGAAAGACCTCTTCACATGATGGCAAGAGAGAAGTGCAAACAGGGGAAATGCCAGATGCTTATAAAACCATCAAACCTCATGAGAACTCATTCACTATCACGAGAATAGCATAGGAGAAACTGCCCCATGATCCAAGCACGTCCCACTGGGTCCTTCCCTCAACACACAGGGATTATGGTGATTACAATTTAAGATGAGATTTGGGTAGGGACACAGAGCCTAACCATATTATTCTGCCCCTTGCCTTTCCCAAATCTCATGTCCTCACATTTCAAAACATAATCATGCCTTCCCAACAGTCCCCCCAAGTCTTAACTCACTACAGCATTAACCCTAAAGTCCATGTCCAAAGTCTCATCTGAGACAAGGCAAGTCCCTTCCACATATGAGCTTGTAAAATCAAAAGAAAATTAGTCATTTTCAAGATACAATGGGAATACAGGCATTGGGTAAATGCTCCCATCCCAAATGGGATGAATTGGCTAAAACAAAGGGACCAAAGGCTCCATGAAAGTCAGAAATCCAATAGGGAAGTCATTAAAACTCAAAGTTCCAAAACAGTCCCCTTTGATTCCATGTCTCACATTCAGGTCACACTGATGCAAGAGGTGAGCTCCCACAGCCTTGGGCAGACCTGCCCCAATGGTTTTGCAAGGTATGGCCCCCTGCCCTGGCTACTTTCACTGCTGGCATTGAGTCTCTGTGGCTTTTCCAGGCACAAGGTGCAACCTGTCAGTGAATCTACCATTCTGGGATCTGGAGGATCTGTGGCCCTCTTCTCACAGCTCCATTAGGTAGTGCCCCACTGGGACCTCTGTGTGGGGGCTCCAATCCTACATTTCCCTTGCTCATTGCCCTAGTAGAGGTTCTCCATGAGGGTTCCTCCCTTGCAGCACACCTCTGCCTGGACATCTAAGCACTTATATACATTTTCTGAATCTAGGTGGAGGTTTTGTATTCTGTGTACCCACAGGACCAACACCATGTGGAAGCTGCCAAGGCTTAGGGCTTTCATTATCTGAAGCAATGGCCCAAGCTGTATGTTGGCCCCTTTTAGACATGGCTGCAGCTGGTGCAGCTAGGATGCAAGCCACCAACTCCTGAGACTGCATACAGCAGTGGGGCCCAGGCCTGCAAAACCATTTTTCCTTCCGAGGCAACCAGGCCTGTGATGGGAGAGGCTGCCTTAAAGATCACTAACATTCCCTGGAGACATTTTTCCCTTGTCATGGTGATTAACATTTGGCTCCTCATTCCTTACACAGATTTCTCCAGTGGGCTTGCATTTTTCCCAAGAAAATTCGGGTTTTATTTCTATTGCATCATCAGGCTGCAAATTTTCCAAACTTTTATGCTCTGCTTCCCTTTTAAACATAAGTTCCAATTTCAGACCAACTTTCTCAAAGTTCAAAGTTCCACAGATCTCTAGGGAAGGGGCAAAATGTTGCCAATCTCTTTGCTAAAACACAGTTAGAGTGATCTTTGATCCAGCTCCCAATAAGTTCCTTGTCCCCATCTGAGACCACCTCAGCCTGGACTTCATATTCCAGATCACTATCAGCATTTTGGTCTAAAGCATTCAACAAGTCTCTAGGAAGTTCCAAGCTTTCCCACATCTTCCTGTCTTCTTTTGAGACCTCCAAACTGTTCCAACCTCTGCCCATTACCCAGTTCCAAAGTCACTTCCACATTTTGAGGTATCTTTATAATAGTGCCCTACTACCTTGGTACCAATTTACTGTATTAGTCCATTTTGCACTGCTATAAAGAATTACCTGAGACTGGGTAGTTCATAAAAAAAGAAGTTTAAACTGATTCATACTTTCACATGGTTGGGGAGGCTTCAGGAAACTTACAATCATAGTGGAAGGTGAAGAAGAAGAGAGGATCTTCTTCATATGGTAGCAGGAGAGAGAAGTGCAAGTTGGGGAAATGCCAGATGCTTAAACCATTAAATCTCATAAGAACTCACTCACTATCATGAGAACAGCATGGGACAAACAACCCCCATGATCCAGTCACCTCCCACTGAGTTCCTCCCTTGACATGTGATGATTATGGAGATTATAATTTAAGATGAGATTTGGGTGGGGACACAGAGCCAAACCATATCACAGACAGAGGAAACATTTTTTTTCCAGGAGAATAGTAAAAATAACAGCCAAGTCTGTGGAAGTAAATACTGAAGTCTGAATATATATGTCTTAGCATTACTAAAGTGCTGAAAATTAAAAGTCAGCAGAGAACTCTATAAATGGTGAAAATATACTTCAAAAATGAAAGCAAATAGAAACACATTCTTAAGCAAACAAAAGCAGAAAGAATTCAACAAGAGCAGACTCAACTATAGAAAAATACTAAAAAAGTTCTCTGGGCTGAAGGAAACTGATCTAAAATATAAGCAAAGAAGTACAAAAAGGAATAAGCAGAACTGAAGAAAATAAATAGAAGAGTAAATAAAAAAGCTATTGAAACATGATAAACCCTATGCTATGTATATTTTACTCAAATAAAAAAGAGCCTTGACTGTTTAAATCAATAGACCATGTTTAATAGTGTTTTTAATAAATTCAAGAGTATAATATGAAACAATAGTAGCAAAAGTGTCAGGAAAAGGTAAAGAAAATAAAAGTGTTGTGATGTTTTCCCCATAGTCTTGATGTGGTAAAAATATTAATTTAGAATAAATTGTAATAATTTAAGCATGTTTTGTTGTAATTGCTAAGTTAGCCACTAAACCAATAATATTGAGATACATAAAATAACTAGAATACATGATGTAATGAGATAGTCAAGACTATTTGATTAAAATAAGAGAAGGCAGGAAAAGAAGAGAGAAAAATTGAGGCAAAAGTAAGTAGCAATATGCTAGACTTAAACTGAACTGTATCAGTAATTACATTAAATATAAATGGATTCATCACCATACTAAACATACAAAGATTGTCTGACTGGATAAAAGCATAAAAGAAAACTCAAATATATGATGATTACTTTTAATAAAATTGTACATATAAATTGAGAGTAAATGATAAAAACCAATATGCTAGAAAAGTATCAACCAAAGTAAGAATGATATTAATGTATTAATATCAAGCAAATGATAATTTTAGTTAGAAAGTATTATTAGATAAAAAGAGAGTCATTTCATATTAATAAAAAGGCTACTTTAACAGAAAGATGTAATAATTGCAAATGTGTCTGAACAATGTTTGCTGGAGCTGGCTCATACTGACTCATAGGAGCCAATTATACACATCTTTTGCTAATACAATGTCTCCTGATGACACGTTGGTAACTTGAAATTGACCATATTGTGAGAATTTACACCATGAAACTCAGCAAATTTTACAAATCATGGTTGTTCCCTTTCCTTTTAAAAAATAGTTGGTTGTTTTACATTTACCAGCATGCCTCTTTGCATAAAACTATTAATACATCTTCAAAATATAACAGAAATAAAAGAAGTAAGCAATCCACCATCATAGTTTGAGATTTAAGCACACTGTTTCCAATATCCAATAGAAAAGAAATAGAAAAATAAGGATATACAAGATATAAGCAACATTATTAACCAAATTAAGTTTTTTATATTAATAAAACACTGTCTTCAACAATTGCAAGATGCATATTCATTCCAAGCAAATCTCTACCAATCTCAAAAAATTAAAGCCACTCTAAGTATACTCCCTGACCACTAGACATTGCTAACAGAAAATAAGTGGAAAATTCACAAAATTTTTGAAGTTAAGCAACCCTTTTTTTTTTTTTTTTTTTGAGACGGAGTCTCGCTCTGTCCCCCATGCTGGAGTGCCCAATCTCAGCTCACCACAACCTCCACTCCTGGGTTCACGCCATTCTCCTGCCTCAGCCATCTGAGTAGCTGGAACTACAGGTGCCCGCCACCATGCCCGGCTATTTTTTGGGTTTTTTTTTTTGTATTTTTAGTAGAAACGGTGTTTCACCGTGTTAGCCAGGATGGTCTCAATCTCCTGACCTCGGCCTCCCAAAAGTGATCCGCCCACCTCAGCCTCCCAAAGTGCTGAGATTACAGGCGTGAGCCACCGCACTTGGCAAGCAACACTTATAAATAACTCATGAGTTAAAGAAAAATATAATATAAATGAGAATATGATTTGAAATAAACAATAATGGAAATATATGTTAAAATTTGTGGGCTGATGCTGAAGCACTGATTAGAGAGAAAAAAATATAACTCGAATGAATTAGAAATAAAAAAATGTTGGAAATCAATTATCCAAATTTCTAATTCAAGAAACTAGTAAAACATTAAATGAAATCTAAAGAAAATAGAAAACAGCAAATAATAGTGATGATCACATAAATCACCCTCCAAGTTCAAGGTGACAACTAAAGTATTTAAACTAAGGATACCCAATTCTGTTGTTACCGGGCATGGATGTGACCTATACTGGCATCAACTTTCATCCTTCATCAGCAAAATTATCCTGGTGGGGGTTAAGATATTAGAAGCTGAGTTTCAGTGCCTGAAATCTCCATCAAGCTGTTCTTGTGCATACTGCCTTTATCCTTATTCTGTATTTTCCTTCAAGCCAAGTAACCTTGGCAATGGGTAAGTCTATTGTACTGTGTAAACTTGGACTACCTCAAATTGAAACTCACTCTGGCAGGCTTGCAATTAAAATCCACTGGGGCCGGGTGCGGTGGCTCACGCCTATATTCCCAGCACTTTGGGAGGCTGAGATGGGTGGATCACCTGAGGTCAGGAGTTCGAGACTAGCCCGACAAACATGTCGAAACCCCGTCTCTACTAAAAATACAAAATTAGCCAACTGTTGTGGCACATGCCTGTAATCCCAGCTACGTGGGGGCGTGAGGCAGGAGAATCTCTTGAACCTGAGAGGCGGAGATTGCAGTAACCCAAGATCACGCCATTGCACTCCAGCCTGGGCAACAAGAGCAAAGCTCTGTCTCAAAAAAATATAATAATAATAAATAAAAAATAAAACCCACTGGAAATGAAATGGGATAAATTTGAATCCTTACTTTATTTGCACAGACACATGCACACAAATGCCAGGTAGACTAAAGAGTTAGGTTTAAACAAATTTAAAATAAATACATATATGTTTCATTCTTTTATAATTTTTTAATTATCTGCTATATATGATGATATGTCATTTTAACTTACTATTATCTTAGTGCCATCTATCTATAATTATATTTATTTTATAAATATATTTATTAAAAAGTATGAATAATTATCAAAAAAGGAAGGCTTAATGCATAAAGCAATTTGCAAACAGAACATATACACATTAAAACTTTGTTAATTAAAAATTATATTTGTGAAAAAATCATATATACAAAATGTGGAGAAAATTTAACTGAAAAATTATTCTTAACACAAACACTTCTTGCAGTAACAAAAGCACTAAACACTATCTAAAGAAAAATGTTAGAGTAGGATAGATCATTTACTTAAGAACAGGCATTAACGTGACCATTACCAATAATTAAAAGAGATAAAAATTAAAAGAAAATTATTTTTTGACCAATTTTAACACAAAAATGTAAAGGAGATGATAATCAATTTTGCTGGAAAATTAGGTAATATAAATATTATTATTAAATAAAACTGAAATATAAATGACTATTACTTCACTAAAAAGCAACTTAGCAATAAAGAATCTTAAAAGTACTCATACGTAAGTTGACAAATAATTTCAATTTTTTAAAAGTAACAAATAATAATTAAAGATTTTGTGAAATATTTAGGTACAGAGTGTTTATTCCAGCATTTTTAATAATGGATATAATTAGAATATTTATGAAAATTGTCAAATTATGCTACACCCATCTGAATTAAAAATTGTGGTTTGGGTAATATTTAATTATGTGCATAAAATTTATAATAGTAAGAAGGAAAGTCAGTATATATTTTCTGTTATAGTGAGATACATTAGGTCAGGGGCCAGAAAACTAACCTGTGGGCCAAATCCAATCGCTGCTTGTTTTGTAAATAAAATTTTAGTAGAACACAGCTATGCTCATATAGTTATATATTGTCTATGACTCCTTTTATGTTACAATAGAAGAGCTGAGTAGCGAGACATTATGGCACACGAAGTCTAAAATATTTATTGTCTGGCTATTTCACAAAAAATTTGAGTGCCTTGGGATTCATTATTTCAGATTAATCTTATCACTTAGGACACCTTCACAATAAAACCAGGTGGCCAGCCATGGTGGCTCACACCTGTAATCCCAACATTTTGGGAGGCTGAGGTGGGAGAATCCCCTTGAGCCCAGGAGTCTGAGACCACCCTGGGCAATATAGCAAGATCCCATCTCTACAAAAAATTAAAGAAACAAATTAGTTACCCATGGTGGCACACACTTGTTGTCCCAGCTATGTGAGAGGCTGGGACAGGAGGGTCTCTTGAGCCCAGGAGTTTAAGGATGCAGTGAGCTATGATCATGTCACCGCACTCCAGCCGAGAGACAGGGTGAGACCCTGTCACAAAAGGGGAAAAAAACAGGAAAACATATGTTTTGAAATAAATACTTTCATAGAGGCATTTAGAAAGCTGACGAGACAGTAAAGAATTACCATAACATATCTTGGTATAATCAGAACCCAGAAAGGAAAACAGGCAGCCAATTTTTTTCTGCACTGTGGGCATTCACCATTTGGGGAAGACACAAGCTTGCTTTTTGATAGCCTTATTAGGCTAAAGCAACAAAATTCAAAGTTGGAAACCTAAATGAATTCACCCACAGGATAAGGGAGAACTGGAAGTAAACCACACTCTTCTTACAGGAACCCAGCTTTGAATTGCTTAGAGCACCAAGGAATTTTAAAGCACAAATTTGGCTTAAGGTAGTCTCACACTGAAAGTTCTTCTAGCCACCCAGAAAAGATAAGTTGTAACTTTAATATGAGGAAGATTTTTTTCTTAAGCACCAAATTATTATTACAAATGTCAAAGACATTATACGGGAGAAAAAGCACCTAGTTACCATAAACTTCATAAGGAACAAAATAGATATTTGATATTGGAATAAATATATACAGACTATAATCAACAATACTAATTCTGTTGTTTAAATGTAAGAGAAAAGTTTGACTAATGATATCTGAGGAAAGAAATTATAACAAAGTAGTAGCAGATTTTAAAAAGAACCAAATATAATTTCTAAAAATGAAAAAACCCATTTTAATCATCAATGGACAGCTTAATAGCAGATAACACAGCTGTAAAAAGAATTCGTGGACAGGAGGGCAGGTCAAAAGAAATAATACAGGATGCAACATGGAGACACACATGTGTGGAAAATACACAAGATGAGCTAAGAGTCAATGAGGATAGAAAAGCCAGAGCAATGTTGGAAGAGAATTTTAAAAAATGAATGGAACATACCAATTAATATATCCAAGAATTAAAAAATTCCAAGCAGTAAAAAAACACACCTATATGCATCATAAGGAATATGCAGAAAACCAAAGAGAAAATATCTTAACCTTGTTAGAGAAAAATACTAATTTAAAAGCAGTAATGGTTAGATTTACAAAGACTTCTCAATAGCAATAGCAGATGCCACCAGGTATTTAATCACTTCCATTTTCAGGAAGAAATAACTATCTATATAGAATTCTATATACAGAAATAATTTTTTGAGAATAAAGTTTTGATTCATAAAATTTATTTTATTTTATTTTTTTGACAAGATCTCTATTGCCCAGGCTGGAGTGCAGTGGTGTGATTTTAGCTCGCTGCGACCCTGACCCCCTGGGCTCAAGTGGTCCCCTGCCTCAGCCCCCCAAGTAGCTGTGACTACAGTCACAAACTACCTCTCTCAGCTAATTTTTGTATTTTTTGTAGAGACGAGGTTTTGCCGTTTTGCCCAGGCTGGTCTCAAACTCCTGGGCTCAAGCAATCCACTCACCTTAGCCTCCCAAAATGCTGGGATTGCAGGAGTGAGCCACCGTGCCCGGGCTGATTAATAAAATTTGAGAGAATTTGCCACTATAAATACACATTAAGGAGAGAAAAAAGATATATTTCAGAAAACTGAAACTGATCCTAAATATAAGGTCTTAGGATGAAAGAAGAAATGAAAAACAAAGAAAATGGTAAATGTTCAAGTAAATATAAATGAATACTGACTATAAAATAATAAAAATATTACCTTACATGGTTTTAAATACAAACATGTATGTGTATACACCCATATACATAAAACACATGACAATAGTAGGTAAACTGTGAGAAGGATTAATAAAATTAATGTCTTTTAAGTTCTTCACAGTGTCCAGAAAAACAGAAAGGTATTAATGAGCTGTGACAGTTTTCTTAATAAGTCATCTTGCTTAAGTCAGCATTCCCAGTTATTGAGTCAAACTAATCTAAATGTTGGTGAGAAAATATGTTGCCAGATACACTCCCAATCAGTTGACTTTAAACAAGCTGATCATTCTAGGTAATCTAGATAGGCCAGATCAAATCATTTGAAAGGTCTGAAACATAGGGCTGAGGCTCCTCTGAAAAAGAGAGGGAATTCTGTGGAAAGCAGCTTCCTTTCCTGTGAGTTCCATCCTGTCTGTAATCTTCCTTTTCTGACTACCTGCCCTGTGGATTTCAGACTTGCTTATCTCATGCTCACAATTCCTTGAGGCAATTTATTTAAAAAACAAAACAAAACAAAACAAACAAAACAAAACCTCTTTTTAAGTAGGTAGATAGGAGATTGGTATGTCAATCAATTAATTGACTGATAGATAGGTAATCTTCTACTTCTACTTAAGCTTCCCGCATTGAATCCTGAGTGATAAATTATTATTAGACTTTAGTAAGTTAAGAAGGCATATGCTATGCTCTGAATACATGCAACCTCCCCACAACCCCCAATTTATATGTTTAAACCTAATTACCAATGTGATAGTATTAGGAGGTGGGGACACTGGGAAGTGATTAGGTCGTGAAGGTGGAGCTGTCATGATTTGGGATGTGTGCCTTTATAGAAGAGGCACCACAGAGCTGCCTTGTCCCTTTCATCATTGGAGGACACAGCCAAAAGGCACTGTCTATGAACCAGAGAGCAGACCTCACCAAACACTGAATCTGCTGGTACTATCTTGCTGTTAGACTTTCTAGCATTCAGAAGTGTAAGAAATACATTCCTGTTGTTTATAAGCTAGGCAGTTAATAATATTTTGTTGTAGCAGCCCAAAGAAAAAAGTTTTAGAAGTGCCCATTAACATGGTGGAACAAATCCATATGAAAACATTTTGCAATATTTCATAAGAAAGAAAACACCATATAAAATTATATTTTACAAAATAATGTGAAAGTTTTTATGGGCACTAATTTTCCCTTGACCTTTTTGCAAATTTGTATTAGTGAACTCATATAATATGTGATTCCACATTGCACTATTTCGATGTTTATAATTTAAGTAAACATATTCTACTCCACTAGATGGTGCTAATACTCTATCATAACAACACAATCCCCGGCCCCTTCCGCACAAAAGGAAAACTGATTAATTACAAGCTGATATGTTTGTTTTTCACTTTCAAAATTTAGATCCATTTGATGATGTTCAGGTTATTGGAAAAAATAAATAAGTAAAGTAATCCATTAACACAAAAAAAGTTTAGCCCGCTCACTTCCTAGTGAGAAGTAAATGCTTTCCCTTCTGGTTATTATTATATTTCCAGGTGATACGTTTGTGCCCCTAATTCTTGATTTCCAAATATAGTTCATTGCTTTTAACAACCAGATGTAGAAAACAAGGATACATCTCTTCCACAAAATCTTCCTACCAACTTCTCACAATATTTACTCTGTGAATATGTTTACTATATATAAAGAATTATCATATTGATTACCTTTTCTCTTCAAATAGTACTTAAAATTCTGGTGCTTTTTCCATCAGTGTTAAATGGCATCTTTTGATTCTGCTTGTAAGAAAAAGATATGACCGCCCCTGTTCTATTTTCCCTTGCTCCTACTACCATCTTCAAAATCTTAGTTCAGATCATCATCTGTCACTTTGGTCATGAAACTTGCCTGCTAACTAGCCTCCAGTCCTCTACTCTCCTGTTACTTCAGTCTATTCACAGAGTGACAAGTGATTCTTGCAAATCTGGTCATGTCATTCCTGTGATTAAAATTCTTCTATGACTTCACTTTTTACTTATCCAGCATTGCTAACTCCTTTCCTTGGTTTGGGAACCCCTTATCTGGCTCTTGCCACTTTCTCGGATCTCATCATGTTAAATCTCCCATGTATTTACTGTGCAAAGTCACGCTGATTTATTTGTTTATATTTTGTTGAGCATTTCAAACTTATTTTTTCCTTAGATCCTTTACACGGGTTATTTCCTCCTCTTAGAATAATTTTACGACAGATTTCTGATGACTGGCTTTGTCTCATCTTTCAGGCCTCTACTCAAATGTTCTGTCCTCAAAGTGATCCACTCATTCTAGTCCCCAAGACCAAGCCCACCTAATGTCTCTACATACTACCATCCCCATCTCTATTTTCTCTTAGGCCCTACTTTACCTCCTTCACAAAATTTTTCACAATGCTATAACTATTTTTGTTCATTAGGTTTTCTATCTATCTCCCCACATCAAAATGTAAGCTCCCCACAATTGAAGAACAATGTTTTTCATAGTTCGTGGAAGAATTTTCATTAATGTCTAGGTCTTCTCACTTCAGATACACTTTCCTGTCTGCTTTTGTTCTAACCATTATTGTATTGAGTATTATTGAGATAGGAGATGGGACTTGGACACTGGACCAAATTGAGGATTATCCAAAACAGGTCTGAGTGGAAGCCCCTCCCTGTAAGACACACAGACCAGTGTGCTATGACAGTTTACCATTACCATGGCAACACCCAGAAGTTACAGGCCCTTTCCACAGCAATGACCCAACAACCGGAAGTTACCATCCTCCTCCTGGCAATTTCAGCATTAACTACCTCTTAATTTCCATATAATTAAAAGTGCATATAAATATGAGTGCAGAACTGCCTCTGAGCTGCTACTGTGGGCACACTGCCTATGGGTAGCCCTGCTTAGCAAGGAGAGGTGCCTCTGAGGCTGCTATACACTGCCACTTCAACAAAAATTGCTGTTTAACACCACAGGCTCACCCTTGAATTCTTTACTGGACAAAACCAAGAACCTTCCCAGGCTAAGACCCAATTTGGGGGCTTGCTGTCCTACATCATTATCAACTCATGCCATAGCAAAAGTATTTAAGGTAATGATTCACTGCACTGAGTTCTAATAATAATTAGGTATATCTTGTGACATAACTTTTATTTGCCTGAATTGACTAACAATCGAATGTTCAAGCTCAGTTGAACCACCTTCAAGTAGACAACAAACGGTTATTTTGGCCCAAGTAGTCAAACTCTCAGCATGTATGTACAACGGGCTTATTAAATAGGATGCATACAAATTGAAAGGCACAGAAACATTTTTTTGAGATGTGATTTATCTTAAAACTAAAAGAAATAGCCATCTCATTTTTCTCATTCTAGATTAATGAGTAGACTAAGCCATCATATCTAAGTATTTGAGTTTAAACAATGAATACTTCATCTTACGTTTACAAGTCATTTAATTGCCAGTTAATTTTGTTTACAAAACACTACATTGGTGAAGCTTTAATTCATTTGGCTTTATTTTACAATTTAAAATTAGTTTTAGTCTGGATGCAGTGGGTCATGCTTATAATCCCAGCACTTTGACATGCCAAGTCAAGAGGATCAATAGACCCCAGGAGTTCAAGACCAGCCTGGGCAACGTGGTGAAACCCTGTCTCTACAAAAAATTTTAAAAATTACCTGAGCAGGCCGGGCGCGGTGGCTCATGCCTGTAATCCCAGCACTTTGGGAGGCCAAGGCCGGCAGATCACCAGATCACGAGGTCAGGAGATCCAGACCATCCTGACTAACACTAACACGGTGAAACTCCGTCTCTACTACAAATACAAAAAAATAGCCGGGCTTGGTGGTGGGTGCCTGTAGTCCCAGCTACTCGGGAGGCTGAGGCAGGAGAATGGCGTGAACCCGGGAGGCGGAGCTTGCAGTGAGCCGAGATAGCGACACTGCACTCCAGCCTGGGCGACAGAGCAAGACTCCATCTCAAAAAAAAAAAAAAAAAAAAAAATTACCTGAGCAAGGTGGCTGTAATCCCTGCTACTTGGGATGCTTAGGTGGGAGGACTGCTTGAGCCCAGGAGGTCGAGGCTGCAGTGAGCCATGATTGCACCAGTACGCTGCAGCCTGGGTGACAAAGTGATTCCCTGTCTCAAAAAAGTAAGAATAATACTAAACAAAATCAAGTTTTTTTTTAGCCCATGAATTAAGAGTGTGAATACGTTTAACTACTGGTAAAGAGTAGGAATGTTTTTACTATAATTTGAGGAAAATAGTTATATAATTTTGGTCAAAGCTAAAAATCAATATTACTTAATATTTTAATAATCTTAATTTACCTAATTTTTTCACTTTCAAATTTTAAGGGGGCATTATTGACATACAAACACCAAGCTAATTACTTATTATTGACATACAAACATAGAACTAATTACTTATTTTCAATGTCAATATATCTTTTAACTGTTAGTTGAAAAGTGTTTTTATTCAAATGAAATAAATCATGATAAAATTATATATTTGGGAAATCCTTAATCAAATTTGTGCTAGATTGTTTTGGTAGACTAAAGTTGGTCTCTTTGTTCAATTATTCTATTTTTCTAAAATTATTTTGTGCATAAAAAACAGTAGATATTATTTTTTAAATAGCCTACTTCTAAACTTAGTAGGTATCAGAATATATTATAAAGCAAAGTTACAAAATCAATTTGGAAAAAAATAAAGCAAATGAACAAAACAGAAATAGCAAAAATAGGTATTTTGCATTAAATTTCTTTCTTATCTTCTCACTGATCTATAGTAATACTATTTATTCAATAATCCTTTGGCTTTGGTATACACAGGGGATATATATTCCAGGACTCCCACACAGGCCAAAATCTGCACATACTTAAATTCTACATTTGGCTCTCTGGAAACCGCATGTACGAAAAGTCAGTTTTTCCTATGCTTAAGTTTTGCAACCCACCAATACTGTATTTTTGACCCAGGTTTAGTTGAAACAAATTCACATAGTAAGCAGACCCCTGAAGTTCAAGCACATATTGGTCAAGGGTCAATTCTATATGCATATATACGATATGATCTAATTAGCTTTTCAAAATAAGAAATATTCAAATTATTTTATAAATAACATGAGAATAAAGATCATTTCAGAAGTAACATATATACCTTTGTAAACAGAGTAAAGAATTGTTTAAAGAAACAAACTCTAGAGACAAAGCAGAATAGAGATTATGTCACACTTAATAGGCATTTGAGAAAGAAAAAGAAAAAAGAAAAGAAAAAAATTTAGCTAGGTGTGGGAGGCTGAGGCAGGAGGATTGCTTGAGCCCAGGTGTTGGAAGCTGCAGTGAACTATGATCGCACCACTGCACTCCAGCGTGGGCACTCCAGCCTCAGGCAACAAAGCGAGATCCTGTCTCAAAACAAACAAACAAACAAACAAACAACTTAACAGTGAAAAGAGCAAGAAGAAAATTCCAGAACCATAAAAAGCAGATAGGAGAATAGACGATAGTCACATGAAGTTGGATAGAATAACAAGTATGTCATAATTAGAGATAAAACAAGATACTATCAGAACATGGGTTGAAATTCCACAACTTTCTTGAAATGTGTATTTGAATAGCTAATTTCTAATGCCAGTTATTGTTCCAGTCACAAAAAACGAACTCAGCCACAAAGAGACAGTACAATTAGGACCCTGAAAATAGAGAAAAAAAAAAAAAAAACGCAACACACATTGTACCAAGTATTACTAAGTAGTACTTGTGGAAGTTAAAGTGATGGAAAAATGAATGAGCGAAAGAACAGATGAGTAACAATGAAACTATCTGGAAGCCTTTCCATTATATCTGTAGATTATGGACAGCCTGTGGAAAAAGCGTAGTAGACAGTAGTGACTAGAAAATATAAGAGAAGACAAGGTGATAACTGTTTAGTGCACTTAAAACTCTGTTGCAAGAACCCAGGAAACTCTAACATTTGTAATTCCATTGTACATCTGACCTATGTGTCCTAAGCTTAAATTTATGTTACAGTTCAGGAGTTTCTGAAAGAATATTGCTTTTTCCTTTTCTTTCTTTCTTTCTTTCTTTTTTTTTTTTTTCTTTTTGAGATGGAATCTCCCTCTGTCGCCCAAGCTGAAGGGCAATGGCATGATCTCAGCTCACTGCAACCTCCGCCTCCCTGATTCAAGCAATTCTCCTGCCTCAGCCTCCTGAGTAGCTGAGATTACAGGCACGCGCCACCACGCCTGGCTAATTTTTGTATTTTTAGTAGAGATGGGGTTTCACCATTTTGGTCAGGCTGGTCTCGAACTCCTGACATGGTGATCCACCCACCTGGGCCTCCCAAAGTGTTGGGATTACAGGTGTGAGCCACCATGCCCGGCCTGGAAGAATAATCACTTTTCTATCTATTACATTTCCAGTTAACAAGGTTTATGAAAAACTTGGCTAAGTTAAAATGTCAGAAGAAATAAAAGTGTTCTGTCAAATGTTTTTTCTTTCCTTTTTATTGTTTCATTTTTTGATGTTCAGTTACTTTATTTCCTCTGAGCTATCTTTTTATGACTCCTTATAATTTTAAGCTAAAATGCAATACTTTTTTGTCAATTACATCATCCCCTTTCCATGTACTATGGTTTTGTGAAGAAATGGGTAAAGTACACGTTAGTTAACTGAGCACGGGATAGATTGGGTGGCAGAATCTCAAAGGCCTAGGCAGGTGGGGGATGGTGTGTGTGGGGAGGAGGAGAAGGCATAACTGGGAAGAATGAAAAGTGGCAAAAGACTGCAGAATAAACAATCGAGGATTAAGCAAATAAAAGTGGGTCAATGTAGACTGGCTCAGATCTTAGAAACCAAAGGCCACACATGAAGAACATTTACCAATCTGCTTTTGAACTTATATTTGGGAACTTACTTCTACCTAAGAATAATTTTAGTTAGCAATACTTAGATATTTCATTTTTAGTTTAAATTATATGTAGGCAAAAGAGTAGCATATGCATTCCCAGGATATGCCTAAATTTAAAATAAGCAAAGCTTGCCTTGGCAGACGTCTCAGGCTCGTGCCATTTCTGTGGGCATTTTCTCTACCCCTTCTCTTATAGCACTCACTATAGCACTTCAACCAGCAGATCTGTCCTACCTGGGAAAACCCCATCTTCCAGAATCACTTTGTTCTATTCTTATCCTCATCAACATCCATTTCTACCCTCCCCCGCCCACTGAAATTGTTTCAGGGAAGTTGTCAGATGATAATAATTCAAAGTAAATTATGAATAATACTAAATTTAACTATCCTAAAATATGTATTCAGTGTATTTGTCATTCCATGTAAATGACAGATTGGTTGAAATTATAGTAATATTAATATCAACACGTAAAGTATTTTAGGAGGAGATGAGATATTGAAGCCAATTGGGCCATCGCACAATTTAAATCACACCATATAGATAAATACACATACTACTATCTCTGAAAATATGGGGGTTTGGGGGAGCAAAGGGGAATTCTTATTTATCACACTGAAATTCAAACATACAATTTAGGATTTTAGACCACTATTCTCCTTTCTCTGACTGTAATGGAATCCATCAATCTCTGATCTATAAAGTCTTCTGGGACCTGAAATAACGTTTCTGCACTCTAAATCTCCAGGATTAAAAAACATGTCTCCCAAACAACACAGCCAGTATTTACTTGAACATGTTTCAGTAGAGTTTTAATTTATTCACTTTAATCATCTTGGAATTTCTGGGCTGTGGCCTAATTTCATATAGTACACAATTGTTAGACCCTAAATCTAAAAAATCTGCTTGGTCATAATATATTCAAAACCTTGGTCATACTATATTTCAAAAAGGTGAAATTAGGTGGTACGATTGAGAAACTGTTATTTTAAACTTTGTCCTGTAAATCTGACCCAATTCTTAGTAGCCTGCAGTGACCCCCTGAGCCAGACTGTTAAAACAAGGAGGCAATTAACGTTCCTACACAATTGGAAATGTTATTGTAGACAATATATTGCATTAGAAAGGTTCTATGTAGTACCCAATATATTAAAAAAAGAAAACAAATAGAAAGCTGAAATTACAAATTATTCCTGCTGGCTATAATTCTTTCTTAGTAATGAATAGTGTTTTTTTTGAAGAAAGTTCACTCTTAACAGAGCAGAAGTAATGCTAAAATGTTATGCTGTTGAATAAAGCAGATTGTGATAGTATTCAAACTATCTTCTCAATTTGGTATTCAGTATTCAATGTG
Source organism: Homo sapiens (assembly GCF_000001405.40). Lineage (NCBI taxonomy): Eukaryota > Metazoa > Chordata > Mammalia > Primates > Hominidae > Homo > Homo sapiens. Next base: position 503,808 of record NW_025791754.1, on the reverse strand, counting down.
GAAAATATAAACAGAAGCAAATATTGAAATATATGTGAGTATTTTTCATGATCAAAGCTACTCTGTTAAGTAAAAATTTTTTAGATATGGTAGATTAATAGAACTGATGGACATCTCGAACTAGTTTAGTTTCAGAGAGTATTTGGGAAACAAGGAATAAATTAGGAGTCTGATATCCACTGAAAATTCATGTAGTTTTTCTCCATTGGCTTTTGCATTACATGTGCTTTTATGAAAATTATGAGGCTGGCCTAAGCATTGCTTTAAATACAAAGTTGTGCTTTATCTTTTAGGAAATAATCAGATTTATATCATTTTCACCATAACATATATAGTGCCGATGTTCAATTCACCAGTAGAAACTGATACCACATTTAAACACACATTGATGAAAAATAAAATAAAAGTGAAACAAGTCAGCAATAATCAATTATGTAAATAAGATGTTTAAATCACTATTGTTTAATTATCACATATACTTTGATGTACTCTATTTTAATAATATTTCAAATTCAACTTTTTAATAACTTAAACTGTTTATTAAACTTGCCATTGATTCTTGATTTTAAAGATTAGAAATAAAACAAATCTCCCTTATATGACAAATGGTATCTATGTAAAACTGGAGCAAACAGTATGTAGGTATGAAACGTTAGAAACATTCCCATAAATTTAGTAAGAAAAGACAGAAATATTTACACAAAGAAACAGAAAAAGATGTCTTTTACAATAGGTAATATTGACATTGTTCTGGAACTGTTTGTAAATACAAAAAGGTTTCATTTTAAAATACTAATTATAATATTTATATGTACAAGGAAATAATTGTTTTCTTCATTTAAAAAGTGGCTACATATAAAGTTTACAAGCCAAAGAACAAGCAATAACATTAGAAAATATAACTGAAAATAATTCAACCTTTCAAAAGGTATTAAACATATTTGAATATTTTTTAAATTACCAAAGTGTATAACTATAAGAATATATCTGCTTTTATTTTCTAGATTGGAAGACTGAAACAGAGATTTGTATTATTTGCTAATATTCTTCAGTTCCTAGAGGCTATGTAATGGTCACTCAATCAAAATTTCTTTACTAAGTGAAAAGATTTTAGAAATTATGAATAATATGTAATTCATTCAGTTTAAAAATGTTTACCAAATATCTATCACATAACTGGTTACCTATCAAAAACTAGGAAAGCAAACCTCCTCCAAGAATAAGCTTTTTAATCTATCAAGAAGCAGTGATATAATTAAATTTTATTATGAATCCAGAAATTGTCTTACTGAGGTCAGAAAAAAACTCCTACATTCATATTCACTACTCCAAAAGACTGCTCTTCAAGAATATATGTTATATACAACTACAGGAAAAAAATCTCTATTGAACAACTTAACTGTTACAAATATTGTATATTCAATTGGGTTTCAAATTTATATAATATTTTTATTCTGATAATACAAGTAATACTTGTCTACAAGAATTCTAAGGTCATGACAATATCAGTTGTAAATGATAAATGAATTTTTATTTAGGAAGAGTTAAAATCATATTTGAAATAAATCTAATCATTATGATTTGATGGCTTTTATTGACTATGTATATTCACATCCTTCTTAATGCTTTCACATAATACATTTTGGTTATACTCCTAAGCAAAAAAGTAAATTACATTTTATGATAATTACAAGGGAAATGATTATTCCAGATCATAGTTTTTCAGAAATGTTTATTAAAACATTTTATTCTATTTTATATTAAATATAATTATGATGAATATTTAGATATACCATTCAAATAAGGTTCTTACATTTTTTAAACTCAACAATGTCAAAAGCCACTCAATTGTCAAGTTACAGAATACTTAAGCACATTTTCTAAATCAAATTTTTATTACTCCTGTGAAAAGCATCATTAGCAAATGTTTCATAATACAGTTTTCAGAAAAGAGTCTCTTTTAATCTTACCTTCTGCTACACAAATAGCCCATAACATAAGGCAAATAATCTTTGCTAGAAGTCTCATTTTTTGGATCTTTTAAGAGGACATTTACCAGCTAACTCTGTTCACAACGTCCAGTTCTCCTCTTCCAAGAATTGTGATTAGTGCAGGAAAGAACTTGCTGCAAAAGGAAGTTGAAACTAGATGCTCCGCCTATCAGAAACTTTTGCAAAGTAAATAAAAAATCAACCACAAGCCACAAGCCCAGAAATGCCAGAAGTTAAACCCAATTCTCACTGCACTCCCACTAAATGTTAATGCTGTGACCGGCTCTTGGACTTTTTCTTATTAAGCTAGGGAAATTCTCCGTTGGAAAATGTTCATGTTCTTGGTATGTGCAAATCAGCAGCTGGTGATATCCTCTGGATTTCATAAACCCTTCAATTATTCAAACTCTATTCGGGTCTATTGTGTATAAACCTCAGAACAGGAAATAAGAGAAACTTTAAAAGAAATCACATACAAAACTTTGGTTTAGGCAATGTTTTCACAATCAGCACCCAGACAATGTGTACAAACTTTGCCAAGAATGCAGTGCTTGATGAATTTGGGGGTCTGCTTTTCTAGCAATTTATGAAATTAGTTTTCTAAATACTTTTTGTATATGTGTATGAAGCAACTGGCTCACTCTCATTTGACGTAAATAGGTTTAATAATCCAAAAATCAACAAATTGAAATGCTGATTTTTAAAACTTTGTATTGTAGTGTAATATGTATAAGGAAAACATAAATCATATGCTGGATATTGAGAAGGTAAAGATACCTGTGAAACCACCACCAAGGTCAAAACACTGAACATTATTACATCCCAGAAAACCCCAGTACTCCTTTTCAGTCAATACGCCTCTCAACCCTCTCCCACACCCCCCACACACAGAGACCACGATTCTGATCTTCAAGAACATGGAATATATTTGTCTGGCTTTTGTACTTTGTATAATGAAAAAGAAGCAGTTTATTCTTATGTTTAGAGTTTTTCACCAAAAATTGTGTTTGGACCATTCAAACACATTGTTAGATGTAGTTACAGATAGTTCATTCTTATTGCGATTTAATACTCCACTTTTTGAATAGTTCACATTTTATTTATCTGTGTGCCTGTTAGTGAGCATTTGAGCAGATTTTAGTTTGGAGCTGGTATGAATAGTGCTGCTATGGGCCTTATATTATGAGGTTTTTGGTAAACACAATCCACATTTCTGGTAAGTGCATACTTGGTAGTGAAACACTGGGACATAATTTATGTTTAGGTGTAATGGATAAAATTAGACAATTTTCCAAATGGATTATAACACTTGACATCACTTGACATTTCTATCAGCAGTGTCCAAGTTGCTCCATACCCTCAGAGATACTTGGTAATTTTAATCCTTGTAATTTTAGCTTTTCTGGTAACACAAAGCAATAATTCTCCGTGGTTATAATATGAATTTTCCTGATGACTAATTGAAATGTGAGAGATCCCTGATTCCCCTTGAAGGACATGCAACAGGTGTGCGGCTTGCCAGTTAGGTCGCCCTGCAGCTCAAACCCCTTACGGGGAGGGGGAGCACACAGATGCACCGGTGCGGGAACCGGAGTGAGCGCTTTCGGGCTCTGGCCTCACAGCAGCATCTAGGGGTGGGTGTCTGCGATTTCCGAAGCCCAAGTGGGCGTATGTTACAGTGTGCTCCTTTAGCTTTGCCATCTGCAAATGGTTTATGTGTTAATCAGCTCAACAAACCCTCTTCCTTATCTCATGGGTAGTGGGACAGTGAAATAGCCCTCTGTATCCCCAGCTGTTGCCCAGTGTCCCAAAAGAATCGGATCACACGGGGGCTCGAGGGATGAGGGCAACTTTTTATTGAGTGGTGGAGGTGGCTGTCAGCAAGATGGAGTGGGAAGGTGACCTTCGCCCAGTGTCAGGCCTCCCAGTGGCCAGACTCTTCTCCACCCGTCCCTGGCCAAACTCCCCTCGGAGTCCAGATGTCCCTCCTCTCTTTCTCTGCTGTGTCATTCTGCCATCGCAGGCCTGTTTGTCGGCTTGCCTCTCCGTCTCCTCACTTGTAGGTCTCTTCTGGAGCTTGGAGTTTGGGATTTATATGGGGGTACGACAGCGGGGCATGGCGGGCCAAAAGGCAACTTTTTGGGTGTGAAACCTGAAATGCCTGTCCTCATTTAGGGCCACAGGTCTTCAGGCTTGAGGGTGGGGCCTTTGCTTGGGGACCACCCTCTTCTACCCAGTATTTCCCTGTCTCCTGCCCTTAACATGAAGTTGAGAAACTTTCCTGTGGTAACTGGTCATTTAGATACCCTCTTTGGTAAAGGTTCTATTCAAATCCTTTGCATATTTTTTTCTTATTGAGTTGTTTGTCTTTGACTTATTGGAGTGTAGGAACTGTTTATATATAATTACTTATATATTCTAGATATGAAAATAATCTTATTAATATGTATTATAAATACCTTCTTCCAGTCTGTGGGTTTTCTTTCTATTCAGTATTACATGTCTTTTATAATAATAAAAAGAATTCCTTAATTTTAAAATAGAGCAAATTTTCAATTTTTTTCTATGACTAGTGCATTATGTGTCCTATTTAATGAAAGCTTGCCTAGTCCTAGAACACAATGCTTTTCTTCTAAAAGAATTATTTTATCTTTCACATTTAAGACCTTTAGAACAACTGTAATTGTCTTTTGTGTATAGCATAATAAAAAGCTCCAGATGCATTTTTAAAATAGAGATATCCAATTGTTATAGCATTATTCAACGAAAGTATCATTCTTTCCTCTGTACTGACATGCTTTCACCTTTGTCATAAGTCAGGTGCTGGATATGTGTGGGTCTATATCACCAAGCTCTTCTTACTGTAATAGTTTATTTTTAAAACTTTTCTAAAGTGTAAATTTCTGGGAACTTTGGCTTTCTAGTTATCTTTTAAATTGATTTCTTTTTTAATTTCATATTCTAAATAATTATACTGTTTTAAAATTTGATGAGTCTTTCTTTATGGCCCATTATAGTCAAAATTCTACCTATGTCAGTAGGTCAAGTTTGTAATTTGTTAAAATCTTTTGTATTTTTATTATGTTTTTGTCTGATTATTCCATCAGATATTGAAAGGGTGTATTACATCTCCCATTATAAATGTGGATTTGTGTATTTCCCTGTTTAATGCTGTGAATCTTTATATATTTTAGGGCTATGATGATGCTTGCATACGTATTTAGAATTGTGATATCCTTCTTTTGCATTGGTCATTTTCTCATATTAAATGGCCCACCCTAACTCTAATTTTGCTTCCAATGTGAATTTTACATTTTATTTTATTTTTATTTTTATTTTTGTAATAAAAATATAAGGAATAAGAGTTAGACTTAGTCATTTGTTCTGAGAAAAATAAGAAATAAAATAGCATGGATATATGAATAATCAAGCAAATTCGAATTCTGAACTATCATTCTGAAGTTTAATTTGATTTAACTGATAACACATATGTTGACATACTAGATCATTTAAACTTCTTCTTTATTCCTTCCTTAGTTTTATCTGTTTGAGTATGAATCCAAACATTTTACCTGGGGCTTAAATTTCCAATAGTGGTTTCTATTCTAATAGCAATATTATCACTTGGAGAGTATTCCAGAAACTTACTAAGATTAATATTATTGAGTGTTAATTATATACCAGGCACAGATCTAAGCACATTTATTCAATACTTAATGCAACACAATGAAATGGGAGACTATTACTCTTTCAAAGGTATAGATGACTGAACTGAACCACAGAACATTTTAGCAACTCCCTTAAGGTCACAAGACATTGCTGGAGCCAGGTATCAAATCCAGTGGTCTGTGTTTAAAATATGTGTTTAAAAATATAGTAAAATATTCACATATGTACTCTAGTGTATGCTTCACATTTATTTATTTTACAATTATGCATATACTGTAAAAGTATTGAAGGTACACACACACATATATATGTTTGTGGATAATTTAAAGTACATACAGGAATGATTTTGCTATACAAATCTTCACCTAATTTGCAATTGTTGAATGTAAAATGCCACTCTACTATCCAAGTAGAAATAATCCTCTTGAATTAATTTCAACAAATATCTTTCAGATGTATTATTTTTACTATTTTTTCTTTATCCTACCTTTTTTCAAAGACTGATGGCTAACGTCAATTGAGTGTTTTTGTTTCCCTTTTTTCATCAATACTTTTCAAAACTACAAAAGTCTATTATAAAGAAATTCAGAACATAAGAAAATTAGCAACATATTATGCCTTAAACTCATAAAATTATTATGTAGTATTAGATTACCATTAGAAAGACCAGATAGTAAATAGTTAACTATTAATACTAAGATTAAACGTGAAATGGATCCAATTTATTTTCAATATTCATGTTGGCACATTCTCAGCAAATACATACTATGTATATTTGGACATTAAAAATTTAGAAGAGTAAGGATATAAATTTGTATTAGAGAAAAATCCATATTTAAAAAATTAGAAATAGTTAATATCTATGCTAAGTAACAAATGACTGTTATGATTAAAATTTTCGAAGGAAGTTTACAAGAAAGAGAAATTACTGAACACTGGTTTTGATCAGGGATGATTTTAAGAACACTTGGATATTACACTGTAGTTTAAGGGAAGAGTACCACTGAGACTGTGAAGAATAGGAAAGTGTGGGGACTAATCTAGAATTAATGAGAAGACTCACATTGGAGCAGTGGTTTTGCACAAGGAAATTGTGGAAGAAGTAAAAGGAGCTTTAAATGAGGAATGGTTTGAATTCCAGATCAAAAACTTGCAAATTATTTTACAGGCAATAAAGAATCTTTGATAGATCTAATTGAGGAAGAAATGTAAGTCATGCATTATTTAAGTAATGGTGCTTTGGCGGTTGTATTAAAATAGATGGAGGAAAAAGGACTCAGAGAAATGACAAATTAAATAAATTACTGAATGAATTCATAATACAACTATTACACAGCATCTCAATGTAAAGAAAAAGGGTAAAAACTAATATTTATAACAGAGCTTGATTTTTCTATGAAGCTAATGAAGTCTAAGCTTCAGGGCTCCTAATTTGAACAGACACCATCAAGGACCTGAGCTGGCCCTTAATAACGTTTCTGCATGGTCATCTATTTTTGTAAAAAATTGAAGAGAATTAATCTCTTAATTGCAAGAGAATGAACGGCTGTCTCTCTTATTCTATGCTGATTTCCCCTTCATTGCATTTCCACTGATTCAGTTGACATTACAGTTTCAGGCATTTGAAGGATGCAAGAAAAAGTTACACATAGAATGCTATTAGTTTGAGATTTATGTGGTATATTTTACAGTCTCAATTAAATATAATTTGATAACTGATGGTCCTCCAAGTGTAAGAATGGCTTCCAGGAATACTCCTACCACCCCTGTGCCAAATCAATTTGCATCATAACACAAAACTTCAGTGTCTGAAGACAGCACATATGAATATGCCCGACACCAGAAGTCTATGTGTAGTGAAGGAGAAACAAGATTAAAAAGTATAAAGACTATGATCAGCTGTGTAAAATTTTAAGTGGATGATTCCATTCTCATTGATTCTTCTCCTAGTAAAAATGAAAACTTGCTCAAGTCATTCACAATATATTGGCATCAATAACAATACCATAAAATTTACAACGCACCTTTGAAATGAAGACATTGAGGTCAAACTAGTTTTCAATGTTTCAATTTAAAGAACATTTAATATTAATTATATCATTAGAACTCTTTTAATGTCCTGAAACCTTGGAGCTTATTATGTCAGGGAAATCTGACAGGATTTTTTCCGAAATTTGATGACAATCTTAAAAATGTTTAGACATAAGTGGTGAACTTGAAATGACTTCAAATATTTCCACATAACAAGAAACAAATTTAAATCAAACATACTAAAAGAAAGACTGAATTATTTTTTCTATTTTATGTACACTGAAAATATTATAAAATGGTGTCATATGAAGGAAAAGTCAAAAAAGTATTCAACAAAAACGTAGAAATTCAAGGTAACAAAGACTTTATCACACAATGACTATACCTATTATATTTTGTGTTTCTATGATATTTCATTGTGGTTTTAATTTGCATTTCCCTAATAGTTATTGATGTTGAGTATTTTTTTCATGAACCTGCTAGTTATTTGTATGTTTTCTTTTGAGAAATGTCTGATCAGTTCCTTTGCCCATTTTTAAATTATGTTATTTGTTTTCTTGCTATTGAGTTGTTTAGAGTTCCTTATATATTTTGGACATTAACTCCTTATCAAGTGTATGGTTTACAAATGTTTTCTCCCATTCCATAGGCTTTCTCTTCATTCTGTTATTTGTTTCCATAGCTGTACAGAAGCTCTTTAGTTTGATGAAATCCCATTTGTCTATTTTCACTTTTGTTGCCTGTGCTTTCAGAGACACTAAAAAAATAAAAATAAAAATAAATTGCAATATTGTGGAGATTTTAACTCATTTCTTCTAGTAATTTTACAGTTTTTTGTCTTTAATCCATTTTGAGTTGATTTTTGTATCTAGTGTAAGATAAAGATCCAATTTAATCCTTCTGCATACAGATACCCAATTTTCCCAATACAATTTGTTGATGAGTCTGTCCTTTCTTCATTGTGTGTTCTTGGCACCTTTATTGAAAATCAATTGGCCGTAAATGCATGGGTTTATTTCTGGGCTTTCTATCTTGTTTCGTTGATAAATATGTTTGTTTCTATGCCAGCACCATGTTGTTTTGATTACAATAGTTTTATAATAAATTTTGAAATCAAGGAGTATGATGCCTCCACCTTTATTTTTTCTATTCAAAATTGTTTTGATTATTTGGGAACTTTTGTGTTTCCATATGAATTACTCTGGGCTTGTCATATATGGTGCTTATTGTGTTGAGGTACATTTCTTCTATACTTAGTCGGTTGGAATTTTTATCATGAAAAGATATTGAATTTTGTCAGATAGTTTTTCTGTATTTATTGAGATGATCATCTGGTTTTTGTCCTTCATTCTGTTATATTGGTATATCAGACGTACTGATTTGCATATGTTGCAACATCCTTGCATCCCAGAGATAAATCCCACTTGATCATGGTGGATGATTCTTTCAATGTGTTGTTGAATTCAGTTTGCTAATATATTGTTGAGGGTTTTCGTGCCTATGTGATGAGAGATACTGGCCTGTAATTTTCATTTCTTGTAGTGTCTTTGGCTGGTTTTGGTATCAAAATAATATTGACTTCATAGAATGATGTTAGAAGTACTTCTTCCACTTCAATTCTTTTAAAAAGTTTAAGAAAGATCGATATTAGTTCTTCTTAAAAGTTTGGTAGAATTTAGCTGTAAAACCATACAGCTTTTGGCTTTTCTTTGACAGGAAACTTTTTTTGATTCAATCATTTTATTTGTTATTGATCTATTCAGATTTCTATTATTTAATGATTCAGGCTTGGTAGATTGTATATGTCTAGGTTGCATGTGGATGTGTCTTGATATGTTGTATGTGTATGCATGTAGAAATTTATACATTTCTTCTAGGTTAACCAAATTATTGGTGTATGATTCTTCATAGTTGTCTCACAACTTTTTATTTCTGTGGTATCAATTGTTAGGTCTCCTCTTTCATTTATGATTTTATTTATTTCATTCTCCTTTTTAAATGTAGCTAAATATTATTATCTTTTCAAAAAATCAACTTTTTCATTGATTTTTTCTGACTATTTTATTTTTCTGCTCTGTTCTTTGTTATTTCCTTCCTTTTGCTAGGTTTGAACTTTGTTCTTCTCTCAGTTCCTTGAATTTTACATAGTTCATTTGAGATCTTTTTTTAATATAGACATTTGTTGTTATATATTTTCTATGAAGAACTTTCCACTTATAACTTTTTTCGCTGCATCCCGTGAGTTTTGCAATGTAGTTTTTTCATTTTTATCCTGTATTTTTTATTTTCATTTTGATTTCTTCTCTGACACATTGTTGAAGAGCATGGTGATTAATTCCCACATATTTGTAAATTTTTCATGATTTCTCTTGTTATTGATTTCTAGTTTCATGTTACTGTGATTGGAAAAGATTGTTATGATTTCAATTCCCTTAAACCCTAACTTATTTCATGGCCTAACGTACGATCTATCCTGGAGGATGTTCCTTACGTGTTTGAAAAGAATGTGCATTCTGTTGCTGTTGGTTAGAATCTTTGGTATATATCTGTTGGGTCTATTTGGTCTAAAGTGTAATTCAAGTCCATTTTATTTTTTATTGATTTTCTGTCTAGATGATTTGTTCATTGTTGAAAATGGGGTTTTGAAGTCCTTTGCTATGTTTATGTTTCATTCTATCTTTCCCTTCAGATTGCTTAGCCATTCTCCTGTTTGACCCAAGAATACTAGCTGGTGGCATTTGTGACTGCAGCATTTACCCCAAGATGACTTTTCATTGAAATATCTTGGTGTTACTATTATTTTTACATTGCTCTAGTATATCAACTTTGGAAACAAAAGACGTCATTCTATTTATAGCATTCTGTTTTTAGTAGTGATATTTTCGTTTACAAAATATGGTAATCCTTGATCACTGAAAATGTCAAATCCTAGAAAACGTAGCATTCCTACATGTTACGTTAACATAGTTCTCGAACAGATGTTGGCTGAAGATTCATTTGATGAATCTGATTGTTCTCAAATAGATGATTCTGATGTCCATTCTGTTTAGAAATAACTCCAAGAAACTTTCATATTTTATTTTCACATTGAAAATCAGTCATATTTGCTTCAACCTCAAAGACTTTGTTTATGTAAAATCAAGTGAATGTTGGCAGCAAGCTTTACTTTTTTTTCCTAAATGGGAAAAGAGTTAATAACTGCTTTATATATTTAGGTGCTCTGATGTTGAGTGCATATATATTTACAATTGTTATATTATCTTGATGAATTGACCACTTTATCATTACACAGTGACCTTCTTTGTTTCTTTTTACACTTTACTACTTAAAGTCTATTTTGTCTGATACAAGTGAAGCTACCTCTGCTCTCTTCTGATTTTCATTTTGCGTGGAGTATCCTTTTCTATCCCAGCAGTCTCTGTGTGTCTCTAAAGGTGAATTGAGTTTCTTGTTAACATAGTATACTTGGATCTTGTTATTGTTTTTAAAAAATATTCATCCTGCCACTCTTGATCTTTGAATTACAGAAGTTAATTCATTTACATTTAAGGTAATTATTGATAAGTAGGGACTTGCTACTGCTACTTTGTAATTTGTTTTCTGGCTTTCTATTTCTGCCTTCCTCTCTTGCTGTCTTTATTTGTGGTTTGATAATTTTCTCTGGTGGTATTCTTTTAATCCTTTCTTTTTTGTTCTTTTGCATCAACTATAGGTTTCTGCCTTGTGGTTAGTTACCATGAGGAATACATAAAACATCTTAAACATTTAAATCAATTAAACATTTTAAATCACTTCATCAGTCTCACTAGTCACATTTCAAATACTCAATAGCCACATATAGGTAATGGCTATTACAGAGCATTTTCATCATCATAGAAATTTTCATAAGATAGTGCTAAGTGATATGGTAGTCCAAATCAGGTGCCCATTATGCTCAGAAAAAGGATGGAAAGGAAATGAGTATTTTCCATATGGTGATCTTGATATATATTCAAAAGAGCAGGATATTAAACATCATGAATTATTAATAATAAAACTACTAGTTACATCTGATTGGTAAACCAATTTAATTTTTTTTTTTTAAGACAGAGTCTCGCTCTGTCACCCAGGCTGGAGTGCAGTGGTGCTATCTTGGCTCACTGCAACCTCTGCCTCCCAGTTTCCAGTGATTCTCCTGCCTCTGCCTCCCCAGTAGCTGGGATCACAGGCGCACACCACCACTTCCGGCTGATTTTTTTGTATTTTTTGGTAGAGACGGGGTTTCACTGTGTTGCCCAAGCTGGTCTCAAACTCCTGAGCTCAAGCAATCCACCTGCCTCAGCCTCCCAAATTGCTGGGATTACAGGCATGAGCCACTGCACCCGGCCAATTTATTTTTAATAATCACAAATATAAGTGTTATAATTCACATGTGAAGATTCAGTCATCAATTACTCAGTCTGTGTTTTTATTTTTTCAGTTGTCATGGTTTGGGCTTTTCTGTCTGTACCCTCACACAACCACCAGCACTTTGAAAGTATAGCTAGTACAAATTAAAGCACAACACAAATTAAAGTTACAAAAAAGAAGAGAATTGTGCAGAGTCCATTGTCCTTTCTCTAATTAATTCAAATCATGATCAGCTTGTCATTTTCTTTCACTTTTCCTGATTTGAAATCAAATTTTCCTCCCCTTACTGACTCAGACATATACTGGTCTCCTTTCTCTCCCAAAAAAGAGTTTTAAAATCCTGAAAAGTGTCCTTGTTATATTTCCCTTTTAATTGCAGGAAAAAAATAATGCCCCAATACCCTTATGTGCTTATATGCATTGCCTAAGATAAAGGTCACCTTTATGATTTATTTTAGAACATTTTTTCATTGCATGAAGAAGCCCTAACATTCAAAGTTTCCTTTCCCACTTAGTAGCTTTACTTCTTTCTAAAAGGACACTGCTAGCACAATTCAATAATTTGGACAAAAGTGAAGAATGATGACTTTAGATTTTGTTTAATTTTAGTTGTAAGGAAGTGAAAACACACATGATCCTACATTTATATTTATTGCAATTATTTTATTAGGTGCATTATTAAAGCTAGATTGCAAGCTCTTCAAATAATTTAACCATCTGAAGGTAAAGGAAAAAAAAATACCATATCCTTGGCAACTTCCTCAGTCATCTAAAATCGCATGCAAAATCTTTTAAAATCTTCAGAGAAAATTGATTTTCCTCCCTTCACTATACCAGCTGCCTCTTTTAATGTTCTCTTTCCCAGGTTCCCAGGCATTTATCCCAGGGTACAACACACAACACAACTGCAAATTTCTGTCTTTTAAATGGCATATTAGAAATCTGTGAGCAAAGTCACTTTTTTGGCCCAGCACTGGCACTGCATCAACTTTCCAAGCTCTACTGACTCAATTTTAATTGCTATGTAATGATTAATTTATATGTGTCAGGTGCTGTATTAAATGCATTATCTAATTTAATTCACTCAAAAACTTTATAATATACTTTTATCATTGCCGTTTTCTGCCTAGGGAATCTGAATTCCAGAGAGGTTAAAATGACTTGCTTAAGTTAGTAGTGAACTTGAGATTTGATCCCTGGCTGTCTGGTTCCTCAATTGAGCATGTACACAATAGTCTCGCTGCCTTTTTGACTCCAAGTGTATTTTATTCCAAAGCTTTGTTATCAATTTTGGTTTTGGACAGAGGGAACTCTTAGAGCTGATATTCTCCAGTCTCTAATGAAGATTCATAGAGACATAATTTAATACGTTGTGTAATGATCATACTTAAGTAGAGTGTATTTGCTTTCTGTAAGTTAATTTTCCAAGATATCTAACAAATTATGTACTGCTACATATCAGATAGAAGTAATCATTTCTTGGGAAAAATAAAACCAGTCTTACCTATGATGTATAATTAGTAAATGACTGAAAGTAGATGGTTAATTGTCATTTATTAGTTGTAAGTAAATAATTTATAACCCAGTTAATATAACTAATTAGATTAGCTTATACATATCATTTAAATGAAATTCAAATTCAAAATGATGCCTGAGAATTCATATATGTTTACATTTTGATAGTTATTATGCTATCTCTATTCCCCCCCCAGAAAAAATCTATTCCTTAACCCTAATTAATTTTTAAATCAACAGCAAAAAAAAAAATGTAAAAATTAATCTGGGTACATGACCAACTTTTAGTAGATTTGATAAAATATTTTATTGATATATCAGAAAACAACATAATTACTGCTAGTTCCATTGTTAAGTTTTAATTCTAATAAGAAATCCTATTTATTAATCATTAAACATTACATTACTAATAATATTCGTATTTAATGTCATCACTAAATTAACAAAACAGCATTTGATTGTAAAAGAGAAACTTTTTTCCATTAGATATTCCCAGGGAATAAAGTTCCACTCACAAAGTATTCCTCAAAAGTGATTTTAAAGTAATCTTTAAGGTAATCCCAAATTCTCAATAGCACATAAAAGCATGCATTTTTTAAAAGTAATCAATAAACCAAAAAAGATGAAGTAAACTATTAATTCCCTGGGAGATTTCTTAATGGTATACAAGTGTTTATTTTTCTCTGTCAGGTGAATTATTAGAAATAAATTTGAATGCCAAGGTGATGAAGATTCCTTTTGATTACATATGAAAACCTTCTTTAAAAATTACTCACAGATAAAAATTTTCACTTCTCCATGGTTTCAGTGCCAGGGTATTATATACAAAAATGGTTAAACTGCTAAATAAAATATGCAATTCTAGGTGTCTTATTTGTAATCCTTAGTCCTGTTTCAGCAGTTGTCCAAGGTCAGGCTAATTGTAATGATCACTTTTGTAGAACACAATGGTAAGGATGACTTTTTGTTGTTGTTGTTTAAGATGGAGCCTCCCTCTGTCACCCAGGCTGGAGTGTAGTGGTGTGATCTCAGCTCCCTGGAACCTCTGCCTCCTGGGCTCAAACAATTCTCTCGTCTCAGCCTCCCGAGTAGCTGGAATTACAGGCATGCGCCACCACAGCCCTGCTAACTTTTGTATTTTCAGTAGAGACGGGGTTTCACCATGTTGACCAGGCTAGTCTCAAACTTCTGACCTCAAGTGATCCACCCACCTCGGCCTCCCAAAGTGCTGGGATTACAGGCATAAGCCACTGTGCCCAGCTGAGGGTGACTATTTTTATAATGGCATCTTAAAATGATTAAACTATTTAAATTTAAAAGGTCATTAATAGTGTGAAAAATTTCCACTGAAGTAATTTCCACTTCTACAGTGAGATTTGTAATAGATGCCTTCTTTGTTCTTAAAAATGAGTTGTATACATTAAATATGTACAGTTTTATGTGTTAATCATACATCAATAAAATGATTTGAAAAACAATGTTCAAAGTCAGTTGAAACCTATTCTTAAGGGAATAATGGTAGTGACTAGTTGTTGTAAACCCCGTACTACCAGTATCTAACTAATAGCCAACACAATATGGGCTTCAGGGCTAGTTGGAGCCAGATAGAAGCATTTCTCTGGCCTTTGTGTTATTTTAAGATTGAACTACATATTGACCTTCATAACATGGAATGAAATGGTATCCTGATTCTTTGCACATAGAACTGGCTGCAAAGAAAAGCTGAGTTAGATTACACAGCAGGGAAATAAAAGAAAGAGAAAAAGTACCTCTTACTTTCATTTGAATGTAACTGTGAAAATGGATGTATGTAATATTGGCTAAAATACGCTTAGGAAGGGAATTTCTAAAATGAGAATACATTTGCAAAGCCACAGATGCTATGAATTTTTATGTTTCAAGACATTACAAATTGTTGTCCAAGAATGTTATCCTAATTCCCAAACTCCCAATTGCACATAAAGGCAGGTATTTTTCCACAGCCTTGCAAAATTGCTTAATATAAAACTTTTACGTTACTGTTAATGTAAGTGAAAAAGCATAATATATTCTTGTTTTGATCACTTCAGACATTTTTGGAAGAATGGTTTATGACTATGATATTAATTTATTAATTACTCACATACTTCCTAGCTATTTGCTATTTGATTTGTCTCTCACTGTTTTTCTAAAACTATTATCTTGACACATCCCCTGGTCAGCTCCTTAATCATTTAGTCCTTTTCTTTTCTTTTTATTTTCTTTCTTTCTTTCTTTCTTTCTTTTTTTTTTTTTTTTTTTTTTTTTACACGGTTTCGCTCTTGTTGCCCAGGTTGGAGTGAGGTGGCATGATCTTGGCTCATTACAACCTCTGCCTCCCGGGTTCAAGTGATTCTCCTGCCTCAGCCTCCCGAGTAGCTAGGATTACAGGCATGCACCACCACGCCCAGCTAATTTTGTATTTTTGATAGAGACAGGGTTTCTCCATGTTGGTTAGGCTGGTCTCGAACTCCCGATCTCAGGTGATCCACCCACCTCGGCATCCCAAAGTGGTGGGATTACAAGCGTGAGCCACTGTGCCCGGCCATAGTCCTTTTCAACGTATTAGTTTCCCAGGGCTGCTATCACAAATTACCACTAACTGGGTGGTTAAAAATACATTTTATCACTTTCTGGAGGTTAGAAATATTAAGTCAAGGTGTCAGCAGGGCCACGCTACCTCCAGAGATGCCAGAGAAGAATCCTTCTAGCATAAGGTGATTGCTGTCAATTCTTGTAATTCCTCGGCTTTCAGTTGCATCACTCTAATATCTGCATTCATCATCACATAGACTTTTTCATTGCGTGTCTCTCTGCTTCTGTGTGTAAATCTCCCTCTTCTTTCTCATAAAATCACCAAATCAGTATGACCTGATGTTAACTTGATTATATCTGCAAAGACTCTATTTCCAAATAAGTCACATTCATAATTAGTGGGGGTTAGGGTAGTCAGCACATATTGGCAACCACATATATTTATGTTTGGTGGGCATTGATTGTGTGGAGAAAAGTTAAGTATAATCATCGACTTAGAGAACTTAAAGTAGAACAAAGAGGCACATATAAATATGCCAATAAGTGCAGAACTGAGTACAAAAGAAATACAGGTAATGGAAGGAGAAAGCCGTCAAGCTAGAGAAGACACTCAAACTGGATTTTGATAAAATTAGTAAGTGTTCGACAGGCCAGCTTTGTGAATTTCTGCTCTGCTATTTTTTCTCTTGGTGGGAAGGTTTTAATCATGAAGTGTATTTCTTTAATAGATATAAAATATTCATATTTTAATTTCTGTTTGTGTTAACCTTTTAATAAACTTTTTATTTTAGTATAGTTTTCAATTTATAGAACTGTTGAAAATAGAATACAGAGAATCCTGAATACCTCATATAGAACTTCCCCTATCATTAATATCTTATATTACTATGGTACATTTGTCACAACAAATGAAGCAATATTGCCACATTATAATTCATTAAAATTCATGGTTTACAATTATTTCCTTATTTTTACCAAAATCTTCGTTCTGTGCCACGATCCCATTGGGGATATCACCTATTTAGTCATCATGTCTCCTGTGGCTCATCTAGACTGACAGTTTCTTACACTTACCTTGTTTCCTTGAAAAATTTGAGGAGAACTGGTTAGGTATTTGAAATAACATCTCTCAGTTGGAGTTGGTCTGAAGTTTTCCTCATGATTAAATAAGGGTTATGGGTTTTTGGAGGAAGATCACTCACATGAAGTGTCATTTTCATTACATCCCATCAAGGGTACATGATACCAACATACATCACTGATTATGTTAACCTGAATCACTTGGCTGGAGTAGTGTTTGTCAGGTTTATACAGTGTTTATTTAACTTATTTCCCTATTTCCATACCGTGTTTATTTGGAAGAGCATTACTAAGCACACCTTATATTCAAGGGGTAGGACATTAAGCTTCACTCCTTTGAAAGGGGAATACTACATATATTCTTTGTAATTCTTTAGTGCTGGAAACTTGTTTCTTCCCTCCCATTAATTTATGCATTCAATCATTTATGTATATAAATATGGACTCATGGATGTTTAGTTTACATTTTGGGTTATGATCCAAAACTATATTATTTATTTTGTCTTTCAAATTATTCCAGATTAGGCCATTGGGAGACCTTTCAGATTGACTCTTGTATGCTTTTGACATGACCCCATCATTTTATTTTTTTCAGTGCTTCCTTATTTCTGACACTACAGGATAATCTAGTTTCATCTTGTATATTCCCTGCCTCAGTCCTAGAATCAGCCCTTTCTGCAAGTAACAAGCCCTTTCTGCTTGTTTCCGTCTATTGGAGGATAGTTCTAGAAACGAAGATCTGGGTGCTGAGTGGGTTTGTTGCTTTGTCGGTACTGAGGTGTTATTTCTCATAGGTCCTCTCAGCAAATAATAGAGCTAGGAAATGTACCTATGTATACTAATCTATGCATGCACATATTTATAATAATTTCCATTTGTACCTATCCATATATTAAGCTAGCATGAGTTCAGACTAGTGTCTCTGACTCTAACCCAGTGCTACAGGGTTTATTCTAGATTTCCTCCTGTTTGATGTAACCTCCCCTTCCAACAGTGAGAAGCTGGCTCCTACCATGTAACATCTATTTACTTTTGTTTAATCACAGTACACATGTATAGAATTTTGAGAATTATTCATCCACACCCACATGAGACATAACTTTGCCAGCTAGAATAGTACTTACGTACTGTTCCTTTTGCCTTCAGACTTACAGTTTCCAATAATCATCAAAGTTACTTAGATAAGCAACTTTTCCCCTCTTCTTTAAGTGAGGTGATAACATACATTTAATAGAGTTAATTTTTATAATCTGAATTCCACCCAGAGATCCATCATCTTCCTACTTGCTTATTTTTAAATTTGGATACATCAATATTTACTCTTTGTGCTATGAAGTTTTATAAATTTTTGCTGAAAGCGTAATGTCCCATATTCACCACTATAGTAACATATGGTACTGCCAGCTTATAGAGTTGATCAATTACAAATAAGAGAAATAGAATATTTTCCTTTACCTTCATTTTTTTCTTCTCCAACATTATTTTCTTTATGTAGGTCCAAGTTTCTGACCTAGATCATCTTCCTTCTGCCTGAAATAAATCTTTTAACATTTCATGCAGGTCTACTGGTGATGAATTCCTTCGTTTTTTAATTTCTCCTTCATTTTTGTAGGATAATTTTTCTGGATATAGAATTCTATGTTGATAGATCATTCTTTCAATACTTGTGGTATTTTACTCCACTCTGTTCTTGCTTTTGTAATTTCTGCTGTACTTCTTATCCTTGATTCTCTAATGGGTAAGGTGTTTTTTTCTTCTGGATTCTTTAAGATTTTCTTCTTGTTTTGTCTTTGGTTTTCTTAAATTTGAATAAAATATTAGGAGTACTTTTTCAGTATTTATTCTGGTTGGTGTTGTCTAATCTTCCTGGAACTGTGGTTTGGGTCTGTCGTTAATTTTTCAATGTTCTTGGCTGTTAGTAATTCAAATTTTCTTCTGCTCCCTTCTCTGTTTTTTCTTCTTCTAATATTCAAATTATACATAGTCACTCCAGTTGAATTTTTTCCAGAGTTCTTAAAGGTTCCTGACTGAGCTTTTTTTGTTTTTCTTTACTTTATATTTTTCTCCTTAAATTTAAGTTTGGAAAGTTTCTATTGACCTCTCTACAGGCTCAGTGATGCTTTCCTTAGCCTATTCCGGTCTACTGATGAGCTTACCTAAAGTAATCTCCGTTTCTGTTACAGTGTTTTTGGTTTCTAGCACTTCTTTTATATTCTTTCTCAAAATTTCTATTTCTGCTTACATTATCCATCTGTTCTTGCATGTTGTCTATTTTTTCCACTAGAACCCTTAACATATTAATTATAGTTATTTTTAAATATTCTGTCTGATAAGTCCAAGACTTGTGTCATATAAGTGTGGTAAGTGTGGTTCTGATATTTGTTTTCTCTCTTCAAACTGTCTTTTTTGTTTCCTTTTGGTGTACCTTGTAATTTTTTGTCAAACACCAAACATGTTATATCAGATCATAGGAACTGAGGTAAATAGAGTTCTACTGTGAAGATTTATGTTCTGATTAGAAACTGAATTTTATTTAATGCTTGCTGCAGCTATGGATATCAAAGAATTCATATTCCTCTAGTGTCCTTGACTTTCCCTCCTTGACTTTGGGCATTCCTAAGTATTTTTTTCTCAAGAGTCTGTGTCTTGCAGTTCTTTCATCTGTAATCAACAAGAGCTCTGTTGATTTGATGGTAAGGTGTTAGGGGAGGGGGTGTTTTGTAATCATTCAATTAAATCCAATTGTGGGGTGGGGGGCTGTATATTTGGCCTGTGATCTTCACAAGTGTTTTTTCTCATATTTTTTTTGTTTTGTTTTGTTTTTAATTATTCTTCCCAAGGTGAGACAGAAAGAGTAGAAGAGGCTGGAGTGATAAGAATACCCTTCTCCATGGCTCTGGGACAATGCTCTGTTAAGTTTTCTCCCTGGAGAGTTGGGATTTGTTATGGGAAAGGTTCTTGGCATATTTCACAAGGATTACTCTTCCAATTCCTCATGCCAGAAGAAGGTGTTTCTTGGTTCTTCATTTTGAGAACCTGGTGCTATTTCTGGAGGTAAAGCATACAAAAGTGTGTGTATACTAGGGGGTGTGGGGTCCTGTTAAGTCTGTGGACCCTGGAGTTTCTCATTCTCATTCTATTCCACACTTAGTCTCTAGAAATTTGTCAAAATTATCATTTAATTCTTATTAGTTTATGGCTTCAGCTACTTTTGCTTGAAATAAGCAGACCTGGGCTGTGACTCTCTGAATTTACTTCTCCAGATTTCAGGGTGGTGGTTTGCCTGCAAAATCAATTCTTTGTTGGGCTCAAGAAAAGTCACTGATTTCTAATTTATCCATCTTTTCCTTGTTGTAAGAATAGGAGTGCCTGCTTCTTAGATTTTGACATATGAGAGCTGAAAGTCCTTTATATTATTGACATGAATGTCTCAGTTGCTCAAATGCATGGGTATCTCTATTGGGTTATAGTCATCATGATCTTTGTCTTTGGCATCTAAAAAAGCTAGAGGAAGGCATGACAGAATGGTCCAAACCTAATATGCTTGCCTAGCTTGCACAATTGAAGCAATGTTTCAGACCAGGAGAAGAAATAGTGTTTGGTCTCCTCACAGAAGAGTTAATATAAGTAGGGGCTCTATCCCAGGTTACTTCCAAGTTTAACAGTCCTGACAAGACAGTATAAGCCACTGAAGACTACAGAGGCTTAGATAAGAAAGGGTCATGTTCTCAAACTGACATAGAAATGACAAAATGTGGCCCTGGTATGTTGTCTTAAACATTGCAAGTGCTTTTTAAAAATAACCCTCTAAAGGAAAACCAAGTCATGCTAATATGCTAATGACAAATCATCAGTGAGTTTATTGACAAATCATCAATAAATTCTAGGACAATATTGTCAAATTTATTGGCAAATCATCAATAAATTCTAGAACAATATAAACTCTTGATGCATGTTCAGATTCTGTTACAATGATGATTTTTGATAATGGCTTCTACTGAGAAAACTGCCTATGTATCACATTGCATACCATCCTAGCACAACTGACAAAAACAGGCTGACTTTGAATATAGCCAAAATCCAAGGCATCATCCAAGGTACCTTGTTGGGAACTATTTGGACCATAATTCAAAGAAATTGTAAAGATGAGCTGTTGATTCATCAGCCATTAAGTACAAAAAAGGAGCCTCAACACTTGACTG
Source organism: Homo sapiens (assembly GCF_000001405.40). NCBI lineage: Eukaryota > Metazoa > Chordata > Mammalia > Primates > Hominidae > Homo > Homo sapiens. Next base: position 482,378 of record NW_025791754.1, on the reverse strand, counting down.
ATTGTTTTGGATATTGCAGATAGCACATACCACAATTAAAAATTGTACTACAGCCTCTAGACTAATCAAACAGACTACCAGCTTAATATCTACAGCTCATGGCTTTGAAATCAAGCCAAATATTAGTAACTCAAGGCCTGAAGCTCATATCTCCTTCAGACTCCATGACATTACAAATGTTTCTAGCCACAGGGTTGATTGAAACCTATGGCAAAAGACCATGAGTACTCCTCAGCCTCTAGGATTCATACTCAAGGACTTTCTCCTGCTACAGAGAAATGCTCCTACCATTTCTCTTACAGATTTAGATTATCGCACCTCAAAAAATGTCGTTACTCCTTAGCAGAGCCCCCAAATAGAAGCTAGAACTGGTCCTTGAGACCTTAGCCAGGCTACCAATTCCACCTTTACACAAAGATATCATGGCTGTCTATAAAATAGTCTGCATACAGAGAAAACAAAATCAGTGCAAAGAAGCAGCCTTCCAACATAATAATAGATTGCCAATAATTTATGTCGTTGATTGCTCTTCGGAATGAGTTGCACATCAAATGGTGTTCCTAGACATCCCAATATTAACAAATTTACCTTTACACAGACTTCTGGGCCAACACTAATAGCCTGAAAATATACGTACTCAGGACTGTGGTTGTGTGATAGCATAGGAAACACCTGGCCCACTAGGAATGCATGAGTCTTGGAGTGGGGAATGATAAAATTTTGAGAAGGAACAGTATCCCTCCCTTCTTTTAATAACAGTATTGTTAAATATATGTGCCATCTCTCTTTTCTTTTTTTTTGTGCCTACCATGACCTCTGAAGATATATAGAATTTTTTAGATGCTTTTTTAAACTTCAATATGTGAAAGGAAAGATTATATTGTTCAACGTAAGGATAATTGAGCAGACATGAACTTGGACATTGACTTTGCCTCAAGTGGTTTTACACACCCCCGCTTCTGCCCCCATGGACTGCTTATGAAAATAATATGGTGACTTGTTTCCCTGTGAAACTCACCATCCTGGAGAAAGAACATTCAGTCTGTCTCAGTCCCAAGAGGGAATGTAAACTTTGATTGGTTGGGTGTAAACTACCCAACTCTGAGAGATGGATGGGAGGGTGAGAACTCATAAATAATTTTGTCTTTTGCTATTACACATATGTAAAAATAACCTGAAATACTCTTTTACAAATCTTTTGGGCAATGTCTTGTGATATAAATCCTGTACAAATTTGGATATGTTACATTCCACTGGATCCAGCTTGTGGTTTCTCACTGATGCTCCATTCTCAGAAAATACTGTGTAACCCTCTCTACTCCCAGACATACTGTGAAACCCACTATGAGTTTGTGTCAATCAGAGCTAAATTACTTACACTTAATGAGTGCCCCCAGGGGATGAGAGAAAATTATGAATGGTTTGGAGGCTCATTTCCTTCTCTCTCTCTCTTTTTTTTTTTTTTTTTTTTTTTTTTTTTTTGGTAGTATAGCAAGGATCTGGCCCAGCTTGAGCCAATCTGGGGAGAAACAAGGTCTTTGGCTGACATCAGCATTCTTGTCATTCAAAGTCTTTCCAAGTGCACTTACTTTGCAGACCTTGGCTGTAAGTATGCCTAGTCCCTGGTATTGCTCCTGAGATTCCTTGAAACATTTTTTATTAATTAAATTATGCACTTCTATATTCATCCTAAGCTAACTTAAATATTTGTAACAAGAAGATAGGACATATTCTCTTTTTTTGTGATTCTCATTTCCACATCCATCCTGTACAGGTAGGCTTCTGCCTGATGGAATATTGGTAATGGTCCACATAGACATTCAATGTTTTGCCTGTACTGTGAAATGAGTGTTCAGGGTATTGCTTGGAATCAGGTTTTAAGTCTTACCTGAAGACCGAATGTCTTTAGTAGTTGTATGACTCTTCAGATTTTCTATTTCTCTTTTAATCAGTTTTCTCAACTTCTAATTTTTCTAGAAATTTGCCTATCTCATATGCATTTTCAAATATATTGGCATTAATTTGTTCATAATTGTCTCATTGTTTTAATCTTAATATTATTTAATTCTGTCTGTTCTCTTTTTAGTTCTCCTTAATCTTAATCTTATCTGAGGTTTACCTATTTTATTAGTAATTTCAAAAAAATCAATTCTTGGATTCGTTAGTTAACTAGGTTTTTCAATTTTATTATTTTTTTCTTTATTATTTCCCTCCCTCCACTCTTGTTGGATTTATATCATTGTTATATTTTTAATTCCATGAGATAGCTGTTTAGCTCATTGATTTTAACACTATTTTTTTCTAATGTAAGAATTTTAGGCTATCCATTTATCTCTATATGTTCTTTTAATTTAACACTCTATTATGATACATAGTATTTAAGTTATTCTCATTTTCCAAATTTTGCCTAATTTCCTTAGTGCTTTTTCCTGTGATTCACGAGTTGTATGCTTTTTCTTGTATTTACAAGTATAGTTTTATTCTAGTCATATTTTGTTATTATTCCTTAATTGTGTCATCATCTCATGAAGTTACTGTGTTAGCAACTATTTGAAAATTTTAAAAACTAACTTGATGACTTGGCACACTATCACTTTTCATAAATATTCTATATGTGCATAAAAATGCATATTCTTGAATTGTTATGGTACACTATTTGATATATATTATTACTTTAGGTTTAGTAATGGTGTTGATAAAATTCTCTAAATTGTTTCTGTTTTATAAAAATTTATTTATTCTACTAACCACTAAGAGAGGTATGATAAAATAACACAGAATGTTGATAGATTTGTCAATATCTCTTTGTAGATGTGTGAATTATTTCACTCTCTTTTCTCCCTCCTCTTTTTCTTTGTCTCTCTCTCCCCTCCTTTCTTCTTTCTCCCCTCTCCTGTCTCCTATGTTCTTAGATAGATAAAATTGTAAAACTGTTACAGATTGAGAAGGGAACATTTTACCATTATGCACTGATCCTCTTTAATTTAATAACATTTTGTAATCTAGTGGATTTTTTTAGTTTAATTTGACAATTTTATCTTTTCACTGCAGAGTTTAGCCCAATTAGTGCAATTGTGATTTTCAATTGTTTTAATCATTTTCCTGTCATCTTACAATTATTTCCTCTTTTACACTTTTTACTTTTCTCCTTTAATGACTTTTTTTTTATCGTTCCTATTCCATTTTTCATTTTTATTTTAATTGTTTAAATCATTATCTTAAAATGCACTTAATTGTATAAAATAAATCCATATTTCAATGACCCTTCAAACAATAAGAAATTATAATACTTGTCTGTTTATGACTTTCCCAATTTACATGATCTTATTTCTTCGTATCTTAATCCTGCCCTTTCTTTTAACACCACTAACTAAAAATTATGATTATTAATTTTTAAGGAAATAATATTTACTTAAATTTACCTCAAAATTGTCTCTTTGACTATCCCTCTGTTGTCATTTATGAAAGCACAACTTCTAGAAGCTTCTTTCTTTCTTTTCTCTTTCTTTTTTTTTTAATATGGGTTTCTTGCTCTGTCACCCAGGCTGGCATGCAGTGGCATGATAATGGCTGACTACAATCTCAAATTCTTGGGTTCAGGGTGTTGGAACTGTTTGTTCCCCAGTGCTGCAAAGAAATAGCATTCGAACATAAACTTAATTCTCTCAGCAAGGCAGTTTTTACTTTCTGCAGAAAGGGTGCTCTCTGCAGATATACAAGGGGATCCTCTTGCCTCAGCCTCCCTAGTAGCTGGAACTTCAGGCATTCATCATCACACTTGGCTAATTTTTTCTTATTTTTTGTAGATGCGGCATCTCATCATGTTACTCAGGCTAGTCTTGAATTCCTGGCCTCAAGCGATCTTCCTTCTTCATCCTCCCAAAGTGCTGAGATTAAAGGCATGAGCCGCCACACCCTGCTAAAAGCTTCTTTAACAAAGTCTGTGTTTAATAATTATTAGCTTTTTTATACAAAATTTTTCTTCAAAGAGAGTTTTCCTGAGTACTCCATTGGAAGCTGATTTTTATTTTCTCTTGACAATGTGAAGAGACTATTTCACTATCTCATAGCTTCCATCTTGGCTTAAAAGGCTTCTTACAGTGTAGCAGTCTTTGTTTTGTTGGTGAGCTTTCTTTTTTCTCTGCTTCCTTTAGGATCTTCTTCTTGTCTTTAGTGTTCCTCATTTTTACTAATGTATGCCTAGGTATGCATTTCTGTTTACTTGTTTACAACCCTTCTGTACTCATTGCTTCCTATCTATTTTTTATTTGTTCTGAAAAATCCTCAGACATGATCTCCTCAAATGTTTTCTCTTTTCTTTTATATATTCTTTTTCTGGGACTCAGAGGTATACGATACCCTCGCTTATAGCCTCTGTTTCTCTTTCATGTGATTTTGTCTGTTTTATATTTGGGGCTATGTCTTCAGATTTATATATTTCTTTTATATTCTGTGCCTGATAATTTTACTATCTAATGTGTGTGTCATTGTAAATTTTTAGGTCTCATTTTTTCTGACTCCCACTCTTGAAGACAAGGTTCTCTGTGTGTTCAGTGATCTGTGTTTGTCAATTCACATTTTCTTCCTATGTGGGAACATATGAACATATGAGGGCCTATTATTTTTCATAAGAAAGAGGAAATTTTCATTTGGTTCTGCCAGGTTCCAGAAGTCAGCAGTGAGCCATGCAACATTTTAGATAGCTCCAAGCATCCCACTAACTAAAGTGGAAGTAATAAAAACACTCAGAATCTCAGTGGCTTAAAATGAGTTTTTATTTGTTTTTATATGTAAAAACACAAATGCATAAAATATAATAATATACAAAATATTGCATTTTGTGTGTATAATATACAACATATTGTGTTTGTATGTACAATATACAAAAATACAAATAATTTTAAACAGATTTTGGTTTAGACATATTTTTATAGAACACTCTTTAATATTTGTTTATTCTATTTCTCACTCATGCTGCTTGTTTTTAAGGGCCCCCCATGGACTGACAGTACATGTTTTTCTCACCCTGAGATCAATATGAGATCTCAGTCTGAGATCTAGGCTATCTGAACGCTATCAGTCACGAAGAGAAAGGAAGAAATCTGGTAAATTGTACACTGTTTCTTAAAGCTTCTGATTAGAGATCATATAAATCAATACAACTCTCATTTAATTGTCCTAAGAGGGTTCCATGGGTGTATTTAGTATCAAAACTATGAAGTACAGTCTTACTGTTAGTCTCAAATACTCTCATTTCATTGTTTCCTATTTTTGTTAGGTTTAACATTTATTCTGAGTTTCCAACCTTACATTCAATTTCATACTTAATTTTTCAATTTTCTTCAAATCTTAGTTTTGTTTCTAAGTGGATTTATTTTTTGCCGCGAATCTTTCCAAATGTGGCTCTTCTGTTATTGAGATCTTAATTTTGATTCATCTTTTTTCTCCCTGTATTTCATCATCAAATTTTTAGGATAAGCTGTTGTTGGACTCTATTCCTTGATTTCCTGCACATTCATAAATTTATTTCTTTTATACTAAAATGTCAACTTGACTAAATATAAAAAGTATTGAGTCACACTTCTTTTTTCTAAGGACTTTATAAATATTATTGCACTCATTTTTAGTCTGTGATTACGTGCAAGAGTCATTCAGATTTTTCTCCTTTCTGTGACTTTCTCTGAATACCTATAGGGTACTTTTTACTTTGTAACCAATTTTAATTTAATTTCATTTACATTGTTAAAATCACAAAATAAGATATACTGTTTTACCAAGTCAGGTAACACCGAGATATAGAAAAGAAAATATCAGTAGTATTTATATACCCCCTCCTTAAGCTAGTTTTTCCCCTTTTTAAATATAAATATTTATTGCTTACAACACAGTTAGAGAAAATGTGGAAATCGTATGTCTAGGATGAATTACTATTTTAAATGTAAATACAACCATGTAAGTAACATGCAGATTAAGAAACACTACAAGAGTAGTAGCATTCCAGAAGTTCCTGCATGCCCCCTTCCATTAGCTTGAGTAACCGTTAACTTGACTACTAACAGCTAAAATAGTTTTGCTTATCTTTTTTTTGAATAAAAAAACAAGAAGTTTTTTGCAAAATTTAAATACACATAGTCAGAAATATAAATGGGATATAATATTGTTTATATTTTGTATTAATGAAAGCATTGTATACAGATAGTGTAGCATCACACAAAAAGGTATGTGTATATTCTTAATAATAATATTTGAATTAAATTTTGTGAGCTATGTGAAGGGAGGCTAAATTTTTATATCTGCAGGTATCAACGGTTGTACTTATGTGAAATCGTGGGCATTGAGAAAGATTTGGAGAAACCAGAAATTTTGTATATTGCTAATGAAAACGAACATTGGTACAATTACTTTAAAGAACTCTGTAGCGGAATCTACCAAATTTGAAAATATCCACATGTTGCAGTCTGTCAGTTCTATTCCTAGGTATATACTTAAAAAATTTATAGACATGTTCACCGACAGACATGATATGTATTAAAATTCCAATATCTCTTACGATGGAATTGGTGCCTTTCTAAGAAGAGATCCAAAAGAGTCTTCTTTCTTTCAATCTCTCTCTCTCCCCCTTTCTCTTTCTCTCTCTCTCTCACTCTTTCCCCACCACATGAGGATATTACAAGAGAGCAGCCATCTGTGAACCTAAAAGAAGGCACTCACCAAAACCCAGACCATTCTGACATCTTGATCTTAGACTTCAAACCTTCAGAACTGTGAGAATTAAATGTTTGTTATTTAAGCCACACAATTTTTGGTATTCTATTTTAGCAGCCCAAATTGTCAAGGAAAATAATTACCTCAAACTACAATGCATTATTACCACTCACCCACAAAGAAAAAAAAAAAGCTAAAATGAAAAAAATCACATCATAAGGGCTCCAGCCCCAGGCCCATGACCTAATTACCTCCCAAAGGCCCCGTGTGCTAAAGTAATTCCATTGCAGGGTAGGCTTTCAACATGAATTTCGTGGGACACAATCATACAGTCCATAGCACTTATTTAACAGTTTTATATTCTTCTACAGCTTTTCTTCTATGTTCATATATAAAGATATACAGATGATTTTTTTCTACTTTATCTTCATTTGTTATTTAACATTTAATCATGCAAATAATTATTTATAACATGTATAAGGACTTACTGTAAAATAAACCTACCTCTGCTTAAGAAATGGAATGTTATCTTTGCAGAATTCTTGATCTATCTTTGAAATTCAATATTTTCAAAAGAATTGTTTTTTGCTTTTATTTAACCATCATTTTAAATTTATTATTAATTTTTCATTAATTCGGCTCCAGAAGCAGTGAGTTGAGATAATCATACTCTTTAGTTCAAAAGCACCTTAGTTGTTTCATTTTATTTTCATATCCTCTCTTATCGCCACTCCCTCTCTGATTTTTCTTTCCTCCTACTAACTGCCAAACACATTAAAATATTTGATGCATAAACATTTGTGTGCATGTTCTTCCAAAACATATGTTTCACTTTTTCATAGAAATTATTTTTCTTACACATCTTATACTAGGTCTTAAATTTTTTATTCTGTATTATATTTTAAATACCTATCGTGTTTATATATATATATTGCTGCATAGTTTTCATAATGTACACCAATCACAGATGACTTTTCTATCCCCTCAGTGACAGTCACTTTAACTGCTCCAACTTCTTTCTATCCCAACAATAATGCAATGCATCCCTTTGTACATGTGTCTTTATGGGTGATTGTGAAGACATCTCGGGGTATAGCTTTTGAGCTGTATTCCTTTTCCAAAAAGTTTATGTATCCTAAATACGATTTTATACCAACTAATTGCTCTCTGGAATGTCTACATCAGTCTATATTACAATACAGTATACAAAGGCTCTTATATCCTTATATCTCACTATTGTTTTAAAATTTGTATATCTCTAGTTACTAATCTAGGTAAACATTTCTTCTTAAACTTCAGATGGTTATTAGCTTTTATTTCTTTTCTGTAAAATTCCTCTTCATATCCTTTTCTATGAGAAGCCATACTTTTAAATTATTGATATAATTGATATGCATACATTTCTTATATATTTCTTACTTATTCTCAACTAACCCCTAATTGATTTTATATATTGTAAAAGTCAGATTTTCCCAATCTGTCATTGGTTTGGTTTGTTAACTTTAACAGTTGTTCTTTTGTTCAGAAAAGGCATTGATTTTGTAAGTTTATTTTGTATCCAGCAATCTTTATGCACTCTATGCACTCTTTTTTTTTTTTTTCTGTGACCAAGTCTCGCCCTATCACCAGGCTGGAGTGCAGTGACGAGATCTCCGCTAACTGCAACCTCTGCCTCCTGGGTTCAGGCGATTCTTCTGCCTTAGCCTCCTGAGTAGCTGGGATTGCAGGTGTGCACCACCATGCCCAGCTATTTTTTGTATTTTTAGTAGACACGGGGTTTCACCATGTTGGCCAGGATGGTCACTATCTCTTGACCTCGTGATCCGCCCGCCTCGGCCTCCCAAAGTGCTGGGATTACCAGCGTGAGCCACTACACCTGGCCTTCATGCGCTCTTTTATTATTGTTAATAGTTTGTCAATGAATTCAGCTCCTCCAGTGTTTTTCTTAGTTTTATTGTTCTAGATTGTTTTCTTAGAATACAATATGCTGTCTTAACCTATAAATAAAGGATTCTCTTCAGAAAAAAACAGTAAATTTTTGAATTTTTAAAATATATTTTCTATTATCATATATTGATTACATAATTGTTTTTTCCTCATACTCAGTAACAGCAATTATGCGTATATTGTATTTGTCTTTTATATCTATAATTAGATCTCTAATCTGCTTTATTTATCATTTTTAAGAATTCCATGTTGATTCTCTCAAGTTTTTCTTTCATGTCCTAAAATATAGAACAGGGATAAATGTGTGTGTGTGTGTGAGTGTGTCCATGGTGGGGGTTTATGTATGTGTATATGCACACAATGCTGCTAATGTTGCTTTTATTTCTGTATTTGTTTTGTTTCTCTCTTTTATCTTTTTCTGAGCTCTGTGAACTTACTTTTCATTTCTGGTCTTATAATTGGTTTATGTTTTCTTTAAGTCTTTTGAACTCAAGAAGATTTGATTAGAAACTATATTTTGGGTTTTGGTAATTGTTCTAGTGGTATTTTTAACCCTCTTTTATTTCTTATATTGCTTTTTTCTTACTTATTTAATTTTTAATCTACGAGTATGTCATCCATGCTTGTTTCTTTCTGATTCTTACTTATTTTGAATGGGATGCACATATCTAGTTTAAATATCTGCTGAAATAAAATTAAAGGTGAGAGATGTGAGCTAAAGCAGTGAACACTTAGGACATATCCTCATCATCTTTGTTTTGTCATCTCCTTGGTAATAATCTCCACTCTTTATTTACCTTTCTCATGTCTGCTGAGCAGAAAATCTTTGGAGTTTTCATTTCCACAGTAAAGTCCTATGCTCCAGGTGTCTGTGACATTTTTAGAATCTATTAATTTATTTTCTGCTGGCTTTGATTAGCTGTCACCAAGGTGATTGGGGTGTATGTACTCTCATCTTGACTGATTTCTGAAAAGATGGCATATATATGTGGCTTCTTATTCAGCCTTTCTACACTCCTCAATCTTGCTTTATAAACACTGTATTGTATTCACATCTTCCATGTAAGATATCTTTGATCCTTTCAGAGCTGTGCTATATATTTTGAAGAACCTCTGCACTATTTAAAATATCTGTAAGTGTTTGCACTTACTCTTGACACTTTTTCCCATTTTGGTCCCAATAAATTTTTTCTTTTATTTGGAGTTTGTGATTTAAAATGTGGTTGTCTCCTGGTCCCAATGATGACACAGCAGTCCATATTTCTTTTATACTTGGTGGTTGTTTCAGTTGGCAATACAGAAGGAGATGAATAAAATTGCAAAAGTGAAGAATGCTCAATTCATGCAGTTAAAAATGATGTAAAAGTAATATATTAAAATTAGGTAAAATATTGGGTAAAATTTTTTTTCTTTGTTCAAAACAGAGTCTCACCCTGTTGCTCAGCCTGGAGTGCAGTGGTGTGATCTCAGTTCACTGCAACCTCTGACTCCTGGGTTCAAGCCATTCTCCTACCTCAGCCCCCTAGTAGCTGAGATTACAGGCATGCGACACCACATTGGCTAATTTTTGTATTTCTAGCAGAGACAAGTTTTCACCATGTTGGCCAGGATGGTCTCAAACTCCTGACCTCAAGCGATCCACCAACTTCGGCCTCCCAAAGTGCTGGGATTACAGGCATGAGCCACCGTTCCAGCCTGGTTAAAATATTTTTAATTGCTTATCTTTGAAAGTCTGCTATTATTGTGAAATTGATTTTTCTATGGGATCAGATGGACTGATGCTTTGTGGTGGGTGTGTAATCACTGCAGAAGAAAATTTGGGAACTGAACCTGGAATGTTAGTCCATGCCAATTATTTGAAAATTAGCATCCAAAAAGCAATAAAATTTGTTGAGAAAAATTGAAAGTTATTACACTACCTAGTTTTACTAGGAAAAGATTCTGGCATTGGGCCAATGATGACTGATAATTATTCATAGCACTATTGAAGAGATTGATGTATTTTACTAGGAATTTTTCAGGTGTGAGTGATAGAAATTCAGCTCTCTTAAGCAAAAAGATAACTTATTGATTCCTATGACTGGGTACTCTAGGAGTGGTGCTTGCTTTAGTCATAGCCAGATCCAGAAGATTAAAAATAAATCTTGTGTTGCTGCAAAGTTTAGGTATTTTCGGACCATTCACAATATGGACAGACATAGCCCCTAGTTAGAAATCTAGCAGAACAAGAATTTTTGTCTCCTGATACTCATACATGAAATATTCCTTGTCACCATTGCCCATACTCTTTGAACCACATTAGATTATATGCCCATGCAAGTATATAGAAAGGGGTAGTAGAATGCCACCATGATCTAATTAAAAACATAGGACTTTTATATATAGGAACAGGATATTGGTAGATGAAAATTTATTAATAAGTCCAATGTAATTAATTGGGACAAATATTATAATATCCTGATTGCAGTGTGATCTCAGAATAGGCTTTACATTTCTATTTTGAGTACAGTATATGCAGAGACTCTGAAGTCTATTCTACTTTGTTTTGTTCTGAAAAAAACTGGACAAAGACAAACTAGACTATTTTAGCAATCTTTATTCTTTAGTTGCAGATTGGAAAACCAAAGACTTGGGGTATCTGTTCTGGTAGCTCTAGGTTTTGTTGGGAATCCTAGATTTAAAGATATTCTCTTATTTCTGTTGGAAGTGAATAAGCTTCAGAGCTTCTGACAGCTATCTTGAAATCACAGGAAGGGATGTAGAAGGAATGGCAATTGCATACAGAAGAACTAAGTCCTTTGTGGCATCTGTAGGTCACCATATTAAGCTTTTGCTAAAGCTGACCTATGTCTGAATTTCCCCATATGTGAGATAATAAATTTATTTAATTTTTAAAATGACATTGTAGATCATATATCTGCTACTTATAATTCAGAGCATCCTAAGGGATATACTGGGACATTTTGGTCCTTGGCCCTTATGAATAGTGGCAAAACCTCCTTGTTTGAGAATTTACAATCTGCTAATTTGGATAAGTCATATTGACCTGGATGTTCTTTGATGTTCTTCTTCTTATGACTCCTCTTGCTCTAACTAACCGATAGAATCTTCTCCTTATTTTGGGCATCCCCACTTCACATTTGACTTGACTTCTTAACTTGGCTCTTCTTTCACAGTTCAGTTTCTGCACTATCTCTACTAAACAAAAAGATACCTTTTTTCCTTTTGGGTTATGATTTGGGCATTTATATTTTCTCCCCTATTTGATGAATTGCTGCTTATTAGTTCACACATGGCTTTAGCATGAATAACCTGGCTTCTAGATTACTCTTTCTAATTATGATTGAGCTTCACCTATGCACTTGGAATCTGTCCTTCACCTGTGGTTGGCTTTATTAGGAACTTATCCTTAGCAATAGTTTTAGCAATGAAGGGAAATGAGAACAAAAAATAGGTGGGGCATTTAAAAACAAAGCTCTTTGATTTCCTATATTCACAATCTTAGCCTCATTTGACTCATGTTCTAGTTTAATTAAACTATAAAGAAAATATTTTTGAAGAGTTGCCTGAATAAACGATAAGCCATCAAAAAATCATGGCCTAGGATAATTTGATAGTCAACTCCTAGGAAAAGAGCCTATTCCTGATTCAGGAAATTAGTTGAAAACTCATTTTGGCTGTCAGGTCATTAACATCTAATGGCATTCAGTATTTTTGTACCACACTGCGTAACCTGGGGATTTTCCCAGGGCTTAAGTACAAGTGAGCTTGTAGGCTTGCAGGCAAAAAGAAAGGAAATAGAAAGTGTAAAGCACAGATTAGAGTTGTTTTTTATTTCTGCTTCTTAATCTGGGTGGATGCCTTGTCAAAAGTGTTAATAGTCCTAATATTCTGAAATATCATATCTTCTCTTTCTGCATATTAATTGGTATTTTAATATACTTTGCATTGATATTTGAGTGGGAGGTGGTGAATTTTTCTCTCAATTATTGATTTGGTTATGACATTTCCAGATTGCTTTTTTGCCATATCCTTATTTTTTGCAACCGTAAAGCTTGCGTGGACCCAGTGTAAAAATTGCATTACTCATTTAGCTCTGTAGCACATGTTCAGCTTGTTGCATCTGAACTCAATATGGTGCATATATTTTTTTGCTATGCATGTGAATGTAATTCAAGATGCTTGTTTTAATTTTAAATGCCTACATGCTCTGGCTTCTAACTACAGAATATTTAAGGTTTTCTGATTATCCATATTTATTATTTCCAGGGGAGTCCAGAAGAATCACTGAACAGCCAGATTTTTTTTCTGTTTAACTTTAGTGCATTTATGTTGTTTCAGTCGCTCTGAGGGTACATACTTTAGTTTATCTTTTTGGATATAATCAAAACTGTTCAACCTGAGGAGTAAAACTTGAAAAGCATAATTAAATTCATTAGTTGCTAAACATAGAAGAAGAGTTTATATTAAGAAAAATAATTCTAAAAATGTTGATACCTATATTTTGAAAAACACATATAATAGCAATAGCAGACTATGTGGTGAGCACCGTAATAAATTATTTATATGTATTAATGTATTTTATTCCCCCAAATAAGCACTCTACTCCATTTAGCAGATGGGGAAAATGAAGCACAGTGAGTAAATCGTCCAAGGTCAAGCAGCTGGTAAATGCCAGTTTCAGGCTTTAAATCCAAATAGCCCAGATTCATAAGTTGTATATTGCCAAACAATATTACTTCTCAGGTAGTTGATTAAAGTGAGGCAGTGGGGAAGAGTGGACTGGAGAGGCCATAAGCCCAGATGTGGAGGAAGGTAAAGGGTAAGGGGTAGGCTTTAGACTAAGCTATGCCGATTCTGGAATTCACAGCCCAAATGATGGAACTGCTGAAGAAGCTTTTCTAAGATTTTATGTGTGGGTGTGTTTGTATGTGTAAAAGATAGGATACAATTTTTGTACTCTTCAGGCTGGAGTGATCTGGGGGTGCAAAGGTAGCATTTACATTGAGAAAGAGATGCATGCTGACTCACTACTCTCAAATAATAAATACGCATGTTGAATAAACTAGTCCAATCTCAGATAGCTAACAATATGTAAAATCACTAATAATATATAATCTTTTACATATAAACCTATTCAATTATATACCTATAGCATCTCATGTTCTATAATTTTGTTCTTTTCTTGAGCACTGAATAGAGAATGTTCAAATGCAGCTAAACAGTTGCTGCTTATGGCCTTACCTACTGACTTCCTCCCTTTTCTCAATCTGTAAGTATGTGCATTCGATGTCTTGACAATAGTATCACTATTTGTGTTTTTCTGTTTCATTCTTATATTTCGACAATAAAAAATTTACAGTAAACACTCACATATTTAATTTGTACACTGAAACTGCACAAATCAAAGTGTTAATGGAAACATAGCTACCATTTAACACTTGGAAGTTGTGAGTTACCTAAAAATAAATAAGAATACAAATTTGGTATATGATGACAATATTATTAATATTTACAACATATCTTTGTGGGAAAAGAAAATATATGAATATTAAACCACTTATGTGTTTATATATAGCACACCAACACTCTTGATGTATGTAATACTCTTCTGTACTAAAAAGTATGAGTTTCCTAATTTCCCGCCAATAGGCAACATTTTTTTCTTTGACTTATTGTCACGTGCTGTGTCTGAACTATCATAGCATTTGCAATGAAAACTACTGTTAGCTTGTAGCTAAGGAGTATTGCATAATAATCAGGAAAATTTAATTTTCATATTAATTATAGTAAAATATCCACTAAGTGATTTACTTTGGCTTTTTTGGTCTTTGTTTAATCATCTTCAAAATGAAGAAAATATCTACCTTACAAGTATAAAATATTTTCAAATTATGATAGATTTTAAACTAATGAATCTGAAGTCATGTTTAATATTGGAATGAATAGATAGTAACTGTATATTTATAAGTTGTTGATATATTTTAGACATAATTCAGCAATAACGTTTAAAGTTTTCCTCTTTGTCAATTAAACTTCTCAATACAAATAATTAATAAAAATAAAAGACAATATTTCACGTCAGTAAAACTTTCAATTAATAAGATATACCAAGTATGTTTCTTCTTCTTTACAAGCATTATCCTACTTCTCAAATCAAACCCTGTATGGGAGAGGACCTAACAGACCTCAATATAAGGCTCTGACAGTGTTTTAAAAATTTGCATACCTTAGTTAAGTATGTCACATGCACGCACATGCAGATACACACATTTAAAAACAGTGTCTACATGTGCAATACAATTTTCCCAGATTGGAATTTTAAAATTTACGTGATTAACTTTTTTTTGAGACAAGGTCTGGCTTCATAGCCCAGGCTGGAGTGCAGGAGCGCTACCTTGGCTCACTGCAATCCCCTCCTTCCAGGCTCAAACCATCCTCCCACCTCAGCCTCCCGAGTAGCTGGGACTACAGGTGAGCACCCACATGCCCAGGTAATTTTTTTTTTTTTTTTTTTTTGTGGACATGGGGTTACCATGACCACCTCCTCAGGTTTGGTTAATTTGCTAGGATAGCTCACAGTACTCAGGGAAACAGTTTACTTGTGTTTACTGGTCTACTGAAAAGAAATTACAAAGATACAGATGAACAACGGAAGAGATGCATAGGGCAAGGTACATGAGAAGGGGCATGAAGCTTCCACGCCCTCCCTGGCATGCCACCTTCCAGGCATGTCCATGTTTTTAGCAATCCAGAAGCTCTACAAAACCTGTCCTCTGGGGTTTTTATGAAGGTTTCATTACATAGGCATGATTGATTACATTACTGACCATTGGTGATCAAGTCAATCTTCAGTCTTGCTCCTCTCCCTGGAGGTTGGAGATTGGGAAAAAAGTTCCAACTGTCTAATCCTGGCTTGATCTTTCCGGTGACCAGCCCTCATCCTGAAACTATCTAAGGGTCCCAGCCACCAGTAATTAGCATACAAAGGACACATTTCTTACTTCAGACATTTCAAGAGTTTTAGGAGCTGTATGTCAGGAACCAGGGACTGAAACTACATATATATTTCTTATATATCACAATATGAATGAAGGTAATTGAGACTGGAGTAAAGTAGATGAATAAGATAGTGATAAAGCAATTTTATAATTTTATTTTATAATTTGTATTACCTATTGGTAAGCACCAACATCTGCTAGTTATTAAATAAAAAGCTTCTTTCTTAGGTATATTGAGAAGAACATGCACTTTGGAGTTAGAAAATTATTTAAATCTTGGCTTAGCATCTTCTAGCTGGGTGGTATTTTCTGAGCCTAAATTCTCTCATCTTTCAAATTAGGACAACGTTATTTATTTTTCAGAGTTGTTGTAAAGCTCCTGTAATACTACCTGGCACATAATGGTTATTCACACTGTAGCTACTAATGTTTTATCAATATTATTAGCAACGTTATGTTTTCAACCTTTAATAGTAACAAAGGTCTGACTTAGTTCATTCGCATTCCCTTAGTATCTATGGGGAATTGGTTTCAGGAGCCCATGCAGATACCAACATTTAACTCAATTCTGACATTGTCTACTGAGAGATAGTCTCCTATCCTCCAATTTCAAATCCAAAATGAGTGAATTTTCAAGCGACTTATATAAAATAGCATGGTGTTTGCATGGGACCTATGCACAATCTTCTGTGCACTTACATCTCTAGATTACTTATAATCTAGATTATAAGTAATACAATGTAAATGCTATAGAAATAATTGATATCCTGTGTTTTTATTTATATTGCTTTTTATTTTCATTTTATTATTTTTGGAATATTTTTGATCCATGGTAGATTGAATCCTCAGATGAGGAATCCATGGATGTGCAACTCATGGATATGAAAGACCAGCTGTATTTAATTTCTCATTCATTCATTAGACAGTTATTGATCATCCACTGATTGCCAGGTACTTTAGTAGCCTTTTCTAAGCAGGTACAGATATGCCAATAGTCAAGCTGAAGGATAGTCATGAAGAGAGGTACACCCTTCAATCTATCCGTGGCAGAATTTGGGACACTAGCAACATAAATATGGGAATATTCAATATTAAAAAAAAATCTGGAGTTTTCCAAACCTGATGGAGACTTTTTTCTCACAAAGAAAATGTTTTGTAAGTAGAAGAATAATGAGGATGTGATTTCTTGATTGTCGTAGGAGAACATACTTCAATGTTACTGAATCACATTTGCCACTAAATAATTCCTTCTTTGGTTCTATGTTCTCTATCCCCCCAAAATTCAGTCAATGTGAAGGAGATTTAAAAACAGATAAATGAAGGTGTTATGTGTTATCATTAAGAGTAGTGTTGAACAGCATGTATCTTTAGAGAGATGTATGAGAAGAGGGAAAGAAATACCAGGAAGATCAGAGGATATTACTATGAACACAATAAAACATTAACTGTCTCCTTACAGATTTTCATCATAAGGTTTGCATACACATTTAACCTTGGCCACAAGTTGTATTTTTAGAATGGCTGACAAAAAAAAAATACTAGAAGTGTTGGATAAATTATATTATGTATTGGAATATCTTTATACATAAATCTCTAAATGGCTTTTCTTTGTATTATTTACCTGTGCTAATTGGGTAAAATTTGTGAATTAAATGTGATATACTGCCTTTTTTATTTTATCTCTACTCCTTCCTCTTTTCAGTGTTGCTGAAATAAAATGATTTTGCTCATGTAGCTGGACATGCTTAGAATATAGGACACGTTTTGTTACATTTTTATTTCTGTAGATAGAATCTATTTTAGCTTGAATCAAGGGTCACAGAATAAAACTAATCAAGAAAATAGAGGAACACGTGTCTCTCTGCTCTGGTGGGAGAAGTTGAATTCCCGTCGGTTTTGCTCCCACCTCTCCATTCATCCTTCTCCCTAGTGGTCTTTGGGCTCAGTCTCTACCCACCTCTTCTTTCATAGTGTAAGAACCAGGTGCATTTATCCTTCCTCAATTTCAACAGCCACCTACATGTTGAGCGTTCCCAGTTTTGTATCTCTGGAAAAATATTTGCTCTTGATATTCAGACCCATATATTCAAACCCTCGGGAATTCTCCATTTGACCTTTTGCAAATGGTTCAAAGCAAAATCATTTTCTCACTCAAACCTACTTCTGTATTTCCCTCTCATCCAGCAGTAATACCCTCCACCTACTTACTAATCCCAGAAGCCTAGGAATTATCATTGATTCTTCACTCTCCATTAAGTTTTACAATCTCTCCATTACTATCCCATCAATTCTGTCATTTTAATTTCTTATAAATCTGTTGTTTGATTTCATGTGCATTGTCACCACTGCCTCATTTCAGACAATTGACATATCTCTACTAAAATACTGTATAGCTCATAAATGGTCTCCTTTCTTACATTCTTGTCCCACCAATCACTTACCTACACTGCTACCACAGTGATCTTTCCAAAGCATGAATTGGGCTTTGCCACTTACCTGCTTAAAATCCTTAAAAGATTCATCATTGTCCTCAAAATAAAACCCAACCTTGTTGGCATAGTACACAAGGCTCTTCTGATATGGTTGTTAATAAATGAAGGTGCCAATCTTGCCTTTTTTTCACCCTCCTTCTTTGACTCCTTCTCACCCAAACTCATGCCCCTGCTCAAAGTCTATGAAGCTTTTGCATTTGCTGGATCCACCCATGCTTTCTCATTGCTGTCATTTGTGCCTGTATACTTTACTTGCTGCTACTTTTGCCTCCACCTTACTCACCCAATTTTTTATTCTTCAGTATAGATATCAGCCTCTACAGACAGCCTTCCCTGATTTTCCAAAACTGGAATCATGTGTCATTATGTGCTCATTAGCAGCACAGCGGCCTGTACTAATCACTATTGAGGCTTATTATATTCTAGTTTATCTGCTGGATTCTCTGTCTCTCAGCACTTACTTACCCTCACTCATTAGACTACAAAAAGTTCAATTCATAGTAACCACTTAATACATTTTTATTGATAAAAAATAGTAGATTGGTATAAAAGAGACTTGGCATAAAACAAAAACAAAAACACAACAAATAAACCAACAAAAAGAAACCCATAGTAGAACATACAACCACCTTCATAGAGATATTATGTAGCTTAATGATGCTGTTTGAAGGTATGTGGATTATCGCATCTTCTGCCTACAAAGATGAAGTATCTATAAGTGGGTAGCCTAATATATAGTAAGTTTCTTATCTTTTTAAATTTTATTTTCAAATAGTAGTTACAGGGCTATGTAGACATAATCATTGACAACTTTAGGAATTTTATCATAAAAATGACATATGTGATAGACACATATTTTGAGTTTTGGGTAAAAATCCCCATCATATTCTATGAATGCAACTGTGTTCATTACACATTTATGAGTTCATCACAACTTAATTATCAATAAGGTGTTAAAATTGTTAATTAAATTATTCTTCACCCTTGGGAATGAATCTTTTCTTTTTGTGTTAAAACATCAGTATAATCAATCAGTGTATTGGAAACCAGAGATTTTTAAAACACGAATGTTTTTATTAAAAAAGAAGGAGAAATGAGAAGGTATCACATATGTTTTCTAGAAAATAAAAAGAATAAAATTTCTAAAACCAGGAAGCCATTCTCCTTAATCTTCATTTTTTAAATACTTACTCTACCCCATTGGCATAATCATTCAGGACATTTTACAAAGTTCTTTTTTCTTAGTGTGGGGCAATCTCCTCTGTTGCTCTAACTTACACTAGATGTTGATTAGAAGATTTAAGAACATCAGTGAGTAAGATACAAAATTGCAATGTTCAGAACTAAGTTTAAAATTGTTTCCAAAAAGCAAATCTCAAGTCATAGTAGAATAAAACATAGAGAAAGGAAAGGCTCTATGAGGTAGGCAATTAAAAGAGCACAGTGAAAAAGGGAAACAAAGGTAAAAAGAGTGAAAGAGGAAAATACATTTTAACAGCAGGAAATGACATGACATGACAAGAAAAAAACGAATGAAAGAGTAGAAAGACAGATGGGAGAAACAGAAGTCAAAATTAACGACAAAAAAGAAAAAGTACACCTACAGAAGACTGAAAAAAAAATACAAGGAGCAAAATGATCTTCCAATTATAAATGTGTTTCAATGCCCAAATATTGCTATATTTTAAAAAATGCCAGAATAGCTGTATTAGTCTGTTTTCATGCTGTTGATAAAGACATACCTGAGACTGGGAAGAAAAAGAGGTTTAACTGGGCTTACATTCCACATGGCTGGGGAGACCTCAGAATCATGGAGGGAGGTGAAAGACACTTACATGGCACTTACATGGCACTTACATGACAGTGGCAAGAGAAAATGAGGAGGATGCAAAAGGGGAAACCCCTGATAAAACCATCAGATCTCATGAGACTTATTTGCTACCATGAGAACAGTATGGGGGAAACTGCCCCCAGGATTTAAATTATCTCTTACTAAGTCCCTCTCACAACACATGGGAATTATAGGAGTACAATTCAAGATGAGATTTGGGTGGGGACACAGAGCCAAACCATATCATTCCACCCCTGGCCCCTCCAAATCTTATGTCCTCACATTTCAAAACCAATCATGCTTTCCCAACAGTCCCCCGAAGTCTTAACTCATTTCAGCATTAACCCAAAAGCCCACAGTCCAAGGTCTCATCTGAGACAAAGCAAGTCCCTTCCACCTATGAGCCTGTAAAATCAAAAGCAAGCTAGTTACTTCCTAGATACAATGGGGTACATGTATTGGGTAAATACACCCGTTTCTAAATGGAAGAAAGCTGCCAAGGTTTGGGGTTTGCACCCTCTGAAACAATCAGCTGAGCTGTACGTTGGCCCCTTTTGGCAATGGCTGGAGCAGCTGGGATGCAGGGCACCAAGTCCCTAGGCTGCATACAGAATGGGGACCCTAGGCCTGGCCTATGAAACCATTTTTCCCTCCCAGGTTTCCAGGTCTGTGATGGGCGGGGCTGCCATGGAGACCTATGACATGTCCTGGAGACATTTTTCCCTTTGTCTTGGGGATTAACATTTGACTCCTTGTTACTTATGCAAATTCCTGCAGCCAGCTTGAACTTTTCCTCAAAAAACGGGTTTTTCTTTTCTACTGCATTGTCAGGCTGCAAATTTTCTGAACTTTTATACTCTGTTTCCTTTTTAAAATTGAATGCCTTTAACAGCACCCAAGTCACCTTTCAAATGCTTTGCTACTTAGAAATTTCTTCTGCCAGATACCCTAAAATCATCTCTCTCAAGTTCATAGTTCCACAAATCTCTAGGGCAGGGCAAAATGCCGCCAGTCTTTTTGCTAAAACATAACAAGAGTCACCTTTACTCCAGTTCCCAACAAGTTCCTCATCTCCATCTGAGACCACCTCAGCTTGGACTTGATTGTTCATGTCATTATCAGCAATTCTGTCAAAGCCATTTAACAAGTCTCTAGGAGATTCCAAACTTTTCCACATTTTCCTCTCTTTTTCTGAGCTCTCCAAAGTGTTCCAATCTCTGACTGATACCCAGTTCCAAAGTCGCTTCCATATTTTTGGGTATCTTTTCAGCAATGCCCACTCTACTGGTACCAATTTACTGTATTTGTCTATTTTCACGCTGCTGATAAAGACATGCCCGAGACTGGGAAGAAAAAGAGGTTTAACTGGACTTACAGTTGTTCCACATGGCTGAGGAGGCCTCAGAATCATGATGAGAGGCTAAAGGTCCTTCTTACATGGCGGTGGCAAGAGAAAATGAGGAGCATGCAAAAGCGGCAACCCTTGATAAAACTATCAGATCCCACGAGACTTATTCACTATCATGAGAACAGTACGGCGTATATTACTGCCTTGATTCAAATTGTCTCCCACCGGGTCCCTCCTGCAACCCATGGGAATTATAGGAGTACAATTCAAGATGAGATTTGGGTGGGAACACAGAGCCAAACCATATCAATAGCATTTCCTATAATACATTATTCTTCTAATTTTCTTAAGTTTATAGTAAAAAAAATTCACTTGGACAATTTCAAGACACACCAGAGAATCAAAATATCATCAATGTGGTAGTTTCCAATTGGTTGCCCTGAGCACATTACTTTGTATAGTTTGTATCCATAATGGCACATAGTATTAGCTGAGTAGGTTTTTTCTTATTTATTTATTTTTAATGTACTATTTGTTCTCTCCTAAACTTTTATCTGAGTATTTGGAAGCCAAATGACTAAGATTTTCACAAAAGGTAAAATAGAGGCACATAGCTTTCTTTTAAGTAAAATGTTACTTTACCCTCTAACCTCCAGCATCCCAGGACTAACAATCGATTGCTATTTTTTTTCTTTTTTCAGTGTCTTGATTTTTAGTCTGTTAATGATATGTAAATATTTCAGATTTTCTGTCATCCAAATAATACAGTTAGACTGTAACTATAAATATTAACTTGGAACATTACAAATAAAATTAATAGAATCATTTTAATAGGAGATGATAAGGTCTAAAATATAAACCAGATCTCTCTCTCTATCTCTATCTGTATAAACTAATAATGTAGCAATATTACTTTCTTATTTAGCAAAGTAATTACAAAAGTTCGTGCTAAATTATGATTTCATAAACAAACACATACCACAGGAGTGCAAGCATGGATGGAAAAAAACATGCTTAATTTCCTAGATTTAATAGCTTTTAATGCAACTCCACACCTATTTGTTGAAATGTGGCTATTTTGAAGGTCCCGTGCTAGAGGCAGCTAAGCCACAGGGAGAGGGGAAGAGTTGAAAGAAAAACGCACAGATAATCGTATAGCGGGTCAGGTTATAGTAAGCATTCCAGGCAAAATACTCACATGGGTTATGAAGGGTTCAAACAAAGGGGTTCAAAGGAAGAAGACATCATAAGAAGCTGGAAAAACCAAGAAATCTAATGGAGGATATGTAATTTGAGATGGGTCTGGAAGGATGAGTAGGATTTTGAAGACAGAGACAAACAGTATGACTTTTATTTCAACTGCTATTCTTCAGGTTTCAGTAGTCATTGTATTTCATTTGATGTTACAAGTTTTGGTAATTTCTTCCTTCATTTCTAGCTTCTTAAATAAACCCTCTGCTACATGACCTCTACTGAGCATTAATCATGCCAAATTAATCACTATTTTCTGGATAAGCCAAATATTCTAAAAAATCCCTATGCCTCTACTCATACTATTCTCTCTGCTTGCTTCACCTTTGCTCTTTTCCCTAAAGTAGGCTGCGAACGAATATAGAAGGCTTGGTTCATTTTCAATGTCTTCCTTGACCCCCACCTCGAAGAAGTATGTGTACCTCACAGGTATTTCCAAATCCCTCTGTATGTTCTTTGATTATTGTCTCTCACATCGTATCCATTTATCAAGGAACAAGCTTGTTCCTCCACACAGAGCGGTTCTTAAGTAAGGGCAGGAGAAGCCATATGGGTATCCTCCGGCCCAGGCTGTCAGGTGGTTGGTATTCGGTCTGTATATACTCTGATGCAATCAGTTTTTGAAGGAAAGAACGGTAAGCGCAAATAGAACCATAGCTTGTGTAGCAGGGTTCATGTAAGCAGTGGTTCTTACTGAAAAACAGACCCTGTTCTCTCGGGCTCACTTCTTCCTCCGTGTGAACCACTAATAGGAGGGGACCGAAGGCTGAGGCCAGGCCACCTGGAAGCCCACAACGCTGCTAGTAGCAGCGACAGCAGTAACAGCAACTCACCACTGTAAAATCCTCAGTGCGTTTCCATGTGCTTTCCCTGTCATCTAAATGCTTCTCTTCAGCGGCCTAAGGTGGCCCTTCTTTTTCCCCGAGTTCAGGGAAACACCTCCCTTCTTTCAGAATGTGAGAAAAAAATGGGATTTTCCTGGGGCTGAGAGTGGGGATTCCCTTTCCAGAAACGTGCAATTTTTTCATCCCGCCCACCTGGACTGAAGGCAATCAAAGCGAGGGAGCTCGTGGCATAGTGGAACACTCCAAGCACCCTGGCCCCCCTCCTCCCAGAGAAGGGTCTGGAGCCCCGCAATCCGCTAATTAGCTCGCCCCCATTGGTTGTCCCCAAGGCACCCCCGTGCCGTCACTGTGCTATGCTAATGAGGGGGAGTCTCATTGGCTGGGCCTCCAGCTCCATCTCCACAGGGAGATTGCGGGGAGAGCCGGGTTGGCCGCGTCTGGGGCCGAAACCCACCGCCCCCGATTCCCGCCAGCTCAGGGCTGTGCCGGATGCAAGCCCGCCCGAGGGAACAGTAGCCGGGAGGCTGCCCTCTGGGAGGATCTGGCAACTGCCTTTAAGGAAAGTGCTTCACCATCAAGCGGCGCTCACTCCCACCCCTCTCCCCTCTTTCTAGGCACCGCGCGTCTTTTTCGGCGAAGTAACTTTTTATACCCGCCTCCCCCTAGTCCTGGGGACCAGAGGCGGTGCCGAGCCTGGGGGCGGTTCCTTGGCAGCGTTGATTCTTGTCAGAGCCAGACTTTTGCTCCTGGGTTGGGTTTGCATCATCCCCATTACACCCTCGGGAAAGAGGAGCCAGCCCCCTTTCAAGCCTTAGCTTCCGGCTCCAAGCGGACCCCCTCCCCCTCCCTGTCCCCTTCCCCTTCTCCCATCCCTCTCTCGGCCACAGCGTCTTGTTAGTCCTCTCCCTGTACTCCGCAATATTTTCTTTCTTTCTCCCTCCTCTCCTCCATTTGTTGTTTGATGTTTCCCACTCTTTGAGGAAGGATGGTTGATTTGGAGAGCGAAGTGCCCCCTCTGCCTCCCAGGTACAGGTTTCGAGATTTGCTGCTAGGGGACCAAGGATGGCAAAACGACGACAGGTGAGTGGTGTGGTGGAGGATTGTTCTGTAAATATTGCTGAAAAAGAGACGGAAATGGGAGGGCCGAAGTGGGGAAAGGAGGGAGAAAAGGAAAACGGAGCCAGAGAGGGAGACTAGGCTGGGGGAGGGAGTAAAAGAGACTCTGATTTGTCTCTCCATTTTGACTCTATATAACTGTTGCTATAGATAAGGAACTCTTTTTCTTTACACTTTTCTTATTCTTGCAAGGTATTTATTGCATTCATTTGGTGCTTATTCTTTTGTCTATCTGTGCTTTTCTAGGATGTGTATAAGGCTGGTATCAGAGGTACAATACACCCAAATGGTATGCAATATCATTTCCAGAAAATTTGCATTTTTTCCTTAGGTGTGGTTAATCAAACTCAAAATTGCATGCAAGTTGTTTGAAAAAGCACATTAGAAACTTAAAATCTCCTGAGTCTATTTACCTCCTCCTTGTCTGTGTTGTCTTGAGTAGGTATCTACTTGGCACTGGAAATTTTATGCTGTTTAAACATTTTGGAGTTTTAAGTAGACAATTGGTTTAAATATGTAACAGGTAGTTAGTGAAAATGACAACCTTTTTAATACAATATACTCACTTTGAACAGGTGACTCTGACCATTATGAATAATGATGTTTGTATAACATGATACAACCTTTTCATAACTAGTATATTTTTTTAACTGAAACAGAATATATGTCTCAAAATTAAAATTAAGTTTCAAAACTAGAATATTTATTGTTAGCAAAATATTGTTCATGTGTTTTATTTATAGCATTACTGCTTTGCACAAACTTCTGAAATTCCTCTGTCTATTTCTGTCTCAAGCACATTTTGTATTTCAGCGAATTTAGTATTTTCTGGAATAGTCATCCCATATATCACATGCCACATTTCTTTGTTTTAAAATAATACATGTATACTAACTAGGTTCTCAACTCAATTGAAATGTTTCATTGAAGTTTAGTTTAGTATTGATGTGCTATTTTAGTTATATAAAAGATCCATTATTGGTCCAATCCAAAATCCCCTCCTCATTCACCACTGACCAATACACTCTATTTCTTTTCTTCACCTTTTCAGCTCCCAATACCAACTCCTGTCTCTACACACTGAGGATTTTATCTTGAGCATCAATTATGGGCATCTTGTTTGGTCTCATATTAGTAATTTGAAAGGAGATGGATGTTTTGTAGAGGATATTTTGGTTCAATCTCTTTTTTAGGCAAAACCACACATATTGGCTAAAAATTTAAAGAAGTAATACCAATTTCTCAGTATTCTTGTAAAGTGTTTGGGTAAACTGAAGATAAAGAAAATAATTTTTAAGTGAATTTGTAATACAAATTGACATTTAGATAAACTGCATTAGCCTGGTTAAATGGCTTAGTAAGTGTAGCATGGTGTTCCTAGTGACTGAATGTATATTTAGTTCAGGACCTCAGGATCATTATATAGAATAGAAATCCTCTTTGTAGAAAGTGTGAGATAGATTAAACACATAAAGCACATACTTTGGTTATAGTGATGGTATTGTTGTTTGTTTGTTTTAAATATCATATCCAATATGTTAATTTTCATGTGGTTGCCCTCATTTTTCTAAGGATGCTGCAGAAATATTTTAGTAATTAAGAATTTTGGTTAGTTGAACACTGCCTAAATGGATCAGTGCCATATTAAAAAAGTTTTGCAGAATGGTTAAAATTTTATGTTCTATTAAAAGGTTATGCTAGCCCAACTTTAACTTAAAAAGCAGGCCACATTTACTACTAAAATAAGTTATTAAATATTTAAAACAATCATTCAACCATTTTTAAGGATTTGGCTACTTTTGTGGCTTCATGGAAAACTATTCTTTGGTTTTGGTTCCATTTGTTGTTAATCTTTGAAGGCAAGATACTTGGAATCAGAGAAACCCAGATTCAGTCCTTGGCTGTTTCCTTCACTAGCTGAGTGGCCTTGGGAAAGTCATTCAGCCATTATGAGATTCAGCAATATTATTTTTTATAATGGGAATTATACTGTCTACCTTATAAAACTGTGACAAGAGGAAGGATGGAGAGGCGCAGAACTAACATTTAGTTGGAAATAAGTACTCCCAAGTTCTTTTAACTGTGCGGTATGTTCTTTCTTAGTTAATCCTCAGACAAACTCTGAATAGCAGGCAATTATGTTAGGCACAAGGAAACTGAAATTTTGGTAAATTAAATACGTGTCTTGGATATTATATCTTATCAGTGTAAAGATAACTCTTCAGTTCAGTTTATTATTATTCAAATCCCTCAAGAAATTCTTAAGTTCTTTTCACTTAATTTATTTGAACTTATAAGAATAATTTACAGCACCTAGCATAGTTTAGGTGCTCATTAAATATTAGTTCCCTTCTTCACTTCTGATTTGCCCTTTGCAATCCTTTTGTTCTCCCTTTTCAGACTCCTAAGCTAATATGTGGTAGGTAAAGTCATCTTCCTTGTCTATAATATGGTGACAAATTCCTCTTTGCAATTACGCCTGGATAGCAATCTCATTCTACTCAGTTATCTTCTTGGACTCAATTCTTATAGAGTTGAGGAGGAAGCCCTCTTTCATGTAGGAGTAGGTAGATCATTTCCAACAACAGATACATTTAGTGCTCTGCCCATATTCTCAAAGCAACTTTCTTTGAACACCTCCTGCATGAGGTTTTCTCCCCACCACCAACCTCAGGTGCATCCAAGTCCTGCTTGGAGAACAAGCTGGAGTGTCACTGAGTAAATAGGCTGTTTCTGAATCAATACTTTTGCTTCCTTGCTCCTTAGCTTGGAGAATTCTGAAGCATGTTCTACACTGTGTCCAAAGGGACTGAGCTCCACTTGCCCGCAGTGATAACTGGCTTAATACTGAAAGCTTTATTGGCTTCTGTCTCTCTTCTCCCCTACTGGTATTTTATCTGTGATCAATTCCCAAATGAACTGCTTTTGCTGCAATCCTATCTCAAGCTTACCTTCTGGGAGAATCTGCATCAAGATAGCTGTTTTCTGGATGTAGAGAGCCACATCCTTGTAATGATGGGGGAATTGTGTTCCAAATGTAGGAGTATAAACACTTTCTACCTTGTTCCTCACTGTAAGAATTTCAAACTCCATCTTAGGTCATAGTTGACTGGCACATGAAAATGAATGAAGCATATGATAGATGCTCAAATGGGTGTTGTTAAAGACATAATATTGATGGGCCTATTAGGTGTAGGAAATGTGTATTCCATACCATAGATTTTCTGTGAATCAACTTTGGATAAGTAGGTCATCTAAATTTATATTGTGCCACCTTTTGTGTAGGTAAAAAACACATACACATACACTGGCATAATGTACATGTAATGTATATAGTGTATATGTAACAGATATGCATTGCTTTTGTAATATATGTATTATAAAATATTGTATATTGTATGCTAAAATTGTATATTATGTAATGCATCATATATTACAAATATGTGATTAATAATATATATTATAATATATGTAATGAATAGATATGTCTTTGTATTATCTTTACGCCATCCTTAGATAATTGCTTCTCTCTCATTTGCACTCTGATATCCTTTTCTGAGTAGGACATATGGGAATAGGGTTAGACACAGCAGTGCAGAGAATTTAGCACATGGATAACACTACTTCTGTGAGGCCATGAAATAAATTTGAGTTGCTAAATGAGAATATTGCTTATGTGTAGGGATGTCTTTTGTATATATGATGCACACTTACTTGTTTGACATCCTGAGCAAAAAACAAAAATCTAATTCAAGTGGTTTGTATGATATGTCTTTAATGGCCATTCATTCATTCAGCTAATATTTGAATGTTTGCTATGTCTCAGGGCCCCATTAAGTTAGGTTTTGGGACAAATACGGAAAAGAATATGAAATAACGCTCAGTCTGGAGGGGGTCACAGATATGATAAGAGGTTAATTCACCTCAGAATATTGACAGTATTGTTTATGTTATGATGATGTCCTTATAGAATTTCCATTTTAATACTGTCAAGAAGATTCTGCACCATTTGTAGAAAGGATATTCAGCATTTGCTTGAAAATAAAGTAGTTGAAATCACATATTAGAGATAGCTCAAGGCATTCAACATTCAATATTCAACTTCTGGCACCAAGCCATCTTCCTGCCTTGGACTCCCAAAGTGCTGGGATTATAGGTGGGAGCCACTGCTCCAAGCCTGTTTTCTGTTTTAATATTTCTATGATTCACAAAGCAGTAAAGATTTAGAGTATTCTCCTGCAGTTAAACACTGATAAGTTACAGGTTTTAAAAGTCATCAGCCAGTTATACAAGTCTTCTCCTGTTTCATCATGATTTAGTAATTTTAAACTTTGGAACACAACACACTTAATGTGAATAAATTGTCACAATTCCAACTACTGTTAATGGAAAATCCTCAGTTGTAGCCATAGAAGAGAAGGTCATTTATTTAAGACCATTCTAGTTTTCAAAAATCAGGTCACTTGTTTCAAATCCAATAATCATGTATACCTTTTGTATTTTATAGGTGGCCTTTAGAAGTAATTCAAGGAAGTCAACTAATGCATTGTAGTTGTTAAAACATTAAAGGATTTGAACATAGTACAAGTCAATCCATTAACAGTTTAAGAGGTATTTACAAAAATAGAAAAATATTTCCACAGCATTTGGAATATGTGTAATTTTAGATATACACTGCAAAATATATTGCTTTACATAATCAAATTCAATTGTGAGAATGGGTTTTGTATTGACATATTAAACATTTTATAAATTACTAACTTTATCTCCATTATAAATTATATATTGTTTTGAAAAACAGCCATTTATTATAAAATATTTATTCTAAATTTTAAGTTCAGGTTAGTAAAGACAATTTTAAATTTTTGAGCGCCATTAAAATGAATGACACATTATTTTTACTCTTTAATCGATAGTGGCATCAACTATGCATATACAATATCTACAAAAATGATTTAAGCATTTACTTTAGAAAGAGAGTTTAGACAATCCTGTGTTTCTTATCAATATCGACTTTATTAAGAAAAATATCCACAAATAAGGCAATAGAAAATTAGAAACTTAAACAGATAATGGTATAAAAAATAGACTTTGGGCCGGGCGCGGTGGCTCACGCCTGTAATCCCAGCACTTTGGGAGGCCGAGGCGGGTGGATCATGAGGTCAGGAGATCGAGACCATCCTGGCTAACAAGGTGAAACCCCGTCTCTACTAAAAATACAAAAAATTAGCCGGGCGCGGTGGCGGGCGCCTGTAGTCCCAGCTACTCGGGAGGCTGAGGCAGGAGAATGGCGTGAACCTGGGAGGCGGAGCTTGCAGTGAGCCGAGATTGCGCCACTGCAGTCCGCAGTCCGGCCTGGGCGACAGAGCGAGACTCCGTCTCAAAAAAAAAAAAAAAAAAAAAAAAAAAAATAGACTTTGAATATATATAGTGTAATACATAAAATG
The DNA here is from genome assembly GCF_000001405.40 of Homo sapiens. NCBI lineage: Eukaryota > Metazoa > Chordata > Mammalia > Primates > Hominidae > Homo > Homo sapiens. The sequence continues at coordinate 452,395 of NW_025791754.1, read as the reverse complement.
CAGAGAAAAATGTATTATTTAATAATTATTGTTTTTCAATCACTACTAAGAATTCAGACATCAATATTTTATATAAAACACACAAGGTTCTTTTCTTTTAACCAATTCTTATAAATAAAATTGAAATGTGACTTTTCAAATTACTGATACTTTATTTTTAAAGTTTGATTTAATTTAACAGCTATCATATAGCCACTTTCTGCATTTGGTTATGTATTAGTAGTACTTCTGTGAGTGACTTAATCATTTCCCTGGGGCTCCACTGAATACTGTCACATTCGGTATTATGTTCCAATATATGAATTTCATGGGGACACCAACATTGAGATCACAGCAATTGATCCTTTTGTCATTGATGGTTCATCTGTTTTTATTAATTTATGTATTGCCTATGTCATATTATTTATTATGCACCATGCTTGTCTAAGTTGTCTTTAGAAAATAAAGCAAAAAGCAATATTTTTTACAGTAAAACGGTAACCAGTTGCTTTATATACTTACAATTTGAAATTAAGTTCACTTGGCCTTTTTCTGAGCAATATTTAATGTTTAGCGGTATCCTTCATTGAGATGTCTTTTTCTGAGTTTTAAATTTGGAATTAAAATTTTCTCTGCAAAAGCAATCAAAACAATAAATAATTATCCAGAAAGACAATTATTTTTAATCTTTCACAATCCTTGATTGGATATGGGATTTTTTTTAATGGGTCATAGAAAAAAATCCTTTTCACAGAATCTTAATCATTAGCAATTGAATTGTAATTTAAGTAACAGACGTCTATCTAAACATTGTGAGATAGTAAATAGGATAAACTGTATCCATACTGGTAACAATATGTTATAATCATCTGCTCAACTTCTTTTTGAAATTAGGATGGATATGAATGTCAGACATATTACCAAAGAAATAAGACTTTTAGATAAAATATTTAGGAATAAAAATGCAGTATGGGGCAATTTATCTTTTACATTGTTTTGTAATTTTATGTGGCAATTCTAAAAAAAGGAAGTAGGCTAACATACAGGGTCAGAGAATTGGTAAGATGGCTATAAAATTGGTGAAACACCATCATAATAAGTGGTTTAAAATAATCACCGTATCAGTAGAGCCAATTCTGTTTTTGCTAAATAACATCTCCCTACAGAAACTTCTGACAGTTGTGGATATATTGGTCTTTATCATTTCAAAATTTAAATGATAGCCTGCAGAAACCCTTAATAGCATTGACATCGTTCTTTCACAGACATTAAACACCCTACTAATTATCAAGAAGCACACTAAGCTCTAGGGATAAAATTGTGAGCAAAATAGACCTAGTTCAGATGTAAATGATTTTACAGTAGTGGAAACCGATATTAGATTTAAAAATACATATGCGAACTTAATTACAGTTGTGCTAGGCTATAAAGGAGAATGGCACAATGTTATGAGAGAGCATGATTGAAGATGAGCCTAGTCTGGCAGATGAAATAGTGGTCTGGGGAAAGTTTTCAAAGAAATCTGTGTTGAGATCGAGGTGTAAGGATGAGAAGATGCTGGTAGATTAAATGGGAAAAGAATATTTCAGGCTAAGGAGCAGCTTGCCTAAAAGGCCAGTGCTGGGAGAGAGCAAGGCATTTTCAAGGAACTGAGGAGAGTCAGGAGGCATTTGGAAGTATGGGTCTGGAGTTCAAGAGACCAAACTAGGCTTTACATGTGGCTTGTTACTGAAGCTATCCATAGCTATGGAGAAAATCACTTATAGAAGAGAAGGATGGGCCTGGAGCACTGACACAATTTCATACACAGTACAAAGTCAAAACTGGTTGGGTGAGGTTGTAGATGGTAGGATACAAGTGAAGGTGGGGGACTTTAAGTCCCTTCTCATCTTGAGATTTCTGCCTATGTAGAGTAGAGATGGATAAGCAAGGCCAGAAACTTCTTTAGAAGTAGAAGTGCTGGTGGTGTGTGAAATTTTAAAGGTATCAGCAAATGACCAAATTTTATGAATAAACAAATTGTCAATATTGAGCATAGATACTGTTTTACTCTTGCAATTAAATAAAATATAGAACACTGTTAATCTGTCAAACATTCAGTGTGATCCATATCAAGTATGGATATCTAATATAAATGTATTTCTATTGTTGTGCTCCATAACATAGAAACCAAGAAATTCACCACACATCATAACCATGTTTTACTTCGTCAACCAAACTACATCATTAGTTTTTTGTTGCCTAAAACAATCACTGATAGTGACAACTTTTCTGATATTATGTGTTTTGTCACTGTAGTTTTCTTAATTAAACGCTCATGTAATAAAAACAAAAACTTTGTGCTCTTAGGAGCTGTGGTTCCTTTGCATGCCTTGCAGCCAACCACCTCCATCTCTCCAGCTTACAGCTTTGTTTATGTGTATTTGGCTTCACAATTTGTCCCAGAAAATTCGGTATTGGCGGACCCTAAGACACAGGGATATTTCATTGCATACCTCTCATGTAGAAGAGTGATCACGTACATGCTTGCAGCAGATGAATAGAAAACTAGGCTCCATGGAGGCCAGAAAACACCGTGAAATGATGTTGGATTCTCTGTAGCTGGTCATATAAAAGCAGAGGAGTGAATTAGAAATTTCTGACCCTGACTCCTTAATAACTAGGTACAACTAGAACAAGCTGACTCATACATAAAGTCTTACATGTAGTATAATTTCAGATTAAGGAGGAACCACTGCATATACATGAAAAAATAAATCATTAACGTAAATGAAATAAATTAGTTCAGTGATATTAGACTTATTTGTCTCTCTTGACTGGGAAGTGGAGATGGCTTTGGAGTTTGGAGGTAAAGAGTTGAGAACCTGGAAAGCCCTAGTTGCCTGAAAGAAAGAAAAATATGCTCTTGGATGTGAGGCAGAAGATAATCAGCAAAAGAGGGAGACTAAGGACAGTGAGATTTCTCTCCACAATTTTGCCTTAGATTGAACGTATTTATCTTAGTCTTTTCTGAGAAATAGAAGCAGTGAAGGAAAACAGAAACAGAACCCAATTGTCAAGCATGGCTGATGTGTAGGGGACAATCGCCTGGCAGCACATCTCCAACTCTTTGACCTCTTTCCTCTTTAGAGTCTTAGCTGTACCTCTCTTCCAATCAGTGCTTTAGTAGTCTTAGCACTACTGCAATTATGCCATGGCTTTAAAGGGTGAGAATCATATCCCTCTGTGTACACATTCCTTGAATTCAGAGTTGTATTACTTCCAATTTTCACAGTATGTAAATATGGGTAAGAAATGGACTTTGCATATAAAGCCAGAAAACAGTAAATCTAAGAAACAGTGAACTGGTTGTTCCTGGCTTTCTTGCACTGGACTTACACAGAATCATAATGATGAATTGTTATTACAAGGGCACACTTAGCCATCTTGTAAATCACTGTGTGAATAGGGATAAAAGTGGATTAACACATTTCAACCTCATTTAACTCCCTGTGGGAAAACTTGTAGATTGTCCACATATTATAAACAACTAGTTGTTAACAACAGGGTCCAGATGTCTAGTTTAATAATGGACAGCCTGCTGTCTCAAGTCTGTCAAAAACTGAAATACTACTCTGTCCCCTAGGGATCAGATAGGGTGATCAGCAAGCTGCACAGGTTCCATTAAGGAGTGATGGTAATGACTTCTGTCACTGCCACACCATGTGGTGATTACATTGGCAAATTATAGATGGAAGCTGTCAGTATTTTGTTTCCATTTCTTACCTTTCTCTGCTCAAAAGAGTTTATGTGCTATTTCATCCATTTCCAATAAAAATGCAGAAGATAAGGTGAAAATGTATGATAATATTGAATATAGTATTTATCACAGCATCAGAGAACATTTACCAACTACTTAGCATGTGTCAAACATTTTTCTAAGCATGTTACATGTATTACGTATTACTTTATTTAATCTTTATACCAATTCTGAGAAATTCTGTTATTTTTCCCATTTTACAAATGAATCAACCAAGTTACAGAAATATATCACTTGTTCAAAGTCACATGACCTGTAAGAGGTAACTAGAATCTAATTATTATGCCTATTCACTATGTTTACAACATACACAAATGTGATTTAATGCTATTTAAATAATAGGAAGAACAAAATTCAAACAAATTTAAAGGCTTTTGAAGACAGAAAAGTCATACAGCTCTTGCATCCCCATAGGCCAGTGTTATAGTGACTTGATTAAAATAAGTGTTAAGGAATTTTTGAAGTTGGTCATACTTTCTGAAAGAAAAACCTCTTTTGCCTCTAGATGTAGAGCATGGTTCTTTTGATAGTCTGGAGAAAGTAGAATGACATGGAAAATCAGCAAAACAAACTAAGGCAATGGTTTTATTTGTGTGTGTATGGGGGTATAGATTATTATTGATTGATTGACTGAAATAGGGTAAAGGTAGTTAGTATCCCAGAAACAAAATGAAAACAGTATCCCAGGAACAAAATAAAAACAGCACAATGGATAATATGAAAAAGCAAGTGAATAATAAATGAATCATGAGCATATATCAATCAAAAAGACATCATGTAAGATCAAATAGTTAACTTACTAAGACGTTTTAAAATGTCCATTTTGAATGCTTTGGACAGGGTCATCCATTTATTTGCTACTTTAGTTAATCCACAATTATTACTATTTTTTATAGCTATGTGTTTTATTTTTTAATATTTTTCTCAGTAAGACTTTAAGATTTCCTATTTATGCTTCTATCTCCTGAAGTATTTGTACTAGAGTGAAATTGATTTTTTTCTCAACACTGTACTGGGATAATGAAAACACTATGCAGGGATGTTATGAAATTTACATATCATAAAGTGAAGTTACTTGATTTAGGGCTTAACACTTACACCTACTTATTAGTATGTTTTGCCTATTCTAAAGATTTGCAGTGGTTCACAGAAATTCATGCAATAGCATAGAGTAAACAGAAAGTACAACAGAATGAAAAGATAATAAGGAAAAAACCAAGTTAGGAGTATGTAGGTACATAGTATGACTTCCACAAATTTGTATGTATTTACTGGAGATGGGTTGCGAGGTTAGCCAGAGCAAAGATAAGGGCATGATCAGTTGCATAAGATGAGAAATGAACTGGTAGTTCAGAAGAAACACAGCTTTCCTTGGGGCTCAAATTTAAAGGAAATTTATCCTGTGGATCTTTGATTAGTGTACAGTATTCTTATCCACTCTCCTATCATAAAATAGCAAGTTTCATAAGACTCATAACATTCTCACTCCCTGGTGCTGATATAACTATAGAGAATTGTTCTCTTAAAGTAGATCTACAGGACACACCCAGTACTGTATTTCAGGTATATCCTATAGGAAAAAAAAAAAAAGTACGTGAGGTTACAGATTGATTATATTATTGATATATTATATTGTGTACAGTGTACACTGCTCAGTCTTTCATGTAATCTTCCTTAAAAACCTTTTTTTTTTTAGTGTAGGTGGCTTTGATTAATAATAAAGGATGCGAAGAGATTGAAGTTACATTCTTTGTTGAGAACCTGATATGTAAATGTAGTCAATAGATACTATAATAGAATGGCTGTCCTTTGATGGAGAACATACTAGGATTCTAACCAAAACACAAACCTGAATTATGTTTACTCTCTCCTCTTCACCTATATTGGACTAACTAATTTATTTTCTTTTTCCACAAGTGCCCAAAGTAAATATACAATTTAATGTTCTATTAAGACTTTGTAAGGGCTGGGTGGGTGGCTCATGTCTATAATCCCAGCACTCTGGGAAGCCAAGGCAGGCAGATTGCTTGAGCCCAGGTTCTAGATCAGCCTGGGAAAAATGGCAAAACTCCATCACTACAAAAAGTACAAAAAATTAGCCAGGTGTGTTGGTGTGTGCTGTAATCCTAGCTACTCGGGAGGCTGAGGTAGGAGGATCGCTTCAGCTTGGGAGGTCGAGGCTGCGGTGAAACGTGATCACATGATTGCATGCCAGCACGAGACCCTGTCTCAAACAAACAAAATAAATAATTGAAAAATAAAGACTTTGTAAGAATCCTGAATTTGGTTATTAATATAGCCATATACAGCCAGCCTTCTCATATCCATGGGTTTTGCTTCTGTGGATTTAACCAATCATGGAGGGAAATTATTTTTAAAAAACAAATAATCCCATCAAAAAGTGGGCAAAGGACATGAATAGACAAGTCTCAAAACAAGATGCACAAATAGCCAGCAAACATGAAAAAATGCTTAACATCACTAATTATCAGGGAAATGCAAATTAAAACCACAATGTGATACCACCTCACTCCCACAAGAATGGCCATGATTATGAAGTCAAAAAACAATAAATGTTGGCTTGGATGTGGTGAAAAGGGAACACATTTACATTGCTGGTGGGAATGTAAATTAGTACAACCACTGTGGAAAACAGTGTGGAGATTCCTTGAAAAACTAAAAGTTGTACTACCATTTGATCTAGCAATCCCATACTGGGTACCTACTCAAAGGAAAAGAAGTCACTATGTGTGTGAAAATGACACATGCACATGCATATTTATAGCAGCATTACTTGTAATTGCAAATATATGGAACTGACCTAAGTGCCCATCAACCAACAACTGGATAAAGAAAATGTGATATATATATATATATACATCATGGAATACAACTCAGCCATAACAAGGAACAAAATAATGTCTTTTGGAGCAACTTGGATGGAGCTGGAGGCCATTATTCTAAGTGAAGTAACTCAGGAATGGAAAACCAAACATCATGTGTTCTCACTTGTAAGTGGAAGCTAATCTATGAGGATGCAAAGGCCTACGAGTGATATAATGGACTTTGGAGACTTGTGGGGAAGGTCGGGAGGAAGGGTGAGGGTTAAAAGACTATATATTGTGTACAGTGTGCACTGCTCAGGTGATAGGTGTACTAAAGTCTCAGAAATCACCACTAAAACACTTATCCACATAACCAAAAACCACCTGTGCCCCAAAAACTATTGAAATAAAAATAAGAATTAAAAGCCTACTACAAAAAATAAAAATGAAAACCCAGTACAGTATTACAATTATTTACGTAGCATTTACATTGTACTAGTTATTATAAGTAATCTAGATTTATACTTGATGGGAGGGTATGATTAAGTTATGTGCAAACGTTATGTCATTTATATCAGAGACTTGAGCATTTGTGGATTTTAGTATCCCCAGGGGTCCTGGAACCAGCCCCCTCTAGATACCAAGGGATGACTGTTTATATGCACATAGATAGAGATATATATAAAGCACATGACTATTGTAGCCAACTTCTGGTTGCTAAGTAATTCATATCATATGAATAACCTCAAGCTAGTGCACAGCTTTTTAATTTGTCTATCACCATTATTATCACTATAATTATTTCAATTATAGTGAATTAATATCATTAATTCATTAATATCAATTAATTCATTAATATCAATATAATTATTTCAATTCTCCATTTCAAAAACTTACAGTAGATTTGTACTATTTTTTTCAAATTCCCTCCTCAATTAGGTATTGAGCTCCACCTATTCTTTCTTGGTACAGTTTCATCCTATCTTATTTAAATTACTACAGCACTTGCCAGCATAGCTCATTATTCCAGGTCTGTTTTATGCACCCTATCTCCAATAATCTTCAATGCTTAACTCGAGCCTCAGTCAACCTATGCATTTTCATCATAGTCTTCTTAAACATGATTTTACCATATCATATTCCCATTTAAAAACCTATGGTATGCCGTTAATGCTATTATTTGAAATATAAACTGCTGACTCAACATTCAAAGCTCTTTATTAATTGGCTTTTCTTCCTAAAATGCTTTTTGAAATTTGATCTGTGTATTTATTCACAGAAATCATCCCTCTTTTCACAAGCTGATGTCTGCTTTAGTGCCTTTGCTTGTGTCATACCATGATCTGAGGCTGTCTGGTATCATGTCACCCCCTTTTTCATTACCAGACTCTAAATTGGATGCAGTGCCAGAGTTATTAATGACATTTTGAAATCACTCTGATTACTCCATATATTCTACATGCCATTATTTTGTTTTATAATTATGCTTATATTTTTGAAGGTATAACATAACTTTCTAGAGGTAAAGCCATGTCTTTAATTCGTTTTGGATCCTCCTACATTATTTAACGCAAGTAGTCCATACAAAGGCTCCAAGAATTTTAGTCCTGTAGTATAAATAAGATATTACCAAAAGAAAAAGAAATATGTCACAGCTATGAATATATAGGCCACCACATATATATGTGTACATTATTATAATAAAAATGAGTCATTTGAATTAAAATTCTGATCCCCCTTAGAAACAAAATAGTTTTTAATGTTCATTCTAAGCCTAGGCATTGTAGTTTAAGGTATTTGACTTGAAAATGTCTTTTCTACATCTAATTTAATATTCACAAGGAGCTTTTCTGTGGAAATAGCAAAGCAGAATGTGCTTCAGTCCATAATTCATACTGTGACAGTTCAAATGACTGTTAAAGTGAATTCTGAAATTTACACAGGGAACTGCTCAGTGAAAACCATCAATCTGCTTGACAGCCAGCAGTGCCATTGTCCAAGGGACATGTGGAGGTGTTGTAAATGATCAACTCCATCTCATACTCACATAGGTAGTGGTAGTTATACAGAATTGAGATGAATGGTATTGAATTCTTGTGTGTGTGTATGTGTGTGTGTGTGTTGGTCTTCTGTAAAAATCTTTTTCTTTTCCTTATTGAGAAACAGTGCTTATAATAGTTTAGGGTCTGTTTAGTTTTGCAGTGTTAGTATGAATAAAGAATGATTTTCTTGAAGAATAAAAAGTATGTGAAATACATCTGTGACCATTATCTAAACAACGTGTTCTAAGTATTCGAATAGAAGGTACGCTATTCAAAAATATGTACATTCCTGTTATTAAATGTGTAGAAAGTCATATCTTTTGTAGGGTTTCTTTTTTGTTACATGGAGTGACCAGTTTTTTAAATTTTTAATTTTTGTGGGTACATGGTAGGTGTATATATTTTTGGGGTACATGAGATGTTTGGATACAGGCATGCAACGTGTAATAATCACATCATGGAAAATGGGATATCCATCCCCCCAAGCATTTATCCTTTCTGTTACAAAAAATCCGATTATACTCTTTTAGTTATTTTCGAAACCAATCCCACTACTGGGTATCTACCCAGAGGAAGAGAAGTCATTATACAAAAAGATACTTGCACATGCATGTTCATAGCAGCACAATTCACAATTGAAAAAATTTGGAATCAGCCCAAATGCCCTTCAATCAATGAGTGGATAAAGAAAAAAATAAAAAAATACATATATACACATATATATGTGTGTGTGTGTGTGTGTGTGTGTGTGTGTGTGTGTGTATATATATATATATATATTATATATATGATGGAATACTACTCAGCCATAAAAAGGAATGAATTAATGGCATTTGCAGCAACCTGGATGGAATTAGAGAATATTATTCTAAGTGAAGTAACTCAGGAATGGAAAACGAAACATCATATGTTCTCACTCATAAGTGGAAGCTAAGCTATGAGGATGCAAAGGCATAAGAATGATAGATGGACTTTGGGGACTCGGCAGGAAAGGGTGGGAGGGGGTAAGGGATAAAAGACTACAAATTGTGTTCAGTGTATACTACTTGGGTGATGGGTGCACCAAAATCTTACAAATCACCACTAAAGAACTTCCTCATGTAACCAAATACTACCTGTTCCCCCCACATTTTATGGAAATAAAAAATTATTTTATTAAATTAATTTATTAAATTTTCTTAAAAGTAATTTTTATTAAATTTAATAGAAATTATTTTTTATTTTATAGAAATAAAAAATTAAAATACATAAAAGTAAAAGTACATTTAAATTATTATTGACTATAGACTCCCTCTTGTGTTATCAAATACTAGGTCTTATTCATTCTTTCTGACTATATATATATATGTATATATATATTTATATATGTGTATATACATACATATATAATCAGATACATATATGTATGTCTATAGACATATATATGTATTTCTAACTATATATATGGTTAGGAAGCATTTGATAGCACATATATTAATATATAACTTTCTAACTATATAAAACTATAACTATATAAATACATTTATATATTTATATATAGTTAGAAAGTTATATATTAATATATTTATATATAGTTAGAAAGTTATATATTAATATATGTGCTATAAATATAAATATATAAATATACAGTTAGAATGAATAAGATTATATATATATATCTTTTTTATCTTTGGTACCCATTAACCATCCCCACCTCCTCTCCCAACACCCCCACACTATCCTCCCAGCCTCTATTAAACATTCTTCTACTTTCTGTCTCCATGACTTCAGTTGTTTTGATTTTTAGATCCCACAAATAAGTGAAAAGATGTCATTTCTGACTTATTTTATTTAACATAATGACCTCCAGTTCCATCCATGTTATTGCAAATGACAGAATCTCATTTTTTTTTATGGCTGAATAGTACACCATTGTGTATATGTACCACATTTTCTTTATCCATTCATCGGTTGATGGAAATGGGTTGCTTCCAAATCTTGTGCCGCAACAAACATAGGTGTGAAGAGCACTTTTGATTTACTTCCCTCTTCTTTGTAGTGCCAGAAAGAAGCTTGTAATACATCTCTTTACACTTGAAGCTTTGCTACCACATGGAAGATAGGAAAGAAATTCTAGTACTTACAGAAACATATAATTAAATGCATGCCTATAAACACTAATTAAAATTTTTATTATCGAGTTGCTCTGACTTACTGATTCCATTTTTCCTACAACATATTTCATGTAATATCTCATTCTAGTAAACTTTTATAATGAAGCCAGGGTCAGCTCCTCTGTGCATCCCAAATTATGTTCAAATTTAACTTAATCTTGCTACCTTATGATGTGGGATAATGCATAAGAAGTACTTGAAGGATATCATCCCACACTTACAGTATCCTTGACCCTTATATTGTGCTGGAGAGATAAGACATACAAATTAACTATTATATAAGTTAGAATTTGGTACAAAGGATTGTACTATGAGAGCATTGGAGATTTGCATTCTTGGAATATTGTAGGTCAGTCCACATTGCCCTGTAGTATGTTGATTAATGAGTCTTCAGAATGCAAAACTTCTTTTAACAAAGCCATCATTTCATCATATAGGTGTTGAGGAAGTCTTGGTATTTTTGGTGCGGGGGTGGTATATGACAAGTGTGTTAGTCTGTTTGCATTGCTCTAAAGGAATACCTCAGGCTGGGTGATTTATAAAGAGATTAATTTTGGCTCACAGTTCTTCAGGCTGTGCAAGCATGGTACCAGCATCCTTTTTCTGGGGAGGGCCTCAGGAAGCTTCCACTTATTGTGGAAGTTGTAAGAGGGGAGCTCGAATGTCACATGGCAAGAGAGGGAGCAAGAGAGAAAGGAGGTGCCAGGCTTCTTTAAACAACCAACTCTCTTGTGAACTCAGAGTGAGAACTCACTCATTGCAGTGAGGACTGCATCACATCATTCATGAAGGATCCGCCCTCATGACCCAAACACCTCCCATTAGCCCCACCTCCAACATTGGGGATCATTCTCTATCTCTCTTTTTTTGTGTGTTTGTGTGATTCTCATGCCTCAGCCTCTCGAGTAGCTGGGAGTACAGGTGCATGCCACTATACCTGGCTAATTTTTGTATCTTTTTGTAGAGACAGGGTTTCACCATGTTGCCCAGGCAGGTCTTGAACTCCTGGCCTCAAGTGATCCACCCACCTCCTCCTCCCAAAGTACTGGGATTACAGGCATGAGCCACTGCACTCGGCCTGAGATCTCTTTTCAACATGGGATTTGGAGGTGGTGTAACATCTCAACCATATCAGTAAGGAAGAGAATACACCTATAAAATGTGGTTGAGGTGAACTCGATTTTACTGCCAAGTAACGTGAAAATAACAATTTAGAAACAGGAGCTTTGTTTTACTTAAAATTTTAAAGTAGATCAACCTTTAGGATTTTGTGAGTGATGGAGCCCTTGCCCACCCCAACCTCCTCACCAAAAAGTCATTTTCACCTGGAGGAGCATGTCCTACATTATCTGGAAGGGCAGTGAAGAAAGGAATGAGGCTAGTGCCAGGGTCTGGGAGGAAGCAGGAAAGCAAGGCTCTGGAGGAGGAGTGCGGGCTTGGGGCTGTCACCTGAAACCCGTCCTCCATTGCAGTGACCATTACACTATTTCTCTTTCTTATAACAAGCCATCTCATAATTAGAATCTGTCCTGCTTGTTAACAAATATTATCTGTCAGTAGCTGGCATCTGCTGATCACCTGTGGCAGATGTGGGATTTCTATACAGTTCTTTTTACCCTCAGCCTTTTGTATTTTTGCTCATTTGGCATATTTTAAATGCCTTGTGTGAAGAACAGCTATACTCGGTCAAAAGTGTGGGAAAAGTAAAGATTGGCAAGTAGCAGTATACTTGGCTTTATTCCTTTCAATGTCTGCTTTAACATTTTGGTGATTTCCCAAAGACTAGAGGGTCACAGTGTGTTTACTTTGCATTTTTTTTATTTGTATAAATTTAAGGGATACAAGTGCAGTTTTGTTACGGGGATACACTACGTAGTGGTAAAGTTGTGGCTTTTAGTGTAGCTAAAACCTGTATAATGTATATTGTACTCTACACACTATTTTTAAAACAACAATGGCTACAAAAATGTGTTCTCTGGTGTTGGAATGAAAAAAGCAAGAGGAAAGTCAGAGTCACTTTGTTTAAAAAGTAGCATTTAGAAGGTTTAGGAGTACACTGTAGGTAATGCTTAGTAAAAATTGATTTAGAAATCTGTATGCATAAATTAAAAAACTCTTTTAATGAAATGGGATGAGTATGATAGACTGTAGGTTCAAAAACTGGCTGAATGAAAGGGACGATTCAGTATATTCAAAACACCTACAGAGAGCCAAGAATATCAAGAATGTGGAACAGTAGTCACATATAATCAGAGTTAATGAATAAATGTCACAAATACACATACTCATGTTGTATACTTTTATAAGAAAGGGAGAAATTCATTAGATTGATTATGAAGGGGCTGGCCTCAGAGGGATTGGTTTTTGGTTTGGTAAACTCCCCAAAGAGAGACGGTTTCAGAATGGAAACATGAGGAAAAATGTTATGCTTAAACTTAGAAAATTTATTTGCTAATAAACTATTCAAATAATTTTATTATTTTATCTTAAAAATATATTTTTGACATTTAATGCCAACACCTCTAGACTACAAATACTACGTTAAATTCTTTCAAGAACATTAAAAAATGTAAAGTTGGTACATTTTAATGTATAGAATTTTTAAAAGAAGAACATGTAAAATACTTTGACTATTCACGTGTGCACACACACACACACTTTTTTTTATATATATAGTGACTTTAAGGATTATGTTTACACAAGTGGAGTTATACAATAGAAGATATTGTTGTACAAACTGATGTTTTCACTTAACATATTGTTACGTAAACCTACTTAAATCCATTGTTTTGTGACATGTATTTCTAAGTAGATTCCAAAACAAGATTACTTTTGATAGTATAATATTCTATAATATGAATATATCGTGTTTATTTAATTAGGTGTTGTTAGATATTTAGGTTGCTTTGATGTTGATATTTTACATTCTTGTCTTTAAATACTTATAGGCTTTTTGGGGGATTCACTGATGATTTTATTAAAATAAATTCTTCATTTACTAAATAAATTCTTTCATTTACTAAAATAAATGAAATTACCCTGTTGAGGAATAAGAGTATGAGTATTTATATTTCATGGTGTTTAATGCATACTTCCATATCATACCCTAGAAATAAGATTTCGTTCCTATACACAGTTAGTAGTCTATGTATTATTGTTCCTTGGTAAAAATTAATTGCTGCCCATAACTATACAACTTCTATAAATCATTGTAAAATATAAGTTTCTAACATGACTGATTAGAAAACACTATGTTAATCCTTTTTACTTTCTGGGTATACTATTATATCATTGTAGATTTGTGTCATTGGGAAAACAAAGGCAAACAAGGACATTTACACAGCTTATGTATTAAGAATAACAATAAAAGTGACTGCTTTTTAAAAATCTCAACAGAATGTTTGCAATAAGACAGTACAGTTTTTGTTTTGCTAATAAAATCTTTGTTTTGCTATGTGTTAGTAAGGAAAGTAAAGGAAACAGATTAATAAATCACACTTTGACATTGCCTTCTTGGAGAAGCTAATGATAAAAATAGATAATATTCATGTTTTCATTATTTTAAGTAAATCATCACATTTGTTGTGTACTGCACCTGGGGCATTAGGGCAACAGCTTTTGCTTTAAATGTTTGTTTTCCTGTTTTTTTTTCCCATCTATTTAATTCACATTCAGTGCTACAGAATATCACTTTTCAGTCAGATATTACAAGTCAAATGTTTAGGTACTGCCAATGCTACTAATACCATGTTCAAATAACCTGCAGAAGTTGAACTGCAAGATTTAAGATATTCAAAAGCCACTCCGTCTTGAAATAGCAGTTCAGGTTAACAATAAAAGAGAATTTGCCCCTTTCTTTGCCTCAGCTGATAGAAAAGGTTTTTCAAAGTATTGATTATGATTATTGTAATTTTTCCACACTATCTTATCAAGGCAAGAACCAGGCAGGCATTGAGCCAGCAAGTGCTACCATTTTTGAAAAGATGAATGAATTTTTCTCTCAAATTAATTAGATATTTGGGAGCAGTGGAGCATGTCAGTATATAAGCAGGATAATTTGAACTGTCTTAATTTTGCAGTGGACTTTTATTTTACTTTTCATCATGTTACCCCTACCCATGCCATTGCATAGTCAATTTAATTCTAAAAGCAAATATCAAAGAGTTTGGGTTACATACTCTATGGGTTATTTTTGATACTTCTTTTCATTAAAACAGAAGATTTAAGTTTAAATGGAAAGTAATTTTTTTTCTATTGAGTACTTACATAAAAATATGTCTATAGATTATTGTAATCAAAGCCTACAAAGCTAAATCTTATAGCCTTATATCTAAATCAGGACTCTGAAATTAAGACATGATACACAGCTATCTGAATAATTATATGGAATGTTAATAAATGATAATATCTTGTGAATTCTGGTATGATTATTATGGTAGCAATTAAATAATATAAGGTAAAAGTCATATGCTTCTTTAATGTCACTATATTAGAGCTGTTGAGGGTATAAAATCTTAACCAACTCTTTCTGATGAGTTTGGTCCCTCTTCCAGCGTTTAGTAACTGTATGGTCTTGGGCAATTATGTAATCTCTCTAGTTGTCAGTGCTCTCATCTGCAAAATGAAGATAATAATTTTACTGCTGTTGGTAGGTAATAGATAATTTATGAAAATTCCTTAGCTCAGTGCTAGGTAATAATTACTGCTAAATGATACCTTCTTAGTCTTTAGAAGTCATCAATATGTTGTTATTCGATTTTTTAGGATTTGGAAAAAATATTTTTGAAAACACATTAAGTGTATAAAGTGCCAGTTCTTGTTAAAATTTTATTCAAATTTTTTCCATGATTCGAATATTTTCTATATTTCAGTAAGTTGCTTTGAGGAAAGTAGAATCATCACAGCAGAAGTTTATTGCTCTTCATGTTTCATAAACTCAGTCCATTTGAATGATATTATGCTAATTGAGTTTTAGAGAGTCAAGCTTCACGTCAAATATTTTTTCTCTCATACTTGTGGAAAGCAAGAGTTCTGTTCTCCTATTAGCACTTATTAAATATTGTGATTATTATTCAATGTGGACACATTTTATCAATAAAATAAGAGCTCAGGGGAGGAACACGAAGAATATATAGTTTGTAATGGTAAGATATGGTGGAAGAGATTGTAAATTGTACTACTTACAGTTGTTGTTGTTTTTTTTTTAATCCTCTTGATTTTAATGTTAGTAGCCTCTAAATTATTTGCCTCTGACTATTTCTTTCTACTTGTCTTCCTGAAAACTCATGTTTCATAGTAGAAAATGTGGTTTGATATTGGGTTTTCCAATAGCAGAGTAAGAAAGTGACTCAATGATAAATCAGGTACTCTTATTAATGATAACAGAAACGAATAATAATACAGGTAAGAATTCTTATTATTCTAGCAGCAGGAGATGTCTAGATTATCAATTGACTAGTGTCAAACAAATTTTCCCCAAAATGATTGAATTCTTAATAATATTACTGATAGTTTTAAAACTTTAAATCAAGAGTTTAAAAACCCCATGAGATTTTTAAATAAAACAACAAAATGGGGAATTTAGCAGCAAGAAAAGAAGTGAAGGGCTTGATTAATCTGCTAATTATATGCATATTAATTAATTAATTTCCTTATTTTGAAACAGAGTCTCACTCTATTACCCAGGTTGGAGTGTAGCAGCAGAATCTCAGCTCAATGCAATCTGTGCCACTGGGGCTGAAGTGATCCTCCTGTCTCAGCCTCCCAAGTAGCTGGGACCACAGGCACTTGCCACTACGCCTGGATAATTTTTTGTATTTTTTTAAATAGAGATGGGGTTTTGCCATGTTGCGCAGGCTGGTCTCAAACTCCTGAGTTCAAGGAGCTCAAGATATCTGCCACTTTGGCCTCCCAAAGTTCTGGGATTATAGACATGAGTCATCATGCTTGGCCTGCTAATTATATAATTAAGAGTTCAATAGAGTTGAGATTTATGTGCATTTAATAAAAAAAGTTTCATTTATGTTTATTGCCTCTATAAAATGTAACTGATGGGCTATAAAAACTAAAGTACTTGAAAGTATGAGTGTATCTAAAGTTTTAAATCCTGTACTTCTAGATGAGCTATTCCATTTTCAGTCTATGAATTGCTAAGACTATGTCCAAGGAATTACACTGACAAACCTAATGGATGAGTGAGTGAATGTCCTTTTCTTTTTTGATTACAAGAAAAAAATACTCTAAAATAATCCCATTCTCTTTCTTGCTCTGTTATTTGTGAGTCATCAAATTCGTTTTGTGATCTCTATAATGTTTTTTTTTAATTAGTTAGCTTCCTCTTGGCTGTAATAAATAGCTCAGTTATTTCCACTAAATTGACCCATCCATTCCATTTATTTGGGCAATTGAATTATCGACTGAGTGGAATGACAAAGAGAATTCATTAGTATTAATTGTTTAGATAAATATGTGTGGTCCAATAATCAAAATATAAATTAAATATATGTGTAGAAAACCTTTAGAGGAAACGTTTCTTTTCCTCTCTTCACAGTTTATTTACTCACTACCAGTTACTTGATGTGTAAGTCAAGTCCCATCCTCTCTTTGAAGAGATAATTTGTGTAAAGTGTTTGACACAGAACAGGATTGCATAGTATCTTAAGGTTATAGCTAGTTTTTAATTTTCTGATCTTCCTTTTGCCTCTTCCTCACTACTGAGCTTTCTTCCTAGTCTCAGTTTTTGCGCTTATTATTTCATTTTTATAACTACTCCCTTGAGTTGTCATTTTTTAAATATCTGCAGTTTCTCCAACTAGACTCCAAGTCTCTTCTACATCGTATTGTACTCATACTTGAAAATAATAAATGCTTGGCAAATACTGAATGATAAGCCTCTTCTGCCTGTGAATGGTCCTTGTTCTGAGCAGAACACATGTGTGCTGACTCTTTTTCATGGGACCCACGCCTACTGGAAGCACCCTCTCCATTCGGAGTTCATCTTTGCAAACCCCACCCCCAAACAAACAAACAAAATGTTTTGTTTGGAACCCTGGGCAAAGTCTCCTGAATATTAGACTGGGTGATAAATCATGAATCATATTTGTACTTGGGTAAAATTTAACCCAAATTCCATTTGGAATCTTCAAGCTAATTAACTTCCTCCTGAGTCCCAAGGTTCTTTTTCTAGCAAAGCTTATATATTTACTATTAAAATAAAATCTGATATAAAAGTTGACAGGAATTTTCTCTTGACAACATTATTTCTAGTTACTACAATGTTTGACAATATACTTTTCTGAGAATATGTTCATTCATCTGTACTCTTTCTGTCTCATCCTCATACTCTGTTGATTTAATGGTCCAGGCATGCCCCTCTCTGCTAATCTTTTCTTCTAAGCCTCTTGGAATACGTGCACCCTTACAAATAAATTTTCCAGCACCTTCAGTTTTTTCAAGGAGAGTTCATCCATTTGTTAATTTGAATAGGAAACAAACTGTAACATTAGAATCTTTTTAATAAAAGCTGCTCATTTTCATACTGCTCCCCATATATCACAGGTTTGGAAATGTGTTACCCCTCTTCTTACAAATTATACACCATTACATTTCCCCTTATTTGAGGCGTATGTTATTTATTACAGCCTTTGCTTTTTTCTTGTCACTGTGTTTTGTCAACCTTTGGTGATTCCTCCACAATTATGGAGGGTTTGGGCGGGAGCTTCTATTCTTTTTATTTTATTTTATTTTATTTTATTTTATTTTATCTTAATTCCAGATGCTAGTATCATTGTTTTCGCATTCTTTGCCCAGGTAATACCCTGTTCCAGACCCTGCCTTTATAGTTCCTTTAGTTTGGTGACTTTTATATCCAATTCTGCCTGGCACCCTCTTGTTAGGCTGGACCTGAGTATGACCAAGATTGCTCTACTTCTGGAAACTTATGTGGCAACATCCCACCATGTAACTCTAACTTGTCCTTTCAGTGTTCACACTTCCTTACTAACACCAAACTGATTCATTTTTACATATCATCAAGACCTTCAGTACCCTATATATTTCCATGCTTTCCACCCATTTTTAACCTGAACTTTTCTTTCCTGGCTCTTATTTACTCTTCTATCTTGTGCATTCTTTCTTCTGCCCTATGGCTCTACTTACGTTTCTCTTAAAATTTCTGATGATCTTTTTCATGCCAGGTCCAATGAACAATTTTTTTTTTCTGATTCTCCTCCTCTTTCTTGAAACTTCCTTCTCTTGATTTCTATGATATCATTCTTCTTTGTTTTATGTCCTACTCATCTTATCCTAGTTCTCCTTTACAGTCTTCCCTTCTTTTATTTAGCACTAAAAATTATGTTTTATCAAGGATTCTTCCTTGGTTCTTTGCTCTTTTCATTTCTAGTTTGCTTTGTTTAAACTTCAATAAATGTAATTATATGTTGATGATTTCCAAATCATGATATTTGTCTTACTTCTCTGTGCAGAGCTCTAAAACTATATAGACTGCTTTCCACTGGGTGTCTTTTCATGTTCAGCAGACATTTCAATCCACAGTGTCCAAAATTAATTTTGTCATCTCTTTGAAACTATTTACCCTCTGGTATTTTTTGTGTTTAAATATGGTACCAACATGCAACCAGCCACCCAAGGCTGGATTATTAAATTCTTTTTAAAGCTTGGTTCATTACAGATCTCATTGATTCAATTCATAGATGGCTCAAATTGTTGTCCTCATGAGTCCATTTTAATTATTACGCTTCTAATTAATGTGCCTGCCTTTCTCATCTGAACTCTTGAGAGGTGTTTTAATTTTTCTGCCTCAGGTCTTCCTTCTGGCTGCCATTGGACAATTCCTCTCTCTGGAATGAATAACAACCTCTGAAGACATCCCACTCCACCTCTACATGTCACATGATATTCACCTATTTTTTGACCAGTTATCACTTACATAATCTTTATCTCAGCATTTTAGGAAGGCTTTTTCGCTATGCAAATCTCTGTATTTTATAATCCTGTATAATTATATTTTATAATCCTGTATAATTATATTTTATAATCCTATGCAATCTGTATTATCTTCTGTATTTTATGCTTTTCAAACCTTTATTGTACTCTATTTGTTCTACTTTATTTAGTTTGGACAAGCTGAAGCAGGTGACATGGTTCATCTGTATCCTTGCCTGATGCATCACTGAAATGTAAATGAATTGGTGGTGAGAGAATAATTCAAAGGACTCAGTGTTTGAACCAAGCCTAGTCAATGCTGTCAATGCTGCTGTATCTTGGGTGTTTGTGGAGGCACTAAGGTAGTGGCCAGGACTGAAGAAATTGGGAACTTGACCTTATAAGGCAGCTACAAAACTTGCCCTCTATCATTCTAACCAACCCTTCCAAACTTCTAAAAATCTCAGCTCCACTTCTGCAAGTTTATCTTCCCTGCTTGCATAAAATTGCAGTGCCTAATTTGAACACCTTCGGTATTCATCAAAAATACCAAAGGTGCTCAAATTAGACATTGCATTTTTTGCGCATGTCAAGTTGAAATCTATTCATGGATCTTTAGCTCCTTAAGAGAACATGCATATAACATTACTTTTTACTAGCATTCTTCCAAGTACTTTACATGCCCAACGAGAAAGCATAATATTATCCCCATTGTACAGCTGAAGAAACAGGCATAGAGAAGTTAAGTAATCCGTTGGTGATTACAAAGCTAGAAAATGGCAGAGCCAGGAACTTGAACCCTGTTTTTCTTGGCCATTAGGCTTGCTGGAAGGGGATACTAAGATGTAGGAAGGGAAGGTGGAGATGAGGGTCTTTGTTGATTTTCCTAAAAAAGTTGGCGTTGTACTGGCATATGGAGAGAAGTTGATAAGTAAATATTAAATACATACATGTTGGTTTTGAAATATATGATAAGACTTTTTAAAGTCTACCTGAAGAACTGGCAGTATTATTGGTTCTCCCACAGAATTTTCTTATGAAAGACATAATTTTCCTGAAATGTGAACATAGAGGCATTTGTGATGCCTATTATCCAGCTGTCATCTGTCTATTCATGTTGTACACATCTACTATAATTTAAATAGGAGAACAACAAAATGAAAGACTTAGTTTTCAAAACATAAGTAATGGAAGAAAGTGAATTTGATATATTTTTATGACAGCTTTTAGTAAATACTTTTAAAATGAACTGAAGTTAATTTATGCTTGAGTGGGATTTCTTTCTCTTTTTGGAAAGTTTTTATAAATAAATGAAAGAAAATATGTTCTTACTAATAACAGTTTCCCCTCCATCTTTCCCCCATCTCCTTAGGATACTTGTGGAATGTCTCTAGAGTGAGTCGGCCACTGAGAGGACTTTGTATTGTGTTAACTTCATTATATTGAAATTTTGGAATAGCCTCAGGGAATAAGGGACAGAAAAAAATGGGGCAATATTCACCCGGTGGCATTCATTTTCAGTAAAGAGCAAGTAAAACCCTTTATTAAATTTAATGTTTTATTTTTGCTTAGTTTGGAATATACATGTGTATTTCACATATATAAAAATAGAACTTTTTTTACTAAACTGGTCCAGATCTAGATATTTATAGGCATATGGAATTTGGAGGTTACAAAATTAACTTCTAAGAATAAATATTTCCTACTCCTCAAGTATCATGTAAGAATAATTTTTCTATGACAATAAAAAAAGCGAAACACTACAATCTGACCCATATTTTCTTGCCACAGATTAGCATTTATGTGATCTTATTCTAAGCCTATGTGGTACAGAAAGGTAAAAATGCTAAAAGAATGACTATATCACATATATACTAATATTTCAATGTTTAATTTTCTGAAAAAAAAACTGTACGTTTTGTAAATAGCTGTAGCAGCTATAGTCAAGATGATTTCTTGAGAAGAAATTACCTGTTCTTTAAAAAATGTTCTTGCCAAAATAATGATTGTACATAGCTCAAAAATCAGCTATTATTAGAAGGCTTACAAGAAAACAAGAACAAGTAAAACAACAATAACAAAAACCATCTGGCCCCTGCCTTCACCTTGTCAGCTTTTCCATGATGTACTTTTCAGAAAGAAACACTTTGAAGCCTTTTGAGTGTTTTTCCCTGCTTTTATTCTCTATAGTCAGTTTCACAGTTTCTCAATTTGAGGGAGTATTCATTGACTTCCTACTATGAAATATAAGGATTTAGCAGTCTAACTATACCATCACAACACACATCTCACTCCCCATTCTTCCAATACAGTAATTATTTTTGTTTAGAGCAATACCATGTATGCATATTATATGACTATTTCAGTTTTGCTCAGAACTGAGTAATGAGTATTATGATTATCATTTTCTTATTCAACTGTCTTTGTTTCTAAGTATATACACATTTTCATTTTGTTGTCTGCTAAGTTTTCTAGTTACCTATTGATAGTGTTTCACCAAGCACTGTGGTAGAACTATAAAGCCTTTCTCAGGGTAATCAAACACATCAGACAGTGTACCTGTGGGGAAGGTCCAGGTTATGCTGTGGAAAGAAACACTCTCAGATCCTCCGTGGTTCTCTTCTGTGGAGTTACTCAGGAACTCCCTCCCCTCCCACTGAACCATCTTCAAGCTTCATTCTGTACCCACATTTCTGTGGGATTGTTTATCACTTTTTTCTCTGTTGAGCTGGGGCTTCCATTCTATTATTTCTTCCATTTAGTATTTCTGGAGCTGGGACTTCCATTCATAATAAATCCATTATCTTAGGAATGCTCTTCACTTTCTTTACTCGAGTGTCCTATTTGCTGGATTTGTTTATTCTTTTGTATTGGTGAAGCACATTTTCCAGAAGCTTCCCTAGAAATGGTTTCAGGAGGAAAAGTTTTGAGCTTGTGCATGTCTGAAAATCTTTTTATTCTACCTTTCCACATGAATGGAAACATTTCTAGGTTGGAAAATTATTTTCTGTCAGAATGTGGAAGCCATTTTTCCATTCTTTTATCTTTCCATGTTTCTATTGAGAGGACCATGAACATTCGAATGAGACTTGCTTCCAGCCAATGAAAGCTGTATCACCAATGAAAGCTGTATCACCACTTTTCTGATATTTCATGATGCTGTACTTTAGTGTAGGTCTTTTTAAAAATTTAACTGGGAGGAGTGTGGTGGCTCATGCTCATAATCGCCGCACTTTTGGAGGGAGAGGTGGGTGGATCACATGAGGTCAGGAGTTCCAGACCAGCCTGGCCAACATGTTGAAACCCCTTCTCTACTATAAATACAAAAATTAGCCAGGTGTGGTGGCACATGCTTGTAATCTCAGCTATGGGGAGGCTGAGGCAGGAGAATCACTTGAACCCGGGAGGAGGAGGTTGCAGTGAGCCGAGATCGTGTCATTACACTCCAACCTGGGTGACAAAGTGAGACTGCATCTCAAAAAAAAAGAATTTCTACTTTTTTTTTCACTTTTATTTTAGGTTTAGGGGTACATGTGCATGTTTGTCACATAGGTAAACTTGTGTCATGGGAGTTTGCCATACAGATTATTTCATCACGCAGGTACTAAGCCTAGTACTCAATGGTTATTTTTTCTGATCCTGTCTCTCCCCCGACCCTCCATCCTCAAGTAGGCCCCAGGGTTTATTGTTCCCTTCTTTGTGTCCATCTGTTGTCATCATTTAGCTCCCACTTTTATGTGAGGACATGCTGTATTTGGTTTTCTGTCCCTGCGTTATTTTGCTAAGCATAGTGTATACAAAATGGGGGAAAAAGGAAAATAATCTATATGACATGGATAACATGTCATTGTACCTTTGTCCAAACCCATACGTTGTGCAGTACCACGAGTGAACCCTAATGTAAACTATGGGCTTTGGGTGATTGTGATGTGTCAAGGTAGGCTCATCCGTCATAACAACTGTACCTTCGTGGAGAGGGATACTGATAATGAGGGAAACTACACTTGTGTAGAGCTAGGGATTATATGAAAAATCTCTGTACTTTCCTCTCCATTTTGCTGTGAACATAAAAGTGGTCTAAAAAATAAAGTCTTTATAATAAACTCTAAAAAATGTTAATTGAATGCTATTTCATTTCACTCTAATACAAAAAAATAATTGGAAGCTCTTTATGAATCGACAGGATTTGTTGCCTGAGGATTTTACTGTGGGTGACATGGGGGGTAGCTGATTATTTCCTTGTTACTCCCTCTCCTCCCATCCAAATCCCGAATGCCAATATTTTTAGTCTCTTTGGTCAGTCCCTCTAGATTTGAATTCTCTAATGTTCTATCTTCTAGAGGCTTAATTGTAAAAGAATTCTTCATACGTTAAGTTGCAATGTGTGGACTTTAACATAGCCCCTGCAGTAGGTAGACTTTAACATAAGCGGAAGTGCCAACTCCCCTTCCTAATTTCTTTCCTTCCTGGCCCACTCTGATCTACAGCTAGTCTGTTTCATCCTCCAGTGCTCTGTGAGGTCAGGGAGTGATATTTGCATAATTCTGTGTGGTGAAGAAGGAGGTGTTGGTTCTAAGAGACTTTGCAGCCATTCTATTTTTTGCACCAATCCTTTCTCCGCGTTCAAGGCTCCCAGTTCCCTGAGTGACTTGTCTTTCCAGGTACTGAGGTGCTTCTTCTTGTCTTTCTGTGCTATCTAACATCCTGTCCGTTCTGGATCGGTTACAACTGATTGTTTTTTTTCCTAACTATGGAGTGTGGTAAGACTGCAGGTTTGGGATTGTTTTTTTTCCTAACTATGGAGTGTGGTAAGACTGCAGGTTTCCTAATTTTGATTCCAAATGAAAATACTTAAAAAATATCAATAGCACTTTTCTTTGAGCACTGTACTATATCAATGAGCTACTACAGCAGAAAGTATAGCATTAAGTAAAATCCCATAATGTGCTAAAAGCAGTGCAGATTTCATTTCTCATTGCCTGGTTTTCCTAATAAAAAAAAAATTACACGTTTTAAAATAACATGCATGAGAAACAGAGAAAGAGTTTAAAATGTTAGTGTATTATATTTTTTTGCTTCTTTGCATTTCTAATAATTTTTATTGGGTTGAGAGTATTATGAATTCTACTTTTTTGTCAGATATTTTGGATTTCCATAAATATTCTTGAGCTTTGTTTTAGAATATTTGGAGACAGTTTGATCCTTTTGGGTCTTGCTTTTAAGTTAGGCAGTACCAGAGCAATGCTCAGTCTAGGACTTATTCCCCATCACTGAGGCAAGACCCTTGTGAGGACTCTAACCAGTGCTCTCGGAATCTTGAGGTTTTCTAGGTTAGTTCAAGCACAATTCCTGGATTTGTGTTAGGGCCAGGCACCATTGCCATTGGTTCTTTCCTCAGCCTTGAATAGTTTCCTAACATACATATGTTAATCAAGGGTCAGCTGAGTGCTTAAGGGAGAATATCTACTGATCTCTGGAATCTATTATCTGTGCCGCTTTCTTCTCCCTAATTCTGTGTTGTGTGAATGCTTGCTGTTTTTGTCTTTTCAGACACTCATCTCTGTGCCTTCTCCATTCAGTCTGTCAGGCTTCATCTGTTTTTCCTGACTGTGGGAAATTTTCTCAAAACAGTAAGAATAAACTGAGGCAGTTGTAGGTTCACCTCATTTGTTTCTCGTTTCTCAGGAATTGCCATCCTTTGTTGTCTCATGTTCATCACCTTAAAATATTTTTGTGTGTGCGTATGTTGTCATTTTTGTTGTTGTTGTTGTTTTGGGAGTGGAGTAGGATGGGGTAGTAAATCTGGTACCTATTACTCTATCATTGCCAGCAGCAGAAGCTATAGGATAGATGTTGGCTTTTAACTGATTATATTGTACATTCTTACAGAATACCATATTTTCATAAACAGTTAATAAAGTAATAGTAATCTGTTGGCATAATTAAAAAGAAAACAAAATTTCTTTGAAATTTTATTTTCTATTCAATGTATCATCACAAGCTCTTACTTGGGAATTGTTTATGCAAATATGGAAAAATCGATCACTTTTCCAAGAAAATGTTTTGCTGGGAAAGAGGAATTTAACTAACTTAATTGAATTCATCACTTAAATAAGTATAGGCAAGATAGAAGAGGAAATATTAATATCACTGATTGGATTGATTGTTCTATGAATGCACATTTAGTGGTCTTTAAAAATGAACTTCAAAACCAACACTGCCTAGTGACATAGAAAGCTTTAATTAACTGCATACTATAAACATACATATTTAAATACAGCCAGAGATACTATTATTTCAAAAGAATAAGTTTGTACAGATGAGAAGAAATGATACTAGATATTGAGGAACATATTGGCAGTATTTTCCATATTTTCCATTTACTTTATAATTATGAAATACATATGTTTATTCATACTTTAGTTAAGAGAACTTACAGCTGTTTTTAGAAATCACACACTAAGAATAATGTGCAAAATTTTTATATAATTTATGTAGGACAGTATCTACTTTACTCTGAAGTATGCTATGGTATTCCCAACAAGTTTGGCGTGGAATGTTTTTCTAGCTACTTTAGGTCCTTCAGGAGACAGTAGATTCAAATAGAAAAACATCTATTCAAATTCTAGTGACAATACTGCTTGTCTTTTTGGATAATTAGTTTAATTTCTCTGGATCTCAGTTTTCTCTTTATACAATGGTAGTAATGGAACAAAAAAACTGGCTTTTGTTTCTGATATATCTGTGTTTATATTACTCTTTTTATGTTTACTAGCCTTGAGTTAATTAATCTTGGGAGCTTTAATTCCTACCATTGTAAAATGAGTATAATCATACCTATTTAGCATCGATGTTAGGATTCTTTAAGGATATATATATATACACACACACACACACACATATATATATATATAAAACCTAACACACTGCCTAGTATTTTATAAATAGTCATTAGATTAGTCATTAGATGTTAGTTATGATCTCTTCTTCAATTTTTTTTTTTTTTTTTTTAGACAGGGTCTCACTCTGTTGCCTGGGCTGGAGTGCAGTGGCATGACCATGGCTCACTGCAACCTCTGCCTCCCAGGTTAAAGCAATTCTTGTGTCTCAGCCTCCCAAGTAGCTGGGATTACAGGCATGCGCCTCCACACCCAGCTTATTTTTGTATTTTTAGTAGAGACCGGGTTTCACCATGTTGGCCAGGCTGGTCTGGAATTCCTGACCTCAGGTGATCCGCCAGCCTTAGCCTCCCAAGTACAGGTGTGAACCACTGCATTCCGCCCTCTTCCTCAATTTAAACTGAGAAGACAGTTCGAGCTAATGATTCTTAGATTTTATGTATATATAAATATATCAAATCTATATATTATTTATTATATCTATATTTATATTATTGTAAATATATGTTAGATCTCTCATATGTCCAAGTAATCTGTTGGTTTGCACGATGAATGTCTACATTACAAAAGTCAGCTGAACTGACAAACCTCTTATAATTGGAACAATGGTTGAAATGTTTTCCCATTAGACGTTAGGTGGGTTCACAGCTCTGCTAGAGTCAAGGGACATAGTTTAGCGCTATGGACATTTTACTTATGACTCATTCAACATAAAACTGTAGTATGTCATTATGTCCATTTTCTCAAAAGAGAAATGTTAAATGTAATGAAAAAAATAATATAGATACCATTGAATTATTCAAATGAATGATGCTAGATACAAAGAATTCCAAATTTAAAAGGGGGTAGTTAAGAGAGTGTTCAATAATTGTGTATAGAGATCAGTCAGTCATTGTTAGGGAGTTAAAACAATGCAGATCATAGATCTTGAAAATTTCACCTTGTATGATTAATTAATTCATACCATTCACCCCATTACTTTCTTTGGGAAAATGGCAAACTTTCACTTCTAAAACTCTCCCTTTATACTTTCTTTATACTTTTATAATTTTGAAAAAATTGCTTAATTATAGACACCATGAAATTTAGTATATAAATTACTAAATAATATACTCAATTAATTATGAGTCTTTCTGGAATCTTTGAACTGAAGGCACCATGTTACTTGTTGAAAACAGGGAGAAATATCTGGGAAAGACAGAGAGAGAGACTCAAAACTCTGCTTTATCTTGTATTAGTTTTTAAGAAAAAAGAAAAAACCCTTCTTATGTATGTTTTAAGATTGTAATATTCAATCATAATAGAATAATGCAAGTAAAATTGTACATAAATCATATATATAATTTATCTATAATAGCTCCAAAGTTTTAGATTCTCAACAATTTTAAACATAAATGTATCTCTTTAAATCATAAAATATTTTTGATCTCTGTAAACAAGTTGTGTTATTATTGAAAAGGCCTCATCAAGAAATTATTTCCCTTAGAAAAACAATTCGAAATTTGGAATATTTAACGTATTCTGCTTGAGGTTTGTAATGAACAGGAATTTTGTTGTAAAGTGTAAAAAGTAATGAAATGCATGAGAGCAAACCTGGATTCCAAGTTTTTTAGTCTTCCCTTGCTACCTACTTCCTGGTTAGTTGTTTAACAGCTATGACTCTAAGTGATTCCTTTCTAAAATGAGACAGAACTTTCACTCTCTTTCACTCTCTTGTAGGATTGCTGTGATAGTCACACTAGATAGTGTATCTGAAAATGATTAGTAAAACACTTTAAAAATGTATGGATTATTTGGTATGAAGATAGACTCTTAAGTTGATTAACATACAATAAGACACAAAATTTCATTCGTTGGTTTTTATTACCAGGAAGCTTTTCATATTTACTCTTATTTATGCTTCATAAGAGCCTACCCAAAAATTAGATATTATTTTCTCCTTTCTCCAGAATAAATAATATTATTAATAATTGATTCTCAGAAAAAGTAAATGATTTAATTAAGACCATGTAACTATGATGAAGTTGAGATTCAGACCTTGGTCCACTATACTGTATTGTTCCTTTATCATCCGGTTTTGTATACTTAGATGATTTTTCCATATCCTTGAAATCTCTCTCATTCTCTCTCTCTCTCTCCCCCTTCAAGAAACTAAGTATCTGACACTATTATAAGTTAATTAATGCTATTAACTTATTTGCAGTCCTCTAAGTGACTGAGAAAGTAAACAAGAGTAACATACCAAGATAAAGTTAAAAAAACATAAAATAACTGCCATGTGGAAAAAACATTTTATATCTCTTCCATTAAGCATATTGTGAAAAATAAAATTATTCAATCTCATGAACATTTCAGCCAGTTTTCTGAGGTAGCTCATTCAGCTCCCTTCCTTCCCTCCTCTTTCTCTCTCCCTCCTCTTCCTCCTTCCGTCTCTTTCTTCCTCCTTTCTCTTCTTTCATATTTTATTTATTAGTTATTTAGTGTTTGAAACACTTTGAAGGATATTGGAAAAACAGCTTAAAGAAAATATGAAGATCATGTAACAAATCTTCAATCTAACTGAGTTCTACAGAGTAGCTCATCAAAGTTGTTAAGATCATTTTCTCCTGGCGTGATTAGAAATCAAGACTTCCCATCATGAACTTTAAAAAAAAACATGATTCAGCAATTAAATGTAGTGCTGGATAAATAAGCATATCAAAAGAACAGTGTCTGCAAATTCCCATCACAGAAGGTGCACTTGATTTTAGATCAAGAAAGCCATGAAGTGAATAAACACACACACACACAAATATCTTTATGAGTTATATTTGTGCTTTCACAGAATTTTAAACGTGTCTCTCACAATTCTCTCTTTTTTAGTATGCTTTTATTTTATCCTTAAATCTTAAAAATAGCCATAACTCTCATATTTTTCTGTGTAGATTGTTAAGACCATTCTTTGAAGTTAAATATAATACACTAAATTTCTGTGAAGGATAAGCAGATGTTTTCTGTCTCTCTCATTAGGAAAGACATGGCCAAGTATCTGTTGTGTGCCAATTCAAAACCATCCAAATTTTTTAAAATCCCGAAGAGACAAGGCCTGCCTTGGTTAACAATAGCTTATTTTATCCTAGCATCTATTTAAACCTGAGACACTAGAGTCCCTTTCTATTTTCTTCTCCATGTATATGGAGTAGAACTCATTAAAGTTTTCTGAGAAGCAGGTAAGTGTCATCATGCATCAAGAAACAACTGGAAATTATATGTTAGACATTCTTACTCCATAAAAGCTTTTGCAGCAACTCTTCTGTTGTTGGTTCCTATGCGTTAATTCATTCTACAAAGTTCCTCAGTAAATGTTCTCCTCTTCATCAGATTTTATTGAAAGTCTACATTAACCTACTATCTAAATGCATCATAGTACTCAATAAAATATAGCAACTTTTCAATAATAGTATCCATCACCCTTAGAAAGCCTTTGCATTCCATGATAATGATGACCTACAAGTAATCCCACCCAAAGTGGTGATAGTGAATAGGAATTGCTGACAAAATGGCAAAACGTATGCAGTTCTCTCTTTTGAATACTTTTTCCTTAGCCTTCTCTGATTCACTTCATTGCACTCTCTCTCTCTTTATCTCCTAGAAAGCCAAGATTAAGACATCTAAGTTTCCTTTTTGTGTGTTGTTATCAAAGTCTGCCTTCTTTCCTAGATGCTGAGCGAGATCCTCACTCACTACTTACAGTGACTAGGTCATCACACCAACATCTACTACTACCCAAGTTTAGGCTACTACTCTTGAGCTGGAGGATCTTATGCCAGGTGGAGATTTCCCTATACTGAGAGAAGTTCCAGGTCTCTAGTGGATCTTCATATTGAATCCAAAACTTGAACTGGCAAGGTTTAATTTTGGTGAGAAGGTTGGATGAATTCTCAGAATATGTCACTACCTTACTCTCTTATTTTATAGCCAAGGTTTGCTACCATTTGGAAGAGATGAAATGGTGAACAGCATGTGCTCATGAGCATTTCTCAGTAGAATCTGAGCCTTATGTGAGACAAGAGGACAAAGGTGTACATAGAACCATTTCTTTCATGGTATTGAGAGGTTGCCTTTCAGGTCCTGCTTCTTACTTTTAAAACCTCCTTTAAGCAGATTTTAACACCTGCACAATCAAGGTCATATTTTCAGAATGGAAGCACATTACCAAATATATATACCATTTCTACTGCTGAAATAAAACAACTGATATTTCTGTTTCATGAAATCTCAAGAACTCACATCACTTCTCCATGAACACACCTCATTCTCTACTGAGCTGACCCTTTCTGTGGAAGAATTTCTGCATGTCTAGGGGAATAATGAATCTGCTGGATCTCTGGAAACATAGATCTCAGAAGCCCTATATCTTCCCCTGAATTTGTACCATTTGGACTCTAGTTTGATATGCATTAGGGCATGATTGATCTGTTGATCACAATTACCTTGTTTATAGACAAGTGTTCCACAATAGAGGTAAACTAATCAATATGGTTAATGACCAGGAATCCAGATGTCTTTTAAGAACAATTTTGACTTGTATTGACAAACTAACTTAACTTCAGTCCCTTGGAGATCAAAAATTGCACATGAAAGGGCTTCTTATATTCATTCTCACATTTCTTTCAGCTCTCTGTTTCAGTTGGATTTCAATGCTATTATATTCTGGGATGTTTTCTGAAGATAGCCTTACCTCTCTCATTCTTTCTCCTTTAGAATATCTTGGGCACAGAAAAGTTTGGGGAATTTTTCAGTTCTTGTCTCATGCTGCCTAAATTCTTCCAACAGATACTGTAAATGGACCCCTAAGCATTTTTTTCTAATTGAACTTATTCCTCTATTTTCTGTTTAATGCTAATATGCCATCCATATCTTTGCAAAAATATCTATTCTTAAAACATCTATTATTTCAACAAATATGTGTTGAGCATGTCTCAGGTACTATGAGATACTATTTAATGTGTTGAAGTCATACAAAATAAGTAAAGATTTCTGCCTTTATGGGGCTTACTTCTTAGTGGGGAGGGGAAGATGAACTAATATAGGTAGTCTGCCATATGGGACATATTAGAACAGTGTGGTAGGAGTAGGCCAGGAGAGTGAGCTGTCTGTTCATGTAACTTACTTGTGCCTTAATGGCACTTATGTTAGAGGAAATAAAGACTTGATTTTTTAGTGGAATAGGTCAGATGCAGCTAGTTAGTTATGGGCAACTGTTTTTTAATTGTTTATTAAGATGAACTCTCTGTGTTCTGTGGTCAGACCTTTAATCTTCATCAAGATCCAGTAGCAAGTAAGAATCTATCTAGCTGTTTCTGAAAAGGACAGTAGTTACTCACCTAAGAAGTGAGAATCCTAGGCATCCCCATTATGTTCTTTTTATGAAGGCTTGTATATTCTGTATAGCACCCTAATCTGCTGTAGACTCTTTGAGTATCATTGCATCTGCCAGTTTATAACATGTATAAAGTATTTCTTGTTTAGAGAATCCTACTTTGAGTAGGATTAGAGTAGGATTCTCTACTCATAGTTTCAAGCTTTTCAGTTTACTTGGTATTGTGTCAGAGTATAACACCAATATGTGATATGAAAGTGTTGGGATGAGGTTCCCACAAGTATGTCTAACTCTCTTCCTTTGCACATTTTCAGATTCTTTTCTTTATATTGTGATATAGTTTTTTCCAATTGTTTTAAAGTCAGGTTTACTCAGGCAAAATTAAAATTATGTAATCAAATGCACTGTGAAAATCTACCAACACATAATTTAAAAAAATTAAACAATAAGAATATCAAATTCCAACAATTCCTCAAATTGGGATTATTTCATACTTACTGCATTTCACCCAAAAAGCAGGTTATTCTTGCTGTTGTTACTGTTTTTGGTTGCTTTTAGTGGAATGAAGTGTTGTCTCAAATGTCCTTGCCTATCATTACACAAAGCCTCCATACTCAAAGGCCTTTAATTTTTTTTTTTTTTTTTTTTTTTTTTTTACTCTAGCTCAAGCTTCCTGGACTCAGGAGGCTTTTTGTTGGTTAGAACTTCTTAGCATAGCAGAAGTTTCCTGTAGCCCTTGAGTGACTTTGGTTAACTTGGTTGAAAATTTCCCCCAATCTCTACACCTTTCTTCACCCCTAGAAGTTGTTTATCTACCTCATAATCAAAACAAAAGCATGCCTTTATTTTTAATAGAAATTTCTAGCAGCATATGTAATCTTAGTCTTTTAGCTTTCTTTCCAATCTGGCCAATTTGGGCGAACATAAACCCCAGTTGCTTAGGTATGAATAGGGACTTGCAGTATGAGGGCTGCCATTCTCTTCCTTCAGCCCTGCCTTTCCTGTTATCCTTTTGAATTAATTTCATTAACAAAATGAATTCAGAGGGTTTTTTTTAGCTCTCTCCAGAAGTCTGAACTCCCTCAGCACTGTTTTGCCATAAATAGCTATAGCAGTAAGTTGTTCCAAATGATCCTGAAGAAATCTATAAAATTTAACTGGTACATATCAAATAGAGACTGAAACAAATGAAATGATAGCTTTATCCTAATGTTGTGACCAAATATCAGATAAATTCACAGCTTTATTTCAATCCCAATAAAAGTTAAATATTTTTTATTGAAAATCAACATAACACTATCAAATTAATCTGAAACATAAATGTTGAGAATATGAGGTCATTTTTAAAAATAGGAACAGACACTGCCAAATATTAAGGCATATTTTAAAAAGACAATGTGTTTTTTAAAAAATATTTTATTCAAAGTAAATTTAGAAATTATTAAAACAATATGATCCTGAAATGATAGGAAGTTAACTTGCAGTTAGAACTTGCAGTTAGAAGTAATCAATTAACTTGAAAGAAATAAATTAAAAAATATAACAACATAAAAATCAAATTAACTTAAAATTTTTCAACAGATTAAGAGGCTAAATTAAAATAAAATCTTAGAAAAAGTAGGAGAAAGTAGAAATTGATATTTAAGATATCAAGAAAAGGATGGAAATCCTTTAGGAATAAATTTGTAATAGCAATGATTCACACTCACAGCAATGATGAGTGACTCCTGCCTCATCCATTGTCCTGGATTATTGCTTCTTTAAAGGAACAGAAAGTTATCACAAGAGAGCACATCAATAGATTTTACCGTACAGAGTTCTTTGAACCAACAGCTATGAATTTTTTCTCTGTGTGCCAAGCATAGTGTCTTTCTGGCATGCATTCAACCAGTATTTACTATTTGCTTCAATTATGTTGGAACCTGGAGAGAAAAAAAAAAAGCTCATTATTAACATAAACCAGGGGTCCCCAGCCTCAGGACCACTGACCAATACTGGTCTGTGGCCTGTTAGGAACAGCGCCACACAGCAGGAGGTGAGTTGCCAGAAAAAGAGCATTACCACCTGAGCTCCG
This sequence comes from Homo sapiens, assembly GCF_000001405.40. Classification (NCBI taxonomy): domain Eukaryota; kingdom Metazoa; phylum Chordata; class Mammalia; order Primates; family Hominidae; genus Homo; species Homo sapiens. The sequence goes on along the minus strand of NW_025791754.1, from coordinate 418,319 downwards.
CCTCCTGTCAGATCTGTGGTGGCGTGTTTTTCTTTTCTTTTTTTTTTTTTTTGAGACGGAGTCTAGCCCTGTCGCCCAGGCTGGAGTGCAGTGGCGCGATCTCTGCTCACTGCAAGCTCCGCTTCCCGGGTTCACTCCATTTTCCTGCCTCAGGCTTCCGAGTAGCTGGGACTATAGGCGCCGGCCACCACACCCGGCTAATTTTTTGTATTTTGTTTAGTAGAGACGGGGTTTCACCGTGTTAGCCAGGATGGGCTCGATCTCCTTATCTCGTGATCCGCCCGCCTCGGCCTCCCAAAGTGCTGGGATTACAGATGTGAGCCACCGTCCTGGCCATGTGGCATTAGATTTTTATAGAAGGGCGAACCCTATGTGAACTGCACATACAAGGGATCTAGGTTGCGAGCTCCTTATGAGAATCTGATGCCTGATGATCTGGGGTGGAACAGTTTCATCCCGAAACCATCTCTACCACCATTTGTCTTTCATGAAACTAGTCTCTGGTGCCAAAAAGGTTGGGGACCGTTGACATAAATAACACACTTTAATGTGTGGTAAATGCAGATGGAGATTTACTGGGTATTAAGAGAGAGCAGACAAAAGATACTTAACCCAGTTGAGATCAAGTCTTAGGATTTTTTGGTTTTGTTTCATTGCTTCCTTAGAGGTGATGACTTCTATGCTGCAATATTAGAGCTGCTAAGAATTGTGAAAAAGACCCCAAGCACATAAATTGAAACCTAATGCTAAAGGCAGAGTGTTATCCTGAAGGCAATCAAAGTATTGGATAAAGAAAGGTTCCAGTACTGAGGGATAGTTAGAGATGTAAATGCTGTTCAGCAATTCTGCTGCTGTTTTCCATATCCTATTTCCTACATAAGCCCTTTTGAAATGCTCTCTTCTCTCCTCAGCCGTCCTTCACCACCTTTATCTCTTTCTCCACAGAACATCTAACTTTTCACTTCAGGGATGTGACAGAAGCCATCACACAGAAGAACTCCCTTAAGTTCTTGTAACAACATCTAAATGAACATAGTCCCATGTGAATTGCTCATGACAAAAGTAAGAGCTATTCTTCCAGATAATGAATAATATGCCTTCTCTGGACCTCATCTTTTGTACTTCCTGATGGATCCCAACCATCAGTTATCCATCCTGTTTCTAAAAATTATGAAAGAAAAAATAGAAGATCCGAGATTTATGCTGACAACAGCACTTGCTATTCAACCTTATCATGCAGGGACTTAAATGCAATGTGATCAGAAGGTTAGACTTCAGGGAGGAGTGGACATTTGATCTTTGCCCTTGACAGATAAGGAGATTTTGATGAGGTTACACTGAGAAGAAAGCATAGTGGTCTAGTAGATGGAAGAGGGCATAGGAAAGAGAGTTGTGTTCAAGAAATGCTACATAGTCTAGTGTAGATTATTTAAAACATTAACGTTCAAGTAGAGGAGGAGTGAGAGATATGGCTGAAATATAGAGTGAACTGTTCTATAATGGACCATGGTAATTAAGGAATTCATATTTAATTTTGTAATTAATATGCATCAAGTAAAGTTTTTGATTAAGAACTATATAGATAATAACTTTCAACTGATGTCATATGATTCTTGCATTTATTTGTGTATTTATTGATGCATTTTAGTACATATTTGAGTTTATAGATCTTGTTTGTATTTGTTGATTGATTTTGCAAGGTATTATATGAAACATTTGAAGTATATAATGAAAACCTAGCAAGATTTTTATCTTGGCTTAAAAAACAATCTTGTAATAGAATAAAGTACTAAATCTAATAATTTATTTATATGCCTTCTATACTTTTCTCCTGGAAGGTACCCATATTAACTTGACATCTTTATAAGGCATTCATTTGCCACATTTTGCTATGGTGATATACAAAATTTCCTTCTTATTTCTGAAGCAATGTCCTTTAAATAACTTTGTTACTTGGTACTAGCATGGTAAAACTATAAAAACAGTTTATTCATTGTGAAACTATGGGTAAACTTCCATTTAGTTTTCATAAAATTTTCCTTTTTGTCCATTCTCTCTCCCACCACCTTAATCTACCTTTTACTACTTCACACCTGACGTATGGAGAGGGCCTCCCAAGATGTTACTTTCCTTTTCCAACCCATTTGATTAATCTTGCACACAATTGCCATGTTCCTACTCATAAACATATCTTTGAATATGTCATTTCTTATTGAAACAATTTTTATTGTGTATCCCCATTCCTTCTTCATGACTGAAAAGACACAATCTAAACTTTGCAACTTAACATTCAAAAACCACCAATTATGACACCAAATTGCCTATGTAATCACTCAAACTGCTTTATTCAGGTCACTGTGCCCTTTGCTGCTTTGTTACTTTTTATAAGCAAATTTCCTGCCAGGAAGGTCATTTTTTCATTGTTTGAATCTGATAAAATTTGACCCAGAAATAGTCTCACTCTCCTTGGCAATAAAGGATCTTTAGTGATCTCCTGTCTCAAGTAGTCTTTTCCTTCACTGTCTGCTTATTTCTTTTTTACAAATTCATTTTTAAAATTGACAAATAAAAATTGTATATATTTATCGTTTACAATATGTATACATTATAGAATTGCTAAATACAGCTAATTAGCATATATAATCTCATCTCAGATACTTATTTTTATAGTGAGAAAGCTTAAAATCTACTCTCAGTGATTTTCAAGAATATAATACATTGTTATTAACTACAATTACTGTGTTGTACATTAAATCTCTTGAACTTATTCCTCATATCTAATATAAATTTTGTATCATTTAACCAACATCTCTCCAGCCTCCTCCCCACCCACATCCTCTAGTAACCACTATTCTATTCTCTACTTCCATGGGTTTAACTTTTGTAGATTCCACTTATAATAAATGAGATCATGCAATATTTGTCTTTCTGTGTTTGGCTTATTTCACTTAACATCATGTCCTCTAGGTTCATGCATGTTGTCCCAAATTATAGTATTTCATTTTTTAAGTGATGATAATATATACAACATATATACATATATATATATATATGTATAATGATTTGTATATATACAACATTTTAAAAAGTTTTCATCCATTGGTGGACACCTAGGTGGATTCCATATCTTGGCTATTGTGAATAATGCTACATGAACATAGTAGTGCAGGTATTTTTTCAACACGTTATTTTATTTTCCTTTGGATGTATACCCAGCAATGGGATGACACGGCAGTTCTATTTTTTTATTTTTTTGAAGTATCTCTAGATAGTTTTCCATAATGGCTCTACTAATTCACACTTCCACCAACAGTATGCAGATATTCCCCTTTCTCCACATTCTAGCCAACACTTATCTTTTGTCTTTTTGCTAATAACCATTCTAATCTGCATGAGGTGATATCTCATTGTGGTTTTAATTTGCATTTCTCTAATGATTAGTGATGTTGAGGATTTTTTCATATATCTATTGGCCATTTATATGTTTTTCTTTGAGAAACCCATTTGTAAATTGCTTTTTTTTTTTGCTATTGATTTGTTTTTTTTTCTATTTATTTTGTATGTTAATCCTTTATCAGATATATGGTTTGCAAATATTTTCTCCTATTCTGTAGATTGTCTTTTACTTTCACTCTGTTGATTGTTTTCCTGGGATGTTTTATGTAACCCTATTTGATTATTTTTTGGTTTTGTTGCCTATGCATAAGGGGTGATATCCAAAAAATTATTGCCCAAACAAAGGCCATGGAGCTTTTCTCCTATGTTTTCATCTATTACTTTTACAGTTTCAGGTCTGTATTTAGGTCTTTAGTTAATCTGTGTTGAATTTTGTGTATAAGAATTCAATTCACTCTTCTGCAAGTTGTCCCAACACCATTTATTGAAGAGATTGTCCTTTCTCCATTGTGTGTCCTTGTCTTCTTTGCTGAAAATCAATTGACTTTTAAAGTATCTATTTATTTCTAGGCTGTCTATTCTGTTCCATTGATCTTTGTATCTGTTTTTATACCAGTACTATGCTGTTTTGATTACTATAGCTTTGTGGTATATTTGAAGCCAGATAGTGTGGTTCCTTTGACTTTTTTTCTTTTTGCTGAAGATTGAGTTGACTTTTTGTGGTCTTTTGTGGCTTCATTCAAATTTTGGAATTGATTTTTCCATTTCTGTGAATAATGTCATTAGAATTTTAATATGGATATCAATGAATCTGTAGATCACTGGGTAGTGTGGACATTTTAGCAATATTAATTATTATATTCCATGAACATGCAATATTTTTCTGTTTATTTGTTTCTTCAATTTCTTTCATCAGTGTTTTGTAATTTGCAAGATACAGGTCTTTTACTTCCTTGGTTAATTTTTTTCCTAAGTATTTTTATAGCTATTATAAACAGGATTAAGAATTTTTTTTCAGATAGTTTCTTGTTAGTGTGTAGAAATCCTACTAATTTTAGTATGTGATTTTGTATCCTGCAACTCCACTGAAGTCCTTTATTAGTTCTGAGTTCTTTCAGAAGTTTTTTGGTGGGGTCTTTTGTATTTTCTATATATAAGATCATGTTCTCTGCAAACATAGTCAGTTTAACTTCTTTCTTTCTAATATGGATGACTTTAATTCTTTTTCTTGCCTAATTGCTTTGGCTAGAACTTACAGTACTATGCTGAATTTAAGTGGCAAGAATGGTCATTGCTTTTTTGTTCCTGATTTGAGACAAGAAACTTTCAACTTTGCCTCATTGAGCATGATGTGTGATGTGGGCTTGTAATAGATGGCCTTTATTGTGTTAAGGTTTATTCTACATGTACTTTCTTGATACTTTTATTATGAAAGGATGTTGAATTCTTTCAAATTTTTTTCTGTATGTATTGAGGTAATCATATGATTTTGTCTTTCATTTTGTTGATGTGATGTATCACAGTTTTTGATTTGCATATGTTGAATAATTGTTGCGTTAAATGGATAAATACCGCTTGGTTATGGTAAATGGTCTTATCAATGTGCTATTGAATTTGGCTTGCTAGTATTTTGTTGAGGATTTATATTAACCATACATATTATGCTAAAATTTTCTTTTCTTGTAGTTTCTTTGTCTATTTTTGGTATGAAGGTAATGTTGGTTTCATAAGATGAGTTTAGAAGTATTTGCTCTTCTGTTTTTTGGAAGAGTTTGAAAAGTTTTTTTTTTTTTCTTTTTTCTTTTTTTTTTTTGTTATTGGGGATAAAATGATAACGATGAATACCACTTCTTTGAAATGACAGACTGCATTTCCAGGTGGCAACCCAAACAGATGGTTTTAATAACACAGTCACTCCCCAACATCTCATGAAAATTATACCAAAGCAGTCACGGTATTTCTTCATTACTAGTGATTGGAAAAGGAATGGGAGAAAAGTGTTGGAACAAAAATTCTAACCCCTAAAAGAGAATAACCAAAACAACAAAAAAATACTCTGTCTTTCTTTCGTATTTCTAAGGCCTGATTTCCTCTCCTGGCAACTGGCAAGGCTAGTGATTAGGACCTAGAGTAAGGTTCCTACATTTTTGGCAATTTTGGGGAAAGACTGAAGGTTGAAGGCGTAGAGTAATTACTATTCTTACATGTAGTGCTCAAGTCCTGGATGTTAGAAACCTCAAATTTTGGGACAGCCTCTAAATAATAAAGTATTTACTCCTTTATGTTAATTTTCTACACAGAAGGTCAATGGACAACTAGGATGAGTTTAAAGCAAAGATTCTGCACTATATTTAGATGGTAGAGTTTAGCTAAATTGAAAAGAAAATATCTGGTGTGAAAGAAAATAGTATTTTATTGGGTACTCAGGTATTTCGTTTGGTTTCCTTGTTTACTTTTGTCAATAGCGGACATTGATTGTTAAAGACATTGAGCTAAAATAGAATTGCCTTGGGAGTAATTAGCAATTCAGGAAAAAAAAAAAAGAGAAGAAAGAAATCAGAACCTTACTGTAGTAATCAATTCAAAATCAACGATATCATGACCAATTTATTATTTTTGTTTTTTTCCCCCAGTTCCCTCAAATTCAGTATTCAAATTTCTCAAACCTAGCACATGACTCTCCCCCATATTTGCTGCTCCTTTCATGTCCAAATTTCTTGGAATACTATCTACCATGTTATTGTAAACTAAAAAATAAAATTCTAAGTCCTCCAATCATCTGAATGGACCCCTCCTCTTGGCCAAGAGCATTTCAAAGTTAGCCTGCAAAACTAGTTCAGGCCATGATGGTAAGGAGGTGGACAGACATGCCTCAACATACCCTCCTTCCTTTTGAATGCAGGCACAACTGACCAACATTAACATTAAAACAGAGATCTTAAGACTTTTTGTAGCAATAAGGTACCAAATTCCAGCCTGACACTAGTATAGTGTCATGACAGATAGCAGGTCCTGAAATAAATCAAAATATTTTATTCCAAAATATATATTTCTTTGTCATATTTTGAAATGGCCCTGAAAAGCTGTCTCTTGTGGGAAAAATCTACATTTTGTTGAGAATTCCATTCCCTTTCCAGGTCTTTTCCCTGATCCAGGAGAGAATTAACTAAGGGCCTGGCACCTTTTTCAAGTCAATAAGAAACATTTGCAATCTATTTTCTCTGAAGCTTGATAAGACTCATCTGCATATTAAGAACCTTGGTCTCCTCATCCCCGATCTTAACCCAGACACTCCCTTCTATGAATTCCAGGTCTTTAGATAAACTCTTTCAACCAGTTGCCAAATCTTTTAATCCCTCTATGACCTGGAGACTCCTCCTTTACTCCCTGGAGTTGTTCTGCCTTTCTGAAGGGAGTCAATGTACATCTTACATGTATTGATTAATATCTTATCTCTTGTCTGCCTAAAATGTATAAAACCAAGCTGTATCCCAACCGCTTTGGACACGTGTTGTCAGGATCTCCTGAGGCTGTGTAACGAGCATTTCTGTTCTTCTATTCTTTCTTCTTCTTCTTTTTTTTTTTTTTTTTGAGATGAAGTCTCGCTCTGTGTCCAGGCTGGAGTGCAGTGGCGTGATCTCAGCTCACTGCAACGTGAGCATTCTTTAACCTTGGCAAAATAAACTTCTAAATTGATTGAAACTTGTCTCAGATACTTTTTGGTTTACAATATCAACAACTTAGGAGTCATCTTTATGCCTCTCATTGTGATATCCAACGCACCACCAGATCCTATTGATCTTATATATGAGATATCATAAATACATATACTTCTCTTCTTTATCACTCCCACCCTATTCTAAATTCCTACCATTTCTCACCTGAACCCTTTATTAGTTAGGAAAGACTAGTCCATTCCTCTAATCTCTTTTCTCCTTTACAGTTAGAGAGATCTTTTTTTTCCTAAAACTTTGACCTTTTTTTCTCTTTAAACTTAACTGACAGATAGTAATAATATATATTTATGGGATATAATGTGATGCCCTGATATATGTATAAGTCGTGGAATGATTAAATCAAGCTAATTAATATATCTATTATGGCCTATACATTTTTAATTATAAGAACATTTCAAAACTACTCTTTTAGTAATTTTGAAATATGTAATTCATCATTAGGTCACTTAAAATATTATTTTATAATACAAAACTAAGCATATTTCCCCTCTTTTCACATGGAAAAACAAAATCTTCCTACCTAGAAATTCTCACCACAAAGGCAGTAGAAAAAGGAAACCTTCATTGCTGAATAAGTATTAAACTGGAATGTGATACACATCACAGGCAATCTATTAAGGTACTACAAAGATGGAAGGAAATTCTGAAGCCAACTAGGTACGGGACTTTATATAAATGTTTTAAAGATACACAATAACCAGTCCTCAAGGAAGAGGACAAGGCAGCACCATTTGTCACAAGTAGCTTTACCTGGTAGTTGGGGTGACCGTGTGTGATGACTAATTGTTTTTATCCAGAGGGGGGAAGAAAAAACATCATATCATTATTACAGGAAGTCATTTTGCCACTTGGAACAAGGTGCCCACTAAAGTTAGGCTCCTGTTTTCCCACAGAGAGTGAGATAGGTAGGGATGTTACCCCTTTTGTTCTTTATATTTCAAAGAGATGGCATTCAGGTTCTTAAGAAAGATATTAATGGATCATAAAGCTGACAAAAAGCCTACTTAGCTTTCCAAAGGACTTATATACATTTCAAAGAGAAGACGATGTACTTCACAATTCTAATTTTTAAAAAGTAAATTAAGAAAAAGGAGGAGAGAGAAGTCTCCATATTTTCAACATGGAAAATTAATCATCTTGTTTTTAATTTGCATTTGTCCTTACAACACCAAAATCATTTTAATTTCTTTAATACCACATTGTTTGAGTGAAAGATTATTTTTCTGCTTCACCGTTCCCTTTACCTAATTTAGGTTTTGTCGTCTTTTGCATAACATTCCTTTTATTAAGGGCTGTCTCCTGCAGCAAATTTTAAGCTACACAAGCACAGGGGCTGCATCAGGTTTTGTTCACTATTGCTTTATGCCAAGTTTAGTGCAGTTCCTCTGGATGCAAAGCAAGCATTTTACTCAACTTTTTAGATGAATGAATGTAAAAGAATCACATACGGCAAATTAAATTATTTAAAAAGAAAAATAATTAATCGAATATTTAGAATATTTATCAAATAACATCTGAATGGAGAAAACCTTCCTAAGATTACAAATAAGACTGAAGAAGCAGTCTTTCTAAGAAAAAGAATGAAATGTCTTATTTAACGTGTCCTGTATGCACACACATACATACACATAGAAAATTAAAAGATGGATAATACACTGGGAAAATTCAACAATGGATTGATTGTTGTATTATAAAAAAATTCAGAGAATATTTTGCAAAGAACTAATTAGAAAATCAAGAAAAGATGCAATCGAAATATATTCTAACCACAGAAAGATTACATCACTAAAAAACAGAGAAATGCACATTAAAATGAAATGCCATATTTAGTTGTGCTTTTTACAATTAAGCTGTTTAGTGTGAAAGAGGATATAGTAAAATAGAAACTTTCTTACTTTGCTAAAATAGAAACTTTCTTACTTTGCTAATGGGAAGGTAAATTTGTGCAACCCTTTGCAAAAAGATTTGTCAATATTTATCAAGAGCATTGAAATGTTCTACTCTTTGACCAAGTAACTCCACTTCTGGGAATCTACCCTAAGAACGTATCTGAAATGACATTCATAGTTCATTTATAACAGCATAAAACTGGAAACAATCGAAATATTCAAAATTGGAGGAATGGCCTATTAATTAATGAAATATATGTATTCACGGGATGAGTTTCTGTGCAGGCATAAAATACCACGTATCCCATTGTAACATGGGAAATATGGTGTTTTTTATTTTTTAAATTACTGCCAGGTTATGCATAAAATATGCAATAAAATAAAAATATAAATTAATAAGAGAAAGAGCATTCCATTTATTTACTGTGACTTCTATTGAAGTAAATAGATTACATGTGAAACACTTGTGGAAAAGATCTGTTGTTTTCAAGTGATCTTAAAAAGCTGTGCTTTAAATGAGATCAACATAGGACTATATTCAGTGATTTTTTTTTTTGTTTCCAAGTAAAACAGCTACTGTTTACATACCTTTTAAAACAAATTTAGGTGTGACTTTCTTATGCATACCTCATTTGTATTTCAAATCAATGTGCCTCTTATGCTATTACTTGTTTTATTAAGATATTACTTGTTTACAAAGATATTACACCTTTTCTTAAAAGTTTATATAAACTTGTGTGATGTAATTAAAGATTTATAATCAAATTTTTATACATAATAAAAATTCAAAAGCTCACACATTTGATTTAATGTGTATTTTTCAGGTTTACTACATTTCTGCAAAACAATAAGAAATATTTTAACTCTGAGAAAAGATGTGTCAACTTTATAAAAAGAGTAATAAATAGAATCCCTTCAGGAAAACACTTAGAAAAGGCAAGGATAAGTGATGAGTCATAAACTTATTTAAGTCAGCATTTTGTCTTCTTACCCTAAGCTCACAGCCTATTTGCTTTTTGTTTCGTTTTCCTGGCAAATTACTGGCCAGGTTTCGGAAGACACTAGACATTCTTGTAAATTACATAATAATTGCCTTGTTGCACTGGTTGTGAAAATATTATTCCTCCCATTTTCCTGCAAATGCTGCAAGCCAAAACAAAAACAAGTAAAAAACACCCCCCAAATTAACAAAAACAACAAAAGAAACAAAAAACCACACACACACACACACACACACGTTATTTTAGATTTTCAAATTATTATAAAATTGTCAGATATATCCTTACTTTATGACCTTATTAATGATGTAGATTTTTCTAGATTTAATTATTTGATTCTACTTTCCATTTATGATTTGAATGTGCATATTTTCATGTGACATTTGAGAGTTACATGCACAATTTTTGCAACAGTGTATAAGCTGCCTCTACTGAAGATTTTTTTTGTTTCATTATATTGTGTCATTTTCTAATTAGAAATAAGAATCAATAATTCACTCTATCTTAATATCGGCTTACAATTAAAAAGTGCTTTCTGGAAAGTGTACCTCATCCACTTTGGCATGATGCTAATTTGTAACATTTTGATGACAACAGTGAGATAAAATATTACAGAACATTCTCTGTCAGGTTGTGCAACTTCTCACATTTTGCTACATAAGGACAATGAGATCTCATTGCTTTTTCTTAGTATTTCTGAAAGGCATTCTTTGATAAGGAAGTTTGATTTCATTTGGAACAAAAGACGCACCTTAAAATAGTAAATTTCTTTTTAATTTAAAAGATGTAAATAACTGAAAAGTTGGCTTATTGACCTACTTGATCATGGAAATTACATGAGCTTATTCACAAACAAGTCTTCAAAAAATTGAAGTTTTTTTTAATTTACCCTCTTTAATAATCCTATACTTTTATTTTTGCATACTTATCACTTTGATGAGATTAGATGCTCAGTGGTAAGTAAAATAGAATAACATTGCTATTAATTAATAAACCTTGTGTACATGATGGGCCAGACTATTATTCTATTGTCAGCCCACCATTTTTTTTTTCTACACGAGATCTTGTTGAGTCATGAACTTTGTATGAGGAGAATATTTGCAGGGGCCATGAAAAATGACATCTTGACTATTAATTAAGACTAAGCTACAGTGTTCACTGAGACCATTAGATTCCTCAAGAAATGATATGATGGCATTTGCTATGATTTTTAAATCCTCATTCAAAATTATGATAAAAATCCAAATACTATGAGAATTCTAGAAAAGTTGAATTTCGTACCATCCCTTTATGTCATTCTAAAACAAGGAACGTTTTATTAAAACAAATTTCTAACTTTTGCGGGTACATGGTAGGTGTATATATTTCAGGGGTATATGAGATATTTTCGTACAGGTACATGATGCATAATAATCACATCATGGAAAATAGGGTATCTATACCCTCAAGCATTTATTCTTTTTGTTCTGAACAATTCAATTATACTGTGATTATAAAATATATGATTAAATTATTATTGACTATAGACCCCCTCTTGTGCTGTCAAATACTAAGTCTTATTCATTTTTCCTAACTCTATATTTTTTGTATTTATTAATCATCCCTACTTCCACCCTCCTCTCCCAATACCCCTCACCTCAGCATCCAGTAACCATCCTTCCATTCTTTTTCTCCATGAGTTCAATTGCTTTGATTGTCAGGTCCCACAAATAAATAAGAGCATGCAATGTTTGTCTTTCAGTGCCTGGCTTATTTCACTTAACATAATGACCTCCAGTTCCATCCATGTTGTTGCAAATGACAAAATCATATTCTTTTTTATGGTTAAATAGTACTCTGTTGTGTGTAAGTATCACATTTTCTTTACCCATTCACCTGTCGACGGACACTTATGTTGCTTCAAAATCTTGGCTATTGTGAACAGTGCTGCAACAAACAAGAGAGTGCAGATATCTCCAATATACTGATTCCCTTTCTTTTGGGTATATACCCAGCAGTGGGATTGTTGGACTGTATGGTTGCTCTAGTTTTAGTTTTCTGATGAACTACCAAACTGTTTTCTATACTGGTTGAGCTAATTTATATTCCCACCAACAATTCTTCACATCCTCACTAGCATTTGTTATTGCTGACTTTTGGAAAAAAGCCATTTTAACTCGGGTGAGAGGTTATCTCATTACAGTTTTGATTTGCATTTTTCGGATGATCAATGATGTTGAGTTCCTTCTCATATACCTGTTTGCCATTCGTATGTTTTCTTTTGAAAAACGTGTATTCAAATCTTTCACCCAATTTTAATTGAATTATTAGATGGTTTTCCTATAGAGTTGTTTGACCTCTTTATATTTTGGTTATTAATCTCTTGTGAAATGCGTATTTGGAAATACTTTCTCCCATTCTGTGTGTTGTGTCTTCACTTTGTTGACTGCTTCTTTTGCAGAGCAGAAGGTTTTTAACTTGATGTGATCTTATTTGTCGTTTTTGCTTGGTTGCCTGTGCTTGTGGGTTATTACTCAAGAAATTTTTGCCCAGATCAATGTTCTGGAGAGTTTCCCCAGTGTTTTCTTGTAGTAGTTTCACAGCTTGAGGTCTTAGATTTAAGTCTTTAATTCATTTTGATTTGATTTTTGTATAAGGTGAGATATAGGGGTCAAATTTCAATATTGTGCATATGGATATCCAGTTTTCCCAGCACTATTTATAGAAGAGACTGTCCTTTCCCCAATGAATAGTTTTGACACATTTGTCAAAAATGAGATCACCATAGGGATGTGGATTTGTTTTTGGGTTCTTTATTGTTTTCCATTGGTCTGTGTGTCTGTTTTTATGCCAGTACCTACCATGCTGTTTTGGTTACTACAGCTTTGCAGTATAATTTGAATCAGGTCATGTGATTCTTTCAGGTTTGTTATTTTTGCTTAGGATAACCTTTGCTATCTGGGTGTTTTGTGATTCCATATAAATTTTATATATTTTTTTATTTCTGTGAAGAATGTCATTGGTATTTTAATTGGGATGGCATTGAATAAGTAGATTGCTTTGGGTCGTATGGACATTTTAACAATATTGATTCTTCCAACCTGTGAACATGGAAAATTTTTTCATTATTTTCGTGTCCTCTTTAATTTCTTACATTAGTATTTTATAGTTTTTATTATAGACATCTTTCACTTCTTTGGTTACATTAATTCCTATGTATTGAATTATATTTGTGACTATTGTAAATGGAATTGCTTTTTGATTTCTTTTTTAGATTTTTAACTGTTGGCATATAGAAATGCTACTGATTTTTGTATGTTGATTTTGTATCCTGCGACTTTACTGAATTTGCTTAACAGTTCTAATAGTTTTCTGTGTAGTCTTTTAGGTTATTCCAAATGTAATATTATTCTAAATATAAGTATCATCTGCAAATAAGGATAATGTGATTTCTTCCTTTCCAATTTGGATGCCCTTTATTTCTTTCTCCTTTCTGATTGCTGTAGCTAGTGCTTCCATTACAATGGTGAATAACAGTGGAGAAAGTGGACATTCTTGTTATGCTCCAAACCTTAGAGGAAAGGTTGCCAGTTTTTTTCCCATGCAGTATGATACTATCTGTGAGTCTGCCATATATAGCTTTTATTATGTTGAAGTTTGTTCCCTGTGTCCCAAGTTTTTTAAGAGTTTTTATCATGAAGGTATGTTGAACTTTATCCAGTGCTACTTCAGTATCAATTTAAATAATCGTATATTTTTTATTCTTCCTTCTGTTGATATGATGTATCGCATTGATTGATTTGCATATGTTGACCCAACTTTTCATCCCTGGGATATATCCCAGTTGGTCATGATAAATGATCTTTTCAATATAATATTGAATTTGGTTTGCTAGTATTTTGTGTAGGATTTTTGTATCAATATTCATCAGAGATACTGGCCTGTAGTTTTCTTTTTTTGTTGGTTCTTGTCCAGTTTTGGTAACAGGGCAATACTGGTCTTGTAGAATGACATTGGAAGTATTCCTTTCTCTCTACTTTTCAGGGCAGTTTGAGTAGGATTGGTATTAGTTCTTTAAATGTTTGGTAGAATTCAGCAGTGAAGCCATGGGGTCAAAGGATTTTCTTGTTATTATGGCTTCAATATTATTTCTTGTTATTGGTTTGTTCAGGTTTTGGATTTCTTCTCAGTTCAATCTTGGTACTCCCTATGTGTCTAGGAAATTATCCATTTCCTCCAGATTTTCCAACTTGTTGACATATAGTTGATCATAGTACTCACTAATGATCCTTTGAATTTCTGTGGTATCAGTTGTACTATCTCCTTTTTCATCTCCGATTTGATTTATTTAGTTTTTCTCTCTTTTTTCTTAGTTGGTTTGGCACTTGTCAATTTTGTTTATTTTTTCAAGAAACCAATGTTTTATTCATTCATCTTTTGTATTGTTCATTTCAAATTCATTTATTTCTGCTCTGATCTTTATTATTTCTTATGGTCTACTAATTTGGGGTTTGGTTGGCTCTTGTTTTTATAGCTCTTTAAGATGCATTATTAAGTTATTTATTTGATGTTTGGCAAGAGTTTCACATTCATTGCATTTATAAATATTTCTAACGTTTCTTGAAGTAGGCACTTAAAACTATAAATTTACCTCTTAGTACTGCTTTTGCTGTATCCTATGGGTTTTGGTATGTTGTTCTTCCATTATCATTTGTTTCAAGAAATTTTTCAATTTCCTCTTAACTTCTTCATTGACCCATGGTCATTCATGCACATACTGCTTAATATCTATGTGTTTTTACACCTTTCATAATTGCTATTGTTATTGATTTATAGTTTTATTCCCTTGTTAGACTCAATGAGTGATATTATTTCATTTTTTTAATGTTTTAAGAATTGTTTTGTGACATAAGGTCTATCCTTGAGAATGACCGATGTGCTGAGGAAAAGAATGCATATTGTGCAGCCATTGGATGAAGTGTTCTGTAAATATCTATTATGTTCATTTGCTCTATAGTGCACATTAAGTCTCATGTTTCTTTATTGATTTTCTTTCTGGGAGGTCTGTCCTATGCTGAAAGTGATGTGTTTAATCAGCTATTAGTGTATTGAGGTCTGTCCCTCCCTTTAGCTCTAGTAATATTTTGCCTTACATATTGGTGTCTTATCTATTATGTTCATTTGTTCTATGGTGCACATTAAGTCCTATGTTTCTTTATTGATTTTCTTTCTGGGAGTAATATTTTGCCTTACATATCGGGGTTTTCCAGTGTTGGGTGCATTATAGTTACAATCATTATATCTTCTTGCTAAATTGACCCATTATGTAATGAGCTTCTTTTTCTCTTATAGTTTTTGTCTTGAAATCTATTTTGTCTCATATAAGTATAGCTACTTTTGCTTTTTTTGATTTCTCTTGACATGGAATATATTTTTCTATCTTATTATTTTCATTATAGAGGAAGTGATTTTTTTTAAGCAGTAGATCATTGGGTCTTGTTTTTTCATCTATTCAGGCACTCTGTGTCTTTTGACCAGAGAGTTTAGTCCATTTACATTTTGTTATTATTGATAAGTAGGGAGTTATTCCTGCCATTTTGTTCTTTGTTTTATGGTTGTTTTGTGTTCTTTTCTTTCTTCTCTTTTCCTGTCTTTCTTTTAGTGAAGTTGATTTTCTCTCATGGTATGCTTTAATTTCCTGCCTTTTATTTTTCACATATCCATTGTATGTTTTCTGATTTGAGGTGACCAAGAGGGTTGCAAATGCTATCTTAAACCCAATATTTTAAACTGCTGACAACTTAACACTGATTGAATAAACAAAGACACATGAAAAAAACTATTAAAAACTCTACACTTTAACTATATTTCCCTGCTTTTTACCTTTTTATTGTTCTCTTTACATCTTATTGTACTATGTCTTCAAAAGTTGTAGTTATTATTTTTGATTGGTTCATCAATTAGTCTTTCTGCCTAAGTCAAGCATAGTTACACACCACAATTACATTTTAACATTATTCTGTGTTTTCTGTGTACTTACTATTTCCAGTGAGTTTTATACCTTCAGATGATCTTTTCTTGCTTATTAACATCCTTTCCTTTCAGACTGAAGAACTCCCTTTAGCATTTCTTGTAGGAGAGGTCTGGTGTTAATGAAATCCCTCAGCTTTTGGTTGTCTGGAAGGTCTTTATTTCTCCTGCATGCTTAAAGGATATTTTTGCCAGATACATTATTCTAGGGTAAAAGTAAAACAGGGATGTTTTAGTTTTCATGCACTATTATAAAGACTCCTAGAAAATGAAGAAACTCATGATTTCACAAATAAAACAATCAGTAATTCCTCTTTTTAAAAACAAAAATAATGTAGGTATGGGCACATGTATCAAGAGAATTGATGTATCAAGAGAATTGGAGAGTGTTATTTTATAATTAGACTGTTGTTTATTATTTCCCATTGGCATAAAATATTTACTTTTTTTCTCATTTTTTCTATTTATTTTAGTTAGTTTCAAGAAAAGGGGTTGGAATTTTGTAGGTAACTATGTGATGACTTGAAAGAAGAGAATAGGAGGGAGAACAGAACTGGCAAGAGTTTGAGGTTCACTATATTTATAAACATTTCTAACACATCAGAAAATCACATTATTTTTAATATAGTGACCAGATTCCTTTTCCATTATATACTCCTTACAATAAATCTCACATTTTGTGTTTAGTTATAGGCACAACAATTCAAGTATACCAACCAGGGCAGGTGGAAGAGTGAATGTTTCTTTTCATTATAAAAGGGGAAACTTAAGGGTAGAGAGTGTGGTAAAACTAAATGAGCCCACAGTGGATATTCTGTAAGTGAATGTAATTGAGAAAGGAAACATTTTTTTCAGGTCATGATTCAGAGTAACACTAAGTTGTAAGAAACTGCAGAAAAACACATAAAAAAAGAGTCGTTCCATATTTCAGAGTGGACTTTATCCTAATGAGATGTATTCTCTATCACTGACCCCCCACTGCAAGTGCCAGATGCACATCTTTCATGGATGATTTAGAAGATGTCTCTCTAAGGAATAGAAGAAAGTAGCATCTAAGGATATTCACATTTTGATTGTATATCACCCTACTCATGTGTCTCTAGCATACAAAAACTGCAGTCACCAAGATCTCAATGAAATAGCAAAGTAATCAAAGTTTATTTTGGTATTTCTCTTTCTCCACCAAAGAATCCCCCTTTACAAAAGTTCTCTCAGATTTAACATCCTCAGAATCCCCACATCTACCTGCCACTGGTTCTTCTATTCCATCTAGCCCTACTCTTCACACAAGCAATTCCAAATATAAAATTTATGTTTGTTCTTCAAACCAAAACAAATACAGCTATACTACTTAGTGCCTTTGTGTTACAATCCGATGAAAACAATTCAACAGAAGTCACAGATTTAAGACATATTTAATGATCCCAGAGGATATCTAAGCATGAGTTAATCATCATCAATCTCAAAGTGGTAGGCATAGAGGAGCCAAGTCCAGGGAACTTCTGAGCTTCACTCATCTCCTGGAGGCAAAGTTGAATTTATTCCCTTCCTTCATTGACTTCCCTAGAGGCAGTGATGTAAAAGCATGCACTATGAACTGTGAACTGAGACAGCATAGTCTGGCACAAATTCTGCAAATATCTCAAATAATGAATCATAAATATATGAATGTGAAGTTTTTTCTGTATTTAGAAAATTTTCAGGAATGTAATCTCCCAACATTGCCTTTAAATTTTCCATGGGATCCATCTGAATTTGCTTAGCAATCTCTCTCAGAGCTTCCTGGTATCATTTTTTACCCTTCTACTGCCCCCATAGCCTTTGGTTCAGAGAATAGAAGCATCTGCCTGGTGGAAACAGAGGTTCCCATGATAATTGAGCAGAAAGGGAACAGAAGTAAGAAACAGAGCATGTGCAGTTTTCTGGTGTCTGCTGGCTGATTTATTTTAGAACCTCTGCAAGTGGTCCTGTGCTTATTTTTAAGCCATTTGTACATGGATAAAATAAAAATATTCTTTAGGTTTAACATCCTAAATGGTTTCCTGTATGTTAACATAAGAGACATAGTAAAGACTACAAGTCTAAAGCTATTTTCTTGATTGTGATAATCATTTATTATAATAGCATATACAACAGATATTACTTAAATGCAATCTAAAAATTTACATTTTTCTGACAGAGTGATCATAAAATGTGCCTTGGTTAAAATAAGAAATCTTCATTCTGTGTATTTTCTTACACATGGTGCTTGAAGCAAAACAGTTAAGAAGAATCTAGACAATCCAAATGTTTGATTTTTCAAATAAATTTGCCAGGATCTTTGGGTTTAAATTTTTTTTTCTCTCACTCATGCTGAGAAAGTGCACATACATTTTGAAATTTGGTCTATTTGAGCAATACTTTTTTATCCTTTAAACTGATAATAAGCATATGGGAGTGGGATTGAATTGGAGACAAGCTTTTGATTTCTATTGAACACTCAAAAAATGTAAGGTATCAAAAAATTTTTTTAACTATCCAGTGATGGGCTAAAGTGTATCAGAAGTTTGGTAAACTGGTATATCATTCTGATATGGGGCCAGAGAAAGGAATAGATCTTAAATCGTTTGTCAAGTACATGATGTCTGTCTTTGGGGCCTTCTCATCTCCACTTCGTTGCTACTCAGGCCTCTGTTTCTTTCTCAGCCTATTTCTGCTTAAGGCATCCGAAACTTAGAGCCCATGAGATTTCCTACTGAACTCTTTCCTTCTTGCAAAAGGTTGTGTGTTTTATAGCTTGCTGTTTAGTTTAGCCTCCATCATTATACTCAGACTCTATTCAAGAAAACTGCTTTCAGCTAGCAATAAAAAAGAAATACTCAAACATATCTGAATAAAAGACCCACATGGCTCATAAAATTTAGTGTGCATTATAAGAATCACCTTGGTTACTTGCTGAAAATGCGCTTTTGAAGGCTGGTCCCAGAGTTATTTCTTGTCCATGTTTAATAAACACTCCAACAGATTCTGATGTTGGTTGAGAAACATTGTTCTAGGTTGTCTGTATATTACTAGAATTTTGGAAGGATTTAACTTAAGTCACAAGCCGACCAGAGATGAAATGTGATACTATGTATCACAGAGATGTTTGTGAAACTATGAGTGTCACATACATGAAAAAACAAAATACATAATAACATAATACATAACACATAATAAAATTATATGTGTTTTTACTCTGTAGCTTCTTCTCACTCTCTAGTGTGGGGGGGCCTATTATCTGTAAAATAATTCTGTGTTACTTTTCCCATATGAAGTTTCCCACATCATAATTCACTTTGGAATACTTAGGGTCCATGTGTAAACAAACAAACAAACAAAACAGGGTCACAATAGAGAAAAATTGAACAAAATAAACTGCCAAAATTATACATTTTATTGAGTAACAGAAAGTTTTGGATTTACTTCTTTTTTTTATCATACTTTAAGTTTTAGGGTACATGTGCACAATGTGCAGGTTAGTTACATATGTATACATGTGCCATGCTGGTGCGCTGCACCCACTAACTCGTCATCTAGCATTAGGTATATCTCCCAATGCTATCCCTCCTCCCTCCCCCACCCCACAACAGTCCCCAGAGTGTGATGTTCCCCTTCCTGTGTCCATGTGTTCTCATTGTTCAATTCCCACCTATGAGTGAGACTATGCAGTGTTTGGTTTTTTGTTCTTGCGATAGTTTACTGAAAATGATGATTTCCAATTTCATCCATGTTCCTACAAAGGACGTGAACTCTTCATTTTTTATGGCTGCATAGTATTCCATGGTGTATATGTGCCACATTTTCTTAATCCAGTCTATCATTGTTGGACATTTGGGTTGGTTCCAAGTGTTTGCAATTGTGAATAGTGCTGCAATAAACATACGTGTGCATGTGTCTTTATAGCAGCATGATTTATAGTCCTTTGGGTATATATGCAGTAATGGGATGGCTGGGTCAAATGGTATTTCTAGTTCTAGATCCCTGAGGAATCGCCACACTGACTTCCACAATGGTTGAACTAGTTTACAGTCCCACCAACAGTGTAAAAGTGTTCCTATTTCTCCACATCCTCTCCAGCACCTGTTGTTTCCTGACTTTTTAATGATTGCCATTCTAACTGGTGTGAGATGATATCTCATTGTGGTTTTGATTTGCATTTCTCTGATGGCCAGTGATGAGCATTTTTTCATGTGTTTTTTGGCTGCATAAAAGTCTTCTTTTGAGAAGTGTCTGTTCATGTCCTTCACCCACTTTTTGATGGGGTTGTTTGTTTTTTTCTTGTAAATTTGTTTGAGTTCATTGTAGATTCTGGATTTAAGATTCACTTGTTAAATTCAAAGAGAAATTTTGTTTTATCAGAATATAGCAGGT
Organism: Homo sapiens; assembly: GCF_000001405.40. NCBI lineage: Eukaryota > Metazoa > Chordata > Mammalia > Primates > Hominidae > Homo > Homo sapiens. Next base: position 397,898 of record NW_025791754.1, on the reverse strand, counting down.
AAAGGAATACTTTAAAGAACTATAAAAACAGATCTCCCTTTACCTACTCAGCACAGAAGTACAATACAAAGAAATGTTTTTTTACTATTTTTATTTTTTAGTTATTATTATTTTCTTAAATTCTCCCTCACATCATCATTTTATGCTTATAATGTTCTACTTATTTAATGAGTAGCACCATAAAATTTCTTAAAATTTCTATTACTCAATATATGGCTTTAGACACTTTGAAATGCTGAATCTGTGGGCCCACTATAGACGTACCAGATCAGAATTGCATTTTAGACTATCCCTAGCTGATTTATATCTGAAATAGTTTTTTTCTGGATGTTACCATACTGGAGTTTGTTTCTAATCTATAATTTTATGAAATGATTGATTCTTACTAACAATTTTCTAAAAGAAGATGTATTGCTTTTTTTCAAATTATAAATTTTCCATTTAAAAAATAAAAAATACAGAAAAATATAAATAAGGAAACTCACTCAAAAATATTATTGATGTGATAATTTTAGACATTTCTACATTTATATGTAGATATAATGGATGGATGATGAATGGACAGATGAATGGACAGTGAAAGGGTAAGAAAGAATTTTACTGAAATGAAATCATCCCATACAAAATTTTTTAAAATGAAAGATATTATTTAAGTTGATAGAAACAAACTTAAGTGAAATTGAAAGTATTGTTGAACTTGAAGTAAATGTTTCTTTACAAGAAGAGCTATTAGATTTTACAAGTCATCTATAATGAGAACATTGTGAAATTAAATGTTTCAACTTTAGACATCCATCGTCTGTCCAGTGAAGGATGAGAAAGTAAGTGTCCACACTGCCTCACACCTCCACCTCCCAATTTTTTTTTAAATAATGGCAAGGTTTTTAATATTCACATTTGATTCCAAAATCATAATTTCAAAAGTCGTTTGAGTTTATTCCTATTTAGGGGTATAATTGTCTCACTAATAGTACTTAGCAACAGTATCTCCCACCCTGAGCATCCTGAGTTTTTAATTTTGACACACTTCTTAAATTCAAATATTTAATTACATATTTTTATTCTCTCCACAAGGAAGTGTGATGAGTACTCTTTAACTTCTTGCATGCTTATGAAAATACGTTGTCTTTTTACTAGAAGGCTAAATCCCATGGGTATATAGCTCTTTTGTTACTCTATGTTGCATAATCCTGTAGATAATTCTTGTATTTTCAGGCATTGATTTTTTTTTCCATGGAAAAATCTCAGATTACTCTAATTTACATATGCTGTCCTTGTACCTTACCAAATATTTATTACATTCTTTTTCTATGCAGTTTAGTACCTTTACCAGAATATGTGTTAGTTTTGCAATCAATGTTCCATGACGTACATTGTGCCTTAAGTTGCTGATGATTCAAGTTTTCTTGATTTCAGTCCAATTTTCTTCAATAATATCTTCAATGATTTTTTTGACTTTCTGATTTTACTTGTTCTTTTTTTAAGGGAAGTTTATTTATCTGTGTGTGTAGATTTTTTCTTGACTTCTGTTTCACCACAGTAGAATAGGTTTTGTAACAACTGGGAGATTTCATCACTCATTAGAATCTGATGCTTAGGTTTTTCCTTTTATACTACTGTTGCTTTTGAGGAATTAACACTAATCTTCTGTTTACAAGACTAAGGCATGTTCTGAGCTGTGATCTCAGGTGCCACAGGGTATAAGCAGAGGTGACTTAGAAAGCACTCAGTGTTATGGGAAGGTGTCCATCTGTTGATAATATAAATGTCAAATTGCTGGCTGCTATCACTAGGAGGCCCATATGCTGCAAAGATAAGAAGAGTAGCTAATTACACTCCATCTTTCAGAAGATATATAGTTTCCACTGTGCTAGAGACAAATGATGTAACACCAAATGTATGCGTGACAAAAGACAAAAATAGATACATTTGGCTTCTTTAAAATTGAAAACTTTTGTGCTTCAAAGTACATCATCAAGAAATTATAAAGATAATTCACAGAATAGAAGAATAATATTTAGCATGGGATGGAATAGACAAACGTTGTTGAGGATTTGAATAAGTTACAACTCTCATAAAATTGTTTGGTGCAAATATAAACTGATGAAGCTGCTTTGGAAAGTGATCTGGCAATTCTCAAAGGTTATACATAGATTTACTATATGGCCCAGAATACTATTGGGTATATACTCAAGAGAAATGGAAACATACATTCACAGAAGGCTTGTACGTTAATATTTACAGCAGTGTTACCCATAATAGCCCAAAAGTAGAAATGTGGTATATCCGTACAAAGGAATATTATTCAGTAATAAAAATAAATCAAGTATGATACAAGGTACAATATGGATGAAGTTTGAAAACATTAGGCTCAATGAGAAGAGTCAGACATAAAAAGATGATATATTGTACAATTTCATTTACATGAAATATTTAGAATAGGCTAATCTATGAAAACACAAATTATATTAATAGTTGCTGGAGCTGGGGGGGTGGGTGGGATGGAGAGCTCACTGGGCAAATGGGTGCACCATTTCTTTTGGGGTGCTGAAAATATCCTAAAATTTGCTTTGGTGATGATTGCATGACTCTGTTAATGCACTGAAACATATTGAATTATTCACTTTCAATAGGTAAATTGTATGCTATATAAATTATACGGCAAAAAATCTATTAAAGGAAAAGACCAAGTGGAGCACTGTTTGGGGACTTGCTTGCAGGTTCCTATTTGGACTTGCTTAGCAACCTCTCCAGCCTGATCCTGTTTCCTCAAGGTCATGTCTTCTGCTCAGTCTCCCCTAAACTATTGGTATGTCCCTGTGAATGCACTTTCTCTTTTTCTCTACACTGGTGATCTACTTCATGGTGGTGATGAAGAAAGGAGCTAAGCAAACAAAGGTGGTCTTATTCTTCCCTTATTCTCTTTTTAATTTTATAATTATGTTATAACTATATCCTGCTTACCTCTTATGGAAATATAAATCTGAACCTGGACAATTTTAAAATGTTGGCGGGATTAGACCTGTGGGGAAACTCTCATAATTTATAGCAATTATGAGAGGTTCCACTAGTAACTTTTAGCATGTATGAAGAAACTATAAATATATTTGAATCAAATTGAGTATTATCCAAATATTAAGCTTTTGAAAGGTCCACTGGGCTAGGATTTTTAAAAAATATTTTGCTAAGAATGAGGATTAATGTTTTTTCCCCCTTTTTTCCTGTCCAGAAAAACATTTCATAAACATTAGTTTTAAATCCAAACTTTTTATTTTTTGTGAAAGCAGTCATTATTTCAAAGTTTTTCTCAACTGCTCACATCCTGAGTAAAATCACATTGCTTAGTCTCACAGGAGACATCATTTGTACTATAAAACAAATGTGATCATGTATAACAAGACATGAAAGTGCAAGCTCGTCAATGTGCCTTTGTGCTGCTCAGGGCATTCTTTTTCCAGTGAACTTTATGTCTGAAAACAAATTAGGATGAAAAGCCTGCTTAGTGAGAATATGGAATCATACCAAAGAAAGTCACCAAACCATCCAAGCATTTCTAACATCCAGCAACTCAATTTCAAATCAATTTGTTTCCAGTTTCCAAGTCTAAATTTTCCCATATTGCCCTTTCATCCTTCTAAATGCAATCCCATTTACGAGTAAAACAACTCCTGTTTTCAGAAGAGCATTATTAGAAGTTGAAGTATATATTATTATTTTAAAAATATTTATTTTTGAATAGGTAATACAGTCATGTGGTTTAAAATTTTAAGACTAGTGTAAACAAGAATAGAGTAAACATTCGTTTGTATCTCTGGCTTCTTCCAGTTTACATTTCTAAAGACCATCAATTTAGGTGGGTTTTCTTTTTCCAATATATGCCTCAAAACATATTCTATACATCTATAATTAAATATATATATTTCTTTTTACAAATGATGGTGGCTATATAGTCTGTTTTGTATATTTCTTTTTTCACTTTTCAGGAAGTCATAGAGATATGTCTACAATAGTGCATCAAGTTTTCTTGTGATTTTAAAATTTGTGATGTGATCTTTTGCATGTGAATGCCATAACTTATTGTTATAGTGACCTTTCATGGATATTTAGGTTGCTTTGGAGAGTCACTTCAGTTGTTGCTGTGCGTGAGTGATTTGTTCCTTTTTATCACTGAGTGGTATCCCATGGTGCAGATGTACTATAGTTTAACTAGTCACCCACGGAAGCAAACCTGGGCTGTTTCCAGTTTTGAGCTATTACAAGTAAAGCTGCTATGAACATTTATGTGCAGGTTTTTTGTGTAAATACACAATTATATTTCTGTGGCATAAATGCCTGAGTACGACTGCTGGATTATGTGGCAGTTCCATGTTTTAATTTAAGAAGCAGACAAACTGTTTTTTCCAGCGTGGCTGTACCACCTACATTCTAATCAACAATGTATAAGGGATCCAGGTTTTCTATATCCTCACAGCATATAGGGTTGTCATTATTTTTTATTTTGGCCATCTGATAAGTGTGTAATGTGTTTAATTTTTAAAACATGAAATATTACATACCTTATTCATTAAGAACCATCCAGAAAATTATAGAAAATTATCGTGGACATCCATTTTCCGAACACAGTATGATTCTTCAAAGATAAAAATCAGAGTTACAGATTATACTTTATGACTTTTTAATTAAGTTTGGTTTTGTCTGGACTTATTTTATTTCCCAAGATTTTCTTTTCCTCTACATCTACTTTCACAGATTTGAGAGTAATAAGATGGAAGTAACTGTGATTTATTGCTACCCACTCTGACAAAATTTATGTTTCTATTGTTATATAGCAAGAGACTTCAGATTAATAATACTTCATGAGATGTACACAAGACATTTTACTGAGATTAAACTTTAGTATTCTGATTTTAGAATCCTCACAACTGCAGTGTGTTAAAATGTTAATTCTCTAAGATATTGCTGAAAGACAGATGGGATAATTATCTTCATATCAAATTTAATTGTTTGAAAGCTACAAATTAAATCATGAGCAAAATTTCTCATGCATAAAGCTTAACTCTAGTAAATTCTGTTTAAGAATTATAGCTCAATAGCTTTCAAGACTACCACAACTATATTTTAAATTAATATTTTGCTTATACATTTGCTAAATAATTCATAATTTATAACTATATAAAATGTCTCACCATATTTATTTATGTTGCTAACACTACTCTGAACGTGTTTTATTCCTTAATGTTCCACCAGCGTTTTCTGTAGTTGACTTGTATCCTTCAGAATTCTGTATCTTGGTCATTTTCTCAGTAAGAGAGTTGACTGAATTAAATCCTCCTTTTTTATATTTCCTTCACTCTTATTTCATAACACATAGACTGACAGTTCTTCAATACTGATCATCCTTTAACAGAACCACTTGTTTCTTGTCTTCCTGAGGAGGAGCAGGTATCTTATTTATTGCCATTTTCCCATAGTCAAGTATGGCACCTTACCCCTAATAGGCATTCAATAAATCTATGTATTTTTATTGATTGGTTGAAAAATGAAATAATGGACCTAAAAACACCTCCCAAGCTCCCCAATCCATTTATATGTTAATTATTATTTCTCCAGTGAGTTATGTGCTCCTAATGCCTAGTTCTTTGAGGATGAGCAGGTGAATGAACTCAGAAGGGGGATTATACAAGAAAGGTGTACTGTAGAAAGTTGTCCTGTGATCTCTTTTCCTCCAGCCACTTTCAGACATACTAGACTTATAACTCCATCTCCTTATCCAGTAAGCTATCTTTTGGAAATTCAGAGCTCTGTAAAAATATTTAAGCTTTTACTTCAAATTAATACACTCTGACGTTTTGTGTCCATAGATGCAGTGTCACCAGGTTGCCCCATATTCTTGTCCTGAAAAGACTTGATATAATTTTCTGACTATGTTTATGGAAAGGTAATGCATATTTGGGTCAGTTCTTAAAAAGTAATTAACAAATTCTAATGAGACAAAAGCTCATTTTAGAAACTATATTCTCTTACTAGACTTTCGGCGGATTTTGGGTTAGTGTAAATGAGTTGGTTATTTAAACCTTTCACATCATGGTTTTTTAAATGATAAATATTGTTATATAACTCTTCCTTTTGTAAATTATGTTTTATATATAACTTTTATCTAAATCTCTTAAATAATTATTTTTAAAATTATAAATGCTCTTGTATATTTCATTTTGTAAATTATGTTGTATATTTAATTTTTTAGGTGCTAGACACCTTGTATTTTATCTGGAAAAGGGAATAATTGTTCTTAAAGTGTTTGACTACCTCATATCAAAAAACATATTTATTTAATAATTGAATAGGTGGTATATTTAAATATATTACTAATCAATATATAATGGTGCATTGGACATTATCTCTCCCAACTTTATGGCATATCTCATGTCCTAGTGGTTAATAGTATAGAATTATTATCAGATAATTAATAATAAATCCTGTGCAATCAAAAACTGAGTCTTTTAAAAGTGACACTCAAGTGTAACACATTAGTAGAATATAAAATATCCTGCTTGTTAGAAAAAAGATCAGCAAAGTTTTTCTGTGTAAATGCCAGATAGTAAATATTTTAGTCTCTGGGGCCATAAGGTCTCTTATTAAATATACTCATTTATGCTGTTGTAACTTAAAAGCATTCTCTGACAATATGCAATGAGTATGTTTGTGCGCCAATAAGACTTTGTATATGGACACTGACATTTGATTTTCAAGTAACTTTAACATGCCATAAAACATTCCTATTCATTAAATTTGTTTTGAGACATTTAAAAATAGAAAAAAAAAATCTTAGTTTATAGGTTGTAAAAAAAGAGGCAATGGGCAGGATTAGGTCCCTGGATTTCCTGACCTCACTCTGTAGCAAGTTATATTGTTGGGTTATATAATGTAATTCATTTTATTTCTGTTTTTTTCAAATGTATTCAACATATTGATTTAAAACATATTTACTGACTTCTTTGGTTTCGTATATTCTATTTATTACTTAGGAACTAAGAGATATAATAATTTTGGAGTGATAATTAGATATTAGATGCTTTTTTTTATCTCAGTACAGTCACCTACTTAACGAATATAAATAGATTTTTATTTATTTATATATTTATTTATTTATTTATTTTGAGACGGACTCTCGCTCTGTCACCCAGGCTGGAGTGCAGTGGCGCGATCTCGGCTCACTGCAACCTCCACCTCCCGGGTTCACTCCATTCTCCTACCTCAGCCTCCCGAGTAGCTGGGACTACAGGGGCCCGCCACCACGCCTGGCTAATTTTTTGTATTTTTAGTAGAGACAGGGTTTCACCATGTTAGCCAGGATGGTCTCGATCTCCTGACCTTATGATCCACCCTTCTCGGCCTCCTAAAGTGCTGGGATTACAGGCGTGAGCCACAGCGCCTGGCCTAAATAGATATCTTTAATTTCTATTTCATAGCTGAAATAATGAGAAAGAGAGGGGATTAGACATATTTTCAAGGTTACATACTTGCTGAGAGTTGGGATATAATTTTTATACATAGGTTTTTATGATTCTGTGTAGAACTGAACAACTATGATTCAGCCACATTATGCTACTTTCACTTTAGCACAGTACTGTGCTCATGTTTATGTGTTTAAAGTTTTGTTGTTGTTTCTTGGTTGGTTGGTATTCAGTGCTGCTATAATCTCAAAGACACAAACAGGAAAATTGAATTCATATTTATTTTGCATTGCATAATTTTCAGCTGAGTGATTTTGCTCCATCTAGCTTCCTTTTGAGGAGAATTGGATTGGAACATTGGCAAATAAAGTTTGATATACAGATTAGTTTCTTTTTTCCCCAAACATGGTCCCTGATTTGAAGTTATGTTTATAATTTAAGTTTTAACTTTGCAATTTTAGTCAATTTCCTTTGGAATTCTTGGATTTTCGGAACATTTGATGATGCATCAGTATTAAGAGATTATTTTTGACAGTGGTTAGAGAAAGAAGGAAGTGTTCATATTTGGAGATTATAAAACATGTAAAAGTGCATATTCTTTTTTCTGGACTTAAAAACTACTAAGAGTGATCCTTTTACTCAACAACAGCATAGAACTATATTCATAATGTAGGTAGTATGGAAAATTGAGCTACCCTTAAAAATGGAATTCAACTAAGGCAACGCATTTTAATTCACTTTATAATTCTTCAAATTTGATCATACCCTTGTTGGATAACACTAATTTATTTCAATAAATTATTTCAGAGTATATAAGAAATTTATCCAATTTTTTGAACAGAGTTGTTAAAGTAATAACAACTAACAGCATGCCACTGTAACTAATATCATCACTCATTTTGATATAATAGATATAATTTATATATATAATACACTTTTACTTAAATGTATTATATTTAATTATTGTTTAGTGGCTAGTAACTAAAAGATTTGCTGAATTACCTTTAGACATCAGAGAAAATTATTTCATATCTGTTTCCAAAATTTAAAGCAAAATCTAATATTGAGATCATGTCATTGCATTTTATGAGATTGATAAGAGTTGCAATTATTATTTAATGACTGTCAAGTTAAGTGAGGGAAATGCCACTTTTTTAGACTAGTAGTTTAATTGAAATAAAAACTGAATACTGTATACCATTAAATTGAAAACAGCTGGCAACATGTGGGATGATGCTCTCCTAACTTGGAAACATTATCATTGTTAAAAACATTATTTGGGCTTATTTTTAAAATTGTGCATAAAGTGTAATATACTAATATTAGGAAATTTATAGAAATGTTGGGAATCTATACTCAAACATCATAAACTGATTGAAATATACCCATAATCTCACTTAATGTATACATAATAATGATTTAAGAAAGCCTGTGAGGGCACTGTATTCCCAGCAGCCCATGCAATGCGAACACACATGAAGTACTCAAATATTTATTGAATTAGTTAACGTATGGCATCCATCTGTATGCTTTGTTTTCCAAAAGAAAAATATTTTCTTATATTCTTATGTAAATTTAAGTAAAATAGTACTCATTTACTTTTAAAACAGAAAGAACTTAGTTTATCATGAATAATTTCATTAAAATGTATTCATTTTTTATTTTTTGTGTTCATTTCTGATTTCTGTCTTCAAGAAGGTATTTAATAACACTTGATTAAACTGCATGAAATGCCATTGTTTAGACAAAATATAAAACCATAACATAACAAAAAAGAGGAGGGTAATGTTATTTTTAAAAAATTCAAAAAAGGATACATTTCATGGAAGTGAATATTTCATTTCTTAAGCTCTAATCTTCTTAGCACATTTCAAAGTTAATTTTCAATTGAGTGGTGCTAGGATAATAAGCAGAAGTTAGAACATTTTAAGAATAATTAGTGTGAGAGAGTCAGATCATCCATGGAAAATTGAGTTATAATTTAGTAAAACAGAATTTCAGTATGACCTGTGTAAGGGAGGTGGCTATGCTTTAGTCAGGAGTAGGCTGAAGTGGCTTTCCAGTGCAGCCTGACTCAGCAGTTTTGGAGCGCAGGCACACAACTCCACACATTATGTAACCACGCTACATGAGGCACATTATATAACCACACCACGTTAGGCGCATTAGGTGATCACCCACCTGAGCTCATGCTTGATTCATAGCCACTATTGTCTGTAAAAAGTATAATTACACTGCTAATGCTGTACATACAGCTTGTGGCTCACACCCACGACTTGCATCCAGGCTGGCTTTCACACACAGAGAGAGTAAAAGCTATGTCAAAACTGTCTATGATTCTTCGAATGTTTTTCCAGCTACCCACCACTTCACCGACTCCCCTTAGACCTCAGTTAGAACCTAACAATTAATTTCATGAAGAGGATCCCCAGCTGGGTGAGCCTTTGGTCCATGCTGATTTCAGGTTTACCATGTAGCCACAACATGGGTAGTGGTGCCTGGTGGCAGCTATATTGCTCCGGTGGCCTTCGGTGGGAACCTGGGTGGCAGTAGATGGGTCCTCCATTTGCATGGAGGAGGCAGTGAAGCAGCTGGAAACACAGAACACCGAGAAGGAATGAGTCTTTGCTGGCAGAGTTGGATGGGCGTTTTTAACTGCACTAGGAGAAGTACACACCCAGTCCCTGAGAGATCCAGCAGAGTTTAGGGCCCTTCAGGAGCAGGTGGGGCACCTGGAAACCTGGCTACACAGCTCAGGAAAGGAGTTAGAAGCTGCCATGAATGGGGACCTTCAGGTGCAGGCAGGGCACCTGGAGGCCCAGCTACAGAACTTGGAAAAGGAACTACAGGCTGCTGTGAATGCAGACCTGGGTTCACACCGTAAAGAAGGGGAAGGTGCTCCAATTGCAGGCTCCCCCGCCCCCACGAGAGATAAGAATGCCCCAACGAGTGACACACTCACAGATATGGATACATTTGATTTCGGACTGAGAGACAATCAATAAGCAGCCCAATGAAGTACTCTTAACTTTGTGGAGACAGTTGTCTCCGGAGCAGCAATTCTAGAAAATGCCCAAGTCGGGGAAGGACATTGCTGCATGACCCAGTCCTGCCTGGCCACTTCAGCTCAAAGGCTATGTGCTGCAACCAGGTAGGGGTGTAAAGCCTTTTCTGTTTGATGAAGGAACTGGCCAAGGTTCCTGGCGTGGGGAGACACCACAACTGGAGGTCCCATGTGAGGTTTACAATCCACTGGTCCACCACCAACATACCACGAGTGCTGGCACTGGTAGATAATAGTGCAGATACATTCTGGGGGTGGGTATTTTACATGGCTTGGCAGCTGTGCCGTCTATTACGGACTTGATACACTGCTTAAGAGAACTGGGACAGTACCACTATGTAGTGGACATGACTAATGCATTCTTTTCCAGAAAGCAAGGAACAGTTTGCCTTCATGAGAGAGAGACAATGGACTTTCACAGTGTTGCCACAGGTCTATATGCATAGCCTCACCGTATGTTGTGGTCTTGTTAATGATATTATGTTAGCCACTGATTCTCTTGTAGATTTTGAAGTGGCAATGCTCCCCTTGCCTAGAATTAAGATGATGAGGCTGAGACAACCTTTCTAGCAGCCAAGTGGGCTATTCAGCAGGCACAACCCCTATGGAAAATTAACCAGGGGAGCCCATTTGAACTGGATGTGCATGTATCCACAGGTAGTTTTGGCTGAGGCCTACGGCAGTGCATGCAGCGCCTGGGAATACCAGTAGGCTATTGGTCCCAACTATGGAAAGAAGCTGAGCTATAGAATTCATTGATATAGAAGGAGTTAGTAACTGCATATGCTGCCCTTCAGGCTCATGAGAGTGTGGCAGGATGGGCTACAGTCATCATGCAATGAATTACTCAATAGTGGGATGGGTGTATTCATGGATAACAGTCCCTCGGACTGGGAAAGCAGCTAGTAACTGCATATGCTGCCCTTCAGGTTAGTGAGAGTGTGACAGGATAGGCTGCAGTTGTCGTATGGATGACTTACCCAGTGGCGAGATGGGTGCTTTCATGGGTAACAACCCCCCAGACTGGAATGGCATAGACATCCACTTTAGCAAAGTGGGGCACCAACTTAGACCAGTGGAGTATGCTGAGTATAAGCCCCTTAGCAGCAGAGTTGCAAGAGATCTTGGAACCTGTAGTCCTAATGCAAGATAAGGCCATGGGGCCTGAGGCACCCCTAGACATGGGTCTAGCTGAGCTGCTACTGCTGTCTGGACCACTGTTGCAGTCCCACCTAGTACTGACACCATATTGTTTGAAACTGGAAGTGGACAGTGTGCTCAATGGGCTGAACTCAAAGCAATATGAATGGTGATCACTAAGAAAGTGACACCTATGATAATCTGCACTGTTAGCTGGGCAGTTTATCGAGGCTTAACCTTGTGGTTAACTGCCTATAAGTTACAAAAGTGACTACTTGGTCACCGGCCCATGTGGGGCCAGGCCATATGGCAAGACATATGGTAGGAAAGATGTCTTTCTCCACCAGGTATGGGGCTGAATAGTAACCTGTTATTGCCTGGCCCAATGCCTGTAAAGATAGGGAAATAGAAACCTGACTTAATGTATAAAGCAGCCTTGTGGTAATGTCATGTGGAGTGGTTGCCTGCCATAACCTGGAGTTTTTGCTCCCTTTATTACTGCTGTGGCCTCTGGATCCAGGGTTCCACCTTGTGGGCATGTGTCCCTGCCTGGAGGATGCCCTCAGCTTAGGGGGTGGAGTGTAAGGGAGATGGTTTCACTTTAGTCAGGAGCAGGCCAAGGCGGCTTTCTGACACAGTGTGACTCAGCAGGTTTGGAGTGCAGGCACACAACTCTGCATGATATGTATCCAATGCCATGTGTGGCACATTAGATGATCACCCATGTGAGCTCATGCTTGGCTGGAAGCCACTATTGTCTGTAAAAGATGTAATTACCATGCTGACACTGTACATATGGCTTGTGGCTTGCACCCACAGATTGCGTACAGGCCGGCTCATGCTCAGAGAGAAAAAGCTGTGATGAAACTGTCTATGATTCCTCAAGTGTTTTACTAGCTACCCACCACCCCACCAACTCTCCTCAGACCTCATTTAGCACCTAACAACCTGACATTTCATATAGTCATTTTATAACCTTGGTAAAACCAAGGTTATAAAAATGTGCAAAGAAAATAAGCATTATTCTAAAAAATGTTTTAGAGAAACTTTTTAAACAGCCTAAACTAGAATACATTTTACTATGTTTTCTCAAATATTTGTTAGAGTGATTTTCAATTGTCATTATTAATTGGAATTATCATTAGCAGATCCAGGCATCTTGGCTCTCCAATTTCCAATGTGTTACTGATACTATCTTTAAATGAATATTGCTTATGACAAACACTTTTACAATGTGTAACAGCTGAACAATTGAAATTTAATTCTTTGACATTTTAACAATAAAGCCAAATCAAAGACAAAATGAGATGGTGTTGACCACATGGTGAATACATCATAATGGCCTTACTTGATGAGGGCCATGGTACAGTCTTACACTCCTCCTAGAATGTTGGGACTCTGATTTTGTGAGAACATCCAGAGTTGTGTAATTTCAGAGGAACTGACCCATACTTAGCAAATTAAAGTATGACTGAGAAACAAACCTTAATGTTAGGGTAGTGACTTTGTTCACATTAAATAATATGCATGAAAAGGGAAATTATAATCAGAATTATACCTTGATAACATGGAGCTAAGTAAGTAAAGAAAACGGAAGTGGGTGATTTTGAAGGGTAGTTATTATGCAGTCCAGGCTGTGGCTAGTCTCTACTAGGAAAATTATATTAGAATTCTCTTCTAGAATTGAGGATGCTGAGAATTCTTCTGTTTTTGTTTCCTTTCATTCAGATGATTCAGCAGAAAGGTATCAGTGAAGTTGGGTCATTTCCACGAAGTTCCACAAAGTGACCTGCTTTTTCTTGGGTGGATTTTACGATCTATCTAATGTATATCAAAAATATATAAATTCTGTTTTCACAGTTTTTGAATTTACTTTATTTCTTGGTTTTACCTTTTAATCAAATTTTTAAGAAGCAGGCTTCCTTTTTTTCTGTTCTTTTATGATTTTAAAGTCTAAAGATGAATGCCTTCTTTTAATACGTTTGTTCCACTTAATGCTAAATTAGTTCACGACAGCTTTCTTGGACTTCCTGTTTTCTTCTTATTCTTCATCTGAGAATAATTTCAAGACATAAGCATTTCTGTTTCAGCTCAAGTAATTAGTCTCCCCAACTCTAGCAAATACTATGTTAATAATAATTTTGTGGCTTGTATGTATTTATTGCCTGGAGTAAGGTTTCAAAATGAGCAAGTTTAAGGTAATGCACCTGGCCCATTGTGTAGTTTCAATGCAGAAACAATTTTCCACAGAGTCTAGTAGGAAATCAGTTTACTCCATGGAACAATACTGCTATTTAAGATTTTCTCTCAAAGCATAAATATACTGAAAATAGTTATTTTTCAAATGCATTCAACATTAAAATATGGATAACCATGAGATATGGGAACAGTCTTTGAATATGTGGTTTCCGAGGTAGTGCATTAATATATCTTAGGTAAAAAAGATTCTTCCTTTTTTTTTTCCCCACCAATCTATTACCTTCCAAGTTTTTGTGCACTGAATGCAAGAATACTGGACCCTGATGACAGGTATCATGCATTATCTTCAAATTGTGAATAAAAGCCAATTTTAAATTAATCAGATTACCTTTGGAGCTGACCATCTACAAGAAGAGAAGCCCCTCAGCCCAGGCTTTATGGTACTAGTGGAGGGGCCCTAGTTACCTATCACCCACTCAACATACCCATTCTTTAGTGTCATGGATTTTCCATTCAGAGCACTTATTCCAATGTGTAAGTAAACATTTATTTTTTTTAAATTTATTTTCTGCTTCTTCTGGCTATGGTAAGAGCTCTATGAAAACAAAACCTATTTTCTGTTCCTAGCTTTATATATGATGCCAACCACAATAGAAGACATAAGAATTATTGAGTGAATAAATAAATACTTCTGCACCCAAGCTGAGGATTATTTTTCCACATGGATTATGTAAAGAATCCCTCGATTTCTAACCTAGGAGAAAGCTAGTCAAATTTCCTCAAATCTAACATGACAGAAAGCTAGTTCATATCTCTTGGGAGACTAAGGACTCCAGAAGATTGAGGAACTTGAAGTTTCCAAATGCATTTTGGTTTGTAAGAGTGCTGCCAGTTAATGCCAGTACGACTAGTTCATATTTATAGTTGCTTCTCTGGAATCATCAGATTTGTCTTTTTAAATGATCCTCATCATTATGAGACATATAGACCTCTCCACAGAGAAATAAGAAAAAGGATCTCCTTTTGTAATTGTAATTACCCCTTTTGTAAGGGATAATTTTCTTCTTACATATGCAGTCCTAAGAAGGCCAATAATTATTGCATATTGGAAGAGAGCTTCACTACATCAATAGCTTTCTCTTAGTCATTCTGTCAGAATCACTAGGAAGCCTGTGCTTTAAAAGATATTAGTAGGTGCAAGTAATACCTATGTTGAATTATGATATTCTTAATAATCACCTTGATCACTAAAGTAAAAATGCACATTTTATTTCATACATCGTTTATATTATCCTTGGTTGCCCACAAAATGAGTAAAATTAGATTTGGCCAGATAGAGATCTCTGCATGTGCTGATTATTTGAGAATTTTCTTTGGTTTTGAATTGCTGCTGCTTTTCTTTAGAAGGGGTACATTTTGAATGCTCCAGATTTACATGAGTGGAAATTATATTCCCAAGATGATATGGAGAAGTTAGCAGCCCGAGCTCCTTTGTTTCATTGCAGTGCCTTACATTATAGGTTGTATGGTTTAGGCCTTGGTTTATAAAAAGAGATTATGAGCTTGATTATTAATCAAAGTATATTAATAAAGTAGAACATTATCAATTAGGCATCCTTTCACATGTGGAAAAGATCACATAGAGAGCAGAAGTCACTTATTTTGGCTCAGCAACAGAGAATCATTAAACACGCTAGAGTTCATTCCTGGTGATACATTACTGGAGATTGCAGTAAAGTCACAATTTTTCTATTCTCTTTTATTTTCATTTTATTTTATTTAATAAATATAATATACATAGAATTAAACTAGGTGTGAAAATTCAAGGCTGGAGTAAGAAACACATAATCTCAAGGATTATATGTAACTTTTCTCTTGTTTATATAGATTTTTTTTTCCCTTTCCTGTTAATAAGACTCATGTCCCAAGTGGGAGCTTGGAAATGTTAGAGTTCCAGGATATTAGGTTAAAAATGAACTTAGCTGTTGAATGCTTCTATTGATGTTAGTTCTGGAAACTCAAAATCAGGTCCAAATAAATTACATGGAAATTGTAAATATCACCTACTTTTTCCCTGTTTTTTGCTTGGCTAGTGCTGGTGTTTACGAACTATTCAGAATCAGAATGAATTGTTCCTGGCAGCATGTACTGTTATGCCAAACTGATGCTTTGAAAAGATGTCTCATGGACTTATGTTTTAAATCAGAGTATTATTTCTGTTGATCCTTATTTTATTCTTTGTGAAATAAATAAATATGAACATGTGATAAGGCATCTCTTTCCTAAGATGGAAAAAGACTGATAAAATAAAGACTTTGTTGCTAAAAAAAAACCCAACACTTTACTATACTATTGAGCAAAGGAAACTAAACTACAAATTTGTGTGTTTTGGTAGCTATAGATAATGGGAGTAAGAGAGCTGACTCACAGATAAACCTATTTAGAATACCGAGATACTCAGAATTACCACTTTCTGTAACTTCCACATGCTAGGAAATGCTGCTTCAGTCGTCAGTTCTTCACTTTTACCAGCAGACATTTTAGTGTAATTACATTAAATTGCTGAAATAAATACATCTCTAATTACTTCATGGAGAGACTCTAGCACAGACTGACTAGAGATTCTGCTGAAATAATCACTGAGCTCTTATTTCAGCAAACTTATCACAAATCTACATTTCTCAGCAATAATATCGTGTATCCTTACTGAAAGTCTGTTTTGGGGTGATTTGTTTAAAATTATTTGTGTTTGTATGATAATAATGGTTATCAAAAGAATACCATAAAGATGTGAGACCAAAATATGGAGAAGCTTTGACCCGTGAGTTCTATATTAAGTATTTCCTATACATTCTTATTTTATTCTCATTAATAATAGAAAGTAGGAGCCGTTACCTCCATTTTACCTCGAGGAAATAGAGTCGCAGAACAGTTAACGTGGTGCATTCTAAGTCCTCTTGCAAGCCAGCCCATAGCTGGATTTAAATGTAAGTCAGTGTGGCTACAAAGTTCGTCTTCTTTTATTCCATGCCACTTTTCTTGATGTTATAATACTCAGGTGGTAACTTGTCCTTTTGGAAGTCTGTGAGGGGATTCTGCTATGAGAATGGCAAGAATGTATTTTCACTGATGAGGCAAGAAGACATGGATGGGTCTAGCTCAGTTGAGTTGAAGAAAATGTCTCCAAAGCTGTAGATGGCAAAGCCTACACTTGAAGAAATGGGAAAAGCAACTCCCCATAGACTTCTCAGCAGAATAAAAGTTATGAGAATATTAGAGGACATGGTTGTTCATCTCCGGGCAGTGATAAGTTCAAGAACTTATGTTGTGTAAAATTACTATTTACAGTAAATCTTTGGCTTCTGATTCATCCTTCTAAGTTTTATCGGAAACTAACAAATAATTCTGGGAAGTTGTCAGGGGCCAAAGTAATAATTAAATAGTAGTTAGGAAAATGATATGATGTGATTCCCACTATGGCCTATTGTTAAATGAGCTAATGTCATCAGAGAGCAGCTATTTGAATCTTCATATATAGCATTCAAAAAGTGGTTTTGAAGGGATAAACATTTTAGGAAGTAAAATCATGGTTAAATCTTGTGATAGAGATGTTATTAAGTGTAAACGATGTTTCTTATTTTGTTAGCACTGTATTTATATTACATATGCAGTATGTGATCAGTATAAGAAAATGGAAAATACTGATTAGTGACAATTACTAGAAACTTCAAAAAACACAACATAATTTCAGCAATGCTAATAACTTAGTGTATAATATTTACCATTTTTTCTATATTTACATGTATATGCTTTACCTAAACAGGATCAAATCACAATGGTTTTTGGTAACCTATTTTTTGTTTGTTTATATATCGGTTTTCCACTTAATAGTACTTTATGAATAGCCATCTATCATTATTTGTGATTACAATACTATTTCATACTGTTGATATACCAAAAATATTTAACTAAATGTCTTTTACTGAACAGTTAGTTAAAATATTTAACTAATTGTCTTTTATTGCTTTGATTTTTCAATCAAAACAGGTCTCTCATGATTAAGACTTCAAAAAATATTTATATTCTACTTTGCAAAATTGTCATCATCTAAATTTTAAATCTCCTCCTAACATTTTGTTTGCCTTTTAATGGGATTTGTACATTTTCTATATTGCTACATTTTAATGAATTTATACATATATATATTTTCTTTGTGCATTCTGCCATTCCTGTTATGGCCACAATAAACTTTATATTTATTGTGTTTCTAAATGTATCAGTCATTTTGTATGATGTGTGTCAAAAAATAGTGTCTTCTTGAAATTTGACATTTCATACCCCTTGCTAGTATGAAATATGATTGCTGCATATTTTTCTGAGTCATCAGGCCTGTGTGTTTGGTAGACATGATCACCATTTCATGGGAAATGGATGTTAAAATTAACATCTGATTTTGTTTACCAGAGTAAAGATCATAGGTTATATTTTCTGAAACAAGTGGTATGTTCTATATTTTGAGCACCAAACATCTTGAGACCAAATAAATGTAAAAGATTTTTAGAAAGAAGCCGAGAGGAATATTATGACAATTTATTTGCTATTAATGAATGCACAGTGTTCTGTAAAATAATCATGTTAACCAGTACACTGGTCTTCCTGCATCATCAACATTTCCTTAATAGTCTGCCAAGCAATGCTGAATCAAAGATACCATTAAAGAAATTAGAATCAGCTGCTGAAGCTGAAATGTTTACATCCTATAAAATCCTTAAAAAATAATGATAAAAACACAAGCCTCCATTTCTTTGATCATGCTACTGGATGAAAGGAGTTTGTGGCTGTAAATAAATTTCTTTCTCTTGAACAAGTATCTGAGCAGAAGATCATAATGTCTCCACAGCTAGTTCCTTGCGGATCCACATTTGTACCTTTTCCACGACTTCAACCGTCAATATCTGATTCAAGAAAAAGGTACTGTAGGGTAAGCTGTAACATCAAGGGGTCGAAATGATGAAAACAATGTTTGGATGTTTTTGCTGACATGGATAAGGCTATAATTATTTGCTCTTATTTATTCATCCAAAATAGAGTACTTTTCATAATCTGTAGTTTCAATGAACTTACATTACATGGTTTAAATATATTTCTTTTAATGATCAACAAGAGACACACATTTCGGAAAACTCTCTTAAGCATTAGTAATATTCAGTTTCGCATTTATTTTTAAGTTACTTTGCAAAGTTGAGTACACATATTATACACTGACTTTAAGCCGTTACATTGCTCTCATTTGATATAAAATCTTTTCTCTATCATTGCTATTTAAATTGAAGATATTTTGAATATGTTACAATCAACATTTTTTCTAAAAAGTTATTCAGTCACATTATTTATTTTAAGATTCATATTCAGGAGTTAAATATGTATAGCATAATCATAAGCATGAAAGGCATGGGGCAATCTAATGCACAATCGTATCATGTCTGACTTTACCCTTGAATGATTAGAATAGCTTTCTCTCAAAATGCCTGCTTCTGTTTCTTTTATCAGTACATTTTAGGCTAGGCTGCCAGCATTGCAGATGGGGTTGTTACAAATACATTGATGTCACCAATCAAGGGAATAATTCTACCTAACGAGCGAGGGAAGTGTTAACCAATTTTTATTACTCACAGTCATAAGCCAGCAAGAAGGAAATCTCTACTCCATTAATGATTCTGTTTTTTTACGATCAACACTTAAAACTAAAAGGCTTCTTTTTAAAATGGACCATGCTAAAGTAAATGGGTACGAACCCATGAGTAAAGATTTATTTCATTTCTTAATAGCCGTTTAGTCAATAACACCTTCTTTGGCTTAGATATCATCGGAAAATAAGAAGTTAGTTCATGCCATTTCTACTTGATTCTAGCTCGAACAATTCTAAGAGAAGTGAGGAAAGGAATCACATAATTTATTTTTTCAATGGAAATGGCAACATAGAATTTTCTGTTTTTCAGAGGAAAACATAGAATAATAAAACTAGTGTATCAAAAGACCATTTCTCAATCTGTGTAAATAGTTGGGGCTACCCAGATTTGTAATATTGAGAGTAAAGTATTTGTTCACAATAATTCTACATCTGATTCTAACTTTCTTGAGAATGCTCATATAAAATCAAAATGATTCATCTTTCTGTGGATTGCCAATGATCACAGCATGAGTGAAGTAAACAAATTAGAAAATGGAAAATGAAACCGGATGTTTTGACAGAAAAAACGTAAGGTTTTAATTTGTGATCTGGAAGCTTGTGTAATAGACATGGGTCATTGTTCTATAGCACTGATTGTGGAGATTGTTAGATTGGTGACATAGCTGTCATTCCATTACTGACCATTATTCTGTTTTATCAAAAATGCTTATTAGAGATAGTTAACTGAAAGCAATTTGAGGCTAGAAAGTTGACAATTTAGGATTAAGGAAAATGGCAGAAGAAATTTGGTACATTAGCAGGAGCCATGATACAAGACCAGACCTATGTTCAATTCTTGCTCTGTCACTGTGTGTGAAAGGGGTGTACCTCCGTTCATAGGAATTATGTTCCTTCTTGTGCACCAGCAAGTTTGCTTCACATTAAATTATTTAAACAAATTGGAACTTTTCAAATGGTAACTTCATATTTTTATTGAAATGAAAGTTTCTGAGTAATTAAGCATATATCCTTCATATGCTAGAAATATATGCAACTTTCAAGAGCACATGCTGATTCACAAGCAGAATAATGGTTTCCTATTAATATTGTTCCCCATGAAAGAAATTTAAGCAGCTTTTAAAGTACTTGAAACTGTAAAGATAATGGCCTCATTTTCAAAAAATTTGTTAGATTATTAATATCATTCATTTTACGTTACCCTGTTTTGCTAATAAACTGTCATTACTCACACGTGAATACTTTTGAACATATTTCAGGTAATTTAACCTAACTTCATGTTAGTATGATGCATTTTTATGTCTGTGCTTCAACCTTTGTGTTACTAATACCTTATATTGGACAAACAGAAGACAAGTTACTGAAGCTTATTAATAGCTCTCATAAGTTCTATGAGGTACATCTTTTTACATTAAAATGAATAAAAGAGATAACTTGCCATTTCAAACGCTCTTTTGCTTCTTCTACAAGAAGATTTGAGATATCCTATAGAACAGTGGTCCCCAACCTTTTTGGCACCAGTGACTGGTTCCTTGGAAGACAGTTTTCCCATAGACCAGTGGGGGCACAGTTTTGGCATGAAACTGTTCTACTTCAGATCATCAGACGTTAGTTAGATTCTCATAAGGAGCACACCACATAGATCCCTTACATGCACAGTTCACAATAGAGTTTGCGATCCTGTGAGAAACTAATGTCGCTGCAGGAGGTGGAGCTCAGGTGGTAATGCTTGTTCAACTCCTGCTGTGGGCCTAACAGGTCACAGACTGGTACTAGTCTGAGGCATGGGGGTTAGGGACCACTGTTACAGAATAAACACACTGAGGAGTATGCAAAAAAGTGCTAGACACAGTCCCTGACTTTGTGTTGTTAACATTTAAGGAACAGACAAGAACACATTGGCTTATCCAAAAAAAACTACATAGTGGCCGGGCGCAGTGGATCACGCCTGTAATCCCAGCACTTTAGGAGGCCGAGGTGGGCAGATCACGAGGTGAGGAGATTGAGACCATCCTGGCCAACATGGTGAAACCCCATCTCTACTAAAAATACAAAAATTAGCTGGGTGTGGCAGCGCGTGCCTGTAATCCCAGCTACTTGGGAGGCTGAGGAGGAGAATCGCTTGAACCTGGGAGGCGGAGGTTGTAGTGAGCCGAGATCGTGCCACTGCACTCCAGCCTGGCGACAAAGCAAGACTCCATCTCAAAAAAAAAAACCAAACAAAAAACCTACATGGTAAGGTTCTAAGACTCAGAGCGAGTAATACTGTATGTATGTAAATTATATATGTATAATTTATGTATACAATAATGTAACATATAACATTTGAATGGACTGTGTATGTGTGCATTTATATTTTATATGATTTATATATTATAATTTATAAAATATAAGCATTGAAATTGTATGTATGTTTATATATATCATAGCATATATAAATTATACATGAACATTTTTTATGTAATTATATGTGTAAAGTTTCACTCACACTGAGCCTTAAGACCCTACCTTGTAGTTTTATTTGGATGATCCAATGCATTCTTGTCTGTTCCTCAAATGTTAACACAAAGTCAGGGACTGTGTCTAGCACTTTTTTGCGTACCCCTCAGTGTGCTGATTCACACACACACACACACACACACACACACACACACACACACAGAGTCAGTTCTCATTATTTGTGCTATTTATGTTCTATAAAGTTGCCATCAACTCTGCATTAGTGAATACTAAACTACTACTTCTAAACCTTTGGTCACATTTTTTGTCAAGTGTTCAATACATAACCTTGTTTTATGTATATGTCTGTTTAAAGACACCTTTTAAAATGTATATTTATATTACATAATTAAATATGTACAGTATTTCATTATAATAAAACGCTAGCTAAGAAAGTTTTCACACTTCTTGATTCTGGCCAACATGGCTGTAAACAGTAATGTAAACTTTTTTGGCTTTCAGCCTCGTAACAGTACTGCCTACTGTGCTTTTTTTGTTGTTTTAAAATCAGTTATCACCTCATGAATTCACAAATTTAGCTACCTTCCCATCTTTTCTATAGCCTCATTATGCACAATAAATGTTAGTTTAGCACTTTCTAGAGCAGGCCCATATACAGATTGGTGATTATCTGGATGAACATTGAACTCACAGACAGCAGCCCTATAACTCATGATTGAAGAAAGCTCATCTAACACATATATTTCTCTGTAAGGTATATCACAGCCTTCTTGCACTTAGTAACAGTAGCAGAAACTCAACGTTACATGTAAGAGCTATTAAACAGGGAAATTACGAACAAAAAGCATAAAAATACAAAAAAAAGTGTCACTGTTAAGACCATGAAAAAGACACTTGTTTACAGTATGAGAGCTGAAACGAGAAGGCAGAGCATGGCCTGGGTCAACTCCATCTGGGAATTTGCTGTGCAGACAACTGATTTTTTTTTTTATTTGCTTTACGTAAATCTACAAATAACTGTGAAAATACTACCATTGTGGTCGTTTTCTACCTGTTCCCTCACTTTCTTCGACAATCAAAAACCACTGAATAGCTACTTTTTTTGTGATATTAGCTATCCTTGTAAATGACATTGACATCTAATCTGATGCTTGAGCTAGAATCTCAAAGTCAAATTTGACTTGTTCTTTGCAAAGATCTCCAAAATACAACAAATCACCAGATTTCTTCCTTTTCTCTACTTCAACCATAGCAATATAAAATAGATGAGAAATTGAAGATTCTATAATACTCATTGTATTTATAAAAGTCAAAACCTAGTGATTTATTAAATTAATATTTTTTAAGCTAGAAGACAGTTTATGGAACATAAATTAGATCTAAATTGATTGACTTTCCTATTTGTTGCTAGAAATAGAAGTAAAATGAAAATTTGATAGCTTGGGACTACAATAGGTAGATAACCCAAATATTACATTTAATAACACCACTATCAATATTATTTTTTGATAATGATATCCGGGATATAGGAAAATGAAGATTTTCCTTAACACAAAATATATCTTATTATATATGACTTTAGTGTGAACTTCACTGTTTTACATCGTATTATGTAATATGTCTTGTATTTACATTTGAAACATGGACATTAAATGATACAGCATGATGTTGATAACCTCACTCATTGTATTTAGTGAAATATGGAAAATTATTATGTAATATGGCATTAGTGATAATTATTTACTTGCCATCCTCTTTAGTGGACATGTTATTTTATACCACTGGACATCCATTGTCTCATTTTTGGTAACAATTCCTGATTCCTCTCTGGAAAACCACTTTTTTTCCCCCCTTATTCTCAGTCCGTGGACCTTTGTACCCTTCTCCACCCCATTCTCATTCAAACTCCCAATAAGAATGTGTGAACCTGAAATAATCAAAATGATCAGAATCCAGTTCTAAAGAATTTACTCAAGTGTGAAATTTAAGGATGGCTGCCCAGGAAACACAGACTCCAAATGAATGGGGTCAGTGTTCTGAAGTGGAGAACTAGGATTTTACCTTTATAGGTAGAAACAAAGAAATTTAGTAGGATTACAACATTTTCATATAAAGCTGGTTTATGAATTACAATTTGATTAGTTACAGCTTGTTCGTTTTTGGGAAAGGTATACTTAACAGTTCATCTTGAGCAACTTGATAATCATAGAGTCTTTGTGCTATCTGATCTGTGTCAGGTGCAAGAGAAAAAAGGAGGAAGTTAACCTATAATGAGGGTCAACAAGTAAGAGGGAAGAGAGCTTATCTCTGGTGTCATTTAATCTTTTGCAACATTTTACAAAACAAAGTAGGTAAGGAAAAAGTTAATCTATAATTAGAGAAACAATCACATTTTCTTTAAGACTCAAAATAATTGAAAGTTCCAACAGCTTTAATTTGAATCGCTTATTTTCACAAACGTTACCAGGCTAAGTCAGTTAAGGAACTTTATATCCTCTGACCTCAGTTTTTAATTTAAAGGTAGATGCATGGCTCTATCAGATGCTTTGAGACCCAATAGAAGTTTTTCTTGAAATTCTGGTCTAGACTCTCTTTCTTTCTGGACTCAACAAGAATAAATACAATTTCTGGAGCAGTTGCAGACATCTTGCCACCATGAAGGAAAATCTGCTTCTGAATGAACCAAGGGAATTGTAACTGGAGATGGAGAAAAATAAAGTAGCGGTGAATAGATGGGCTCCTGCTTCAATCCATGTCTGTAGGTGTCACCAGTCTACACTTTTCATTTTTGAGAGGCTTTAAATTCCTTCTTAATTTAAGCTAGTGTGTCCGGAATTGGTTCCTTCCAGTGGGTTCTTGGTCTTGCTGACTTCAAGAATGAAGCCACAGACCCTCATGGTGAGTGTTACCGTTCTTAAAGATGGTGTGTCCTGAGTTTGTTCCTTCAGATGTTCAGATGTGTCTGGAGTTTCTTCCTTCCGGTGGGTTCGTGGTCTTGCTAACTTCAGGAGTGAAGCCACAGACCTTTGCAGTGTGTGTTATAGCTCTTAAAGGTGGTGCGTCCAGAGTTGTTTGTTCCTCCTGGTGGTTTCGTGGTCTTGCTGACTTCAGGAGTGAAGCTGCAGGCCTTCGCAGTGTTACAGCTCAAAAAGGTAGTGTGGACCCAAAGAGTGAGCAGCGGCAAGGTTTATTGTGAAGAGCAAAAGAACAAAACTTTCACAGCATGGAAGGGGACCCAAGTGGGTTGCCACACTGGCTTGGGTGGCCAGCTTTTATTCCTTTATTTGTCCCTGCCCACATCCTGCTGATTGGTGCATTTTACAGAGCACTGATTGGTCCATTTTACAGAGTGCTGATTGGTCCATTTTACAGAGTGCTGATTGGTGCATTTACAATCCTTTACCTAGACACAACATGCTGATTAGTGCGTTTTTTACAGAGTGCTGATTGGTGCATTTACAATCCTTTAGCTAGACACATAGTGCTGATTGCTGCGTTTTTACAGAGTGCTGACTGGTGCATTCACAATCCTTTAGCTAGACACAGAGCACTGATTGGTGCGTTTACAGTCCTCTAGCTAGACAGAAAAGTTCTCTAAGTCCCCACTCGACCCAGGAAGTCCCGCTGGCTTCACCTCTCACTAGTATGAGTAGCTTATTTTTCTCAATTGCAAACTAAGGAGTATGAAGTCATATTAAACCCAATGAATAAAACAGTTCAGGCATCTGAAAATTATTTTAAGAGTTGAAGCATAAAAATGTAAGGTTTAATGACTTATTTTCCACAGATTTTACTATTTGTATTAGAACATCATTTTGGTAAATGTACATCTGTTCTTCATCAAAAACTGCTGGTACCTCTAGTAGTAATACTTTTCACATATGTATTATCTTCCATCACTTCTATCTAGTTTGTATTTGGCCTATAGCTCATTTATGGACACCTAAACTAAATTCATCTCAATTAATCTTTAATTTTTGTTAACATAAAGAAGTTTACAAGCAATCTAGGATACAAAAAGACAAAATTTGTAAATATGCATGCAGAAAATGAAAGCAGGTTTGGAATGGAGTTTCCCAGTATACTGACTCTTTCTGCATAAGCACATTGTTTAAATATAAGTTACAGTGATTATTATATTCTGTGGTGTATTGTTAGACAAAACTACAAGTACTACTGGAATTTAATTAATTAATTACTTATGAATCTATTTATGAATTCCTGACATTCATCTTTATTTTATAATTTAATGTGCTTTTTAAAAACTTTTATTTTAGGTTCAGGGGTACATGTTCACTTTGTTATATAGGTAAACTTGTGTCATAGGGGTTTGTTGTACAGATTATTTTGTCACCCAGGTACTAAGGCTAGTACCCAATAGTTGTTTTTTCTGATCCTCTCCCTCCTCCCAACCTTCACCTTCAAGTAGGCCCTAGTGTCTATTGTTTCCCTCTTTGTGTCCATGTGTTCTCATCATTTAGCTCCCACTTGTGAGAACATATGGTTTTTGGTATTCTGTTTCTATGTTGGTTTGCTAAGGATGATGCCGTCCAGCTCCATTCATGTTCCTCCAAAGGACATCATCTCATTCTTTTTTATGGCTGAGTAGTATTCCATGGTGTATATATACCACATTTTCTTTTTTCAGTCTACCATTGATGGACATTTATGTTGATTCCATGCCTTTGCTATTGTGAATATTGCTGCAAAGAATATGTGGGTGCATGTATCTCCATGGTAGAATGATTTATATTCTTTTAGGGTATACACCCAGTAATGGGATTGTTGGGTCAAATGGTGGTACTGTTTTTAGCTCTTTGAGGAATCAACAAACTGCTTTCCACAATGGTTAAACTAACTTACACTCCCACCATCAATGTATAAGCGTTCTCTTTTCTCCACAACCTCACCAGCATCTGTTATTTTTTGACTTCTTAAAAATAATAGCCATTCTTACTGGTGTGAGATGGTATATCATTGTGGTTTTGATTTGCTTTTCTCTAATGATCAGTGATGTTGAGCTATTTTTTATATGATTGTTGGTTGCATGTATATCTTCTTTTGAAAAGTTGATGTTTATGTCATTTGCCCACTTTTTAATGGGGCTACTTGTTTTCTTTTTTCTAGTAAATTTATTACATTCCCTATAGATATTAGACTTTTTCAGATGTATAGTTAGCAAATATTTTCTCCCATTCTGTAGAATGTCTGTTTACTCTGTTGATAGTTTATTTTGCTGAGCAGAAGCTCTTAAGTTTAATTAGATCCAATTTGTCAATTTTTGCTTTTGTTGTGATTGCTTTTGGTGTCTTTGTCATGAAATCTTTGCCCATTCCTATGTCCTAAATGGTATTACCTAGGTTGTCTTTCAGGGCTTTTATAGTTTTGGGTTTTACATTTAACTCTTTGATCCATCTTGAGTTGATTTTTGCATATGGTGTAAGAAATGTGTCCAGTTTCAATCTTCTGCATATGGCTAGCCAGTTATTCCAGTGCCATTTATTGAATAGGGAGTCCTTTCCCCATTGCATGCTTTTGTCAGCTTTGTCAAAGATCAGATGGTTGTAGGTGTTCACCATTATTTCTGGGTTCTCTACCATGTTTCATTGGTCTGTGTGTCTGTTTTCATGCCAGTACCATGCTTTGGGTTGAGACTGTGGAGTTTTTTAGATAGAGAATCATGTCATCTACAAACAGGGATAGTTTGACTTCCTGTCTTCCTATTTAGATGCCCTTTATTTCTTTCTTGGGCCTGATTGCTCTGGCCAGGACTTTCAATATTATGTTAAATAGGAGTGGTGAGAGAGGACATCTTTCTCTTGTGCCAATTTTCAAGTATAATGCTTCTAGCTTTTGCCTATTCAGTATGATATTGGCTGTGAGCTTGTCATATATAGCTCTTATTATTTTGTGATATGGTTTTTCAATACCTGGTTTCTGAGAGTTTTTAAAATCAAGGGATGTTGAATTTTATCAAAAGCCTTTTCTGCATCTATTGAGATGATCATGTGGTTTTTATCTTTAGTTCTGTTTATGTGATGTATGACATTTATTGATTTACATACGTTAAACCAACCTTGAATCCCAGGGATAAAGCCTGCTTGATTGTGGTGGATTAGCTTATTGATATGCTGCTGGATTTGGTTTGCCAGTATTTTGTTGACAATTTTTGCATACATGTTCATTGAGGATATTGGCCTGAAGTTTTCTTTTTGCTGTTGTTGTTGTGCCTCTGCCAGGTTTTAGTATCGTTTCTATGATCCTGGCCTCATAGAATGAGCTAAGGAAGAATCACTTCTCTTCAATTTTTTGGAATAGTTTCAATAGGAATGGTACTAGATCTTCCTTGTACATCTGGTAGAATTCAGCTGTGAATCTTTCTGGTCTTGGGCTTTTTTTGTGTATTGGTATGCTATTTATTACTGATTTAATTTCAGAGCTCATTTTTGGTCTGTTCAGGGAATCAATTTCTTCCTGGTTCAGTCTTGGGAGGGTGTATGTGTTCAGGAATTTATCCATCTCATCTAGGTTTTCTAGTTTGTGTGCATAGAGGTGTTCGTAGTAGTCTCTGATGGTTATTTGTATTTCTGTGGGGACAGTGGTAATATCTCCTTTGTTGTTTCTGATTGTGCTTATTTGGATCTTATTTCTTTTCTATATTAGTCTAGGTATTAGCCTATCTAACTTATTATTTTTTTAAAAAAATTAACCCCCAGATTCAGTGATTTTTTTATTTGTTTTTCTTGTCTCAATCTCTTTCAGTTCAGCTCTGATTTTGATTACTTCTTGTCTTCTGCTAGCTTTGGGTTTGGTTTGCTTTTGCTGCTCTAGTTTTTCTAGTTGTGATGTTAAGGTGTTAATTTGAGATCTTTCTAACTTTTGATATCAGCGTTTAATGCTATAAATTTCCCTCTTAACACTGCCTTAGCTGTGTCTCAGAGATTCTGATATGTTGTATCTTTGTTCTCACGAGTTTCAAAAAACTTCCTGATTTCTGCCTTAATTTCATTGTTTACTCCAAAGTCATTGAGGAGCAGGTTATTTAATTTCCATGTAATTGCATGGCTTTGAGTGATTTTTTTCTTTATTCTTGATTTTAATTTTTATTGTGCTGTGTTCTGAGAGTGTGTTTGGTATGATTTTGGTTCTTTTGGATTTGCTGAGGATTTTTTTATGTTGGATTGTATGGTCAATTTTAACCTATGTGCCTTGTGGCAATGAGAAGAATGTATACTCTGTTGTTTTTGGGTAGAGAGTTCTGTAGAGGTCTATCATACCCATATGGTCCAATGTTGAGTTCAGGTCCTGAATGTCCTTGTTAATTTTCTTCCTCACTGATCTCTCTAAGACTGTCATTGGAGTGTTGATGTCTCCCGCTATTATTTTGTGGAAGTCTAAGTTTCTTTGTAGGTTTCTTTGTAAGTTTAAGAACTTGCTTTATAAACCTGGTTGCTCCTGTGTTGGTTGCATATGTATTTAGGATAGTTAGGTCTTCTTCTTGAATTGAACCCTTTACCATTATGTAATGTGCTTTTTTTTCCATCATTTTTGTTGTTTGTTAGTTTAAAATCTGTTTTATCTGAAATTAGCATTGCAACCTCTGCTTTTTTCTGATTTCTATTTGCTTGATATATTTTTCCTCCATCCCTGTATTTTGATCCTATCAGTGTCATTGCATATGAGATGGGTCTCCTGATGACAGCATACCATTGGATCTTGCTTTTTTTTTTTTTTTTTTAAATCCAGCTTGCCACTTTGTACTTTTTAAATGGTGAGATTTAGCCTGTTTCCATTCAGGATTAGTATTGATACATGTGGATTTGATCCTCTCATGTGTTTTTAACCAGTTATTATGCTGGCTTTTTTGTGTGGTTGTTTTGTAGTTTCACTGGTCTACGTACTTAGCTTTGTTTTTATTAGCTGGTAATGGTTTTGGCTTTCCAAATTTAGTGCTTCTTTCGATGTCTATTCTAAGGTGGGCTTGATGGTAACAAACTCCCTTAGCATTTGATCTGGAAAGGATCATATTTCTTCTTTTCTGAGAAAGCTTAGTTTCTCTGGATATAAAAATCTTGATTGAAGATTTTTTATTTCTTTAAGAATGTTGAATGCAAGCTGCCAATGCCTGCTGGTTAGTAGGGTTTCTGCAGAGAGGTCCACTGTTAGCCTCATGGGGTTTCCTATGTATGTGACCTGCCCTTTCTCTCTAGCTGCCTTTAATATTCTTTCATTTTGACCTTGGAAAATCTGATGATTATGTGTCTTAGGGATAATCTGCTTGTGTTTAATCTTGCAGGGGTTCTCTGTATTTCCTGAATTTGACTGTTAGCCTCTGTAGCAAGGTAGGAAACTTTTCATGGACAGTATCCTGAAATATGTTTTCCAAGTTGTTTGCTTTCTCCTGTCCCTTTCAGGGATGCCAGTGACTCATCTATTTAGCCTCTTTACATAATCCCATATTTCTTGGAGGTTTTATTTCTTTGTATTCTTTTTTTCTTTATTTTTGTCTGAGTGTCTTATTTCAGAGAGACACTCTTCAAGTTCTAAGATTCTTTCCTCAGCTTGTTCTACTCTGCTGTTAATACTTGCGATTGCATTGTGAATTTCTTGTAGTGTGTTTTTCGGCCTTTTCAGATCAGTTAGGTTCTCTCTTACACTGGCTATTTCATCTGTCACCTCCTTGTCATTTTATTGATTCTTAGTTTCCTTGGATTGCACTTTGCTGTTCTCCTGCATCTTGGTGATCTTCATTCTTATCCATATTCTGAATTCTATTTCTGTCATTTCAACCAATTAAGGCTGGTTAAGAACCCTTGTCAGAGACTAGTGCAGCTGTTTGGAGGAGATAAGACACTCTGCCCACTTGAGTTGCTCAAGTTCTTGCATTGGTTCTTTCTCATCTCTGTGTGTGGATATTGCTTTAACTGCTGGGCTCCCTCTGATTAAAGTGGTAAAGTGGGGGCAGCATGGTATTACTGGAGTCATATGTCAGGTGACCCTGCCCAGTAGGGAGAAGAGAGTACTGGGACCTGCATGGAATACCGTCTGACCACTTTTCTGTGAGGTGGGTGCTCTGTTCTGGGGGTCTGGACCAGCCTCTGGTTGCCGTGGACTCCCCAGAGTGTGGAGACAGCAAGCATGAAGGCTGTAAGCAAATACGGCAATCCCCACTCCCATTGGGAGCTCTCTCCCAGGAGTTGTAGAGCTGCTACTGGCTCCATAGTCCCAGCTGGGGGGTGGTTGGAGACTCAGGCTGGGAGGACCCACCCAATGAGGAAGTATGAGATCAGGGACCCACATAACAAACAGTCTGGCTACTTTTCCATAAGGGTGCTGTAGTATGCTGGGGGTCTGCTCTAGTCTCTAGTCACCTTGGATTTTTCAGTACCTGAAGGTATCAACAGTGAAGACTGCAAAACAGCAAAGATGGCAGCCTGCAGATCTCTCTGGAAGATCTGTCCCTGAAAAGCTCTGTCCCTGTTGCCAGCCCGAACACACTGACAGGGGTGGCTAGGTACCCTGCTTGACAGGTCCCACCCAGTAAGGAGGATAAGATCAGGGACCTACATTAAAAGGCAGTCAGCCTGCTTTTTCATAGAGCAGCTCTGCTGTGTTGTGGTCTGCTCCAGCCCACAGGCCCCTCAGGCATTCCAAAGCCCAAAGGCAAGAATGGCTAAGGTGGCAAAATAGCAAAGATAGTAGTACACCCCACCCTCTGGGAGCTCAGTCCCTGGGAGGTTTGGGACTGCTGCCAGCTGGAAAACACCAGCAGGGGTGTTGTAGATCTTGATGGAGAGATTCCGCCCAGGGAAGAAAAATGGGATCAGGGACTCGTGTGAAAAAGCAGTCTAGCTGCCTCTTTGTAGAGCTGCTGTGCTGTGCTGGGGGACCACCGCAGTCCCTAATTGCCCCTGATTCCCCAGAGCCCTAAGGCAACAATGATTAAGGTTATAAAACAGCAAAGATGGTGGCCTGCCCCTCCCTCTGGGAGCTCCATCTCAAGGTGGTGTGACAATGCTACTCATGACTGGCTGGAGTTCCAAGCCAGTGGGTCTTATCCTGGGAGGTGCCATGAAAGCAGGGCCTGCAGACCAATGCTGCTCAGCCCCTGGATTTAGCTCCTTTCCCAGGGTATGTACGCAGGTCTGACCTCCCACCTTGCTGGAGTTGCAGCTGCCTTTGCTGGGAAGTCTGGGTATCTAATGCTCCTGGGGCTTCGCATGTGCCTGACCAGATGCTCTGCATGCCAGACTAAAGGCCCTGGTGTAGGAGTTCACCAGGGGATCTCCTGATCTAAGGGTTGCAAAAATCTGTGGGAGAAGCATGGGTCCCTGGGGTCACTCACTCACTTACTCACCACTTCCCTGGGTTGGGGAGGCTACACTGGCTCTGTGTTGCTCCAGGGTGGGCAGTCATCCTGTCTTGCTTTTCTCTAATCTCCTTGGGTTGAGTTGTTTTCTTGATGGATCCCAATGCATGTACCTGGATGTTTAGTTCAAGGTGCTGTATTTACTTGCCCCTTCACTTTTCTCCATAAGAGTGGCACACAGTAGCTGCTTCTAGTCAGGATCTTACTCTTATTGTTGTCGTTGTTTTTTAATGAGGTAAATGTAATCTATTGTTAAAGTAAAATTGCTTTACAATAATTCTCAGTTATTTTCACAAAGTTCTTCTACAGTTAGGCTTTAATTTCATATCAACTTTTTCCTAGTTCTAAAGAACACATCTTCCTTGTTAATGTTAAGTCAATGCTTGCTAATTTTTATGAAAGTACAAATGAAATATGCATATTTTCATAAGTACTAAGGTTGTAAGCAAGTTTGCATGCTATTAATAGTCTTCACAGTTTATCATCTATTTTATATAGTGCAATGACTGTTAATGGAAACCTGATAGTCTTATATCTGGAGTTGAAAGACTTATTGATAATGGTAACAATGCAAGGTGGCAGTCTTCTCAGTTCTATTTGCAAGCCTCAGGGTCATGGATGGGACCATGCTGTAGTTATTCCCATAACCATGGCTGCTGGTGAAGTTATCCTTATCACAGAAATGCTGGAAATCGCTTACAACAGAATCCTCATAGTCCTTTTCCATCATTATCGGAAATCATAGTGAGCCAGGACCTAAAAGTTTCCCAGATATCCTTTTGGTATTTTAGAACATATTTTACAATTTTCCTAAATTAGAGACATGGATTATGTCAAGAGGCTGAATGTCTAGAATGTCTAGAACTCATCTGTTGTGGGTTTGTTTCATTTGTTATTTGAAATGAGCTGTAATTATTTCTGTTTCTCTCTAAAAATTAATGATCTAAAATTCAGACTTGCTTGGTCTGAGAGGTACCTCCATGTTAAGGTACAAATAGTTTCGCGATTCTAAAAGACACATTTAGCAGAATTAATAAAGTTATGGTTTTAATGATTCATTAATAAGTATATGAAAAGCATCAAAAAATAGAAATAAATCAACTATCTTATATTTTTATGTAGATATAGAAAAGCAATATACTGGTGATTTAAGTATGTACATTGGTATATAAATACTGCACATATGTAAATACAAATGCAACACATTTAAATATGTAAGTTTATAGGTAAATACAACACATATTTATTTAAATGTTTAAGTAAGTGTTCACATAGTACACATTTTTCCAGCATTTTAACTGTAATTTTTGTGAAGTACATTAGCTATTCTGAAAGTATCAGTAAGAAAAATGTTTTTCAGTGGTGTTTTCCCCACATAGAAGAACATAGTGATACTACTACTGATTCATTTGGTGGACTACTGAGGGGAAGGCTGAAGAAGATTGCTGGGTGGGGATTCCAAATCAGCCCCAATATTAGTACATAAAAAGAAGGGATGACTGAAAATTAGAAAAAAATGGTCAGAAGATATTTATAATTGTCAACATGATTTTTACAGATAAAAATGTAAATAAGAACAAGAGGAAACAGCAAACTTTTATATAGCAAAATTCATTCAACACTCAGCAAATGTATTGAGTACTTAATATGTGTATCTGGCCCTGTGTTGGGTTCTGAAAACACGAGCAAAATGAACAAAATAGAAATAATTCCTGCCCTCACAATTTTAGATCTAAGTAAAGCCATTACTGGCAGCTTTGGAGGGACACATAGCAAGAAACATGCCCTCAAATCAACTCTTGATGAGGCTCATATTTAGATGTTATTAATGATGCATTCCATCTGGTAGCTTCCTATTTCAGTCTATTTGTGTTCATTATTCTTGCAAAGCACTAAGCGTAGAGGCTTCTACTTTGCTCTAAGAGAGTATACACCTTCAACATGGAAATATACAAAATATCAATGTACAGAAATATTTTTAGAATTTACTTTTATTTCCTCTTTTCATACCTCTGTGTTCTATGTAGAACCAGTTGTTTGGTCTCTAAGGTCCATTTGGAGGATATAGATCATTAAAAAACAGTTTCAACACATTATAATAAGTACTATTGTGAAAGGAGTAGAGGGTACTGAGCAAGAACACATGTGTGTCACTTCACTAAGACTAGGGAGGAAGAAGGTTCAGGAAGCATAGAAAGTGAGAGCTGAAGGAAGAAGGACAAGGCCTGGAGGCAAGGCAAAAGAGAGCTTAGTTAACGTAAGAGTTGTTCATTTTTTTCTTAAAAGTCCAAATGAATATTCTTGTTGAAAAATTGTACGATAATTAAGTCTGGTTGAGGAAATAAAGCGATATCATAGTGTGCTAGATTATTCATATTATCCCCAGCAAATCAGAAGCATGCATTTTAAAATTAACAAATGTGTTCCTTTTTGGAGCAAGGTTATTTGGGAGTTTCTGTTTCTCAGCATAGATGCCAGATGGCAGAATCCACAGATTGCCAACCTCTGCATGCTGATAGTTGTCAACTTTGGATGCTAACAGGGTGTTAGAAGTAACCACTGCAGAGTAACTTTTAATTCAGTATATATTAGTGAGCATTCACTTTGAATTAGGTGCTGAGCATACAGTTATAAGCAAAAACTTCTAAGTATCTCGTCAGTGGAGCTTGAGGTTTAATCGAACTTTAAGAAGCTCTGTGATGACAAACTTTACTGTGACTTAAAACTAATTCTAAATTTTTATGGAATCCTGAATGCCATAATTAGAATTAATTGGGAGAAGAAAGGATAGGCATGGGGAAATTAGCAGGTAGATCAGAGTACCTCCTTTTTCAGACACGATAAGGTGATGGGAAGAAGAGAGTGGGTGTTTATTTCCTTTCCAATACTTCCTTCTGTGTCACTATACATCACTCACCCTAGGGATCCAATCTGGCAGTTTTTGCAGTAATATCTAATTAAAGGTCATGCCTTAGAATAGAAGACTGCACATCACAGTACTTTCAATGATGTGAAATACTTTGTTGCTATTTTTGTAGATTGATAAATGGATGGAGTTCAGTTTGGGTTCAATATTTCCATTTTTTTACTTAAAGTTTTGTTTTGATTTGTTTCACTGCATCTTGGTTGAAAATAAATTTTAATTTGAAGTCAAGTTTAAATATCTTAGGTCACTATTGCTAGTGTCAACTGAACATGTTCATTGCAAGCATTTTTTTCTTTTTTCTCTCTTATTCTGGTAAAACATTTTTACTACTTGAAGAACTTTAAACAATAATATTAATATGCACTCAAGTTAAAAGAGGATTCAGGTATAACAACATGATTTTGGCTGAACCATGAGAAGAATAGATTTGACATCAGCTAACATGGAAAGGAGGTTTCAGGGAAGAGAACAAGGAATTTAAGTTTCGATATGCTGGGTTGCAGATGTCTGATAGAGATCCAAGTAGAAATATTGAGTAGACAGCTTAATTAATATATGAGTTTGGGGAAATGGATTGAGCTGGAAATATAAATTTGGCAATCCTGGACATATACTTGGGTTACATTTTGAGTGTTGCTACAAAAGAGGACTATTTTAAGAGTAGAGCAGAAAGAGCCAGCTGAGGTTACTCAGAAGGAGTACCCTGGAAGGTAGGAAGAAAATCAAGAAAATGGAGTCTCTGGAGTTTCCTGGAAGTCAAGTAAAGAAGGTGATTCAAACATGATGAAATGATCAACTGTGCCTAATGCTGATAGAATAAGTACGATGAGCACTGATAACCGATATCTGCATTTTGCTATGTGTAGAGGTCACTAGTGACCTTGAAAAATTGCTGATTAGGTGGAGAGGTGGAATTGGTTAAAGAAAGTATAAGAGATGAGAAATTAGTCAGTGATTTCAGACCTGTTGCTAACAAGTGTTGTATCCTGAATGGTGTCTCTCTCCACCCGCTGACATTTATATGTTGAAGCACTTACCCCTAGTACCTCCGAATGTGACTGTATTTAGAGAGAGGGTCTTAAAAGAGGTGATTATGTTAATATGAGGTTGTTAGGGTGGACCTTATTCCAATCTGACTTGTGTTCTTGTAAGAAGAGTAATTTTGAACACATATAGAGATGTCAGGGACCCGTATGCACAGAGGAAAGATGATATGAGGACACAGTGAGTAACCAGACATCTGCAGACCAAGGAGAGGTGCCTCAAGAAAAATCAGCCCTACTGCACCTTGATTTGGAGTTCTGGCCTCCAGAAAAATGAGAAAATACATTTACCTTTAAGCTCCCAGAATCTATGTTATTTTGCTATAGCAGCCCTAGCAAACTAATTATAAGTCTCATTATGTCTCTCTGTCTCCCCTTCCATACCGCTCCGAACTATGACAAGACAGCTAAGTGCCTGTAACATCTATTTCTGCTGTAAGAAAGAATTTTCTTAGTTCATGCAATGATGATGTTGCCTTTAGGGACCCTGGTTTTTGTGGCAGATTTCTGTGGGGAATTTCTTTGGAGCTTTTTGTAGGAGATTTCTTTGGAAGGTTTCTGGCCTGTCAAAACAGAAATTCCTTATCAGCAAAAATTGACAGATAGCACCGGGGTGAACAGTAGCTTCAGTGATAGCTTATTTCTCTGGATTCTTATTTTCTTTTCTGGCTTCTAAGGACTTCCCTTACTTTTTTGCTAAGCCATGCATGTTTTAAAAAGTTGTGTGTGTGTGTGTGTGTGTGTGTGTGTGTGTGTGTGTGTTGTGTGTGTTTACGTATGTGTAATAATTTATTCAACTTTTTTTAGGTGCTTCCTTTAGGGTGGGGGGAAGAGTTTCATGGGACATCTGGTCTACTATATTGCCAGATGCAGAATCTTGAATTACTTTTAAAACTTTGTTTGTGGTAAAACAATTTCCTCTATATTTGCCAGTTTAACCATAGCTAGTTGCTTGGTTTTGGATCAGGTAGAGTTACTATGAAATTAATAGGCATCTAATAAAAGGTAATTGCTAATGCCTCTGGTTGGATTCTCTAGAAGTGGACACTGATACAAACTTTGTGTTGTAGGCTGTCCTGGGAGAGGTGTGACCTCACACAAGGTGGCTATTTGCAGCTAAGGCAGACATTGAAGCAGCTGGCAGCTGGAGAATATCCAGCTGTTACTGATGAAGGAGAATCTGGGTGCCACATTTCCATGTCGATCACACCCACTTCTATGATACTTAACACATGATAAAGTCTTATGAAATAATATTTAACTACTAAATTAATTGAAACTTAAATTGTTAACCATTGTTTCTTGTGTAAATAAATTGTATCCAGAAAGTTTCTAAAATGTCTGTTTAGCTATGGTAATACATTTTATAATCTGTTTAAGTGTGTGTTATAATCAGAAAAAATATGTAATAACAAATATAAAGTAAATTTGATGTGTATAATATAAGTTAGGGTAAATTGTGTGGGCTCCAGGCTTAGACTGCCTGGAGCAGTTTCATTGTTTATGATTTGTACAACTTTGGGCAAATGCCTCAGTCCCCTAATCTGTATAATGGAGGTGGGGATTATGGCTATGTGCTCTGCATAGTGCCCAGGGTTTATTAGTAAATAGTTCCTCTTGATAAGTTATTGTCACTATTTATTAATATATTTCTTAGCTTCTATTCAAGTTCTTTTAACTTACATGGGCTTCTTTTTAACTTCCTACATTCATATCTTGCATTTATCTGACTTGCTCCCTTTGTTCTAGCCATTTTAATTCCTTTTACTTCCCTGAGTGTACTATATATACATATATTTACATATTTTTCTCTTTATTCTTGCTGTTGCTTAAATAAGAAAATATCTTCCATGTGTCTTCTCATCCAACCTTGCCAATCATATTCTATATGGTTCCCTGTCAAATTCCTACTAGCGCTAAACATTTGATTAATTTACTTATTGGCAGAACATGGACATTTCTTCTCAAGATAGTCCTATGGAGTCCTCCTGCCCATTTTTAATAAATACATTTACAATTGCTATTAATCTCCAGAAGTTCAGATTTAGTTTAGTTGCAATTCTTAGTTTGTGGCACACTCTCATCATTGTCATATGGATAGACTTTAATTTATTTCATTCATTTATTACTTCATTACTTAATTAATTAACTTATTAAAAATATACAGACACCTATGACACTTGAAGAACCAATACCTTATAAATAAATGAAGTCTAACTCTGGACTGCTATACTGTCTTCTCTGGTCTTCCTCACAGAAATAATTTCTATCCTTGTTTTGGCTTTTCATACTTTTGCTTTAAAAAGTATAGCTTAACAGATATGTATGCATCTGTAAATAAGTTATTGTTTAATTTTTAAAGTTTTTTTGAACTTTATAAAACTGATCACTGACATATAGTCTTAGGCTTGCATCTTTTATTCAACGTTAGGTAACTAAGATTTATTCATATTATTGCATATAACCATAGATTATGAACTTTGACTGCAATTTTCCATTGTATTAATATGCCACAAGTTATCCCTGTCAGTGGATATTTAAGCTTCGTCTGTTTCATATTTAAATTTGCTCTCATGAACAGTGCTTCCTTGAACCTTTTTTTTTTTTTTTTCGGAGTTTCGCTTTTTTTTTGCCCCGGCTGGAGGGCAGTGGCACTATCTCGGCTCACTGCAACTTCCGCTTCTTGGGTTCAAGCGATTCTCCTGCCTCAGCCTCCCGAGTAGCTAGGATTACAGGCACACGCCACCAAGCCCAGTTAATTTTTGTATTTTTAGTAGAGACGGGGTTTCACCATATTGGGCAGGCTGCTCTCGAACTGCTGACCTCAGGTGATCTGCCCGCCTCAACCTCTTAAAATGTTGGGATTACAGGCATTAGCAACTGTGCCCGGTCCTTTGAACCTTCTTGTACATGCATCCCAGTGCAAATGTTTAAGTTTCTCTAATGCATTTATCTAGGCATGGAGTTGCTGGGTTGTAAATACATAAATATCTAATTTGACTAGACAATGCCAAATTGTTTACAAAAATGATTGCAGCAGCTGACTCCACTGATAATAAGGAAATCTTTGATTCACATATCTGCAACATTTGGCTTTATTAAACCTTTTGATTTTTCCAATTAAATGGATATAAAATGTTACTTCACTGTAGTCTTATGTATATTTCCTGAGTGCTAATGAGGTTTAACATTTCTCACTAAGTTTATTAGCCAATATTGTTTCTCTTCTGTGAAATGCTAGTTGGCACCTTTTGGTTACATGTTTGTTCTTAATAATTTGTTAATACTTCTTTTTGTATTCTTAATTTTAAATCTTTACCAGATATTTTATTCAAATATCTTCTCCCAATTATGAACTTATTTCACTTTCTTTAAGACTTCAAATAATTAATGCCTTTTATAAATTTGAGCTTATAGAATTTTCTGAGCCCATTAGTGAAGTTATTTCTTGGTTTATACTCTTATCTTCCTAGGGCAGAAATTTTATACATACTTTATGTTTTTGTTTTTGTTTTGTTTCTAAAGTATACTTTCACTGTTCAAAGGTCAAAAATATTAACCATTATTTTTTCATAAAAGGTTAAAATTTTTTAATATTTCAGGAGGTGATTTAATCTATATACTGTGAGATAGAGATCCAATTTCTTTTCTGTTTCTTTCTTTACTTTTTTTTTTTTTTTTTTTTTTTTGCTACTTAGGGAACCATTTAAAAAGATTCATTTATTTAATGCTGCTTCTTTTTTACTACTGTTCAGCCATACCACCTCTGTTATGTATTAATACTTATTATATGCATGAGTCAATTTATTGAATCTTTTTAAATTTCACGAATCAATTTATCCTTCTCTGTACAGCTTCCATAATGCCTTAATTACTGCACCATCCTAATAAGTCTTAATATCAAGTAGAGAAAACCTCTACTCTTTATTCTTCTTCTCAAACATCCTGTATAGTTTGATCTTTTACTCATTATAGAATCAGATTATCAAATTCCTCAAAATAGTCTATGTAGTTTTGACTGGAAGCTTATGGAATCTATAGATTATTTTATCATATTATAAATAACATTTGTTTTCCAAAGCAGTTACATCAACTTAAATTATATTGACCGTTAGTAAGAAATTCTTACTAATTTGAGGAAGGGCTGTTATAGCATAATTTTCAAAAGGTTAAAAACATATCCTTTATATAAATATAACATGAGAACATGTCAGAAATTTTATACACCTCATTAATTAATGAGGGAAACAGTAATGCATTAAAACTGGTCCAGGAGCTTTTGTTAAGCTAAGTAATTCTAGGCAATGATAGAATAAAATTGCTGAGTTACCCCTCCACCTGCACTTCCACAAATACAGTCGCCACCCCACACCAACCCCTAGTTCTACTGGCCCATAAACCACAACCTTTGAAATTATCTTTTTAAATTAGGCAGAAATCCTTTGGATGCCTATTAGACAAAACTCTATACATTAATGTCTTTTCCTTCACATTTGTAAAATACCACAGAAAATAGAAAGCCACGTCCAGCACTGCATTGAAAGAGCACCTCGTAATTGCCTTCATCTACTTTCAAGTTCTGGATAATTTTTCTGATAGAACTGATGGTGAATTTTTCTCAAGTGTAACATTTTCAAATTTTAACTATATCATTATCAATTTCTTAGATAGCTTAGGGAAATTGTATTGAGATGGTTTCATCAAAGAGGCTTATTTAAAATTGGGAGAATATAATCACCAGTTTTTTATATTACTGATGTATTCTTTGACATATGCATATATTTAAAAATAACATTTAGATTTCACATTTTCTAATAAAATTATAGAAAATAAATTTATTATTTACTCATCTCTTTTTTGTAAAATATAGATGTTTTAATCATTATTTATGAGACCAAATAAAACTTAAGGATCCATTAGTAGGGGATTTGTGATTAAATGGTGAATATTATTATAGAGAAATGATATGCAGTCATTAAAAATGATGACATAGGCCTCATCTACTTTGACTAAAAATAATTACATTATGGAACAGCAGGTGTGGGAAAGCTCCCTTTATACCATAAACAACAAATAATTGAAATATCACTAGAAAGCCTGTTAATGAATTAAATTATGTTTGCTCAAACTGTCTTCACTTAGTGAGTAAGCTTTAACAGTATTTCAGGAGAGTGATGTTGTAATTGAGTTATTTATTAGGCTCTAGGATCAAGGCTCTTGTGGTATTAGGCAGATCTTTAAAGGTGGAAAACTGATTTAGAATGGTAAAAGTTCTTGACAAAGTGAGGGCTTTGAAGCAAGTCTTAATGAGTAAGCTACTGTTTGATAAGTGATCTGTTTGCCCAGGTGAGCAGATTAATTATTGTCTCCAATAAATTGATCTGTAGGCATTTTCTGAAGTAAATAAGGAAGTTCTTTATTGTATTATATGCTTATTTTTCCCAAGTAAATGATTATTGTAGGAAACAACCATATCAAATTGAAATAGATGAACCACAGTTTTTGTTTTTCCAATTATACGTTTATTTTAGGAACGTTTTGTATTATCAACACACTATAAAAGTTATGAGTTGTCATTGCTTTGTTGCATATTTTACATATATGCTATGTTTTTAAAATTTCTATAGCAATCCTGTGAAATGGAAGTAATACCTGCATTTTACAGAGAATAGTTATCAGACCTGGTAATCAAATGCATATACGAAGCTCATGCTCATCTTCTTTAGCTCTTACACTATACTACAGAATAAACAAATTCACATACGAATGTGTGGAAACATATTTTCCGCAACATATTTCCCTAGAAAACCCATTTGCAATTAGGAAAAGAGGAAGTCAAATTGTCCCTGTTTGCAGATGACATGATTGTATATCTAGAAAACCCCATTGTCTCAGCCCAAAATCTCCTTAAGCTGATAAGCAACTTCAGCAAAGTCTCAGGATACAAAATCAACGTACAAAAATCACAAGCATTCTTATACACCAATAACAGACAAACAGAGAACCAATCATGAGTGAACTCCCATTCACAATTGCTTCAAAGAGAATAAAATACCTAGGAATCCAACTTACAAGGGACGTGAAGGACCTCTTCAAGGAGAACTACAAACCACTGCTCAATGAAATAAAAGAGGATACAAAGAAATGGAAGAACATTCCATGCTCATGGGTAGGAAGAATCAATATCGTGAAAATGTCCATACTGCCCAAGGTAATTTATAGATTCAATGCCATCCCCATCAAGCTACCAATGACTTTCTTCACAGAATTGGAAGAAACTACCTTAAAATTCATATGGTACCAAAAAAGAGCCCGCATCACCAAGTCAATCCTAAGCCAAAAGAACAAAGCTGGAGGCATCACACTACCTGACTTCAAACTATACTACAAGGCTACAGTAACCAAAACAGCATGGTACTGGTACCAAAACAGAGATATAGATCAATGGAACAGAACAGAGCCCTCAGAAATAATGCCTCATATCTACAACTATCTGATCTTTGACAAACCTGAGAAAACAAGCAATGGGGAAAGGATTCCCTATTTAATAAATGGTGCCGGGAAAACTGGTTAGCCATATGTAGAAAGCTGAAACTGGATCCCTTCCTTACACCTTATACAAAAATTAATTCAAGCTGGATTAAAGACTTAAACGTTAGACCTAAAACCATAAAAACCCTAGAAGAAAACCTAGGCATTACCATTCAGGACATAGGCAGGAGCAAGGACTTCATGTCTACAACACCAAAAGCAATGGCAACAAAAGCCAAAATTGACAAATGGGATCTAATTAACCTAAAGAGCTTCTGCACAGCAAAAGAAACTACCATCAGAGTGAACAGGCAACCTACAAAATGGGAGAAAATTTTCACAACCTACTTATCTGACAAAAGGCTAATATCCAGAATCTACAATGAACTCAAACAATTTACAAGAAAAAAACAAACAACCCCATCAAAAAGTGGGCAAAGGACATGAACAGATGCTTCTCAAAAGAAGACATTTATGCAGCCAAAAAACACATAAAAAAATGCTCACCATCACTGGCCATCAGAGAAATGCAAATCAAAACCACAATGAGATACCATCTCACACCAGTTAGAATGGCAATCGTTAAAAAGTCAAGAAACAACAGGTGCTGGAGAGGATGTGGAGAAGTAGGAACACTTTTACACTGTTGGTGGGACTATAAACTAGTTCAACCATTGTGGAAGTCAGTGTGGCGATTCCTCAGGGATCTAGAACTAGAAATACCATTTGACCCAGCCATCTCATTACTGGGTATATACCCAAAGGACTATAAATCATGCTGCTATAAAGAGACATGCACATGTATGTTTATTGCAGCACTATTCACAATAGCAAAGACTTGGAACCAAGCCAAATGTCCAACAATGATAGACTGGATTAAGAAAATGTGGCACATATACACCATGGAATACTATGCAGCCATAAAAAAGGAAGAGTTCATGTCCTTTGTAGGGACATGGATGAAATTGGAAATCATGATTCTCAGTAAACTATCACAAGGACAAAAAACCAAACACCGCATGTTCTCACTCATAGGTGGGAATTGAACAATGAGAACACATGGACAC
The DNA here is from genome assembly GCF_000001405.40 of Homo sapiens. Taxonomy (NCBI): domain Eukaryota; kingdom Metazoa; phylum Chordata; class Mammalia; order Primates; family Hominidae; genus Homo; species Homo sapiens. Next base: position 353,956 of record NW_025791754.1, on the reverse strand, counting down.
AGGAAGGGGAACATCACACTCTGGGGACTGTTGTGGGATGGGGGGAGGGGGGAGGGATAGCATTAGGAGATATACCTAATGCTAGATGACGCGTTAATGGGTGCAGCACACCAGCATGTCACATGTATACATATGTAACTAACCTGCACATTGTGCACATGTACCCTAAAACTTAAAGTATAATAATAATTAAAAAAACCCATTTGTATTGTCGTAAGTTTGTATTAAGTGAAATTATATTAGTGACCATTTTCCCTTCTTCCTTCAAATTGTGTCACCTTGACTTTAAATGTATTCCACGCTATACAATTTGCCTATTAAAAGTCGTAACTTAAGCAAGTGCATTACATACTAAGAGAAATCTTAAAGACATACATGTGTTCCAGTGAGCTGTGCCCATTACTGAATTGTGACTTCTTCCAGTTAAGTGCAAAATGGAAGAGACGATTTGGAGGGTTGATTTAAAATCGTATGTTTTTGGTGGGAAGTGTTAAGTTAAAAAAAAGAAAGTGCTTCCTTCACTGCATGTTAGTGTGTTCATGTAACTTCCAGTTTCATACAAATAACTCTCATCTGTTGAACATAGCCCAACTCTTTGAGACCTATTGGTTCCCTCTCCACAAACACATATATTTCTCCCCATATTGGACTTTGTTATAATATTTAACTGTGCCATTCCTGGTAATCCTAGACTGTCAGAGCATCTTTATATTTTCCTTCGAGATTTTACAATGACTAGTGAAATATTCCCATTTGAGTTAGAGATTACATGGTATTTTCTATACTCTTATGTATAGAGAAAAGGAGAAGAGGGTTTATGTGTTGTAGTTATGAAGAGTTTTGATTGGCAAGCTATTAGGTTTATGGTGGGGTTGCAGGTGCCTGTAGTCATATTATAAGCTTATAAATAGTTTTGTGATGAACAGCTTTATATATCTATAATGTATGTAATCATACACATGTGTATGTTTGTTTACATATGTATATGTACTTAGGTACGTAATTATATTACCTTTGAGGCCTTTTGTGTGTTTATAAATAATGGGAAGGAGTGGAGGTGGGGTAAGAAGAAAAACGTGGAAATAATTTAGGAGCATCTGCTCTTTTTTTTTTCTTTTCTTTTCTGAGGTGGTAGTGGTAAGGATACATAATCCTTACCAAAGATAATTTATTACAGGCCTAAATTCTGTATATTTTTCTGCTCTTTATTACACATTTAATAGTATAAAAATGAATAAACGCTTTATTCTTTGCATGTTTTTTCTTTCTTTTCTTTTCTCTTTTTAATGGCTTGGCTCAGGCCTGCCCACCTCATACAGTTGGGCAGGGGGCATGAAGAGGGGGAATCTCTTTGCAATTTACGAATGACAAAATATACCTTTATAATTATTCTATATTTCTTTTTATTTTGGTTCTCATGCTTACATTTAAATCAAATTGGGGTTGCTTGGATTTAATTATTTTAAATAAAATGGGGAAGTACAGAGAGTTGGCCCAGCAAATGAACATTGAACATAAGGATGTGAGTTTTCTAACTGAAAAGAAATACTTTTTTGCGTTAAAGAGTACTTTAATAGAAAAGTACTCTTGGCTGATTTCATAATGTGTTTTACCATGGAAACCACAAGACTATTTCCAGTTACCTGCAGGTTGTGATTACTAAGGGCTGATAAGGAGAGTCAATGCAGTTATTGAGGGGCTATTCATAATATTTCTAACAAAAGAAATTGATAGTTGTTATTTATCCCATTTTATTTCCTCATTACCATTACACCACATGACATTGTATATGTATATGTAACATATATAAACACATGCATATATGTGCATATACGTGTCTCTATGTGTGTGAGTAGCTCAGTTCCCTTTCCAAAACTGACATTATTTTGAATTGTATTTTAAAAATGCAGACAATGCTACTAAATGTCATCAAAATTAATCTTTCCTTCATTATGCAATGTTACTGACTAAAGGTGTTGAGTATGTTAGGCTTGAGTAATTATGAAAAGACTTAGATGGCAAAAAGAAGTTAGGAAATATCTTAGGAAAAATTGCACAACATTTAAATTGCGTTTCTCTGTGTACATAGAGTAGAGGTTGGAAACCAGGTGGAAACTCATTGGAAGCACTTGAGCCTGAACTATCTTTTTTTTAATTTATTTTTGAGATGGAGTCTTGCTCTGTCACCTGGGCTGTAGTGCAGTGGCACGATCTCAACTCACTGCAACCTCTGACTCCAGGGTTCAAGCAATTCTCCTGCCTCTGCTTCCTGAGTCTGGGACTACAGGCACCCGCCGCCATGCCCCGCTAGTTTTTTGTATTTTAGTAGAGATGAGGTTTCACCGTGTTGCCCAGGCTGGTCTCAAACTCCTGAGCTCAGGCAATGTGCCTGCCTTGGCCTCCCAAAGTGCTGGGATTACAAGCATGAGCCATCGCTCCCGGCCCAAAACTACCTTTTTAAAATGAAAAATGGATAGGAGGCTTACTTGTTTATTTTTTACAAGCCTTCTTTTTTATTTTTAATTTACTTTTATTTTTATAGATTTAAGAGGAACAAGTGTAGTTTTCTTGAATGGGTATATTGTGTTGTAGTGAAATCTGAGCTTTTTGTGTGCCCATCATCTGAATAGTGAACATTGTACCCATTAGATAATGTTTCAATCCTTACCTCCATCCCACCTGCCCACCTTTTGAAGTCTTCGATTTCTTGTTTTTCATTCTGTATGTCCATGTGTACCCATTGTTTAGCTCCCACTTATAAGTGAGGATATGCAATATATGACTTTCTGTTTCTAGGTTATTTTGCTTAGAATAATGGCCTACAGTTCCATTCATGTTGCTGAAAAAGATATTATTTCATTATTTTTCTTTTTTTATACCCAAACAGTATTCCATTGTGTGTGTATGTGTGTTTGTGTGTGTATCTATATCTACCCCACATTTTCTTTATCCAGTCATCCATTAAGTATACACTTAAGTTCATTCCATATCTTTGCTATTGGTAGTAGTGCTGCAATAAAAATACAAGTACTTGTATCTTTTTGATATAATAAATGACTTCTTTCCCTTTGGGTACATACCCAGAAGTTGGATTGCTGAATTGAATGGTAGTTTGATTTTCAGTTCTTTGCAAAATCTCCATACTGTTTACCATAGAGATTGTACTAACTTACATTCCTCCCAGTGGTGTATAAGTGCACCGTTTTCTCTGCAAACTTTCCAACATCTGTTGTTTTTTGACTTTTTATAGTAGCCATTCTTACTGGTATAAGGTGGTATCTCATTGTGATTTTAATTTGCATTTCTCTGATGATTAGCATTGTTGAGCATGGTGGCATATGTTTGTGGCTGCATACATTTGTATGCCTTCTTTTGAAAAATGTCTGTTCATATCCTTTGCACACTTTTTAAGGAGTTTATATTTTTTTCTTGTTGAGTTGTTTGAGTTCATTGTAGATTCTGGATATTAGCCCTTTGTTGGATGCATAGTTTGCAAATATTTTCTGGCATTCTGTATATTGTCTATTTACTCTGTTTGTTTCCTTTGGTGTACAGAAGAGTTTTCGTTTAATTAATTCCTATTTGTCTATGTGTGTTTTTGTTGTGTTTGACAAGCCTTCATTTGTTGGTTATCAGAAACTAAGTATGAATATTTGGAAATGGATAGGAATCTGGTTTAGAGTCAATAATCACAGGGCAGACCTTAACAAACATGTCCCACTATTTATGGGGATAGCCCACTATTTGTGGGTGGATCTGTTATTTACAATGTTCTTTTATAATATTTTACAAATGTTCTAGAATTCTCCTACTACCAATAAATTCTCAACTTGCTAAGAAGGCAAGAAGCAAGAAAAAGAATAGAAAGACCAATGTTCCAACTCTGTCCCCATCCTAGCTGTATGAATTTGGGCCAGTCACTAAAATTATTTGAATGAACGTTTCTTTTTCTTTCTTTCCCTCCCTCCCTCCCTCCCTCCCTCCCTCCCTCCCTCCCTCCCTTCCTTCCTTCCTTCCTTCCTTCCTTTTTCTTTCTTTCTCTCTCTCTCTCTCTCCGTCTCTCTCTCTCTCTCTCCCCCTCCTTCCCTCCCTCCCTTCCTTCCTTTCTTCCTTTATTCCTTCTTTCCTCCCTTTTTTTTGATGGAGTCTCACTCTATCACCCAGGCTGGAGTGCAGTTGTGCAATCTCAGCTCACTGCAATCTCCACCTCCCAAGTTCAAGTGATTCTTCTGCCTCTGTCTCCCAAGTAGCTGGGATTACAGGCATGCACCAGCACACCCAGCTAATTTTTGTATTTTTAGTAGAGATGGGGTTTCACCATTTTAGCCAGGCTGGTCTAGAACTCCTGACCTCAGGTGATCCACCTGCCTCGGCCTTCCAAAGTGCTGGGATTACAGACATGAGCCACCACTTCTGGCCCAAAGTTTCTTTTTCTATAAAGTTGATATCTATGTTACTCAAGTAAAAATCAAATAAATTAATAATAGTATACTTTATAAACATTTATTAAAATCATAGACAGCTAAAGGTACAAATAAATAAAATCTAAATTCATAACCTATTTACAAAATCTGTGGGGAAATGACATTAATCATAAGGTAGATTAAGTTGGAATAAGAAAGAATTTCCAAGGATTCACCTCACCATAAACCCGAGTTTTGCATCCTCAGATGTTATAACATAAGGAAGAAAAGTAAGATGATTTTATCTCTCCTACCATACTATTAGTTCAGAGTCCTCATGGTTTGTACCAAAGAAAAAATTGGCTACCACATTATGCCTTCATTCAGGAATTTATCTCTTAATCTTTAATGTCCAGTAGGTCCTAACTAATATGTGGGATGCTCATGATATAAGCATGGACAAAACTCAATATGGCCCTTGCCCTTATGGAGTTTACATTCTAATGAATGAACGTGGTATGACTGAGAACTGGTGTTGTCACCATTATAGAAAAAGACTGTATTTAGGACTGCCACAATGAAGCACCACAAACTTGGTGCTTGAAAACAATAGAAGTTTATTGACTGACAGTAATGGAGGCCAGAAATTTGAACATAGGGTGTAGGCAGGGCCTTGCGCTTTACTAATGCTCTAGGAGAGGATCTTTCCTTGTCTTTTCCAGGTTCTAGTAGTCCCAGGTGTTCCTTGAGTTTTGAAAGTATAACTCAATCTCTGCCTTTGTCTTCATATGACCATCTTCCTTCTGCATATGTGTCTGTGTGCAAATTTTTCTTTTCTTATAAAGACATCTGTCATATTTGATTAAGGGCTCACCCTATTATAGTATACCCTCATATTAATTTAACTAATTATATCTGCAATGACCTCATTCCCAAATAAGTTTGAATTCTGAGGTCATGAGAGCTAGGACTTTTTCTTTTAGGGGGACATAATTCATTCCATCACAATGACCTTAGAAAAAATAGGAGTAAACTGAGAATAATGTGATACATTTGGAAAGGTATAATTTTTATTTTTGTTAGTAGTGAAAACAGAGTGAGATAACCTTGGCAGTATGCTTTCTCCTTACTGATCAAAGTCAGATCACCAAACACGGAATTAGCAGGATGCCACAATCTAGAAGCACAGAAATAACTCCAGCTGAAAAGTTCTTAGAAATGCAAGTTGTACTGGGAGCTATGTATATTAACTCACCATTCAGATGTACATTTTCCAAAGGACAATGAACATCAAATAAATAGAGGACAAGACTTCTGTGCATCCATTGAATCTGCCTGCTGAGACCAGAAGGTCCAGGCAGATAATCCCTTGTTTGAGATGAGTACAGTAATAAAAATCTTATATATGGACTCCATGACCAATATTGCAGAATTAGAAGAAAGAGGGAGGGAAAAAGCACTTGGTAGTAAGAAGTAGACACAGAGGAAGAACCTTCCTCTGATAGTGATCTATGTCTACTGTAAGATTTAAAAGAGACTATCCACAAAAGTTTGATATCCTAAATAGGTATCAAGGCACTGGCACTAGAAAAAAGCAAACTAGTGTTTCTGAAAGAATGGTGCATTGACAGCCTGGATCAGAATTATTTTTCCTGTTATTAAAATGACGAGGCCTGATTTAAATTTATTGAATAAGAATTTTAAGAGTGAATCAGGAAAATTGCATTTTAACAAGATTCCGGGTAAATTTTACATTGAACTCAAGTACCAGAACAAAAGAATAAAAGGAAAATGAAAAAAAAGTATCAAATTAAAATCAACATTAAGGTAGTTGATATCATTAGGAAAAATTGATGACAGTTGCAAAAAACATCTCTGCAGTATCTAAATTGTTTCAGACCATAGAAAAATCTGGAGTTGTTCAATTCATATTCGAAGATACTAGAATAATCTAAAAAAGACATCACATCATTATTACTGTAGAAGAAAAACTCCTGAAAAAGTATAGGAAAATGAATCCAACAGTAAATTACCTGAATAGTTTACCGTCACAAAGACAACTTATTCCAGGATAGACAAAAACAATTGCATCATAGGAAAACTGTTGAAGTAATTCACCAAATCAGTACATGAAAAGGAACAATATACTATTAACTTGATAGGTTCGATATAGGTTTTTTTTAATAACAATCAATACCCATCCATTACTGATATAATTTTTAGTAAAGTGTAAATATTTAAGCAATCCCAATATCAACAAAATACAATTGTTCCTCAGTAATCATGGGGATTGGTTCCAGGACTTCTGTGGATACCAAAATCCACAATGCTCAAGTGCCTCATATAAAATGGCATAAGATTTGCATAATAATCTATGTACAGCCTCCATTATACTTTACATTATCTCTAGATTACTTATAATACCTAATAAAATATAAAAGTTATGTAAATAGTTGGTATACTGTATTGCCTAAAGAATAATGACAAGAAAAACAGATCTGTATCATTAGGAAAATTAGGAGGGAAATAGCACTTAGTAGTACCTAAGTACTACTAAATACCTAATAAAACATGAAAGTTATGTAAATAGCTGTTATATTGTATTGTCTAGGGAATAATGACAAGAAAAACAAGTCTGTACATGTTTAGTACAGATGTTGTTTTTTGTTCTTCCCAAATATTTCCTATCTGCAACTAGTTGAATACATAGATGTGGAACTTAATGGATACAAAGGGCCAAGTGTAATTAATTGCTGCTAAAACACTAGAGGCATCCTCTTATAAGAAAGGGACAACACAATTATTTGACTTTTTTCCCCCCAAAAGTGCTAGTCAATGTAGTAAGGCATAAACAATGAAATGTAAATGCAGTAGTTCCTTAAATAATGCCATTTCATTCAACATTGTTTTGTTATAATATTGTTGAGAAAAAAAATCTATTGCTGATTGGGGTGACTGTCTGTGTGCAGTTTGCACATTCTGTCCATGTCTGCGTGGGTTTTCTTCAGTTACTGCAGTTTCCTCCCATATGCCAAACGTGCAAGTTAGGTGAATTCGTGTGTCTAAATGATCGTAGCATGAGTATTGATGTTTGAGTGTGTCTTGCAATGTGATGGCGTCCCGTCCAGGTGGGATCCTGCCTGGCCCCTTGAGCTGCTAGGATGGGCTCTGGCCACCTACCACCCTGAACTGGAACAAGTGGGTAAATAACCTTGCTTGTTTTCACTAATCTTTCTTGAATGTATGTATAGCTCATATTTATTTCGACATTTAATATCAAAAGTATTTTGGTTTTTATTTAGAAGTTTGGTGACATTTTTGTGGCCAGTAGAAACCTAACTCTTGTTTACATCAATTAGCCTATGGTGAAATTGGATTTGTTATCTATCATTTCTTTTTTTTTTTTTTTTGAGACAGAGTCTTGCTCTGTCGCCCAGGCTGGAGTGCAGTGGCACGATCTCGGCTCACTGCAACCTCTGCCTCTCAGGTTCACGCCATTCTCCTTCCGCAGCCTCCAGAGTAGCTGGGACTGCAGGTGCCCACCACCATGCCCGGCTAATTTTTTGTATTTTAGTAGAGCTGGGGTTTCACCATGTTAGCCAGGATGGTCTCGATCTCCTGACCTCGTGATCCACCCGCCTCGGCCTCCCAAATTGCTGGGATTACAGGTGTGAGCCACCGTGCCTGGCCTATCTATCATTTCTCTTAAAGTCGCAAAGAAGCTATGGATGACATTAAGTGAGGTCTTACTGTAGAAATATTAAAGAACATGTCCATAACTGTCTGTCTAGCAAACCCAAGTAATAAATGTGAAAAAAAAATCACATGTAAGAGAGGTCAACATGGCAGCTATTTCCAATATCAAAACCAAAAAGTTAAAGATTGGAATAAAACAATTTAAAAGGCAACCAAAATTATAAAATAGCCAGAAATAAGTGTCACAAAGAATATATAACATTTACCCAAATAAAATGTTGTTGATCAACATAAAAATAACTATTAAATAGCAAGAACATATTTCAATAGAAGGTACCACCTAATAATGATTGGAATTCCAGTATCTTTTTAAATCAAATAAAATTGCTATTATGGTATTTGAATAAATGTAACAAAATTACTTTAAATTTTAACTTTTGTATAAGCCTTTGACAAAAATGACATCTTAAAAAGTGATGAGAGCAGATTTGCCATAAATCAAAACTCTGTGGTTCTGGGGAAGGTCCAGAAAGAGTACACTAACTTAGTGTAAGAGTACACGAAAGATTACACTAACATAGTCTACTAGATGTAAGTAAATTCAGATAAAGTTAGATGGAGGTAGGGAGGTCAGAAGAAAAGAAGGAAGAGAGGGAGGCAAGATTAAAGGAAGGAAAGGAGGGAGGAAGGAATGGAGGGAGGAGATGAAACCAGTTTAAACTTGAAAAAGGAAGCGGTGAGATTATATTTAAAATAAGTTAAATCATGAAAAACTTTGGGAAGGGTAACCACTAAACTCTGAACTAAATACCTGGGTGCTAAAAAACTGGTGCTGAGGAAGGTCTCAAAAGTACACGCTGTCACTAACATGCCTTGCTGCTAGAAAGAGTTATCATTAAATCAAATTAAAAAAAAAAAAGCTCTACTTTATACTGTAACCAGTAAGCCTAAAGGACATTTTCTGTGCCCAGTATAAGTCATGTATCAAAAAACATTTTGCTTGCATTTTGGCTTTAAATAAAAGTTGTATAATTTCATGTTTTAATATAATCCATGTTTCTCAATGATTATATTGACTCAGAGAGATCGCCAGATTCATTAAGAGTTTTACTTCACATAATTTGATAATTAGATTGGGATTAGGAAATTATTTAATGAGAGACTTCACACCATGCAAAATTGCCTTTGCTCTCAGGAAAAAAAAAAAAGCCAGTGGCTCGCATGCTGTTGTCCAGCCTTTGGCACATTTATAGGTATTGGAGAGCTCTCCACATTGATGGCCATTTCAAAGTTGGATAATTCTCATTCGTAATTCGTGCATTTATCTAATATTCTATTTAATAGAGAATCACATTATGTGTCATTCCATTTTAATAATGTTGGTAACTGAAATATTTAAAGACAACGGTGACTCCTAACTCTTCATAATTACGAATTCTTTCTAGTTTCGCCTACCTTTTCCATATGTGGTATGTTTTCCAGATTCCTCATTATTTTTGTTAAGGCTTTAGATGATCTCATTTCAGTTAAAAAATGCTCCTCTGCGCCTGTAATCCCGGCACTTTGGGAGGCTGAGGTGGGCGGATCACGAGGTCAGGAAATTGAGACCATCCTGACTAACACGGCATGGTGGCTGGCGCCTGTAGTCCCGGCTACTGGAGAGGCTGAGGAGAAGAATGGCGTGAACCCGGGAGGTGGAGCTTGCAGTGAGCTGAGATCGCGCCACTGCACTCCAGCCTGGGCGACAGAGCCAGACTCCGTCACCAAAAAACAACAAAAAAAGGCTCCTCTGTTACATACCCAGTACTGAACTCCAATATTATCTGAAAAATGGACTCATTCTTATAAATTTGGTAATTCTAGGAAGCAAATCTGCATGGCCTTTGCTGAATTATTTGTGTAATAGCCGTATTGTCCTCTCAAATTTGTTTATGTAGCCATAACAAATTTCAACTAGTTTAGCTTTATCTCACTATTTACAGTTACTATATTTAAAATGAACTGACTTTTCATTTGATAAACAAGGGAAACACGTCCAATAATGCATTTCCAAGACACCGATGAAGTTTTGTTTCTGTATGTGTGTGCATGGACTTTTGTAGTATGTATATGTACGTAGATGTGTAGGGTGTGCACATGTGCATGGGCATACAGATGGAAATGTTCTGCTAAAAGATATCATTGCCATTTTAGTGGCTTCTTTAGAACTTCTAGAGAACTTTTCCAACTTCTAGTCTGGAGAAGGTATTAACTAAAGAGAATCTTGCTTACTTTAAAACAATTTCATTTAATATATAAGGTGAAGAAAAAACAAAGTAAGTCAGAATATGATAACGAGGAAATAAAAATAGAAATATATTCTTTAGAGAGAAGATATAAAAGAACATTCAAGTATTTTAGAAGATACAACACATACAGCTTGATTCGTAATTAATTTTAAAAATGCCCTGTTGAGGGTAACATCACACAATGGGGCCTGGGGAAGGGATAGCATTAGGAGAAATACCTAATGTAGATGACAGATTGATGGATGCAGCAAACCATACACATGGCATGTGTATACCCATGTAACAAACCTGCACGTTCTGCACATGTATCTCAGAACTTAAAGTATAATAAAATTAAAAAAAATGCCCTGTTGCTTTTGTGACACAATAAACTGCTTTAAAACTATTCATGGTTTTCCTTGAATAAACAGGGTAGTAGAGGGTTTATGAGATAATATAGTAGTGAACTATTTCTCAAATGCATGAGCAGCTTTGTAATGTCAGTTGTTTTTTTTTTCTCCTAGTTTTCTCTAAGGTATCTACTCTTGCAAAAAAAACAAAACCAAAAATCTCCCCCCCAAAAAAAAGACCCCCAAACCTTATCTGGCTTACATGAATTACATTTTCAAAATGTTACCATATTAGGAAAAATGAAATTAAATATTTGTTTTTGCGTAAACATTAAAATCCATTCTTAGCTGTTTTTGAAATTCTAACTCATAATGAATATATTTGAGACTGATTAAGGAAATTGAGTATTATTTACAAGTTACCTTGCACTGAACAAGATTTCTCTTTTCACTTAGTATTTTGAAAATATTAATTGTGCCTTATCAAAGGGAGACTGTTTGCTAGAATTTAGAGTATTTATTAAAGTACTGCTATTATTTTAGACTGTTGATATTATTGTATAGTGGATCAAATATACAATATGTAGTCTATTAATTGAGTTGTTTGCTTTATAATCTATCTGTGGTAACCTTAACAGTTCTATTTGCCACTGCTACTTCTTGGTTGATCCATAAGTAGGAAGGTAAAGTGTTACAGAGTGTGGTGTCCTAAATAGGCTATAGGTGTAGTGAAGAATTGATTATTAGGCCCTGCCCTTTAAAATTCTGAATAAGTAGATCTGGCACGGTGGTGCCCAGACTGAATTTTTCAAACGTCAGTTAATTCTTACAGCAGGGAAAAAAATGGGGAAAGCACTGATTCAAACCCATTTCAAACACACATATTAAAGACTTTTGCATTATTGCTGTTTTGAATAATCCATGCCACTCATTATATTCATTAATACAAATAATTGAATTGACTATGTATAATATTTAAAATGATTCTATCTTTAAAAGTAGAAAATAATTGCTTCTCTCTAAATCAGTACTTTACTCAGTTCTCATTTTCCATGGCAGGGAATTTACTAAAATACATAATGCATTAAATCAAATAATTTATTTCAAAAATGTATTATTCTTTAAGTTAGAGAACTACAGATCAATTTATATTTGTTGATCTTCATGAAAATAAAGATATGGTTGCTTGCATACATTTACATGTTTTTATTTTCTGTTTGCAGGGTACAAGTTGAATTCTATATGAATGAAAATACATTTAAAGAAAGACTAAAATTATTTTTCATAAAAAACCAGAGATCAAGTAAGTTATTCATTTCATTCCCCTCTGTTCGTACATATATTTACTTCAAAATATTTCAACTGTGTGATCTTTTGCAAAATACTTTTTAGATAGAGGAATAAAATTGGTTATTTTTTCCAGCAGGTGGTAGAGGAATAAAATTGGTTATTTTTTCCAGCAGGTGGTAACATTTTAGAAAAGTATAGGCACTACATATAGTGATATTAATGCTTCTTGAACATCTTCAATTCTCCAAATTCCATGTTAATAAGTAGACTTCTGAGTGGACTATCTGGATTAGTATAAACATTGAGGAAAATAATTTAAATGAGGGTCCTTCCATTTTAACTCTAAATATCGTATTTTCAAAAAGCTCTGACAGACCACAATGGGAAACAATTGTCTGATTTAGGGAAGGGAACGTTTAATATTTCCTAATCATTCCAAATAATAAGAAACATCTAGGTTGCACTGAAATATACAGATTCCTATCTTTCTTAGCCTAGAGATTTTGAGCCAGGAAGTGTAGGGTAGATCTCAGAGTTTAACATCCCAGTGATTCCTATCATCAGACAAATGTAAGAAAGTAACAAAGTAGAACTTCAAGAATACAAAATTGGCATAGTAACTGTCCTCCTGAGCCTATTCAAGGTTAGGAGTGCCGCTGATGCTTGTTGCTTCCCACAATGCCATATATGTTTAAAAAGCCATATGTAATAAACCAATATGCAATTTTTTTTATGGTCATTGCTTACAATGTCACAGGGAATGGAGAGGCCTGCATTAGTTGGTGTAGACATTAAGCTCTGTGAATTTTAACCTCCAAATCCTCTTGTCAAAATTAAGTTGTGCCTCTGTAGGTAGGATTCAAAGAGAGAAGCTTGACTTGTGGGAAGTTGTCCAAATACTGATGATATGGAATATTTCAATATTTAAGTCATACTGCTCAGATAGTCTTAATGACAGGCTGGCCTCAAGGTTAAGACTGTTAGCAACTAATGTTTTTCTAACATGGTTGTTCAGAATATCCAAGGAAGCCCCATAAATAGATATTACCTAAAGGGGTCACATCATCTGAATAGTTTCCCTTATTTCAGTACTAACAGTCCTATCTTTCCAGGCCAAAAAAGGTGGATGCATTGTTTGAATACTTCACCCATAGTCAGCTGCAACTAAGCAGTTATTTGAGGAGGCCCATTTCTATAAAACCAGCATAATTTCTTTAATAATTTGAAAGATTTTTTAAGGAAGTGAACCCATAAAATGTATTCAGCATTTTAATTGGAAAACCTTGGAAAAATTTCACAAATGATAAGCATCGACCTTTTTACTGGTAAGAACTGTTACCACAAGTACACTCACAACAGCAGAGTAGGACAAAAAAAGTGACATTTCATTTCTAGATTTTATTAAGTAATAATTATAGGAAGGCCTTTATCAAAATTTTATTCATAATGCATGAATCAGATATCGTAAAGTAATTACAGGAAAGATAATGCTCATATTAATCAGACTTTATGCATATTGTGCTTAATCTTAAATACTCTTCATCATCATTGAATATTACAGGCTGCATAATTGTGACCCACACAGTTTAGAAGATACATACATGGCAGTTTTAATTCCCACAAAAGTTTAAGATTCCATGGGTATTTTAAATAGTTAAAAATAGAATTTAATTTATTGAACTTTAAACGTATGTGTGTGTATGTGAGAGAAATGGAGAGATTGATCGTGTGTGTGTTTCTCAGTGTATGCTATTAAGATTTCTCTATACTTATATAATATATATTATTATATAATGAATAAATAATATATATAATTATATAATTGGAATGTATTATAATTATATAGTTAATATTAAATATACAACATAGAACTATACAAATATAATTAATTTCTTTATAATCAAATCTACAAGATTCTGTGAAGGTATAAGTTTTATAACTTGGCTTGTGAATTTGTAAGCAGCTAGATTTTCTAGCCAAAGTTTATCCCAAAATTTATGGATGTATAAAATGCTTAAACATATAAACATACTTTAATCAACCTCGATTGGACACAAATTTTGTGGCTTCTGAATGTTCAAATCTAGATTTAGTCTTTTTATAAAATATGCACTCTCATTTGCAGTTCAAGTATTCTGTCAAACTCACTTTTTGTTTCAATATTCAGGTAATTAAAATTCAGCCACCAAGAACTTCAGAGAGTTTAGACAATTATAGTAGTGCAGCTTCTAAATACAATTTAAGTGCTGTATTTAAATTTGATATTTTTGACAATTCTTTTTAGTCTTTTGTGAACTAAGTTCAGATGAAAATCAAACTTTTATCATTTGTTTAAAGGTCTAAGGATACGCCTGTTCAATTTTTCTCTCAAATTACTAAGCTGCTTATTATACATAATCCGAGTACTACTAGAAAACCCTTCACAAGGAAATGAATGGTAAGGTACCTTTTTCTGACCTTCAACAATATTATTTTGATTATTTTGAGTTGTATCACATTTTAAATTTAAAGCATGTTGTGTAGAGCTTAATTTTTAAGGGTATTTTAGGTGTTTGTCACAAATAAAATTGATCGATTTACAGGCACTACATAATTCTTGTAGGTTCTTTGTAAGTATCTTTTATTATTTTTCTGTTTGTCTGATGCTAATATTGGACTGTTAGGCATAAAATTTTATTGCTAGCCAAAGTGCATTAAGTAGTTTTTGTTTTAAAATGGGTAAGTCTCTTTAAAGACCCGAATGCAATTTTGTTCTTGATTTTCAGATACTCCCAAAAGATAATATGAAGCTTCCTATTTAACATTGTAATCTCCTCATAAGACTCCCTTAATAGTTTTCTTCTTTTTCTTTTTTTTTCTCTAGAGACTGTTTCTCTTTTACATATTCTACCTAATTTTAGTCATTTATTTTGTTTTCTGTGGTATTCCATGAATACTAGAGAGGATATTCCATGACAGCAAGGATCTTTGCCTGAATCCCCAGAGCCTGGCACAAAGTGGCAAACAATAGTTATTTGTTAAATGAATGAATGGATACATGAGTAAAAGAAGTTCCTTAGTAATCTAACTTTTGCCTACTCTACCTCATCAGCCCCCTACTCCAGCTATGCTGAACTGCTTGAAGTAGCTTATGCACCTTTGATCTCCCTTCCTCTGGGGCTTTTAACATTCTTCTCCCTCTTCTGGGAAATTAAGTTTCCTGCTCCTCACAACCCACACTTTTTTGACTTGCTTCTGGACTCCAGGACCTTCAGGAAAACAACTTTATGGATAACAGTTAATCTAAAATCCTTATGGGTATTGTGCCTTGTAGCCCAGTTCCACTCTGGCTTAGGAGTATCTTCTGGGTGCTCTCCCACATACTTCTCTCACAACAGCCAAAGCATTGCCCTTGATTTTACCATTCACTTATCAGTCCTTTCTATATGCTCACCAAGGGCAAGAACCATGCTGTGTTTTCCTCCATAGCTCTCACACTAAGCATAGGACTTGGTAGGTCAGTGAATGCTGCTGAATTAATGAAATGATGCTCAGCAATTTTATTGATAGTGTGTTGCACAATAAAAATGATTGAGGACTACTGCCTGGAGATGTCAGTGTTATTAAAATGGTTCATGTAACAAATTATTCTACAATCATATCAGCATTATTTTTAAAATGTGGTGATTTATAAATAAAAAGTACACTAGTGGGACCTGAAAATCATAAAATGAAGCATGATGGAATCCTTCTAAGGGTAAAAGGGCATTTGGTGGGTGTTAGCAGAGTAAAATTATATTATTTGAAAACATTAAGAGGAACAAAGTTTCCTACAATTAACTTCTATGTAATATCACTAAGAATGTTTGGCCATAATTGTAGAGGATATACATTTGAAAAATCAGATTACAGTAATTAAAAAATATTTATGGTTCCATTTTGAATACAATGTTCTGTTTAGCTCCCATGGTTAGTGCAGTATTGGTTAATGAAAAACAGAAGTCGCCTTTATGGGTGCAGGCTCTATTTTAAAATAATGAGGCTAATTAAGCAAAGAGATTTATTTAATTAGAGCTTCTGACATGATAAGTCTGCAGATATTTTGTGCTGCTTTGCTTTATTTTTAAATCCCTTTCAGGAATCAAAACTGATACGAAAACATTATAATATGGGAAAACTGAATAATATGAAAAGAATTTTACTGTTAATATACCATGTGTGAATGGTAAACTGTGATGTACAGATAATGTGTAGTAAATGATTTAAAGATGTTAGGAAAGGAAGCACACCTGAAGCATGTAGTTTATAAATTACACTGAAAGATGAGCCATCAGCATTAACTCATTGCCTGCTGATGCTTACAGTTCATCACTGTGTCCAAACTCATGCATCTGCATCTACTTTAAAAATTGTTCAAATGATTATTAGTTTTTAACATCAAGTGATAGAGACACAGGTAAGAAGCACATGAACATGCTTCTATTTTATGGTATTTGGATTCCATTTAAAATCAATGCCTAATATAGCAAATGGTGTGTTTAAGTGAAATTCAAATTTTAAATACGATTTCTTCCTCAGGGTAACAACTATTAAAGGAAGAAAACAGAATTTTTACAATAGCTCTTAAATATTTGATGATCAATAGGAATGAGTATTTTAATGCAGACCTTTTCTTCTTTTTTGTATATTGATTATTTTTTAGATTGAAGTAGGACTAAGTTCTCTAACAAATCTCAAAAATTTAAAAGCATTTTTTTGTTTACTGGAGTCTAATACTGGTGTTTCTGGTCATTGTGAACCTTTTCTCCATATAATGATTCACATACACAAACATACACACACAGACACAGACACATACATACACACACACACACACACACACACACTCCATAACATGGTAGGTACTATATGTACAAGCCCACTGCATTTTGTGATTATGTGTTGTCCTAAGACCGGAATCTTTGCATCCTGATTTCAGAAAGAGAAAGAGAGCTTGGAGAAGGCATATATGTTTTTAAAAATTATTGGCCAACAAATGACAAACATCACTTTTGCTTGTACTTCATACTCAGGTCTCACATGAGAACCAGTTATATCATCATACCTTGACACAAAGACTGAGAAATGTAGTTGACTGAAGAGTGACTTTTTTGCACTCGACTCTATGCCGTGGAAGGGGGAGAATGAATGTTAATTAAAGAGCCAACTCTGTGACAGCTAACGTTGTCTGGTGGAAGGGCCCTTAATGTCCATTCTTTCAAAGAGTTAGTTATCAGTCTTCTCCGTAACATCCTTGATAGTTGGTTGTCTAACCTGGGATTAAATGTTTCCAATATTTTGAAAGGATTCAAATACCGAAAAGTCTTTCTAACATATTGGCAAGACTCATATGCTTTCATATTTTGGTCACCTAGTTTTTGGATGTGTATTAAATATTTTATGTTCGTCTTGAAATGTGGGCTTAGTATCATATCTAGTATTCAGATTTTAGTGTATATTATGGTCAGGGGGGTTGTATAATTTACCCTCCTGTTTTATTTATTATTTGTTAATACATTACAAGCTTATATTAGGGTTTTTTTTTAGAGCTACCAGTCTTTGAGTTCATCTTGGGTTTGTGAGCAACATATCCTTTCATATGAATTATGTCCTGCATGTTAACCCTATTACTTTCAAATGCTTTGTTCTTCTGCTAAATGTATTCACCTCCTGACTCCCACCTCCTCTGCCAAAGCTGTTCTCACACTTTTACCCTCTATTTTCCTACTTTTAAGACAGTTCATAAGTGTTCTGGGAAAAGTGGCTGAGGCCACATTACTAAGTTCCTATATTTAACTTTTGCTTTTCCTTCTATTGTTTGGTATGGTTCCTTTAGTTTTCACAATAATGCTTCATACATGAATTTTATCAACAGGACAGTCTAATTCAGAATAACTAAATGATATATATTTGGGTTTTGCTTTGCATTTTTTTATTTAATTTTTTATATTTTGGAAAGGGAAATTTGTTTATTATTTAAAAATGTTTCATGCATATTACAATATAGATATATATGGCAAGGAAGTAAAAATTATCTGAGATCACAACACCTAGAATAAATACTTTTAGCATTTTTAAAGACTCCATTTACAAATTCTCTCTATACACAGACATATAGATAACATATACATACTGGTATGACCTAAAGTAATATTTTAATGACTTTTTCCTCATTTGTAATGTTTTTGTTGTTTTACTTGATGATGATGCATCTGCTACTTAAATTCTCTTCTTATTAGGTATTCAGGTAGATTCCAGTTACTCTCCTGCTGTAAATAATACTGAAATAAATATTATTGTGCATGTTTTCTTTCCTCCTAGTGTTTTTTTTATCAATGAGATTAAATTTTCATTTGAAATTATAATTTGGCTGTCAGCTTTGGTTTCACTCCTCATTTTGGAGGTTATCTACGAATGTGCAGATTAGATCCCACATTCTTTTTTTTTATGATAAATTCATTTTATGAAGGAGGGTTTGAACACTAGTTTTTACCAAAATATATACATTTCCTTCTATGTATTTATCCAACTTAATGTTAAGGAAACTGGTAAAAGTATGTCTTTCCATTGGAGATCTCTTTGAAATTTATATATGAGATTTGTAGGACTTTTTTTTTTATGGATTCTGAAGCCTATTTCACAAGACATAGTCTAGACTGGGAAATAAGTATGTCTTTTTTAAAACTCTTATTTAAATTCTTTATGACATTTCAATTGCCTACCAATATCACAGACCAAAGAAAATGCCATTAGTTTGACGTAAGCAGATTTCTTTTGGAATTTTAAAAATACGAAGTTGATTGTATTACAAATTTCAGATATACACATTAGAAAATTATTTCTTTTGGACCCTTTAGGAAAGTATTAATTTCACCAAATCTGCTATACTGGCAGTGTAAAAGTCTTAAACTAACTTTATTATTATTTTTGTCCATTTTCCTTCCCCTCGCCCCCCAATCCCCAACAGGCCTTGGTATGTGTTGTTCCCCTCCCTGTGTCCATGTGATCTCATTGTTCAATGTCTACCGATGAGTGAGAATATGTGGTGTTTGGTTTTCTGTTCCTATGTTAGTTTGCTGAGGATGATGCCTTCCACCTTCATCCATGTCCCTAAAAAGGACCTGATCTCATTCCTTTTTATGACTGCATAATATTCCATGATGTGTATGTACCACATTTTTTTATCCAGTCTATCATTGATAGGCATTCTGGTTGGTTCCATGACTTTGCCATTTTAAATAGTGCTGCAATAAATATAAGTGTGCTTGTGTCTTTAGAGTAGAATGATTTATACTCCTTTGGTTATATACCCAGTAATGGGATTGCTGGGTCAAATGGTATTTCTGGTTCTAGCTCCTTGAGGAATCGCCGTACTGTTTTTGACAATGGTTGAACTAATTTACATTCTCACCAACAGTGTAAAAGCGTTCCTAATTCTCCAGCATCTATTGTTTCTTGACTTTTTAAAAAGGATCTCCTATTCAATAAATGGTGCTGGGAAAACTGGCTAGCCATATGCAGAAAACTGAAACTGGACCCCTTCCTTATACCTTATACAAAAATTAACTCAAGATGGGTTAAAGACTTAAATGTAAAACCCAAAACCAGAAAAGCCCTAGAAGAAAACCAAGGCAATACCATTCAGGAGATAGGCATGGGCAAAGACTTCATGACAAAAATGCCAAAAGCAATTGCAACAAAAGCCAAAATTGACAAACAGGATCTTATTAAACTAAAGAGCTTGTGCACATCAAAAGAAACTATAATCAGAGTGAATATCAGGCAACCTACAGAATGGGAGGAAATTTTTTCAATCTACCCATCTGACAAAGGTCTAATATCCATAATTTACAAGGAACTAAAACAAATTTACATGAAAAAAACAACCCCATCAAAAACTGGGCAAAGTTTATGAACATACAATTCTCAAAAAAAAAGACATTTACACAGCCAATGAACATATTGAAAAAAAGCTCAACATCACTGATCAATGGAAAAATGCAAATCAAAATCACAGTGAGATACCATCTCATGCCAGTCAGAATGGCGATTATGAAAGTCAAGCAGATTTTAATAAGTCTATGTTAATTACCAATTTTCTTTGAAAATACGCACTTCTGTTCAGCAACTTATTTTATAATTTTTTCCAGAGATTGCTACCTACTTGACAATATAGTAACTTTTGTGGCACATAGTTTTCCACTTACAAAACTGGGCATCTATCCCTCTTCACTCTGACACACCTTGTTGTGGTCTGATTTCTCAAATGTTACTCAGAATATAAAAATATAAACACTTTAGAAAAGACAGTGATAATGAATCCATAAGTTATACCTTTGACTTAATTGGCACCATTTATCATTGATCATTGGTTACCTAGTTTAATATATGCAGGTACTTAGCAAGGCATTGGGTTTATAATGGTGAGTAAATTAGATAGTTATTTTATCTTATGGAACTTGTAATTGCAAGGATACAGCCATTAAAGAAACACATATACAAATAAATATAAAGTTTCCACTGAGATGAGTGGCAGGAAAGGTGTGATGGGTGACGTGGCCCAAGGGATTAGTTGACAAAGTTGATCAAGTGGAATCCTCAGAGAGGGTTTCCCTGAAACACAGAGGGTTGAGCTGAGACTTCTAGGATGAGAGGACAGAATGTAAAAAGAGCTTGTAGAAGGAAGGAATGAGTCCACTTGAATAAGTCTAAGAATGCCATGTCAACTGTTTTGAACTTTATTCTAACGGAAGTGCAAAGGCAATACACAATAGGGAATAGGGTAATGTGATCTAAAACGCATTTTGAAAGAATCAGTGTATTTGCGACTTGGAGAAAAATGGTAGAAGGCAAAAGAAGGTGCAGTGTTCCCACTGGTAGGTTTTTGCAAGCATCCAATTGTGAAAAATGGTGGCTTAGAATAAGGTGATTGTGGTAGTAGAGACGAAAAGAAGCAGATGAATTCTGCAGATATTTTGTTGTAATGACTGAAAAGGTTTGATGGCTAGTGAATTTAGTATTTACAGATGCAGGAGAAGAAAGTATCTAAAAGGATGCTCAAGTTTTGAGTAGCCAAATAAAATGAGATTTGGCACCGTTTACTTAAATGCGAAAAACTACCATTCACCTGCCTCTCTTCAGGAAAATGTAATTATTTTTATCTTTTCCTGAATAGGGTATATTGCTGTAAGTAACTCCCATTGGAATCAACTGTGTACTAAATGATGTAGACACAGCTAGGTTATAAATTGTGGAAAATTAGAATTAGAGGGATAATAAGTGTTATGATGTTCTTTCCAGAGCATAAGCCTTTTTATCATCAGAAAATATATCATTTTTAGGGAATAAAGATGATTACTCCTTGTCTTGCCCAATATGTTAACCCCAGTCATACTGTTTTCCATGGTATGTTAAATATTTTATAAAACTTCAAGTCTGAAATATAACTGTGTTGTATACTCTGTTACTGATTTTTTTCTGGTTATTTATACTGTTGTATTTATACAGGACATATATATGTCCTGTTACAAATAAGAATATCTTAGAGTTTGTAGAAGACTATTAAATGACTTTTCGGTGTAGAATTATCCAGTAAAGGGTTTAAGGTTATTCTGCCCTGCCATATCATTCTTTAAATAATGTCACATATTTTAATTTATTAACAATGACAAAAAGTGAAATTCAAAAAGTTTTTATCGGAATAGAAATGAATATTAGCAAAAAGAAAACTAAGGCAACAACGTTTTTTCAAATGTTGATTTTGATATTTTGTCTTTTTATGCTAGCATATTTTAATATTTCCAACTTTAACTGAATTTTAAAAGTGAATAGATTTTTCATATTTTAAAAAACTAACTTATTATTATTCTTTTTATAGGTCTCATATCTTTTGGGTGAACAGAAGTCTACCTTTGTGGGGCTTACAGGTTATGTACAATTTTGTTTTATCCCTATATCTCTGGGTTTATTCACATTTCACAGAGAAGTACTATTGGAGAGCTTTTGATGTTCAAAATGAGTTTGTCTTTCTGCCTGATTAATCTTCATGCACATCTTGGACTAACATTTTCATTTCTTTTTTCTTGTTTGTCTGAGCCCTGCATTCTACCTCTTGAGGATTTCGTCGTGATCAGAATTAGATTTTAAAGAGGTTGTGAGAGTTTGGAGAAAACCAAAGTATACTACTGCTTTAAGGCTCCACAAGTTTTCCCAAACTACATTAAGTATTCCTGTTATATGATTCCTTTAAGGTTACTCAAAGCCTATAACTGTGTTTGCTTTTTACCTTGTATTCTTAGTGTCTGGAATATGGTAGAATATCAATAAATAATTATTTAATGAATGAACAAATGAAACAATGACTCATATCACCAATAGTAAGAGCTTAGTTCCTAAGCAATTAATCATGTAAATAAAACCAAAAGTATGCCATAGCATAAAAGGAGTCTTTAAGAAAGGCTAAGAAAATATGACAGAGCACAAGATGTCTGATTTATATTGTTGAGGTGTTCCCTAGAGTCTCCGTTACTTCTTTGTTTTGTTTTGTTTCCTACTGAATTTCATGCCCAGTGAACTTTTTGTAAGTTTCTATCGCCTCTACTTCTGTTTACTTCCTACAGATCCTTTTTATTTTCTGTTGCTTTTAAAAATTACAAATTAATCGGAAGAATAGAATCACCAACATCAGAAAGAATTGGAGATTGGAAGACACTTGAGTCTGGAGGAAAGAGAAAGACTTTAAGACTCACTGCTTAGGAGCAATCTTTAAACTAGTTTATTTATTTATTCATAAAGTTGTATACATTTATGGGGTACAAGTGCAATGTTATTACTTAGCTATTTTGAGTAGTGGTAAAGTCCAGCTTTTCACTATATCCATCACTCAAATAATGTATGTTACACTTACCAGGCAATTTCTCATCATCCACCCTCTTCCTCCCTTCTCACTCTTCCAAGTCTTCAATATCTTTCATTCTACACTCATTCCACATGTCTTTCAAAGTCACGATGATTGTGAAGTCTGTATATTTGTATGTGATAATGAATTACTTTAAGTATGTGTGCATTGTGATCATAACCATGAAATCAAGTTTTTACTATGCCTGGGTGTTTTAAGTTTTGTTAAAGTCAAGTTGTTTTTTACATTTCCTTACTCTGACTTTTGTTGCAATATCATATTAATTCATAAATAACACTGAAAATATTGAAATGTTCATTAAAATGTAGTATTTTAATCTCTGAGCTATCCTTCAATTAAGTGCACATTTAAAATAAATTGTTTTATGAATAGCCATATATTATCTTCAAATATATTTTGATCTATTCAAATTGCTTTTTAAAACAGTGATATTTGAAAATACTAACGATGCTCTTTTTTTTTTTTTTTTTTTTTTTTTTTTTTGAGACGAAGTCTCTCTCTGTCGCCCAGGCTGGAGTGCAGTGGTGCGATCTCGGCTCACTGCAAGCTCCGCCTCCTGGGTTCACGCCATTCTCCTGCCTCAGCCTCCGGAGTAGCTGGGACTACAGGCGCCCGCCACCACGCCCGGCTACTTTTTTTGTATTTTTAGTAGAGACGGGGTTTCACCGTGTTAGCCAGGATGGTCTCGATCTCCTGACCTCGTGATCCGCCCACCTCGGCCTCCCAAAGTGCTGGGATTACAGACGTGAACTACTGCGCCTGGCCGATGTTCATTTTTAAATAGCACTTTGAGTAAAATGTTAAAAATGCTCTAGAGATCATCTAATGCTATGTACTTCTACAAAAAAAGCATGAGTAATTATGATTTAGAGGATTTATGGAGAAAATGAAAGAGATTTGCGTTTTCTATCATAATAATGCCTGGCTACTGCACATACTTCTGAACATATTTTACTTACACTGTTATGCATTTTATCTGTTTTCTTATTGTTCTCCTGTTTTAATATTCTTTTAAATTCAAAGATTTTTATCCCAACAGAAGAAAAAATGTAATCTCCAGGGTATCTGCCGTTCTCATTCGAATAGTCTTAAACCTCAAAAATCTATAAACATATATATTTACCTGAGACACTTTTTGTTTATATTTGCTTATTTGATTCTATTTATCTATCCTAAGGTTGTAGAGTATTTAACACAGAATAATTTTATTATTTTTTCTAGTTACTTTTTGTGGCACAGTAATATATTTTTGGTAGTTAACACTAGAGATGGTGTATACAATAGAGAATATAGAAAAAGATAAAAGGATACGTAGGAAGATAGTACTAACACTTCTATCTGCACAAGGGGAATTGGTTATGAAATTCATTCAAATAAAATCTGAAAGTATTTTGAAGTGGTGGTATGGTCTATTTTATTTAGTACTCAAAGATGTAGCCTTTTTATTTTGTTTCACATGGGTGATAAGATTGAATATACTATTAAACTTGAAGTGTGTGTTATTTCATTTTCTGTATTTTCTGAAGAGAAATACTGATTTTGGTACAGATGGTCATGCTTCTGGGATAGAGTGGTTATCTGTGGTGGACAGTCACATGTGATTTTATGTATTAGAAACACACACACATAGCTGGGTACGGTGGCTCACGCCTGTAATCCCAGCACTTAGGAATGCTGAGTAGGGTGGATTGCTTGAGCCCCGGGGCTTGAGACCAGCCTGGACAACATTGCAAAACCCCATTTCTATTTAAAAAAAATTTTAAAACGAAACACACCCATAAAAGAGCCTGTTCTTTATATATCATGTAAACTGCAGCCAGCCTATTTTAATACCACCTTTACATTTTGAATAATAACTAAAAATGGTTTACTAAGGAGTATTAGAATGTATGAAAACTAAGATGTAGTACAGGAGACAGCAAACTCTGGCCAGCAGCCTGTCATCTGTGTATAGAAGTTAAAGTACCGCCTAATAAGTCCTATTATACACCCATATATGTATACATGCACATATATTTAAATAAAGTTAGTAGTATAGCCAAGAATATATATAATTTAATTGTATTGCGTTTTCTCATTAAGTTACAATTTATCTTTCAGGTTTCAGTGGCATTGATAAGTCTGTTTGAAACAATATTACTTGGTTATCTTAGTTATAAGGTAAGTTATTTTAATTAGCAGTTTCCCGCTGATAGAACACATCTGTAGTATTTACTCAGTATTCCTCTATTTATAGTTCGCACTGGAAGGTAAGGCTGACTCTTCTTGAGCCACTTTGTTTTGAGCCGCTCCAGTAGCTGATAAAAAGCTGTATGAATACGGTAATGTTTTCCTTGATGACTTACAAATGCTTTGCTAGTTCCTATGGGTTTACTTACCCATTATATGCATGCATATAGTGAGACAAGCAAATGGAATGGTTCAACTTTATTGTATTCAACATTGTTTTTTTCTGATTTGTACACAAAATATTGAGAAAGCAAAAACATGTCTCTTAGGAATTATTTTAATAAATTATCTTATTTTTTGATAAAGCTTTGTTTGGCTAACATGATTTAACAAGTATTTATTGAGCTCCTATTTAATGGAGAGCTCTGTAGTTCACATGATTCTTTTTTCAATGAGTTTACAGTCAAGAAAGGGGAGGTTACAGCAGAGCATCATACAGATAATAATAATACAAGCAGCATATAATGGGTAATTCCAGTGAGGTCTAAGAAAGTACTGTGGGGTTTTATAGAGAGAGCTCATATCATGGAATGAAAAGGAAACAGTAGTACTTGAACCATAGTGATTTCAATAAGGCAAGATGAAAAGACAGCACAATAGAGATTGATAAAATTAGCAAAGGCATAAAGGAAGGACTTTGCATGTAAAATTGGAGGAATAATAAATATATTTGTCTAGAACATGGGGGCATTGTATAGCAGCATATATTTTTAAGTTGATGGAAGATGACTAACACAAGATTCTGTAATTGAAATTCAGTTTTAGGAATATTAGTTCAGAATCTCTATGCAGCTCAGGTCAAATAGACATTATGGTGAAGTTCATGTGCTCAGTTAAGATGTGTTGCAGTATGAAAGGAAAACTGACAGTAAGATTTTGGCTGGATGAAAAGATTTACCAGTTTTAATGAAAGATTAATTATGAAGGTAGAAGCTAAAGAAATCAACTGATGGGTTGAGATAGGCGAAGAGAAGGAAATTCATAGCATTCTAATAGCTTCTAAGTTTGAAGGACTGGAAATACTGCAGTAAGACTAAGAAACAATCGTACCAAGAAAGAAGTCATATTGGGATCCACATAGATTAAATAATGGAATTAGTTTTGGAGGTGATGAATTTCAGGTACTGGTGAACACACAGATAAATAAGGTATGCAATTGAGAATGAGAATCTGGAACTTTTGAGAGGGAGATTTATTAAGACTTGACAGTCATTTTCACTATTAAGACCTGATAGTAAAGGAAGCCATGAGAATCTATCATGCATGGGTTAATCACCAGGGTGGAAACTAAGGCTTATGTTGATGGAGATGCTTAAATTCAGGGTTTTGGAGGAATAATAGAACAATCAGGGAAGACAGAGAAGTTAGAAAAGATAGAAAGTCATTGGAGTGGTTGTCATAATCATTACTAATTTTTGTTAATAGCCTTTTCATCTACTCTATCAAGTGTACTCAAGGTTATGTTTTTGGGGAACTCATATCTAGCACATCAATTTCTTTCTCACTTTTTTTTTGGAGGGGGAGGGGAAAGGGTCTCACACTGTCACCCAGGCTGGAGAGCAGTAGCATGATTATGGCTCACTGCAGCTTCAACTCCGCCTGGGTTCAAGCAATTCTCCCTACTCTCTTGACTAGCTGAGACTATACGTGCACACTGCCACCTGGCTAATTTTTTTTGTATTTTTTTGTAGAGACAGGATTTTGCCATGTTGCCCAGGCTGATCTCAAACTCCTTGGGTCAGGTGATCCTCCAACCTCAGCCTCCCAAAGGGCTTGGGTTACAGGCATGAGCCACTGCATCTGTCCCTCTCTCACTTTTTAAAACAAGAGTTTTGAAGATAACATTCTTCAGACTATTATTTAGTTCTAAATTTAGAGCAAGAAGTTTTTACAAACTCACCCTTTTTTCAGGCTCACTTTTTTTTTCTTTTTTAATTCTCATTATTGCCATCTTAAAAAAAACACTAATTTCTAAGAATGTCAGATTGATGAATAAGAAAGTATAGAAAGAAAAGAATGACAGCTTTAAAAAATATAGGTGGATTGATTAAAATTTATGAGAAGACATAGGATGTTAGAAATATCTGAGGAACAAAAAGTATCATATAAAAGCACATTTGCTATGTCAAGTATAAGAAACTTGAGAAAAGGCTATTGAGTTTACAAATTAGGAGGTCATTTGCTATTTGCCTACAATAGGTCAGTTATAATGGAATACAATTGAGTGTCAAAATTGTTAAATGGAGAATGTTGTTTGACTGGGGCAGGTGCTTACTCAAAGCAGTAGGATGAAGCAAGGATGACTGCTTCATGATAAAAAAAAATCTTCATTGTTTAAAAAAGAGAGAAAGTACAAGGCAGGAGTGAAATATTATAGGAAAGTTTATAATAAGTAAGAAGTAAGTAAGCTGGAATAGAAACCTGAGGTTTAATGATTAGTTTTGGAAAGTCTCCATTGTCTTTTGGGAGTGCAGAAGGTGGAAAGTCGTGGATCAATAAGTAAATTAGAGCTAGAGAAGAGAAATGAAAGAGCTTTCACATGGGAGCCACACATCCCTAAATTACCTAGAAAGTACTAAATCAATAATAAGCAATATAGATGAAGATAATGAAGAAGGGTCTTTTAAGGGTGTATTAGTATATCTCCTTGTCAAAATAGGTGCACTATAAATATGTCCTGATTGACAAATCTGGATATTGGGTAACTAGAAAAATAAAACAAAATAAAAAATCAAATAAATTAATATCCCAGTTCTTATCTTTAATGTTCA
Organism: Homo sapiens; assembly: GCF_000001405.40. Classification (NCBI taxonomy): domain Eukaryota; kingdom Metazoa; phylum Chordata; class Mammalia; order Primates; family Hominidae; genus Homo; species Homo sapiens. Next base: position 326,014 of record NW_025791754.1, on the reverse strand, counting down.
TTAATATACATGCATACATATATATGATAAATGTTGAATGTAATATATAAATAATGGTATGCTTAAAATTTAGGCATGTGTGTTTTGGGGTAAATTAATCCTATCCCTTCCACTAGCACAGGAATATATACAAAACTGTAACATGGCCAAAATATTAATCTGCATTTGAAGATGTATTTGCTCCAACTTCTGGCTAAAATGTAATATGAAATTAAGATTGGTGTTTTGCTAATAGAACTCTTAGCACTAATTTTAAAAGCCATTTAAAAACACATATTGATTCAAGATAATTTTTATTGCAATCATATGATGATGACATTTATAATCAATTATTGCTTATAATTTATAAAATTAGAGCAGAAAATTGTAAGACCTAGCATGCAGAGCTAGATGATATATAATATTTCCATTTCAACCCTCATAAACATTAATGGCTTCGATGGAGGAAATGTAGACAGCAGTTAAGTCCAGTGTGTTACAGAGAAAACAGATAGGATAAATAGGAGTTATGTGACAGTAGAAGGATAGGTTGCTGTTAATTATCTTCTTTTTCCTCTCATCAATATAGTCCAATCTGTGAATCTCTTTGGTCCCTTCAACAGAGTGTTTGATAATTTTTTTAGAATGGGTAAATCAAGTAATTGGTAGTCATTTATGGTCTCTAAATAAAGCATGTTTGGTAGCAGAATTTAAAACATACTCCTTCCTTCAAGTTAGATTTTTTTTTTTTGAGACAAGGTTCTCACTCTGTTGCTCAGGCTGGAGTGCAGTGGCGTGATTGTCTCTACCTCCTAGGAGGTATAGATCCGCTCGCCTCACCCTCCTAAGTGGCTTGGGACTGCAGGTGTGCACCACCACACCCGGCTAATATTTGTATCTTTTTTTAAGAGATGGGGTTTTGCTATGTTGCTTAGGCTGGTTTGGAACTCCTTGGCTCAAGTGATCTGCCTGCCTCCTCAGCCTCCCGAAGTGCTGGGATTATAGGCATGAGCCACCATGCCTGGCTAAGTTAGATTTTTTAAAGAAAAGTAATATACAGACACACAGAAATGGATATTGTATTGCACCAGCAATTGTTTCCACTGCTGATATTATTCTTTGATACTTATAATTCTGAAATAGTAATATTAATAGCAAATCCATATATAACTTTCTTGTATTTGTTTACATATGTATATTTATGGATAGATATGTATGCTTATATGTGTATACATTAAATATTTAAAAATACATTTAATACAGCATTATGCAAGCACTTTATAATTCTTGAAATTAGACATTCTAAAATAAGCATAACTAAATCATTAGCTACTAAAATAGTTTAAACTTTCATTGAGACTGTAGGTTTTGAAAACCAGACCAACTTAAAGCGAAATTACCTAGAACTATTAAAGTACATGTTGAGTTTAGCAGATAATGAATTAGCATCCATGACATGAACTTATTTTGTCTTCTGTCATACAGAAGTGCAGGTCTGTGCTTAAATCATCATTCCATTCATGTTTATAGCTAGTTGGCAAAACAAACATGGTAATCACCCAACACTAAAGTTCTTATTCTTTTGTCATCATAAATACCCTCTAATTCTTTATCAACTGCTTTCAAAATAAAGTTCTATTTATGCACACACATTCGTTAAATCAAAAGGAAACAAAAACAAACTCTGGCACAATTTCCAAACCTCCACACACAAAAATTCATCATACCTAGAACCCTTTTGTTAAATGTGCAATTCTTTTTTTCCATAATCACATTACAAAAAGCAACAATTTTGAAAGTTTAACACCACACTGGTTTATTTCTGGAAAAGAACAAAGAATTTAGTCCAGGACTCCTGAATACCAGATACTGTTGATTCTGCTTATCTTGTTCTGAAAATGGTAAATCTAAATATTGTTGGGTTTATATGTAGAAATACAAAGACTGCCATAGCGTTACGACACTATTTTAAATTCATCCAAAGAAGACAAATTACCAAACCTTTTATTAAATATTTTAAAATACAGGTATTCTTAACATTTAAGAACAAAAAGTATTTACAAAATGTTCCTTGGCTGAATTGGGGCTTGCAACAAATGAACTGCTATAACTAATATAATTTTTAAAGTGCTCTTTAGGGTTGCACAGATAGTAGTTCCAAGGTTCCATGTTTCTTTATGATAAAAATAAAAGTGCGATGCATTTTAGAAAATCGCATATTTTTCTGCATTATTATTGGTTAAAAATGATGTGTCCGTGCTAAATGTAGACTAATTGGATTGAGATTTCTTTATATTTTATTGAATTCTGTCAATAATAAAAGGAACATAGAGAGGACTGGCCACTGAGATACAGCTACTACTTAGAAACTAAAGAAGTTACTTTTTGGAAGAAGAATAATGCTTTTTATCTCCTTCATGAAAATAAGATTAAATGAAAAATGTATTTAATACAATTTTGAAAGGCATTGTGCTTGCCTTTCAATTTTATTTCTTAGTTTTCTTACATAGTGACATTGTATGAAAGCATACTTTTTTTCACCATACTAGCATTTATCCTTAGGTTTTTGTGATTTATGCTTATTGGGACTCCTTTTTGGCCAATGAAACTTGTGGATCCTTTCTATATTTATGTTTCATTAGCTATTTTTAAGAAAGATAATTTATGGATGTATCTCATAGTTTAGAAGACAACCTGAAATCTTAGAATTAAACTCAATGCATATAACTGAAAAGAGACGCATTTATTTTTAGCAATAAATACATTGCCCCACTGTACAATTTTAGACCATGAAAATTAGTCCTCTGTGGGAAGTTCATTCATGTGTCACAAAACTCACACAAACATACACATATATGCATACATGTGGTGTGAGTCAACAATCCATGGTTGACGTAATGTACCAACAGTTTTTATTTAGGAGATTCAGACTGTCAAGCACTGCGCTAGGAGTAGAGCATGCAATCCTGAAATACACTGGTCCTGATCTTGACCTCACAGAGTTTAAAGTGTTGTAATGTCTTAAGTATATAAATACAAACTGGAAAAAAATGTGAAAGAAATTGATGGAGAATCAAGAAGCCTAATGTGGGGGTCAGATCCTGCCTAGAGGGTATATGATGAAGGGGCAAGGAAAGTCTCTAAAAACCCAGATTTCGGTTGAGAGCTGAAAGGCAGGTATGAGTTAACTTGGCAAAGTGAAGTTGTAAAGAAAGGTAAAGCTTTTCCAAGCCTCTTTAAGAGTTATATGCAAAAGTATACTTAAGGCATGTTCTAAGCAGTGAATATACTTTATATATTCCGTCCATGGAAGGAATGATCTTTAAAATAAGGTTGGAGAAGTCAACAAGAGACAAATGAAATAGTGCCTTGCATGATATAATCACATTTTTGTCTTTGTTTTGTAAGTATCTGAATAGTTCTGAAGAGTAGGCCTGGTCTGGCGTAAAGGTGCAGGGGATTGGTAATAGTGCAGTAGGTGAATTGGAATGGGGCAAGAATGATGGGATGGTGGCTAACTAGGCTTAACAAGTCAAAAAGTGAGAAATGAGCTGAAATAAAAACTAGAAAATCTCAAGATCTATTTACAAATTAGTAGGTCTTATTGATAAATTATAGTATAATTATAAGTATAGTATAGTGTGAAAGGAAAATGTAAAAAGTTTCTCCAAGATTTTTGGTTTGTGTTACTGGGAGATAAGTCAGGGAACAAATCATAAGTTTTGCTTTAGACATACTATATATAAAGTGCTTTAGAGGCGCTGATGTGAATCAGTGGATTAAGCAGTTGATCTGAGTCAGAATCTCAAGAGATAAAATATTGGTTCGAGCTATTGATACAATATTGGAAGTCATTAGCTTATTAGTGATTATTAGTCATTAGCTTATTATAAGTTGAAGCTGAAACATGGATGAAATTACTTAACATGGGTATAGAAACAAGAACTCTTGAATCCTTTCCTCCAGAAAATTTCAATTGGCTCAGCAGTTACAAGTTTAATCATTTCTACATGATTACTTTAAGTATAAAGGTTTTAAACAATATCATTCTTTCAAATGAGATCATTTGGATCCAATGGAAAGAAATGTAAATATTTAAGCTCCAAAAATAAAATAACTATATCACAGAAGGGGAAGAGTGTGTATGAAATAGCTGGGAGTATCATTTACTCATTCGTGATATTAATTGAGCCCCAACAAGCATTTTAAAAAATTAGTTCACTGAAATGTTACAAGTGCTTGCCAAGGAGATTAGTATTGAAGGTGTGGAGGTGTAATATTCCAGCCAGAGGGACAGATGTGGGCAAAAGTCTACAAGCATAAAGTAGCCTAGCTTGTTCAGAGATGGATATAAAATTCAGTGTGGATTAATCTTTGGTTGAGTTCAGGATAGGAATAGAAATATCAAAATTACAAGCCAAGCTAGTAGCCAGAGTTCAAACTGTGAAATTTCATATAATACAGTGATGAGTTTGGATTTTATTATGTTGGCAATGGGAATTTGGCATTTTAGAAAGATTCTTCTGGCTTTAATGTGGAAGAAAAATCGGAAACAAACCCAACCTAGACAGATAATTAAATAAAAATCATAAAAGGCTAATGTGTTATAAATGGAAATGAAGAGAAGAGAGACATAAGAGAGATAAAAGGTTTTTGTTTACATGAACTAAATTATACAATCTGCCACAGTTCATACGAATTTTGCTGGGCATTAACAGAAATAGCCTTTCATATCACTAGCAGCAACTGGTCCCATAACCCTCCTTTCTTGCTACTCAGATCAATCTCTTCTTGTGGACAATCATTGATACCAAAAAAAAATGTAAAATGAAAAGTGAAAATACAATAGTGGAAGAGAAAGGCAAAGGATAACATTCTGGAAATGATGCCGTGTAAAAACTGATGAAAGAAATGATATTATTCACCTGCACAATTAAAAAAAAACATGGCATAACTATGACTAGTTATAACTCTTTTGTTAAATAGTCCTGATTCAGTGGTAGTAGGAAAAGACCACTCTTTCTACACTTCTTCAAAACCGTGCATCCTCTGTCTCATCCATGCTAATCAGATGACATCTCAGAGAGGTTCTATAGCTTTTCTGGTCTTTTCATTCATACGGCAAATCACAGTTTAGTATTTAAGAAATTAGGGGCCGGGCGCAATGGCTCATGCCTGTAATCCCAGCACTTTGGGAGGCCGAGGCGGGCGGATCACGAGGTTAGGAGATCGGGACCATCCTGGCTAACACGGTGAAACCCCGTCTTTAGTAAAAATACAAAAAAAAAATTAAAAAAAGAATAAAAAAAAGATTAGCCGGGCGTGGTGGTGGGTGCCTGCAGTCCCAGCTACTTGGGAGGCTGAGGCAGGAGAATGGCATGAACCCAGGGAGGCGGAGCTTGCAGTGAGCCGAGATTGTGCCACTGCACTCCAGCCTGGGTGACAGAGCGAGACTCTGTCTCAAAAAAAAAAAAAAAAAAAAAGAAAGAAAGAAATTAGGGTCAATATATGCAAAAATTTAAAATTCTCCTTTAAGATGGCTTCTCCCTATCCTCAACTCAGACCTACATGGCACAGGGAATTATCATGGGAGGCCTATCTGATGTTTCTACTTCCTCTCTTATTTGATGCCCTTTAAGGCTGAGGAAGAACAGGGAATGAAGTGCAGTCAGTTTCTGGGTTGAAGTTGCCTGACTGGCACAGTTATTGTCTGGTGTTTGGTTGTTCCTCATGGCAGACACAAGCTCTGGCCCTTTCTCCCATGTAAAGCTTTTGTGGCCTATCTGGAGCCTTTGAATTTCCTGGAGGCCTCAGTGTGTCAGGCTACAGACTAGGGCTCTGACACAGACCTTGGGCTTCTCAGGCCCACCATCTGTTGAAGTCCCATTTCACCTTCAGCTACACAGTCTTACTGAGTGTAAACCATTTTTAAATGACCATAGGTTCCATTCTTTAGGGTTTATATCTGGTTCCCAGAAAATAGGCACTTTTGCCTTAAAATAGGAGGGATTGTGTCCTGTTATTATCCAGTCATCCTTTTTTTCTTTGATCTCTTCAGTTTAAAAAGTTCTGGGCAGTAGCCAAATGCAGTCTCCATGTTGGAGCCAAGTTAAGTGGTTTGGTTCCCTGGAGCCCTTTTCACTTAACTTGAGGTGATGAGATGCACCACAGCACCTGTAACATCTCTATAAGGAGGCATTTTCACTGCTTCCCTTTCTTCTAACTTCCCACTCCTTTACTGTTTTTATGTAGCCTGGATGAGGGTGATAAACTATGCTCACAAAACCTATTACTTAATTTCTTAGTATATGGAGACAATAGCTGCTCTACAACTTTCCTTTGGGATGTGCAAGTATATTCCATCAGTGCAGTTTTTAAACCTTTGGGGCCTTAAGGAAAATTAAGAAAGAGTCCCAATTTTATAGTCAGTGTTATAATGGATAATTGGAGATTACAGTATAGCAGATTTCAAATTGCCTTTCTAATACATAGATCTCTTCATAGAAGAATAAACTGCTTTAGGAAAGTCTGTGCTCATTATCGTCAGACACCAATCAAGAAAGTTTCAGTGGTGACCTCTTAATGTTAGGGTCAGCTTCATGGACACGTATTCTGTGCATAATATCAGGGTCAGCACAAGGTTCCACAACCAGAAGGTCCTCGTGATTAGTTGAATGTTCTAATGTTACCTTCTTGAAATTGTTAATGTCTTATTAGGAGGCCTCATATTTTTCATTTTGCACTGGGTCCTGCAAATTATGTACTCAGTCCTGTTTAATATGTTTGTATTATGAGGGTAGGGAGATTAGAGTCTAGATGATTGAAAAAGTCCTTTCTTTAAATTGTATTAAAGTGAAAACAATTTTAATACCAATGATTGTTAACAAGGGTACGTTTCACAAACTAATATACTTGATGGTTAGTGAATATCATTATTATAGTAAGTAAAACTTCAAATTGTCACTTTTTAATTGACTGTAGGTTTTGTTAATGTGTTTTATTTTTACTAGTACTTTTCTTCCATGACATATTACTTGATAAAAAATGTTATGTGCAATATTCCTGGTTTCTACAAACATTTGTTTTACTTCTTAAACTTACAAAATTGAGAGAGCACAATTACCCTAAGAAAAATAATCTCTAAAAGTCATTGCTACATCTCTATATAATATTCAGTATTCTGTTAATGGAAGCATCCTTATTGCTAGAGAAATTCTAAGTGCTGTCTTTTTCCCCCTTTAATAGGAGGCAGTATAATTGACTTTCGTTTTTATTCATTCTTTCTTGGAAGGGAAACATCTGGGAACAGATTTTACGAATACCCTTCATCTTGGAAATAATTAATGCAGTTCCCTTCATTATCTCAGTAAGTCCTAAAAGAACCTTAAAAAAACACTTTTGTAATTAGACTTAAGTAAAATATTTAAACCTAGATACTGTTAAATAATATGGTAGCTAAGATAAATGGATTTAGACTTTGGTTAGAATCATGATACTAAGCAACAAGATAAAATTGGTTGGATCGTGTTGTGTAACTAAATGGAAACTAATGATTTCATACAATAGCAGAGTAAAATATTTTAAAGAGATATATGTTCTGGGGATGCCATTTGACAAATGTCATTGTTGTTTAAAATTACTAGAAATTACTTATCCACTTATTGTTTATATTGTGGATTTTTTTTAAAAAAATAAGCCAATTGGAAACATATTTACAAAAGTTTTTCATACGTTGAAAATATCTATCTGTGGTTTAACCACAAGATTTATTAAGTCTAGTTCTGTTTTTAGTAAGGAGATTGTCAAAAGTCAGGCACCCAACATTTTGCTTCTTTTCAAACTGCTCTGTGTTATCAGTTCCATGATGATCCTATTCAACTACAGTCCCATAAATATGTTACTCAGCACTTTCCTTTTGCAAAACTATATTTTAATCGCAATTTAATAAAGTTATAATAATGTCTGTTGGGATTATCCTTTGTATTACTTCATTTGAATTTTATTTGGAGGATTTTGAAAATAAGTAGATATTACTTGGAGCTGTCGCTCTGTTCTGATAATTATTTTAATTTGAGTGATTTATCTAGAGAAGCAACTGGAACTAGATTAAATGACAGGTTAACTAAATATAATTCTAATTGAACATAGCTCCGCAATGTCGCTTAAAGTGGTTTAACATAAAGAGAGTAAGAGGCAATATTATGAAAAAAGAGAGTACCTTTCCTCTTTGTTCCTACTTAATACCTCAAGTTACAGAGAAAAGGAAGTCAATGTCTATTACAAACCATCACACTAAAAGATTCAATGATATAATTAGCATAGATATCTGCCATCTGGTGAAAGATTATTATTTTCTTTTTGCTTCTGCAATAATTTCCCTAAGAAAGATTTAGACAATGAATGAAAGAACATATCAATTCCTTACATTTTATTAAGAGTGAGTTTACATTATTTGTCATATTTTAAATTATTATACTTTCTTTAACAGCTTTTTTTCCATTTCTTTTTAGTATACTGGGTATGGTTTATTGCTTTGAGATAAAAGTCTAGTTTTGTTTTGTTTTGTTTTCCAGATATTCTGGCCTTCCTTAAGGAATCTATTTGTCCCAGTCTTTCTGAACTGTTGGCTTGCCAAACATGCCTTGGAAAATATGATTGTAAGTATAGAATTAAAGTGCAAATATGAAAATATTTTTAAACCATTTCTTATTTTCAATGTTTAGATTAAACAGAGAGAGAGAATTTGGGATCTAGTCTTGAACTTTCTAATTCTGCATTCTCCCATAACGTTTAACTCATACTATTGGAATTAATTAAGCTGTAATTAAATTTCCAAATGTTTCATTTTTAAACATCTTTTAAATTAATTTAGGTCATAGTAAATTGTTTCATTTAAATGTTTTTTTAATGAGTCATTGTGGTAAAATACTGTTAAATAGTTAAAGTGATGCATAGTGTAAATTTGAAAGTTAACAGACCTTAAATGACCAGTCTGCTGTATCTTACTCAGAATGAAAACTTGTAAAATGTCCATATTGCCAAGTTACTACCTTTGTAGGGTCCTATGACTGGTAAAGAAAAATGGTTCAGAATTTCTCAATGTCACTAAAAACCTTATTGGTTTTTGGACTGGTTCAACCACTTAGCCAATCTTCAGAGTACAAATATCCTTCCCTCCCAAGGCAGTTTGTTGATGCATAATGGGACTCCTGGCTTTTGAGGGCTCAAGTAAGTGATTTAGTCAAACTGCTCTTAATTGTAGGTAGTCTCATATGCAGTGAACATCTGTGGGGTTTCCTAAGATTCTATGTGGGAGCCAGAAGCCCCTCATTTAGAGTCATCCTTCTGGATTTGCTTGAGCGGGGTTGTGAGTGGGATATTAGGAGAAAAGGAAGCAAGAGGTAGAATAAAAGATGGAGAACTCAGAGCTGTGCCCCAGTTGCATTATACCCAAGGCTGACCCTGCTTGGTGGCATGGTTTATAACTATGACCCAAACCCCAAACATTTTTACCACAGGCTTTAGTACTTCAAAGCTAGCTGTAAGGCATTTCCATTGAGTCATTCATACCACAAATGTTAATACATGTTCACTATATACTGAACAATGTGATGGGCAAATGATCTAACTTCTCTGCTATTATCTTCATCTGCAAAGAAAAGCACCTACAAGTTTGCTATGATAATCAAATGAAATTATATATACATACATATATACAAAATGTACACAGATACATATGCATAATATGTATGTATAGTATTTTATCTGGCACAACAAAGTAAGGGCTCAATATTATTAATTTTACTGCATTGAAAATTATACTTGTTTGGAGGCAAAGTTATTTTCCATTTAAATGGGTTTTAAAATGACATTATGACTAAAGTTTTGGCCTAAAGGAATATTTGGATAACGTTTTAGTATTCACAACTAGATGAATGTTTCTAAACATTTATATCGAGTAACCACTGGAGTCTTATGAAAATACATTGCCAAAGGGTGGGAGAGTGTGGCCTGTGAAATGACTTGCAGAAACATTGGGCTGTCTTAATTGCCCTGATGAAATACTGTTTGACTAAATATAGATTGCCTAAATTGCTAATGAATAAAAATACACCAGAAAAAAATAAACTTATTTGTTAATTTCTGTGTTATTAGTTGTTGGAAAAAAATAACTCAAACAAGACAGGATACATTAAACAAATATTGACAGTAACAAAGCCTGTTTTGCAATATTAATTTATGATTCATTTTCCATTTTATTTCCATATCTCTTTTCGCCAGATGCTAAACTTGTATTTGCTTTTCTGTTCATTAATACCTCTGCCATTAGAGACTAAAGGGTGAGAGATGAAATCCAAATCAGTCAACTTAGTTATTTGTCTTCATAACAGTTCTGGTTAAATGAGTGGTGGACAAAATGAGTGGTACACAAATAATGGCTCATTGCCATAATATCTTTTATAAGAAATTAAACTTAGAAAAAAATTGTTTATTGGCTATTTTATTTTTTTTTCTTTTCAAAATAAACTGTCTGGGCTAATTGATGTTAATTTTCCTGATAATGAGCTTTGTTTGTAATTTCACTCATCTATTCCCTCTTCCTTAATTAAACATACTATTTTCTGATCTTTTGAAATTAGGATTTTCCATAAAAGTTCATGCTTAACATGTAGGGGTTTGGGGGAGTAAGTGCAACACCTGTTCAGATGTCTGTAATGCAAGTAAACTGAAATTTAGTGCTTTGGTAGTCTTCCTACAGCAATATCTTTGAACTATGCAAGCTTTAGTAAGTTACAATCAGATCTAGGCAAAAATGGAAATATGCTTATATTTCCATTTGAAATACATGTATTTACATATGTATGTATGTGTACAGGAGAGTTGACATGAAATGTATGCTAATAAATGTAATGAAACTCATGCATATTTAGTATTTATCAAAATTTACAACTTTTTTTCTGTATTATTTTAGAATGATCTACACAGAGCCATTCAGCGTACACAGTCTGCAATGTTTAATCAAGTTTTGATTTTAATATCTACATTACTATGCCTTATCTTCACCTGGTAAGATTGTACATATCAGAATTTGTGTTATGTTTCATTTAATTATAATTTCTAAAGGAAACCATATTATAAATAACTTTCATTAATAGTTGTCAATAAATAAATAAACAAATATTCACCAAAAAATGTAACAGATCGCCTACAGAAGAAAAAGTAACACTCTTTCTTCAGTCTTAAAAAATAATAAAGCACATACATCATTTGCTATTGATATATACTGCAACTCTGGCATTTTACCAACTGCTGTAAACAGCCAAACTATGAGAATTTATATTGCATCCCATAGTTGTCAAACAAGAATTTTTCCTTCAAACTACTGTTACAGAAGTGCCCTCATCTTTCTACATTCTTCAAAGCAGAAACACTGTTGAGAAAACTGTCCTTACCAATCACTGCTTCTGCCTCTGCTTTCTGTGCATGATTCTTAGTGTGCAGTCAGGCAGAAAGCCAGGGCAGATTTATGGACAGTGCAAGGCAAGACCTGGCACTTCATTATAAAAACATATAAAATATGCTTTATTATAAAAACAGTAATTTCCCTTTCTGGAAGGTCACACTTTGACAATTATAGAGTAATCCAACATGAAATATGACACCGGACATATGGATTCATTCAGATCCTTAATGAGAGAAAAAATGTGAACATCAAAAAATGAGGTAGAATAATATGTTTTTGTTGCAGGAATCTTAGATATGTGTAATTGTGCTGTGACCTGGGTCTGACCCTATTGAGAAAGAGAAAAAGCTAATTAGGAAGTACTAAAAAAGGAAAAATGCACACATACACTAGTACAACTGAGCTAGGTATAAATATGGCTATACATGTATGCATGTAAATATAGATACATAGGTATGACAAGTTTTTGTATCAATAGTATGTGGTTAGTAACTCTACGAAATGGTTTTCAAATATGTTTTATTGCATACTTTTATCATTTAAAAACAGTAGACCTATTTTAGCATACTTAATGCTTTTAAATATAAAATAACCTCTAAGATCGATATAGCCATCTTATCGCCTAGTGTCTTTTTACCTTTCGCAAACTGTCTTTATGATTCACCTAGCAATTATCTAACTGCATTAATATGAAACACTCATTGCAATTATTTCCCTTCTAAAGTCACTAAAAATTCTGGATTTCAATATAATAACATTATTTGGGCAACTTAGGAGTGTTTTCTCATCTAACTTAAGGGAAAGTACTTAAAATTTTTAAAAAAATTATGTATGTATGGTATGCATACGATAATTTTTCAATTGTTGGAAAATTACAAATACTAAAATTAATGATTACTAAATATAATGTGGGAGTCTCTTAAAGTAAATTTAGACAAAGGATAATTGAGATGTTAGTGTGAGAAAAAGGACACGTTATTTTTACATGATGACATTTAGCAGTACTTTTGTTCTGGAGGCATCTTCATCACAATAAATCTTCATCTGTAGTTGGCTTTCTATGCACTCCTACTTTCTGCCTAGTACTTCTATTTTTTGGGTAGTATAGGTGGCACCTAGACAAATTTCACCATTTTCTTATGCGAAAGGATGCAGCATTGCTAGAGAAAGGGTTATTCATTATTTATATGAAATTTCCACTATATAATGTATTCATTATTGAAATTATTTCTATTTCATTGTTTTATTTGGTATAATAGTTATTGTTTTGTTGTTTTGTGTGTGTCTTGTGTGTGTGTTTTAGTTTTAAATAACCGAGTAGTGGTTTTGAGATGTTATCTAATATTACAACTGTCACCAGTAGTGGATATGTCCCTTAATGTGCAATAATTACATAACATTAAGTTTAACTACATACAATTTTATTGTTTAATCACATGTATCATAATATATTCTTAAATTATAATAACTCAAATGGATAAACAGGTTTGATTTCTTTGTGTATTCTTCTCTGCATTACAAGCAAACTGTCTTCATAACTTATGATCATCATCATAAAATCGAATAAGTTTCATTCAAGTTCAACATCAAAGGTCTAATTACCAAGAAACATATAAACAATGTTATATATTAGTTATATCTTAGTCATAGTATGTCATGCAGGCTGTTTTAACAAAGTGTTACACCATACACAATGTAAAATAGAAATATCCACAAAAATACAGCAACTTAAACAAATAGAAATGTCTAGGTAGTCTGTCTAAGACTGTTTCCCCAGCTTGATACTGCTGGGGAATAATTTTCCTTATATCTTGTTCCTTCCATTTTTCAAAACATGGTTTCTGTCTATGGTTCAAGATGGCTGCCCTGTTCTTGCAAGTACGTCCTAAGTCCAGCCTGTAGTTAGAAAAATAAGACACAAGTTGTACTTTAGGCTAGAATTTGGTTATATATCCACACATGGCTGAAAGGGGGCCTGCAAAAACATTGTCTAGCTGGGTAGTAGTATATCCAGCTGAATATCATACTATCACACAAAAAAGAAAAAACAACTGGAGACTGGAATAAAAAGAAGTCTCTTGGTACTAAGTGATAAAAGTCCACATGTACATTAGTTGTTTAAAACCTAGGGTTATCCTAGTTTAGAGCCCTTGAACAACTTTTTTACACATCATTAAATGAGGATATTAATCACTCTATAAGGTTATTTTGAAGTGAGGATTAAATTAGATATAAAGTGTTAAGCAAATAGCATGGCAAATAATGTTAACACCTCAAAAGTTTTAGTTTTTTTTTTCCATTTCAAATGCCTTCTTTATAAAAGATGATTAAATTCTCATGTGAGTCCACAAAAACTAAATTACTTAAAAATATCTAAACATAGTATCCTTTTAATAAAACTATAAGAGGGAACCACTGTGCCTAAAATATATTAACAGAAAATATAAGAAAACATCTTTCACCACTGTATTCAAGTTTTCAGTATTTCATACCTATTTCTAATACTTGAGTCTCTCATTATCTCCACCAAGTTAAAGATAATGGTAGCATCGCTCTCTTGGTACATTTAATGCTTTCAATGACACACAGCATTGCGACATGCCCATGGCTCCAGTTTTACTTCATTCAGAGTACTTTTAAAATTTGATCTTAGTGTAACATGACAGATAAAAACCAGGGGCATGGTAAATAGGGGAATAATTTTAGGCCACAGAGAGGGAAGTAACTGTTCTGTAAAGATAAAAGTGAACTATTTTTTGGACTATTGAGAAATATTTCTCATATGAATAGATTCCATCATTTATTTTACCACTTTCTGAATATTGAACCATAGGACATGTCAGAAATTAACATTACTAAATCAGAACTTGTAATATGTACATTGTAATTTGAGCCTGAAAGATTTGGATAAATTGGCTATATTGTTCAGGAATCTTACAGTCTTAAAATTACCTGTTTTAGAAAGCTGTTACATGGTTTTTTAAAAAGATTTTCCCTTCACCATTACAAAGAACTATCAATATGCATCTGTCTGCAAGAGACACATGTTTAGTGCCAAACTGAAATAAAAATTAAGCTGCTGTGCTGACCCACTCTCTATGGGAAATGTGCTCAGAATTGTTTTTTCGGTCATTGTAATGGAATTGGACTAATCTGTCCACATATTGGCAGTGTACCCCTCTTCATCAATAATACACACTTCCAAGACAGCTGGGAATTGTGATTCATTCTGCGTCTCTAAAACAAAGCAGAGTAAACTGGAGCATCCGGGAATTAAATGCATGACTTTAGCTTAATTATCAACATATTCTAACCAATAATAAGCACTATCATTTATAATGAATTTGGTGTTTCTAATTTTACAGATAGATTTATTTTGCAACTACTTTACTTCAAACTTTAATATTTTTAAATTTACATGTGTTTATATATTTTCATATTATTTCATGGGTTTCTAACATAAGAAACTATATTATGTTAACTGATTTCCTGTTTTAGTTCAATGTTATAATTTCCTGTTTTAGTTCAATGTCATAATAATAATTGAATCAATTCACCTTCTCAGTCTTATTTCAAGACAAAATAAACTCATTTATTGTTTAAAAATATGATCATGTTAAACATGATTAACATGCTTAATTCAAAAGTACTTGGAATGTTCCTATGCATCGATTAAAACCTATTTAAACACTGGATGCTTAAGTTCTTGAACTCTATTTACTGGTTAAAGTCTAACGGCAAATAGCTACTTGGGAAGTGGACAGTGAGAAGATAAGTACTGTAGTTTGGATGAAGAATTACAACATGGTCTAATGGTGTTAATTGCCACTGTCATATTTGGTTCCTAGTTTTTTGTTTTTTTTCACATTAGTTTTTCTTACATTGTAAATGAATTACTGAAAGTGCTTTTGTCTGAAGATCTGGCAATTGACTAACAACTTTCTTCCTTATTCTTCCTGCTATGGTTTAAATTTTCATAATGGCTATGTATAATTTTTGAAAACAAAATAAGACGAAGTCACAAAAAGTGAGAAATGTAAAAGGAGGAAATAAAATTTAATACAAAATGCAAAATATAATTATATGTAATATTCAATATAATCTGCATAATTAATTTGATCCTTATTCAAATGAGTCTCATATTAAGTTCTACTTCCCCACTTTCTCCTACTCATCATTCAAGTCTCAACTTTTTGATTGTAGCTTCTCTATGACACTTTCTTGTAGTCTGTCTAAATTATGGAATATGGTCAAGGTTTATGCTTCTTCAACATTCTAAAACCTGTGAAATATATAATGATTCTTTAATTATCAGTGTTTCTTCTAGACTTTTATAATTCATGAGCGCAAAGACTCAATTTGCCTTTCTTACCATTTTATGCCCAGCATCTCTTATGGTAGTTGGATAATACTAGATGTTTAACTAATATTTGCAATTGATAGAAAATAGCATTCTGGAATAACAATACCCTTATCAAGTGGAGATACTTAAATATATTATAAGTTAAGCATTTCAAACCATGTATTTTAAGAACACTATTTTAAAACTCTTATTTTCAGTTAAGTTTTGTGTGAGGTCATAAGAAGGACTTTTACAGTTATAAGCCAGAGTGTAAATCTGTGAAAATGGCTTCTGGCAAAAAGATATGACTGAGTAGTAAAACTTTTGCAACTTTTTAATTTAAAAAAATACCCTTGGATATAATTTTTGTAAATTACACGCACATACCTTATAGAAATGATAAACCAAATTTTGGCCAATTTTGTCTCCATATAACCCCCAAATTTATGCCTTGAACATTTTCCCTTTTTTGCTTTTTTTTAGAATTTGTGAGAGCAGAACAATGTAATAAAATTACTGAAACTGTTAGAAAGAAAATGGGCTTGCTGCCCGATGCACAGAGAAGACAATAACTATGGCACTGGCTTTTGAGAAAAGAAGGCTTTATTGAAAAATTGGCCATCAAAGAGAGAGGTTCAAATCAGTTTCCCTGATTTGGGACCTGAAGCAAGTTTTAAGGGGTTAGAGGGCAAGATAAAGGATTTAGGAATGTTTACTTGACAGAGTTTGATTAGAGGACTTCAAATGTGGTCATTTACAGTAAGCTACGTTGAGGCAAAGTTTAGCCGTGCATCTTCCAAGTGAAGGAATCCCTCACTTCTGAAAGTTTTCAGCATTCAGATTCTAATTTTGTCCCAGTCTTTTGGTTCAGGATGTTGTTAGAGGTCAAAGCTTTTTCTAGGGCACATGCCCTGACTATGACTTACAGTTTTTGGCTCTGTTATACCTAAATGATAACTTGACATTTTATCAACAGAGCAGGCCCAGTTTGAGCTAGTGCCATGGTTACAGAACTAGCAACTGCATGGAGCATACAAACAAACTGGTTAAATACTCAGAGCATTATCATAAGTGCCATCATGTTTTTCTCTTCCCATTATTGTTTAGGATGTTTAACTTTTTTTTTCTATTTCTTTCTTTGATTTTTTTTCTTGAAATTTCTATTTTACTTTTGTCTGACCTGAATCCTGATCCTCTCCTGAAAATCTGTTAATTTTCCATTATTTTGAAATAAAGAAAATCCATGTTTGTACATTAGGGCACAGGATAGGGCATGGTCACCTTTTATAAATTATTAAATGGCAAAGTATATTGACCCCAAATTTATGGCTAATGACATGATTTACTAATGTTTTTTGCATAGACACAAAGACAGTGCTCAAGAGAGTGAGACATTTCTTTTGACAATAGAAAGACTGGTTTTATCATTACCTCAAAAAAAAAATCCCCTAGAAAATGTAGAATCCCAACATCTCAAATGATCGTATGTTTCATGGGACTCTTAGATATTAGGTATACAATCTACGGGAAATGAAAATGATTATTTGGGACAATTTAATTGGTATTCACTGAATAAATACCAAAGTGCAAGTTGAGGGCTGATTTGAATGCTAATGTTTGAATTACAGGAATGGATGAAAGTGTTAGATGATTTCAGCACAGAATGCCATTGCTAATTAAGTTTTTCCAGTAACTGTGCACAGCAATGAGATTCATAGGGAGTATATGGGATATTAAGCATTATTTATTCCTGCCATGTGACTTTTTTTCTCTGATAATATTTTGTTGTACAAATTGACATTTACCAGGTGGTAGAAAAGTTTGCAGTCTCAATATTTCCTTTCATTCAAATTAATGTTTTCCTTATAAAACATGCCAAAGCTTGAAAAATTTGTACTGCCAAATGTATAGTTAACATTTTAAAAGAAGCGCATTTTAAGAAGCACAGAATAAATAATTTGCAGTTAATGTGCCTTTGTAATGATATACAGGACCTCTTTAAGTAAGTAGATTAATTATGACTTTTAGGTATTTTGAGAGGGTAACATAAGAGTTTGTATTCAACTTCCTAATTAAATTTTGTTTTAGAATTACGTAACAACAAAATTATTTTGTATGGGTTTGTGTCAAAGATAACACTTAAGAATGTTTTGTAAAGAAGCAAACTCCACAGTATATTCTTAACTCAAATCCAACATTCTTCATGAGATTATCTTGAAATATTTTCTAAAATAAAATGCATTTTTATAAAAGAAATAATTAATATTGAAGTCTTACAAAACATAATTTATTTAAATTCTTTTATATTTGAAATATATTCTTACGTAATATAATTTTTGTTTTATATTATTTTGTTTTTTAATATTGCTTTTTAATTAAGCAGTCACCCATTCAGGAATGAGAATATTATACACCTATATATTTATTTTGTATATATTAACAAAATTATATATGACATTGTAGCAGGTAGGTTTGACCCAGTTGCAGGTTGGGGCTGAGATGAAATGTAAAATTGTATGTCTCATTCTGGATGTTTTTAGTCTCGTGCGTTATCTGCACTGGGAGCTTTGCCTTTAATAACTCAAACGTTCCTCTTCCCAGAGCCTTATCTTCTAATTCTGGTTTTTATCACTGCAAAGAGCTCAAATCTATCATTGTTGTGAATGGTGCATTTTGAGGCCATGACTTAACTGGTGGGGGCTCTCTCACCTGTACTCTCAAGCAGCAATTGAGTGCAATCTCTTCTAGGTCAGGGCAGGCTGTTCACTAAGTTAACTGTTGACTCCTTCTTATGGAAGATAGGTAAGAAGCCTTGACTAAAAATAGATAGCTTAACGATCAATAATAAATGGCCTCCATTCTATTTTAGTTTGTGCTGAACCCTTTCCATTTACCAAGTGCGTGCTATCTAGGTTGTTCTTAATACATTTACCTTATTTTCTTTCACCTCTTATTAACTTCCTTAATTACTCTCTTAATGATAGTTGTTGTCACACCAGAGTGACTTCAGGGAGTTGCTTTTTTTTTTTTTGGTAAGCTTTAAGATGTGCTTGCCATTTGGAATAATGGTAAGCATAACAAAACTCTGGAACCACGCAGTCCAGGGCTCATATTATGCCTTTTTCATTAATCAATTCAGTAAGTATAACTTCATGTCATTTAACTGCTCTAAGTTCAGTTTACTATCCATAATATGTAGATAATAATATTGTATAGAATTGTTGTGAAAAGACTGAGTTAATATATAAAAAGTAAGTACTAGAGAACACAATTCATTATATGAACCAATAAATTATTATTATTATTATTTAATTTTTAGTGTGAGAACAGTGTTTTTTTGTGGGTAAGAGGGCTATGCTTGCCTGAAAATGGACTCCACTGTTATTTTCTAAATTGTCTACTCCTTTTAAATCAGTTTTATCTTCAGACAGCCTTGAGAAAGTACATAATAATGTGTGTTGAATAAATATGGAATACAAAGTTTGGGTGTAAAAAATTATTTTGTTTGGAAAATAGCTCACTTTTTGATTGGGATCTCAGTTGAGAATTAAATTGTTTTGACTGGAAAATACAAAGAATTCCTCTCAGGAAACTTGTATTAAGACCAACCGTTGTACCTTTATGCATTAACATCCACATTCATACACTAATATGTATTCTTTGGTTTAACTATATCATGCCTACTGTCTCCAGGGCTTTTAGGTAACTTTTCTAGAATATATTTCTGATATGCCTGTGTCATTTATTGATGTCTATTAAATGCTTGGTATAGATCAGATTATAATTATGCTTACAGAGATGAACTTGGTTAGTACCTGATCTTAAGAATCTTATGATGTTTTGGGAAAATCATGTATAACACTAGTGGTATGAACAAAGTCAAAATGGACTTCAGATAATGCACAATTTAATTGCATCTATTACTTTACTCCCCTATTAACAAATAACCAGAAGACCCAATGGGGCATAAATAAGATCTTAAAACTTAGGAATTGTTAAGGGCACTTTGACACCTAAAAATGAGAAGACAAAATCTGGAAGCAGTCAAGAAAGGTACATTTTGTTAATCAAAGAAATAAGACATATATAGAAGTAAAATATAATGGTAGCACAAAGGACAGAATGGAGCAAATAGAATTGTATTGTTTTAATTTTTATACTATACATAACGTTAAATTCTGGAAGCAATCATTACAAATGCAATAAAACAAAATAAAACAAAAGGATTTTGTCAGTAAATCAATAATGGAGACAAAATGGATCTTTAAACATACTTAAAAAAAAAGGAGTGCCCTACTTAAAGTGTAGTAGAAAAAAACATGAAAACTTGGCAAAGTGCAAGAAAGACTCCCGGAGGAAGTCTGCTTAAGACATCCTTTTCCTCCTCCACTTCCAATATCAGCTTCTACCTGTTCATGCCTCCTGAGGCAGGCAAGAAAAGTGCCAAGAAGGAAGCAGTTGGGATATTTTTTGCCATTGGGGAAACTGGAGAGCCTGAGACTAGAATAAAGTTACTAGAGTGAGGACTGAATGAATCGGAACCAGATAATTGTTTAAACTTGGAGATCCAGTGTAGGTGGACATCGGCTGGAGTGAATTTTACCAATCTGCCTGGGCTCCAAAGAGTTAAGGATGAACTAAAGAGCTTGGCTGAGGCCTCTCCATCTACTGAAAGTGGGAAATTTGAGAACAGGGTCAGAAAGGTTTCTTGCTGGTGCCTCAGCCAGGTTTTCACAGCCAGTGTACTGCTGGCCCCCAGGAGCAAAGACGCCTCTGCTTTCCTGAGAATTGCCACCACTTGCTCAACAAGCAGATAAAAGAAAATAATCATCTAAGAGGGCCAATAATAAAAGAAGGGAAAAACAAATAATAATCTAGATAGGTCTCTAATTAAATAGACTTGCTCATGGAAATAGAACACACTATGGAATGGACTTTGAAGATATATGTGGAATAACTAATCAATACTATAGATGTTCATAAGAGAGAAAAACAAAAGATAGAAGAAAGATAATAAACAAATAATAGGAAAAGAAGGTATGCTGTTTTGAGGAAAGATGTGAGTCTAGAGATTAAAATATTAGAAAAAAACCACCATCTCAGCATATAGTGCTAAAATTACTTCACTCCAAAGACAAAGAAAAACTTGTTCAAGCTTCCGGTAGGAAAACAAAAGATTAATGACCAATTGACTTATAAATTATGTACTGCCTATTTACAAAAGGTAGGCAGCTTGGCCTTCAAAGATGTCCATGTTCTAATCTCTGTAACTTGTGAATATGTTACATTAGATGGTAAAAGGGACTTCAAAGATGTAATTAGGGGAGATTATCCTGGGTTATCCAGGTGACCTAGTCTGAAATCATATGAGCTCTTACAAGAAGAAAACTGTGGGGCTGGCGTCAAATAAATGCACTATAAGGAGAGATGAGACAGAAGGGAAAGAGAGATGAAGTATGGGAAGGACCAGCCATTTCCAGCTTTGAAGCTGAAGAAGACCACATGCCAGGGAATGCAAGAGTCCACTAGAAGGTGAAATTGACTCCTGGTCAAGAGCCAGGGAGGAAACAGTACTTTAGTCCAACAATCACATGGAACTGAACTGCATACAACATGAGTGGACTTGGAAGCAGATTCTCCCCTAGAGCTTCTAGTAGTGAGCCTGGGCTGGTCAACACCTTGATTTCTGCCTTGGGAAACTCATAGAGAAGAAACCGGCTGAGCCTACCTAGACTTCTGGACTCTAGAATTGTGAGAAAATGAATTTGTGTTATTTAAATGCTATTTGTGGTAAATTTTTTAAATGCTGTTTGTGGTAATTTTTTTTTCCTGCAGCAATCAACAACTAGTACAGTTTTCATGGAAAATAATTCAACCCAGCAATTCCATTACTGGGTATATACTCAAGAGAAAATAAATCATTCTACAAAATGGGCACAGATGGGTGCCCATCTGTGGTAGATTGGATAAAGAAAATATGGTACAGATACACCATGAAATACTACACAGTCATGTCTTTTGCAGCAACACAGATGCAGCTGAAGGCCATCATCCTAAGTGAATTAATGCAGGAACAGAAAACTAAATACTGCATATTCTCACTTGTAAGTGAGAGGTAAACACTGGATACATAAAGATGACAACAATAAGCACTGGGGACTGCTAGAGGAGAAAGAGGGGAAGGAGGGCAAGGGCTGAAAAACTACCTGTTAGATACTATGCTCACTATCTGGATGATGGGATCATTTGTACCCCAAACCTTAGCATCATGCACTATATCTATGTCATAAATCTGCACATGTACCCTCAGTACCTAAAATAATAGTTTAAATTATATAAAAAATAAAATTAATGCATTTGCAACAATCGTTGTATCTGCTATACTGGAAATTCCAAGATGGTTGAAAAATATGTATAGACATCAGAGAGAAAAGCCTGAAATCAAGAATCCTATACCCACTTCTCTAGGTGTAAGAAAATTATTTCAGGAAATATAAGGATTAAAAGAGTACACATTCCATCTGAGAAAAATACACAGGGAAGAATAATAAAAAAAATGGAAAGATGACAAAATATGCAATTGGCTGTGAATTATGCAATGCATTCATTTAATCAATATTTATTGAGAAACTAAATCCATTTCAGAACTTCTAGGGGGCTAAAGATAGAGAAATGAGCAAGTAGAGAAAGATAATGCTTTCAGATAGCTTATATTACATTTGGGGGTGGGCACAGATGGGAGATGAATAATAAATGTTTATCTTTTCTATGTTGAGTACCGATAAAAACTATAGGGAAAGATAGGGAGGTAAATTTCAGATAGTTTGGTGAAAGAAGGCTCTAAGGAGTAACATTTGTGGTGACACGTGAATTATCCCCCCATTGGATGTGGCATGATCTAAGATATGACTATAGAGGTTGAGTGACCAAGAAGTGGAGGAAGGAAAGATTAATGTGAAAACATTAAAACAACAATCTGAGAAGTCAGACTGTTTCAGTCAGTATCCAGTCAAGAAAACAAAAATTACTGTCTATTGGAAGGGGGAACTGGTGGCAACATTATAGAAGTACTCAAGGAACAAAAATAAGAATATGAGAATTTTCCACTTCTGAACTGGAGGAATTAAAGTAAAATGATGAAGTTGTCAGTATCATGGCGCTGCCTTACAAGAATTTACAAGCCACACAATCACTGACTTTGGAGATCCAAGGAGTCAAAAAGCATCCCTCAATGTTGCTGCGACCACCTGAGCCAAAGTCCTCAAGTGCCGTAGTGTTGAGGCTATGGAAAATCCACTACTGTGATTGGAGTCAGATCCTAAGAATATCGTTCTACTGCAGTCTCTGGCGTGCCTTCTGCTGACACACTCCACAAAAGCCAGGCTTCCACACACACCAGCTATTGGTGCTGTTACTTAAAAGGCCAAAAAAAGATAAAACAACAAAAACAATAACACAAACTGAAAAACAAAAATAAACCAAAAACAGAACAAAACAAAAATAACAGGCAAAAACAGCTTCTCATTTACTGTGATCATTAGTTTTATGTCAGCCTCACTGGGCGACAGGGTTCCCAGATAGTTGTTGAAACATTCTGAGTGTTTCTGTTAGGGTGAGTTTGATGAGACTAACATTTTAATTAGTAGAGTAAGGCAGACTGCCCTCCATAATGTGGGTGGACCTCATCAGTTGAAGGTATAAATATAATTTTAAAAACCCACCCTCCCCAGACCCTCCACTAACTGACTTCAGACTTCAACACTGGCTTTCCCTGGGTCTCTCACACCATCAGCCTTCATAGTTTAGTGAGTCAATTCCTTATAATACCATCTATTTATATAACATATTGGTTCTATTTCTATGGAGAATCCAGACTAACACTCTTCCTTCTGTATTCCAGTCTGCCAATAGTGCCTCTGTGCTGACAGAATCTAACCTGAAGTCAAATGACAAGACAGACAGGAAATTTCAGTTTGCAGACATAGTTTCCAAAACATAGCTGAGCCGTAAAAAGCTGATATGGAGCTGAGTGCATATACAAGATTGCCTGTACACAGGTTGTTGAGGGAGTCATCTACATGAATGGAGACTGAGACCATATAGGAGAGTTAGTGAAATAGGGAGCTTAGTGAGCTATAGAATAGGGATAATGATCTGGGTTATAATCTGTAATTTTAGACTTTGATGGTGACTAAAGAAAATGAGAGGCATATGGCAATAATCATCAATATATTTCATATAAAGGTGGGTTATTAGTTCTCAGAGTTTCTTTGGATTCATTCAAAGGCAGCTTATAGCAATGAAGTGGTAATGTGATAGTAGCTGGGATTAGTGATATTACTGGAAACATGAAAAGCTTTACGTGCCTTTTAAAAACCTTGCAGATAGAAGGCATGACTTTAGTCGTGCACTTGTACAACTCAAGGTCATACAAGCATCTTTATAGAAAGCAAGGGAAGTTATAGAGGGATCTCTTAAGTCTGTGTGAATTTAAACTTAAGAGGATATTGTTTTATCAGATAATACAAATACTGTGTGGGAATACTTGTCTATTACCCGATTCTAATAACTGTCTTGAAAAAAAGAACTAAATTATCTGAGCAAACCTAGGAGAGGGGAGAAGGAAAGCTAGGAAAAGTGTAATAGCATTCCAAAATTTTATTTGGGAATATTTATAATGTATGGTACAGAAAGGACCATATCTCTTTGGTCAGTCTCCCCAAAAGAGGGGAAAAATGAGTAACAACAAAGTAAAAGAAAAAACAGTAAACACAAATGATATTTAAATAACAAATACAGATTAGTTCCTTCATTCCCCTAAACATGAAGGAACTAAATTTTTCTATTGAAGAAAAGAGAGTGTCTTATTGAGTAAAAAAATTAATGCTCCTTATAAGAAGTATATTAATGTTCCTTATAAGAAGTATATTTTAGTATATTTAAGGTGGTAAGGAAACTTTACAAAGGGATAACAAAAAAGTGCAAATGAAAAGAAAGAGGACTGGCCTGGCACGGTGGCTCATGCCTGTAATCCTAGCACTTTGGGAGGTCAAGGCAAGCAGAACTCAGGAATTTGAGACCAGCCTGGGTAACTTGGTAAAACTCCATCCTACTAAAATCCAAAAAAAAAAAAAAAAAAAAAAAAATGTGTTGGGTGTGGTAGCGCACGTCTGTAGTTCCAGCTACTCGGGAGGCTGGGGCATAAGAATTGCCTGAACCTGGGATTCACAGGTTGCAGTGAGCTGAGATTGTGTCTGTACTCCAGCCTGGGCAACAGAGTGAGATGGAGTCTCAAAAAAAAAGAAAAAGGAAAAAAAAAAAAAAAAAAAAAAAAAAGAAAGAGGGATTAAGAGGGATATAGCACTAACAATGCGAATATTTATTAATTCAGTAAGCGTAATTTTGAATTTCTTTTAGGTTGCTAGAGCTGGAGCAGTAATTAAAATGATCAAAATCTTTTTTAACTTAGGGATAATGACAATAATCATTAGCTGACATTATATAATGTCAGCTAATAAAAAAATGAGAAAATAAATCTGTGGCGAGGATGGAGGCAGATGGGCTCCTTTTTTAGGTAGGGTGTTCAGGGAATTGCTCTCTACAGAAGTAGAATTTGAATAGGGAAATAAATGAAGTATTCAAATAAACCATGCATATGTCTAGTTAAAGTGTGCTAGGCAGAGGAGGAGTCAGTGCAGAGCTCTGGGACAGAAGCTTTATTTACTTATTTGAAGAACGTACTCAGATAGACGTTTTAATAAAAATGCTGTGGATACTATATGGAGAACAGGCTGTGGGGAGACAAGAGCAGTAGCAGAAATACTGGCTGGGAGGTTACTGTGGGACTCCAGGAAAGAGGTTATGAAATCTTGACCTAGAATGGTAGCAAGGAAGTAGGCAGTGATTGGATTTGCAATCTGCTTTAAAGACAGAAGTGACACACTTTTGATTACAAACTAGATATAAGGTGTGAGGACAAAAAAAAGAATAACTTTGAGGTTTGTAATCTGGAAAACTGTGAATGATGGTGCCACATACATACAAGGATAAGAAAATCTGGAAAGGAATCTGGAAAGGAATGGAAATAAGGAGTTCATTATATTCTACATAACTTTTAGAAATACAAGGGGAGATGTTAAATAGCCATTTAGCTATAGGATCCTGGAGTTCAGTAGAGGGATTAGGATTAATGTGTAAATTTGGTAATCATCAACATATGAATGATCACTAAAATCACAGGATTAGAAGAGAGTACCTAGGCAATGACAAAGTGGAATCTCTGATTAAAAGTAAAACAAAACAAAAACCTTTACCGGGCAGTGGGAGGCATTATATAGGGATGAAAGACACAATGTGTTAGTAGATAGGGTCTTCACCTATGGTATCTAAAACACTTGGCCATTAAATATACAAAGCAAAAATGAGTGAAAATGCAATGAGAATTTGATAAAAATATAATTGTAGCAGAAGATTTTTATAAAGAACCATATTACTAAAATGGATTTGAGAATATTTTTTTATTTTCCACTTCTTCAAACACAGCCCTTTCTATACCATCCTACCCAGATGGTTGTCTATTTTAAACCATAGTCAACGTCAGAGCTTTTATAGTACATTTTTGTTATTATAAAAGCATTTTCCTACCCTCAAGCAACCAAACTTATGCTGAATTCATACATCTTTTTAAAACATCATAAAGTCAATTTTTCTTTTAAAATTCTTCATTTTTTATTCTTTTTTCTTTATTAGTGCCTTTTCTATTACCCACCTCCTGAAATTGTGCAGATATTTTTACATTTCAACTGAGTATAGAGTCCTTATAATGAAGATTGTGATTCATTGCTTTTCTTCTCATGATTTCCTATTAGTACATTGTCTAAATTATTTCATCATATATGATGAAATAACCTTTTTCTTGTCCATGATCTTTCCCAGGATATTTTAAAGTATTTTGATTCAGAGTGTGTTGAGATACTTATTTTAGCAATGTCTTCTTTTTCTACATGCATTGCTTAAACTGATGATATCTCCTACCCAGGTTAATATACCAGGGTTACATTATCTTCCACTAACATCTTGCTTTGCAAATATTATATAGAGTATTTCTGATTTTCCCTAATAATCCAGGTTCATTGGGACACTTAATATTCTTTTTACAGAGCCTGTCTGTTAGCCCATTGAATTACATTTATTATAGGTCTTTGTTAGGTCTTTATGTATAAGTTTTGGGTATTTATTTTTAGGTTCCTGGTTTGCTAGCACATTGATTTTAGGATGTTCTAAATATCTCATTAGAATTTCATATGAGCTTGTTCCCTCTAGTGTGCCTACTGTGAAGGTGGAAAACCACTTTCAATTCTCTGCTTTATAATTATCTTTAATATTGACAATTGAGAGTACTCGGTCTTCTTTTCTACAAGCCAAATATTCCCCAAATGCTTTAACTGTTCTCCCCAGGATTTTTGTTTGTTTGTTTGTTTGCCTTTCTCTAAATTTTTCCCATTTTATGATTATAAATTCAAACAGGGCCCAGTGCTGAATAACTGCAAAGATCCAGCTCATTTATATAAAAGCATTGTGTAATTTATAAAGTGCTATTCAAACATGAAGTAGTATTTTTATTGCCACAATTTAGGGGAAATATTTTTAGTTTAAAAAAATGATTGTTCTTCTTAGGTTTTATTTTTCACAGAGGCATATTTATATACAGCTATCTAGAGTGTCGTTAGGTAGAAAACAAAACAAAAAAAGTCATTAGATTTGAAGATATCTTGGTGTACCTCTTTCTTGCTGTGTGACTTTAGTTGAATAACAGGCTTCCTGAGCCTCAATCTACTCATTTGTCAAACGGAGAAAGAAGAATATTATATAAACTTCAACAATAGGATTTGAGACAGCTTTTAAAGTAGACATGAAATTGGATTATTATAACAGAAACAGAAAAAACTATAAGTCAACAGAGTCGGGATTAAGTATAAACATTGTATAAACATTATAAAAAGCTTCCAGGCCACACAGTAGAGGGCAGGTAATGCAATTTTACTTAGCTCTCATTAGAGAGAGTAAATACATAGTTAGAGAAAAACAAAACACACGTTTCTCAATGAAATTAATATTTTCCCTCTTGCAGAAGTCAGGAATTTCATTATGTAGGCAAAATAATACAGAAATGTTATATATAATAATACAATATATTTTTTATAAAAATTTTTATAATGTGCAAATAGCATTGGCTCCCTGCCTATTGCCTTAGAGTTTTGCTTGCATTATCTCTTTTAATTCCAGTAATAGCTCTAAGACACTGAGATACTTATTATCTCTTGTCTATAGATGAGACAAATAAGGTCAGAGGGAGTTAAGTGAGTTTTTAAGTAAGTTGGACATCAGAAATGAGTCTGGGTTTCTCTGACCATGCTCTGCCTTCTTTTTCATGCATTGAAGCCTTATCAGTAGTTTGAAAGCAATTCTTTTTTCAGGGGATGACATGTTGTGGTGAAAATTATGGTGTTTTCCAAGATTCAACTTTATCCTAGGAGATCCATTAGAAAACATAGAGCAGTGGAAGAATAATTTACACTTTCATTTAACTTTTCCTAATATCATTCTCTTTCCAGACCTTTGGTAAGAGTTAGAGAGAAAGTTTTCAAGGCTCTTCCTGCTCTCGGTGGCCTGACTTCTCTATCTGCCTAGATGCTCATAGAGGTAGACGGATTTCAAGATCATCTAGAAGCTGATAACTGCAGCAGTCCAAAAAAACGTTGTTAATTCTTCTGTCTTTCCAGACAACTTTTTTCGTCTATCTTCTCTGTCAGTTACTCCACTATTCACCCTATCCCTTAAAAGAAGTGAAAAAAACTTGGCATATCTGGACTCCTCCCCTTTCTTCACACTGAGTATTCAATCCATTGATAAGCCCTATTGGCTCTACCTCCCAAATCTTTACATCCAGCTCTGCACTGTCACTACTCCTTTTATGCTCCATTATCTCTTGCCTGGATGATCTGGTCTGTCTTCAACATAATTGCTCCCTTATAATGCTTATCTCTCTGACCCCAACTTACATCGTACTTTCTCTCCTTCAATAGGCTTCCTCACCACAGCTTTCTTTTTGTTCCTTGATGATGTTATGATGATTCCTGACGTGTGGGTTTTGAACTAAATGTTTCTGATTCCTTGTATGTTCTTTACTTAGCTTTCGGCCTCCTTTAGGTCTTGGCTTATATGTCAAATACTTAAAGAAATCTTTCTTGACAACTCAGTTCAGGGTCTTAAAAATATTGCTACACCATCTACCACCAACTGCTCTGTAATACATGTTTTCCATTATTTTCGATCATTTGCTTGTATCACAGTTTTTTTCTTTTGATAACATAAAATATGTTCTGGAAATGAAACTGAGTTTTTATCATACATTTGAGGCAAAATATTTCATTGAAGATGGAAAGAAAGAGAAAGAAAAAATGAAACAGTGAAACAGTGATTTTACTTTAAGTTCAATTTCATCCAAAGCGATTAACAATGAAGGCCAATTAATGAACTATATTATTCTTTTCATACTAGCCATGTTTTGAACCTTGCAACAAATATTTAAAACAGGGATCAAAACTTTATAGATCTACATTTCTAATGGGTAAAGACAGGTGGTAGTAAAAAGAGTGATATTAAGTGAGTTCTTTTACATTACATAAGTGGAAGGAAGACACAGTAGACAAATTTTTCACTTAGGAAAGACAGTATAGCTTAGTTAAATTTCATCTTATTTGGAACATTTGTCTTAGTTAATTAGTAGCTTAATAACTATTACTGGTTTAGTTCACTAGGTTTTAAATGTGGACTTAGAATACAGCCCCTGAATAAACAAAGTACTTGTAGGTAACTGGCTCTCTTCCTAATTGATATATCTCAAAAATGAAGATATGTCTAATTTCAAAGATTTCACAGAGAAGGCTTATTTAACTTCCACAAAGTTGGGGGTAATTGATGAAAAGCTTTATTGTATTTCTAGGGCTACCTCCTATGAGTAGAGTGAATCTTGGTCAAGATTTTTACCCTTACTGCCCTAAGATGCTGCTTCTTTAGAGAAACGAGTTGGACTAGATCAATCAGTTATTCCCAACCAGTAAGCTGTGGTTCCACAGCTTGCTCCATACTTTTCATCAGTGTCATCATGGGTTTGTTATTCTATGACATTGATAATTGCTAAGAATGAAGATAAAGACAATTAGAATAATGACCGTTAAATGTTATTTTTAGTTGAATGCGTCTCATGGAGTGAAAAAGTATAGAGAATAGTATATTTATTGTACATGTTGGATTTAAAGAAATCTATCTTTTGCTTAATTTTTTTGTCATGTGTTTTGAAAAAAATACAGAGTAGAAGCTTTTATTGAATGGTAGCATCTTAATTGCAATATTATTGCCTACCTTAATCTCCTTGAGTTTAAAGAATCTGATATGCTAAGTCTCTGACAAATTTTCTAAAAATTAAAGTCATAAGAGCAATGTCCGTTAGGTTAATGCTAACACAGACTATGTTTTCCAGTAACTTTCTTTAGTTTAGAATGTGTCATTGACCTTCTGACACTGCTCTTTGAACAAATATCATTGATCAGGAAAACAGTTGTAATTTGCAGTAATTTTTTTTTTTTGGTCTAAGAGGCCATTCTGTAAAGATACTGATGTATTTGATACTAGCTTATAAGCAATTAAATGTACCATTGACAGAAAGGTTAGTTGAATGCTCATGGACTGCTCAGCTTCCTTTCAACAGTGTTGTTACTCACATATGGTTATGTTTGTATATTACAGAATTATCTATGAATATTATAGTCCATGAAATGGATATAAGTTCATTAACCATCTCTTAGAAGGGAGAAATTTTTCAGTTGATTTTAAGCAGAGCTTATTATGAAACTGAAAGGGCTATCATTATGACAAAGTTTCTCTGTTGATGAACATGATATTTTAATATTACACTTTAAGAATTGAATTCAAATAAGTAGTTACATAAAAATAAGAGTCAGTCTTATTGTGAGAGTAATTCTCATTGCTTACAATGTGAAGAGACATGTTAAGCTGTACTTTCTCTTTTATTTTTAATGGTTACATTTGGACCATTTCTGATAGAATAAAACAAAGCTTATTTTGTGCCTCATTTAATTTCCAGAAAATGTTGACTAGAGACTATTTGGTCTTGTTATCTGGCAGCAGCTAGCAAGATATTCTTTTGGAAATGCAATAAATGTGTACAAATCGTTTAAATTAGCTGATATTTATTTGGTCCTATTTCATATTTCACATGTGCAAGGACATTTAAATTGAGTGTTAATCTTACTAACTTCTTGATAGTAAAGAAGATGGGATGTATACATATATTATTTTATTTTTATCAAATCTGTGAACATATCTTTAAACATATAATGGAAATAGTGTGTAAGCTAATATTTCTATATTATTTCTTGGATATACACTTTACTTTTAAGGGCTGAATGAGATAAGTAAAATAAATTTAAGCAAAAAGAAAAGTAGGTTGTAGAGAATAAAGGGCTCACAACTTAGAAAATCCTTTTAGACTGAATTTAGTAGCATTTCTGTATCTATTATTTGCTCTGGTTAGAGCTATAAATTCACTTGGGTGATTTTCATGGGCAGTATTAAAGTGATTTTCAGCCTGAGACTAATAGTTTAGTGTAAATATATTTGCTGCTTGGGGCAGTAGGAACCACTCACAATATCAGTAGATATTGATTTACTGATGACCTCAAACACTTCCCAAATGATTTCATTCTCTTGCTTAAAATTCTTCATTTGTGCTGTTAGAGTCTTCAGGGTAATGCAAATATCTTAGTGTTGTATATGAAATAATTTATAATTTGTCCCTGCTTTCTTCACTGGCCTCATCTATTCACATTTGCCCTACTCGAAATGCTTTTGTTTATGATCATACTGCACCAGAGTAATGCATTTTACAGTTGACTTTTTGATGAAAAATTTTATTAAATCTTCTTTATAACCAGTAGAATTTGTTTTTAACTGGTCACGATGTTGAAACTTTTCCTATCAAGAATTCCCTTTTTTTAAGGTAAACTGATGAGAGGACGACGAAATATAAATTCAAAGGAAAGCAGAATAGGCATTATGCTTGCTTGTTTTTGAAAGTTAAGCCTTAAAAAAAGGAAAAAGGGAAACATAATTCTTAGAACGATTGACCTTTTGTATTATTGTATTACTGGGAAGGGAGTAAAGGTATATTTAGAAACGGATTTCTGATATCACAGTGAGCTTCAGAAAACCAGTGTAAGTTCTTTCTAATATTAAAGTCAGAAAAGTTTATATGAAGAAATATTTACATGTGCATGGAGGCTATGAACATGCATGTGGTCATGTGATACATACCTGTAGACCCACACATACACTCCATAGGTATACACACACACACACATACTCTCTCTCTCTCTTATGTTTTTTGCAAGCTCATTTCTTCTGTAAGCCACCATTAAATGATGTAGTTCCTCAGGGATCATTTCTAGGCCCTTTTTTAATTTTATCATTTCTTCTTATATTTTTCTTTTGGGAATATATCTTACATTTTAGTTATATTATCTGTAATTCTATAAATATAGCAGTATGGGTAGTGTGTTATGATATGTGTCCATGCAAATTAATGTCTAGGGATGGCTAATCAGCTTGTGAAGAACTCTAATCAGGAACCGGTACCAACTATTGCCAGTTTCAAGTGTCAATAGTTCTGTGCCCAAATCCTTTCAAATTAACATAAGATGAATTAGAAATATCTTTCAAGACATGAGGTTGGCAAGAAAATATTGTTTGTTTGCCTCTGCCCTTGTGGGATTGGATTATAAGAACACGGAGAGCACAGTAGCTTAACGCTTTAGGGAACCTTTTCAAACCTGTTTCCATTTAACAGCAACTTCAGTCACCTGATTCCACAAGCTGGTTATTGAACCTGCCTTTAGTACATTTTCATACTTTTGTGGTATGAACTGTTTTTTCCCATGTGTTTGTTCCCATGTATTTGTCAATATGTAAACCTGTTTGATCTTACAAAATAGGGATTAATAACTATTTTATGTGATGGAGTTTCATCTAAGATTTTGCTCTCAATGTATAATGTTTAGCTGCAAGGCTGTGGAGGGCAAGGAGAATCAAGCTGAGGCCTCAGCTTTTCCTCTTTACATTTGTGGTTACAAATATGCCCCCAAAATAACTTGAAAATGATGACCAAATAAATAGTCTTAGGTCAGTTACTATGGCTTTCATTACAACGTTTAAATGCAACTGTTTTTGTTCCATTTCCTCTTAGATTCCTCAAACTAAATATGTCCAAAATAAAATTTGTATTTCTTCCCAAAATGTCCCCATCTCTGAGATAGCAATTACTGCTCATTCTTTTGAGCAATCCAGATACGTAGGAGGCATTCTTAACACTTCCTGCTTTGTTACAGAATACACAATCAACAAATCCCATAGATTTTACCTCCTAAACACCCTGCAAATCTATCCACTTCTGTACTTCTTAGTCACCACCTTATTTATCTAAATGATCATAACCTCTTTATAGCAAGAGCTATATATGTATGTGTGGCTTACCTATATTCCCTCTGGCTCTATTCCAAACCATTCATCTCATGACAACAAAATGACCTTTGTGATAGACAAATATGATTGTGTTACCATATACTTAATACTTGTTAAAATATTCCACGTGTCTTGTTGTATAGGCAAAGCGTGTTAATTTGTTCTGAATTTCTTACATGAACACTATTCTCCCTATGTTTTTATTCTCATCTCACATTTTTATTTATTTTTTCTCTGCTTCAGAGTCCTGTTGTTGTTGTTTTGTTTTTACTGCCTCCATCATGCTAACCTCCCTTCTACCTAGAATGCTTAACCTTCTCTACCGAATAAAGGCTGAAAGCTTGACATCATTTTTATTTTAAGCATGACTCTTGCATTGAAGTCCGAACCACCTGCTTAGGTCAAATTCCACTATGAACGGAAGTCATAACTCTGGGGCCTCTTCTTTCTGTAGTTGTATACATGTACATTAGCTATTATTTTCTATCTCTTCCACTAAACTCTAAGTTCCATCAAGGAAGCAGTCATGCTGGTTTTTACATACCAGTGTCTTTGCCAAAACTAAGTACTGTGCCTGACACTTAATAGTACTCAATAAATAGGTGAATGGAGAACAAAACTTTTTCACATTTTTCAGGAGAAGAAAATCCTATAAGTTTTCCAAGAAGCAAGAAGTAACAAATTGAAAGTGTTCTCATTTATTAGTAGAAAGGTAAAGTGATTAAGTACCAGGTTGCCTTTATTTACTGTCTTATGTGATTTTGTTCTAAAAACGTGAAAATAATTTTATAATAGCTTTTCCGTCGGTGATCCAGCAGAACTGTTCTTTTTCCCAATAAGCGTTTAACTGCTTAATGTTGGAGTTTCATAGAATTGGAGTTTCCAGACGAAAGTGATGATTTTTCTTGATTATTGACTGTACTATGCGATTGCCTTTGACCATAGTGCTTTTGTCTCCTTATTTTCACCTGGTTTGATCTACTTTAATCATCCTTCTTATTCCATTGTTTTGTCTCTTTATTTGTCTACTTCCTTCACAATTCACAGTGGGAAATACATTTTACATTAAGCACAGTATGTATTTCTTAATAAATGTTTATGAATGGATATGAATAGATACTTTGTACAGCACATGACCTAAGGATTCAACAGAACAACACACTACATGATTAAAAGCTCCATCTTTCCTACTAATAACAGAACCCTCCCACTTTCATTTGTATACATAATAGTAATAACCCACAGGCTGAGTCTATAAAAACTCTACAAAGATTGTTTAGCAGATGCTTTTATTTTTTTAAATCATTAATGATGAAAGAAGATAAAATGTAATAAATAGCAATTTAACATAATTTTGTTTAAAGAAGTATATTCTATAGGACTGGCAATGGACAATGTGGACAATATTGAAATATTTAATATAAGAAAGAACACTTAGCACTCTGTTTGGTACAGCCTTAGATAATTTCTGTCTCACACCTTGGTGATTCTTCTTTCATTAGGTGAAAGAAAAAAAGGAAAAAAAAAAAAGTAGATTTTAAAATATATAAATTAAGATAGCTATTCAAAATGGAGAATATTTTGTTAAAATGAGACTTAAGAAGTGAATACTTTTTAAATATATATATATTTTTTATTTTTAAGGGTAATCTGAAATGAAAGGCCAGCTATGATATATGCCATGAATCTAGATACTGCAAAATGGGGCCTAATACTTTTCAGTTAATGTGGTTAAGATGTTTCATAGGTGTTTAAATAGTTTCTTTAACTAAAATTATTCTTAATAAGATTTAACACGGTTTCAGTTAACAAAAAGGTGGAATGTCAATTTTTTTAATGAGTTACAGTTTTGAGTCTTCCTTTCCATATGGCATGCTCAATTTGGTGAGCCACATTTCAAAATAATTGCAGTACTTAGGAAAGAAATCTGTCTTCTCCCAGCTTCTTTCTGAGCAGGATGAGGGAGCTTCTGTGCTTATCTAGTGCTTTGTTTGGCTGCTGTGGGTCTGTATGTATAGACCGTACTTTGTCAGGAGTTCTCAAGGTTCAGATTTGTAGGAACTCAGTAAAAGAGATGCTTAGTGAGGCATATTGATTTTTTTGGATCTGTGGAAGGAATGGTAGGTCATGCCAAAATGCAAACTTATGGGTTTTTAAGTAGAATCAAATTGAGATGAAGGGTAGAGATGGAGAATTTTTTAAATGTTGTATTTTAAGTTATATATTTTGATATCCATGAAAAAACAAAAAAAAATAGGAACTGACAGTTTCATTATTAAATTCCTTTATGGAACAGTTACTCCAGGGCTGTGTAATCCACATCATAGACAAAGATAAAAGTTACCCAAGTCATTTTATGATTAAGGTAAACTGTGATTCTTAATTACTAAGACAAAGCACAAATTATAGGCTCACATTCTCAAGGTTTATTCCACGAAACCCTAACTCTTTGAAATATTCTGTATAAACCAAAATATTTGGCAGATATGTTTGGTAAATCCTTTAAAATTAATCAATTCTCAGAGATACACAATAAATATTAGTGCAATAAAAAAAGTGAAATGTCATTTGATAAAAAACTATGCCTAAGCCAGAATTGCCAAATGTATTTGACTGCAGAATCTTGTATCTGCTTAATATTTACTGCCAAATTGGATTTTCAAGGAACATATACATACAATGAAATACAGAACTGAAGACAAAGTTCACTTTAAAATGATGGGTTTAAAAATCCTGTGGTAATAAATTGCCAGGATAAAATCATAAGTGCATTTAAATTAAAAATTAAAACCAAACAAAATATTAAACAAATAAAAAGACACTAAACATTACCTCAAGGGTAGACAGGGGTAGGATAATATAAGACTTTCTTTGTATCCTTATTGAATGTCTTTAGTTTATTTTACTTTACATTCTGGGATACATGTGCAGAATGTGCAGGTTTGTTACATAGGTATACATGTGCCATGGTGGTTTGCTGCACCTATCAACCCATCATCTAGGTTTTAAGCCCCGTATGCATTAGGTATTTGTCGTAATGCGCTCCCTCCCCTTGACCCACACCCACCGACAGGCCTTGGTGTGTGATGTTCCCCTCCCAGTGTCCATGTGTTATTATATATCTTTTAATAACAAGTCCATATTACTATTGTTTTGGAACTGAAAAGATTAGAACTGTAAACAAGTTCAAGTAGGATGTAAACCAAGGAGTGTAAGAAATGGCTTGCTACAGGTATATATTAATAAAATACAAAATCCAAATGGATGGAGGATATCTAATAGGAATGTTAAATTCAGCATGCCCAAAAGGGAAATATTTTCCTACCTTCTACCTGCAAAATTTTCTGTAGTATTTCTTACTTTATGTCATTATTAACCATTGCCTTTATCCCCTACTATCTGTAGGTTGTATTTGGAAAATCAATAACTATTTGTTGAAAACCACATAAAACAATATACTTGTCAAGGGGCATATTTGTTTCACATGGTTCTAGTCATGTATTCAATCTTCTATTCATATAATTCTGGAATTATTAAAGTATGTGAAATTCCCCAGGAAATTTCTGTATTTTCTGTTGTACATTGGTTGTAATCAAGTTCTGAAAAAGTGTTTAAGGACAAATTTAGCCATTTGTCATTTTGTTCTATAGTATTCATAATTTAAACACGTATTTACCTGAATTTTAGAAAAAAATACTAGAATACCAGCCTATAACAATTCTTAAAGGATTTTTATTCTGCGGCAGTGTTCTTTAAAACAGATATTAACCAAAGTGGACATTCATATAAAACTAAATCACGGTAAGGCAGAAATTACTATGTGAATTAGTTTTGAAAGCCCAAGTCCAGTTTAAGCTCAATATTGTGAATATTGACCACAGTTATGCAAAAAGATAAATATGTGAATGGCGAGATTTATCTGCTTCCTAAAGTGCATAAACTTTAAAAAAATAGGTATACTTAACATTCACAAAATATAAAATCCTTAAGTCATTTAAAATTAAATATCCATTTAAATCTTAATAGTGAGTATGAATATATGTTTTAAGTAATATAAAAAGAGAAAATTCTATTGGATTTTTTTTCAAAATATTACTATTTTAAAATTTAGGTCTTAAATGTTAACATATCATGATATTAGTTACATAACTTAGTGAATTGTATAAATATATACATATAGGATATACAGATACACTGTCTTTTATATAATCACAAATGAAATCCTTTTATTCAATTAATCTCAGTGATAAGTAATCCTTTAAAACAAGTCACTAGCCTGATGTTGACATACTGGCACTGAAATAGTGCTTAATCTTTTTTCCCTGACTGCTTTTCCAAGAATTCGTTGTCAGTTTCTGTAAATGATGGCAGTCAACCCTCCAAAGGTCAACTAATCTCAACATGACTATTCTTTGCAAATAGTTAAAGATTATGGGTTTACTTTGCAAATTGCCTAACTCTTCTTTTTTTGGAGCCTTCTATGATCGCCCATATTTCCACTTCCATAACCCTTGGGACTTGCAGCATTGAGAAAGGACAAGATTATAGCTACTCATTAATCCCTGGATGGTGTCTGCTGCTAATAAACTTGTTAGTGAATCCTTAGGAAAGAGGGATAAACACTATGTTCTTATCACCACTTTCTCTCTCTATAATCCCTGACTCTATCGTTAGCAGTAATATTTTATTTTTTTGTAAAATAGAAACAAAAGCTTTATGAGACTTTTGTGTATATATTTGATTCATTTTTATTATTCTATTTCTCTCATTCTGGGGCTATAAATAAATAACAAAATTACTACTGAATTCACTGAACCTTATTCTATCCCAGACATTTCACAGAGCATTAGCTCATTTATTTCTCATTATAGCCAATGGGAAGTTAATATTATTATTAATATATTTGCTTTTCATTTGAGGAGCATGAAGTTTGAGTAACTTACCTAGGTTAGCACTCAGCAAATAAAAAATATTTATTAATTTATGATATTATTAGTAATAGTAAAGTGAGGTCATAATCATTCACTTTAGATTCTAGAGGCTCTTTTTTTACCAGACTGGGTGAAAGACCTTTGTCCTATTGATACCTGCATCTGTAACATCCAGTACAATGCTTGGCTAGTAAAACATTAATAAATTTATTTGTATGAATAAATGTGACTAACTTTTATAATGTTAGGTAGCTTTTTTCCATTACAAAATACTTAAGTAAAATTTTATAGCACCTGTTAGTGTACATAAATGATTTTATTATTATTTAAAATTTATAGGTATTTTTGCAATGGAGAAATTATACTAAAAAGATATTCATTTGCAATTTTTCATTTGAAAGTAAATGACTATAAATGAATTGGAGTAACTTTGATATGTATTAACTAAGCAAAAATTATAAATAGAACATGGTGTGACATTGATTTCTTTTTTATATTTTAGATAGCAAAAAAATTTTTAATTTAAAATGTTTAGGCGGGGGATATAGGATAATAAACAAAATGTGTGTTACAATTAGGTAACTACCAAAACCGAGTATTTTAAGAAAACTTATATATATATATAAAATTTGTGTATATATATAAATAAAAATATATATAAATAAAAATATATTAATAAAAATAAATAAAAATATGTTTATGTATATAAATATATAAATATATTTATATATATTATATATATTTTATATATATAATAAATATTTATAAAAAATATATAAATATATATATATATAAGCTTTCTTAAAATACTTGGTTTTGGTAGTTACCTAATTGTAACACACATTTTGTTTATTATCATATATCCCCTGCCTAAACATTTTAAATTAAAAAATTTATTGCAATCTAAAATAAATATATATAAATATATATAAATATATATTTATATATAGATATATATTTATGTATATAAATATATATTTATATATGATATATATTTATGTATATAAATATATGTATATTTCCCAGTCACAAAACAATATTAAATTTGATTACTAGAAAATGTAAACATACCAAAATGTTTACTAAAATCCACCAACTATGGTTATTTATGCTGTAATGAGACATTATTAAATTCTTTTGCCACTTTTAATGTAATATATAATTTAAATTGTTTAACTTGGTTGTAACTGACTGAAAAGATGCATTTCTTTTATGATAAGGCAAAATAGAATATTATGCTTATGAATGTGCTGTATTTGAGTACATTTTGTATTTAATTTATCAGAAAATCTCTGCCTATCATTAAAATTATTTCTGGGTACAGACACAAAATAAGAACTCACCAAAATTCATTAATTTTGATGAAAGAGAGGAGACAGTTTTCATTTAATAATAGCTCCAAAGACATGTGTGAATGAAACAAGATAACTATATTATAATGCCTGATTATCACTGTATTGCTTCAAATCTTTACGTAGCATGTTTTAAGATTCACAGATCTAAGTAAAATAACTAATATGTATTTGTGTAATATTAATGTTTGTGCATAAGGCAAATCCAGTATGTTACCAGTTCTAAAGCTGTCTTTGCCTTAATTCTTATATAACATATAGGTAACAATCAACTGTCTGTGTATCTACCTGTCCTGAAGGCACACTTTCTTCTCTTCCTTCCTACAATTAGCTGAATTACTTTTTGAAGAGATAGTTTATATATAAAGATATATTTTACTTGAATAATTACCACAGAGCAGTAAAATAAGTCTTTATATTTATTATCTTTGAAACCTCTCCAGTTGTGTTGCCAGTAACCAAAAGAATATGCAATTAAACAATGTTTTCCACATGTTGTATATAGGTACTCTATAATGGGTATCAGAAAATGATGCTATGACTATATAATGTGAATCAGAATAGTCTATTCTCTGTTTTTAAATCAAACTTCTCCATGTCTTAGTATCATTTTGTAAAATAAAAACTCGGAAGTAGTAATTTTAAAAATACTTTTTAAATGAATTTTTTAGGATTTTATGAGGCTTGAAGACAGTTTTTTCTTAAACAGTGTGAACATTCTACCTTTAGGATGTGATAAGCTAGTGCAAATTACTGCAAAATTCCCCTCTAAACAATTTCAACTCTTTGAGGAGGTGACTTTTTACATAAAAACAAGATAATAAAAAGGGAAGTAGTTGTAAAACTTAATGTGAAAGTGACAATGGAGTCCAGATTGTATACCTATTACAGGCAATTCTGTCTCTAATATTGAGTAATTTGTTTCTTCCATAAAACATAGCCTAGACAGTTGTCCGAATGCTTTAGTATGTACTAAACTGATTGACTGAACTTTGTATTAGAGCATGCAGTATTCACTGTGACATAATCGGATTATGAATCAAGCATTTGATTTGTACGTCAACATGGTAGCAAAGTTAATCATAAAAACTTTTGAAATACGTTATTGACATAGACATTTCAGAATGAAATGTGACTAAAATAAATATATCTTATATTGGAATATGCAATCTGTTTTATAAAAGACAAGTTTTTAGTTTATTATTTACTTGTACATTATTTATGTAGAATGAATTTCAATAAGTAAATCAAATGCATTTCAAATTCCCCAATTTTTCATTTATTATATTTAAATATTACTACCTGAAACAAAGGCTGGAGTTATAAATACTAGTTACTAGGAAAAGTAAAGCCTATTTTACTTGCTTTTAGTACTTGACTATTTCAAATGATATTATGTTAAGTAAACAGTCCAAATAGTGAAGGTGAGATAAATGAGACAAAAGTTTAAGAAAGAAACAAATGAGATCCAGATGCTGTAGTCCATATTCATATATATATATATATATATATATATATATATATATATATATACATACACACACACACATAAGTATCTATTGCTAAATAGCAAAACACCCCTAAACTTAGTGGCTTAAAATAGCCAGTTGGTTATTTCTCAAAATTCTGTGGTTGATTTCCAGGGCAGATTTTCTTCCAGTCTTACCTGTAATTACTCTTTCAACTTCAGTAATGGCCTGAGGAGAAATGGAGGATGTAAGATGGCCCTACTATTATGTCTGGCAATTGGAAGAGAACCAAGTAGGACATCTTAGTTCTCTTTCACATGGCCTCTCATCCTCTAGTAGACTGTACCACCATCTTCACAGTGTGGTGGTCTCAGGGTATCAAGTAAATGAGAAAAAAGAGCTGCAATGTCTCTTAAGGCTTAGCATCTGCAACCACATAATGTCACTTTTGTCATATTTATTGGTCAAAGCAAGTCATTAGTCCAGTTCAGATTGAAGGACCTGAAGACATAGACTTCATATCTTGATGGGTGGTACAGGAATATTATATTGCAAAAGAAGGGTTTGTAGAACATATGAAGACTTCATTTGTTGGCAGCTATTATAATAATCTAT
This sequence comes from Homo sapiens, assembly GCF_000001405.40. Classification (NCBI taxonomy): domain Eukaryota; kingdom Metazoa; phylum Chordata; class Mammalia; order Primates; family Hominidae; genus Homo; species Homo sapiens. The sequence goes on along the minus strand of NW_025791754.1, from coordinate 284,264 downwards.
CAAACTACAGGTTATAGAGGTTTCTTTAAACAGTGAGAATCCCGCAGCTTTTCGAACCTGAGGTTGAGCTGTGTTTAAAGAATATGAATACTGCCCTTATGAGTACATTATGTTAAAAGGACAAACAAAAGACCTGGAAGCACAGTAGGAGACTTTTTTGGTAGTTTAGGTCTAGAAAATATATATTTGAATTAAGAAATATACATTTTAACTATAATCAGAGATCGGCTTTTAATGCAGACTCAAGCAAAAGCAAGCACTCAATATTTGAATCATTAAAAATATATGTTATCTTTCTTCTCTGTTCTCTAGTGAAGTATAAAGAAGTTAAGCAAAAATTGTTTACACTCTCAAACATATGTTATTTTAAATAAAATTTTAAAACTTGACTTCACAGAAGTGTTATACAATTCCATTTTTGGTAATACTAGACTACATTTGAATATTCTCGTAATTAGTTTGGCAATATTCCATAGGGGCAGCTGAGCCAATAAACTGTTATGAATCAACTCATTGGTTTAAGTATGTTTACAGTCTGGCAGCTCACACAAAATTTGTAAGCATAAAACGAGGGCGATTTTGCTGGGCCATTTTGGAGACCTGAAGTGAAAAAAGAAAAAGGAAAAAAGCAAATAAACACACACAACAGTTGTAAACAATTATAATGATGACATGTATCTTCCTTTCTCTCTTCTGTCTCTTGATACCTCTACCTGTGTACCTACCCAGCTACCTAACCATTCATAAGCTTATTCTTGACTGTACCAATATATATATATATACATAAAGACAATAGAATATGTATGCTACATAACTTAGACAAATAAGGAGATTATCTTAAAAGGCCGGAAAAGGAACTTCTGGAAAGTAAACATTGAATATTTATTTCTTCATGGTTGTCATAATTGAGCCATGTGCTTCTTGTGCCCAGAAGCCATAGTGAGTATTCACAAATATACACTGATTTTTAAAATAGCTTTATGGGGACATAATATATGTGTCATAAAATTTACTCATTTTAAGTGTAAATTCAATAATTTTCTCATGTATATTCAAAGTTATATACATAAAGAGATATATACCATCACCTCAATTTAGTTTCAGAACATTTTCACCACCACATTCCCATCATCAGTCCCAGGCAACCACTAATTTGCTGGCTCTTCTCTGGATATTTCATATAAACAGAATCATACAACATGTGGTCTTTTATATCTGACTTCTTTCACTCAACATGTTTTTGCTGTTTATCCAGAACTTGGCTTCTTTTAATTTTTATTTATTTATTTATTTACTGAGTAGTATTCCATGATTATATTAGTCTGTGCTGCTATAACAAAATTCCTGAGGCTGGGTAATATATAAACAATAGAAATTCCTTTTTCACAATCCTGAAGGCTGTGAAGGCCAAGATCAAGATGCTGGAAATTTAACATCTGTTGAGTGCCTTCTCTCTGCTTTCAAGATGGGGCTTTACTATTGCATCCTCCCAAGGCAGAAGGGCAAAAACAGCCCAGCTGGTTCTCACCCACAATTTTATAAGGTTGCTAATTCTATTCATGAGTGCTCTACCCTCATGACTTATCACCTCCTAAAGGTCCCACTTCTTAATAATGTTGCCTTGTGGGATTTAAGTGTCAGTGTGAATTTTGGAGGGGACACATTCACACCATAGCCTTCTGCTCCTGGCCCATCAAAATGCATGTCCTGCTCACATACAAAATACATTTTATTTCATCCCAGTAGCCCCTAAAGTCTTAAGTTGTTCCAACACCAACTCTAAGTCCAAAGTCTCATCTAAATATCACCTAAATTAGATATGGGTGAGACTCAAGGCATGATTCACCCTGAGGCAAATTACTCTTCAGCTGTGAGCCTGTGAAATTAAACAAGTTTTGTGCTTCCAAAATACAATGGTGAGACAGGCATGGGATAGATATTCTTATTCCAAAGGGGAGAAATAGGCAAGAAGAAATGGGTAATAGGTCCCAATTAAGTTGGAAATCCAACAAGGAAAAAACATTAAATCCTGAGGTTTGAGAATACTTTTTGACTCCATGTCTTGACTTCTGGTCACACTGGGGAGGAGTCGGCCCCTACCAGGCCATGGGAAGCCCCATCTTCTAAGCTTTGTTTGGCAAAGACCACACAGCAGCGTTTACGGAGTTGGGGTCTAGCATCTCCAGCTCTCCCACACTGGCATTTCATGCTGCTGACTACAGCTCTGGGGTTTCAGGGATGGCTCCACCAGGCATTGCTCTAGTTGGGGACTCTGTGCTGCCATACCCCGGTGGTAGTTCTCTTTCTTGGCCCCAAGGCTCTCCAAGGAATCCTTTGAAATCTAGAGGAAAGGTCACCATGCCTTCACAGCTTGTGCTCTTTGCGCACCTGCAAAATTGGCACCACATGGATGCCACCAAGGTTTACCACCTCTGACTTCCATAGCAGCATCCTGAGTCACTCCTGCACCTGCTTGACCAGCACTTGGGGTAGCCAAAGAGCACTGCACCAGAATGAAGAAAGCTGACTCTTGAGGCCCCAAACGTGCCCTGGTTTCCTCCGTTGAAACTATTCTGCCCTCAAACCTTTCACACTCTGGTCCTGTGATGAGGGTGACAGTCTGGAAGAGCTCCAAAATGCCTTTGGGATTATTCTTCCATTGTCTTGATGAAGACCACCTGGCTTCCTTTTATCTTACAAGAGTCTCCTTATCACATAGTTGCTTGGACAAACTGTTGGTGTTTTCTCTGGAGCACAATTTTTATTTACAATCTGACCTGGCTGGGTATTTTCCAAATTTTTAGGTTTTGCTTCCTTTTTGATTATAAATTGCATTTTTAATCCATTTCTCTCTTCTGACATTTTACTAAAAGCAGTCAAGAAACACAATACATCGCCTCGAACACTTTGCTTAGAGATTTCTTCTGCTACGTATTCTAGTTCACCACCTTTAAATTGTGCCTTCCACAAAAATATTTGGACACAGACATAATTACCAAGTTTTACCACTTTGTAATAAGGATGCCTTTTCCTCCAGTTTCCAATTAGATAGTCTTCATTTCTGTCTAAGAACTCATCAGAAAGGCCGTTACCGTCGGTATTTCCCCCAATATTCTGGTCATGACTGTTTAAATAATCTATAAGAAGAGTTAGGCTCTCTCTACTCTCCTCTTCTTCTGAGCCTTCACCAAAATTGCCCTTAAACACTGAAAATCTAGGCTTTTTTCTGGCATGTACCCTAAAACTTTTCCCACCTCTACCCATTACCCAATTCCAAAGCTGCTTCCACATTTTTAGGTATTTGTTATAGCAACACCCTATTTCTCAGTGTCAATTTCTGTGTTAGTTCATTTGTGCTGCTGTAACAAAATACTTGAGACTGGGTAATTTATGAACAGAAACATATTTCTCACAGTTCTAGAAGAAGGGGAGTTCATGATCAAGGGCTCACAGATTTGGTATCTGGTGAGAGCCTTCTCTCTCACCAAGATGACGCATTGTGGCGTGTCTTCACATGGCAGAAGGCAGAAGAGCAAAAAGAGGGCTAGCTGGTTCCCTCCAACACTTTTATAAGATTGCTAATTCCATTCTTGAGAGCTCCAGATTTAATCACCTCCTAAAGCCCACCTCTGAATAATGTTGCATTCTGAATTTAAGTTTCAACATGAATTTTGGAGGGGACACAAGCATTCAAACCATAGCAATTATACACTGATTGCTGTGTTGCAAATCTTACATCTTCCTCCAACATTGCAAAACACATTTTATTATTCATAGTCTCACTTTGCTTTTTTTTGTTGTTGTTAATAGCAGCATTATTTCTAATGTGATTTTAACACATTTCTAATTTGAGGACATCTAACAACTTTTACGCTGCTCTCTTACTGTCACCTCATCAATAGCTTTGCACAAATGATTGATTCATTTAAGGACTTGTTTTAAGAATTGTTTTGTGTCTTAGTCCATTTTGTGCTGCCATAAAATAATACCTGAAACTGGGTAATTTATAATAAATGGAAGCGTATCGGCTTATATTGCGTTTGGAGGCTGGGAATCCAAGATCAAGGTGCTGGCAACTGGTGAGGGCCTTCTTGCTATCTCATAACATTGTAGAAAGGCAAAGAGAGAGAAAGCACACATGAGACAGAGAGAGAGAAAGAGAGAGAGAAAGAGAGAGAGAAAGAGAGAGAGAGAGAGAGAGAGAGAGAGATCGATCTTGTGAGGGAGCCCATTCCCAGGATACCAACATTAGTTCATTCATGTTGGTGGAGCCCTTATGACCTAAACACCTCTTAATGGTCTCACCTTTTAGTGTGGTACAATGGCAATTAAATTTTAACATGAGTTTTGGAGGGGACAGCATTCAAACCATAGCATTTGGCAATTGTTAACTCCTCAAGCCTTTTACTGTCTTTCTCTTCTTCCTAAATTATAAAAAAAGAAAAAGAGTCTCAAAAAAATTATAAAAAAAAAGAAAAAGAAAAGACTTGGTATTTTGGTAGGGATTAGAGGTAGCGATTTCTTGTGTTGATGTTCATTCAGTGTCTATGTGTATCACCCATGAAATTATCTGTTCATTTTGCATGTTACTCAAATATACTGTGTGATATTTTAGCTACCACTTTTGTCTATTAATCAAAATAAGATCATGTCTGGTCAATGTAGGACAAGAACTTACTAATTATATCTTTCCTAGAAAAATATATTGTAAAATATAAGAGGGACTATTAAATGGCTTTATGAAATGTGCTTTGGCTTTCAAAAGAATAATGATGAGAAATTATGTGTCCAGTTTGAAAGATTTAATTGTAATGCATATTTGTTTCTTTAGCATTTGTGGGATCCAACATCTGGAACGAATAGGAAAGAAGCTGAATCTCTTTGACTCCCTTTATTTCTGCATTGTGACGTTTTCTACTGTGGGCTTCGGGGATGTCACTCCTGAAACATGGTCCTCCAAGCTTTTTGTAGTTGCTATGATTTGTGTTGCTCTTGTGGTTCTACCCATACAGGTAAACAAAACCATCTTATATTGCATAGAAATGTACAGAGACATGAAATTGAATCCTCCACATTTAATAAGAAATGGAAAGTGGCTTATTTATCTAACACTAATTTACTAACACATACTATCATTACATTTAATCAATTACATAAATTACTGCAGAAATGTCATTTTACATTTTATTAGAAACACCGAGTTGCTTTTTTTTCCTTCCAGTCATGACTGACAGCACTCATCTTATTTCAATCATTCAAGATTTTTTTTAGTATAGGGTACTTAATTATATTAAATATAGAATAACATAGTTTTTAATTATAGGATGATAGATCAAAGAAATAAATTTGTGAAGGGTTGATTTCTCTTGGTTCTTCAAAATAAACCACAAAGTCATACACTGCAATGAAGAAAAATCTATTACTTATGTTTGTCAAATAAAATCTGGGCCAGGTGCAGGGCTCATGCCTATAATACCAGTATTTTGGGAGGCTGAGGCAGGTGGATGGCTTGAGCCAAGGAGTTGAAGATGAGCTTGGGCTATAAGGTAAAACCCCATCTCTACAAAAAAAAAAAAAAAAGTCTGAACATGGTATGTAAATATTATGTGGCACTTTGGGGAGTGAGTAGGGAGGTTGCAAAGGGATGGATATATAAATGGAATTAAAGATAAGTAGATGCAATCTCTAACTCTTTCCTATAATAAGCCCTGGCTGCCCATGTGTGGGCAGATCAGAAGCAGGCTATAGGGAAATGCAAATCAAACTTGCATATTCCATTGCAAAACTTTGGCCGCAATGTATCTGAATAGAATACCTGCAAAAATGGCCTTCCTGCTCCGATAAATTCATGCATGTCTTTCTTCCTGACATACCCTCCCTTGCACCTTTCACTTTCCTCCGTTAATGGCTACTGTACAGCTAGAATGTGGCCTTGTGTGTTATGGTAAGAGTAACTCCTATTGCATGAGATATGGTTAGAATTTGACAGAGAATGTGGGAAAATAGCAATGAGGCTTTTCTCTTTCACTCAGCTCTACTGGACATAAAGCAGAGGTACAAACCTCTTAGTGGCCTGTTATTATGTGATAGCAAAATCATGTTAATATGTTTCCTTAGAGACCCGAAGCCCCTGGGAGACATTTGCAGCCTCTGTAGAAATTATATGAAAAGTCTGTCGTTGAAGGGGAATACTGACAATTAGAATCTCAATGAGTTCCATCTAGGAAATTGAAAATACCTAATAAACAATAGATGTATTGCATTGATTTATTTATTTCCTTACTGTGTTTTTCATTCACATGTGGAAAATATATTACAGTTTGAACAGCTGGCTTATTTGTGGATGGAGAGACAAAAGTCAGGAGGAAACTATAGTCGACATAGAGCTCAAACTGAAAAGCATGTCGTCCTGTGTGTCAGCTCACTGAAGATTGATTTACTTATGGATTTTTTAAATGAATTCTATGCTCATCCTAGGCTCCAGGTACATTTGGCTTATATTATGTGCTATACTGGATCATACCTACTAACATATTGTCAAAGTCAATTAACTGATGGTGCAGCCTGCTTTGTGGAGGATTTTTATTTATACAACCAAATATAGAAGGAGTAAATGAAGAACCACAAATATAACCAGGAACATAGAAAAAAAATGCTGGAGGAATACTCAGTATTTTAAGTTTCCTTCTGTATCTACGCTGAAAGACAGATGGAATAATGTTAATGCTACAAGAAAATTTTTCTTTGAATTAAAAGATTGCTTTTTCTCCCTTGGGTAGAGCATAAATGATATTTTTATGGAACAGTGAATTTTAAGATAAAATATAATAAAACAAGAAAGAAACCATTTCAATATCATCTGCTCAGTTAAAATACTGCAGAATTTTATCAAGGATTGCTAATGGAAATGTGGAAGTCTGGGACTTTCATTTTTTTCTTTTGTTTCCTGAAGTATAAATATATCCTATATGTATAGCAATACATGACCAAAAATTGGACAATAACTAGCTGAATTGAGAATATGAATTAAGAAGAAACTTTTCTTTCTGTCTATGCAGATAAAATTCTTGAATATTTCCACTTTCTGCTACGGGCCATGGCATTAATCTCCTTTCCTGCTTACTGCACTTAGTCTGTTGAAGGTCTTGTATTTACTCAACAAAGTTTTGTCAAGAAGTAGAATAACTCCAGACTTCAAGACAATGCTTAGTATTTCTAATTATCCTTTCCTTACAAAACATAGAAATATTGATTTGTGAATATTTTGTAGACCTTTATAAATACTATATTTTTGTGTTTTAAAACACCTAATTTATAATTGATTCTTAAATGATAGAATCATTTTGTTCTATCTTAAATGGCAGAATCATTTGGTTCTTATTCTTTTGTTTTCATATGTTAACTTGCATTTTTAATAGCAACTCCATACTTGTTTTTTTAATTATTTATATTTAATTAATTTCAAGCTTACTTATCATAACTCATAAAGGAAATCCATTTGTGGGAAAATTTTGATCCCATGGTGTATTAGCCTGCTCTCACACTGCTATAAAGAATTACCTGAGAGAGGATAATGTATAAAGAAAAGAGATTTAATTGGCTTACGATTCCACAGGCTATACTGGAAACATGTCTGGGGAGGCCTAAGGAAACTTATGGTCACGTGTAATGCGAAAGGGAAGCAGGTGTGTCTTCACATGGCCAGAGCAGGAGGAAGAGGGTGGTGATACATACTCACTATCAGGAGAACAGCAAGGGGGAAATCTGCCACCGTGATTCAGTCATCTCCCATCAGGCCCCTCTCTTAACATTTGGAATTATAATTTAACATGAGGTTTGGACAGGGACGCAAATCCAAACCATATCATACAGTCATTAACTTTATCTAGTATCAATGTAGAGAATTATTTAAACTCCAGAAATTCCTAGTAGATATATTTTACAGCAGTAAAATGGTGAATGTTTACCAGAGAATTTTAATTTCTATAAATCATTGGTTTAAACTGTTTCACCACTCAGATGTAATTTTCTCCAAAGGACCATATATTTTGTAATATTTTGATATCATGTTCATTTAATTTACTTTGTCAGTATTTTCAGTGTTTTTATGGATCCTTATTCATTCAAATATTCATCAGAAACTGTTCAAAATTATTGTTTCATAATTATATAGCTAAATGATATAAATCGCTATCACAATTTTGATCCTAAAAGTAATGAAGTATGAATTGATACTTAAATGCTTCTGCCTGGTGTTCAATGTATATTTTAGGATCAGTCTGTAGATAAAACTAAAACCTTCACAAGCTGAAAGTGTGTGCCAGGTATAACCACTGATTACCTTCCCTTATGGTCTTAGTAAGACTGAAATAAGTTGAGATGAATTTATTGATTTATGAGATTTGTGTATGTCCCAGTTGTATTTATTATAGTGTAATTGCTATTTAATATATGTCCAGGTTTTAAATGTGAAATTTTATTAGCAAAAGTTCATTTCAGTTTTATCATATTTCAAATTTTTCTTAGATATTTTATTTTTCTATGTAGTGTAACATAAAACATTTTTGTTTCTATTCCATTGCCCATTTTGTTTTGAATAGGATTATTATGTGGTGATTTTGTGTCCTACTGAAATGGATGTACAGGTTCGAAGGGTACTGCAGATTCCAATGTGGTCCCAACGAGTTATCTACCTTCAAGGTTCAGCCCTTAAAGATCAAGACCTATTGAGAGCAAAGTAGGTATCCCTGCCTTTCATCTTGCAGCTTACAGTTTTGAGTGACTTAATATTTTCTCTTTCCTCCAAATTTTAGCAATTTTCAGTGTTGCAAGATGTGTTAAAGTATGTTTGAGTATAGACTCTTGCCTTAGTCCCTCTGCTGGCCAAACTAAAAGGTCAAAAATATATCATAAAATCAGTGTGTTTACTCCTCTTTTTCAGCCTCATCTCAAGGCAAAACTGTTCAGAAGACTGTGACCACACAGCACAATGAAAAAAGTGGCCCAGAATAATTATCTTAAGCTGTCAGAGATTCACTGAGGTATCCAGACTCACTGTTAGAGTAGTCTCCAAATCCCCGAATACTGTTTTTATCCCACATATAAAAATTGTGGGCTAAATATGGTGTGACATACCAGTGCAGTGTGAGTTAGGGTTTACATTTTAAAGAGCTTGCACTATGTATTGGACACATAGCACTTGTGTTGCCTGGGGTCAGAGAAAAAATGGTTGCCATGGACTAGAGGAATCAGAAAGGTGACAGGACTTACTTAGCTACCCTCAGCTACCCTCTTCTTTTTGTGCATGTACCAGGCAATTTGTCTTAAAGGTGACATAGTCTTAAACATTTGTCACAAGTTACCAAGTTGTATCATATGAGTAGAGTGAGAGTATTATTGAGCATAGCGTGGACACCACAGAAACAGAGTTTCTGCAAAACAGTCTCCTTAGTTTCAGATGCCAGAAGGTATCTTCAACAAAAGTGGTTTTGCTCAATATTTTCTGCTGTTTTTAAAGTTTTAAACATATCTTCATGTTTACCCTTGAGTTGTCCTGCATACTCTTCTAGATTTAAAAGTCTCCCACTGAATTGAATAGCATAAGTGCTTTATACTTTTTTTTTTCTTTCCTGGATAACCTGAGTGTGCATGAGCGGGTGTGTATTTGTGCCTGTCTTCACTGTGTGTGCAAGTGTGTGTGTATGTGTGTGTGTGTGTCTGTCTAGTGGGTGTTGGAAAAGAACAGAAGAAAAGTCAACTGTTTTGTGGAACAGACTTCTGGACTCCTTTGTGCTGCATAATCCTTCAAATGATGACTAGATACCTAGTCAGGAACTCTGATGTTACCTTTGATTTATATATAATAAAGTCGATTTAATGGAGTTTTTTTTCAATGATTCAACTTCTGAAAAAAAAACAGCACGAGAAACTAGCAGGATATAATGAGTGTTATCTAATTGGAAAATTACATTTCTTTGTGAGTATTTTCATCTTTTTGGTGGATTAAATACTTTATATTTGTGGTCATTGTACATGTGACAGTTCTTTAAGTCATCAGATTTTCCCAGCACCTCAGGTAAACCCTGGCTTTAGGTGTTTACTGTTTGCTATCTATACTCATTATTTGGGTGTGCTAGAGAAATAGATGCTTAGATACTACTGTAATCTAGATCATTGTATTCATTGGTGTAGATAATCAATATTCTTAATTTATTGTATGATAGTTAAGTTCTTCACACAATAAACATGAATAACATTCATATTATGTTCAATATGAATTTGTGTAATACATGGAGGCTTCTTTCCATCTAACAAATTTATCTGAGTTATTGGTATTAGCTATTAGTATCTAAGCTATATACTATTTAGGATTAATGTAACTAATTTATTACCAATAGTCTTAAAATGATGTCTTGGTAAAAGCGACCATATTTACAAGAAGAATTCCTCCATGTGATAAAAGAAAAGGGAAGGGAATGAAGGAGAGAGAGAGGTAGCTATCTGGTCATACTCTAAAAGCTATTTAAAAAAACAAGTTAGAGTGACGCAGTATCCATTTTTATGTTCATTTCCAATCTTAGCTTCCTATAAAATATTTGGGATTTAATATAAACTAATACATTTTTCAGTGCAATTCCTCATGCATAGAGCATGGAGTAGGATTCTCCAAACAAGTTTCATAGGTTAGTTACATGAGTTTTGAATTGTTTAGTTGAAAATGGTGTTTAAAGAAAGTTATCCAACACTCATATTATCTTAATAACCATGGTGCAACATTTTCCCAGAACTGTTTGGTTTGGTCTTATTTCAAGGACTTTTATATTTCCTCCCCATAGAAACCATTTTTTTTTTTGGAAAATATTTACTTTATCACAGAGAACCACAGAGATAAATGATTCCTCATTTTGAAAATAAACATTCTTGTGCTCTTAGAACATCATGTATCAAACACTAAAATATACTGTGTCTTTATCACTAAACTTAAGAAATATTGAACCCTAGTATGAGGGGAAGGGGCTTGGAAAAAGATGATGAATGATCTCCAGGAAGTATAAATACAAACTAGAGTTTTACTTATGAATACAGAGGAGCTGTATTCCACCCCTCTTAGTTTGATTCAGACATTACAGTTAAAATACTATTAATCATAAAATAAAGACCAATATAGCCCCTTAATTTACTCAAAGCATGCATATAAAATATATTTAATCATACAAAGAAATAACATTTGGCTTTTATTAACTTTTGTCATAAAACATTAAGTTATAATAGACAACCCAATAGCAAATTTTTTTTTGTTCAAAATCAGATATAGTCATGATCTGCTAGAAATTCAACTTTCATTTAAGCTTAAGGATATACATGGTCTACATGTACATTTTGTGCAATATATGGACTCAAGACTGAAATTCTATTTTTCAGAAAACCTGTAGATATTTCAGTGTGTGATTATTTTGTTTTTCCATCTGTATTTAGGATGGATGACGCTGAGGCCTGTTTTATTCTCAGTAGCCGTTGTGAAGTGGATAGGACATCATCTGTAAGTTTCTAAAATCTTTTTTAGTAAGTTGTGCTTTCCATTTTAGAAGATTTTTTTTAATTTGAGTTTTTAAAAATTCGCCAGCATTAAGTATTGGTGACCTTAAAGTTTTACTAAAAGGAAACAAATATTACTGAGCTATCTTTTCCATAAGAACAGTTGTATCATTGATTGTATTAACAAAAGTGTTTTTCAAATAGTTTCTATGAATATTCTCATAATCTGTTGATCAAAATGAATCATATATAAACAGAACTGGAACATTTTTTATTAAGTATGTCTTATGATATGTAGTTTTGTTAAAGTGGCCTCAATTTTTTCAACCTTAAGACAAAGCAGATGGATCAGGCATTAGAACCAATTGGAGAGTTTCTCAAAACTATGCATTTGAGAACCTTCTATTCAAGATATTTGGGGTGGTAATCAACAATCTCTGTATTTTTAAAAGCTCCACAGGTAATTCTGAAACACATTTCAGTTTGGTAACCTTTGGCTTATATGATATTTATGATGCATTTTTTAGGTCCACAGTTCTATCAAACTTTAAATTAAATTGTATAAAGCAAATAATGGTATAAATTATATTTAAAATTTTTTATTTTATAATTTTTTTAAGTGCTTCATTATTTTATGTTCAGTAAATTCTACTACCTCCTGTGTTTCTAAGCCAATGACTCCATCTCTAGCCATTATCTGCAATGTGTGGACAAATGAGAACAATTGGTGGTTTCTATAGAGAATGGGAAAAGGCAAACTGTGCATAGATCTTTCAGGTATACGTTTTATTCTCTTCTGGAGCACTTAATAGGCATACTCTTTTACATTAATCTAGGACTGTAAGTCCTGAATGGGCAGGCTCTGTGTTGTCCTCACTCTAATTTACCTAAACTACTTATCCATTTCTAAAATGTTTAAACTGATTTTCTCATCTTTCATTTGGAGTGGGCTGCTATTAGCTGAATTGTGGGCCTACAAAATTCCTGCGTTGAAGTCCCAACCCTTAGTACCTCAGCATGTGAACTTATGTGGTGATAAGGTGTTGAAAGAAGTAATAAATTTATAATGAGACCATTAGGGTAGGCGCTAATCCAATATGACCAGTGTCCTTATAAAAAGAGAAAATTTGGAGGCAGACACGTATACAGGGAAAACACCATGTAAACATGAAGACGGCAATATACATGCCAAGGAGAGAGGTCTGGAACAGATCCTTCCCTCACAGCTCTCAGGAAGATCCAACCCTGCCAACAACTTGATTTCCGAATTCCAGTCTGTAGAACTGTGAGACAATAACATTCTGTTGTTTAAGCCATTCAGGTTGTGGTACTTTGTTTGGCAGCCCTAGGAAACTAACAGAAGAGTGTAGACCAAAAAATGATTGGAAAACTTTTAAAATATTTTTTGAAATATATATATGAGAAAAAGTATCTGCTCCCCACTTTCTTCACAATTACTACCTTAATTCAGATCAGACTGATTCATCAGTTCATTTAAGCACTACTTTAATCGTTTCTTAATTGGTTCAACATAGTAGGTACTCCAAACATGTTTATTGAAGAAATGAATTTGAACTGAAGATAATCAAGTGTTTCTATATTTGGTTGACTTATGTAATTGTGAGTGTTGTGCCCCCTCGAGTGGTAATTTGGCTTTAAATTACTTTCAGTTTTTCAGTATGTGTACTATCTTTGTGTAGCAAAAGAGGTGTAAGCATTAGGAAATAAATACATAATACCTTCTAGAGTACCCTTTGTAATGTGAATTTGGAAGGTTTTAGTTAATCAAATGCATTCTCTTTTTTTTCCTGACACTACTAAATTGGAAGAAATGAGTAAGAAGATTTATACCTATAGGGACAACAGATTTGGTAGATGAGACAATACTAATTTTATATTAATAATAATTTTGCAAGCTACAAAGCAGATAGATGAGTGTCAACAGTGAAGGAAGTTAAAATTTAAGTTGAGACAGGAAACAAATTAGAAGCAAGCTGCGTTTTGCAACCGAACCTCAACAGTCTCAGAAAATAGAGGTACCAGATGTCTCTGAATGTAGGGTTATATGTATGACTAAATACATGAATACTGGTTAGAAGTCTATAAGAAAAGTAGGTTCTTTGAACCCCTGTACATATCCATTGCTGGTTACTTTCCTAATCCTGGTAAAAGAGTTTGCTATTTGGAGAATTTGATCCAGGGATACTCTACTCAGAAACACCAGCTACAGTTAAGAGTCTAGGCACCATGCTAAAATTAAGGGAATTAAGAGTAATCATATCACTGAACGTGATATGATTTTCCCAAATGACTCTGAGAAGCATTACAGCCTGGTCCATATCTCTATTGACATTGACACAAGATTGGAGGAGTTTCCTCATGGGAAATGGTTCAACACAAGATAAAATGCATTATATCATTCAATCAAAAGTGTGTGTGCCTGTGTGTGTCTGTGTGTCTGTGTGTGCAGAGATATGAAACCTGGTGTTCCCCAGTGCAATATTAAACATTGATCACTCTAAAATGAAATCTATGTGAGAAAAGCTCTCTGCCTCCACTCAACTCCTAACCTCTTTTGAGTGCTTAACTCCTGCTTGTATTCAGACACCAGACAGCAGACATAGGGATTTGAGGACATTTCTAACAAGAACAAGAAGGAATAAGCAAACAAACAAACAAAAACCATACACAAAAAGAGAAACTCAGAGGAATCAAACAATACCATATAGTTCTGGAAATAGAAATCAATCTTAAAGTATATATTTAATAAATATTCCTAGTAACATGAGAATATGGTACATACATAAAATAAGAATAGTAGACTAGATCACAAAACAAAACAAGACACTCAGTGAACCTGAAAGAGCTCCTGGAAATTAAATCTAGCATAACAAATGAATAATTTAATAAAAAGCCTAGAAGGTAAACCTAAGAACATTGAAGAATGAAGAATAATAAAATGAACAATAAAACCAAATAGTGTAAAAGAAGAATTAAAAAGTTGAGAAAATTATGGTAGTTAGAGAGAAGCAATATCAATATAGTAGGAATTTAAGAAAGGGATTTTATAAAACACTAGGGTAGAATATTATGAAAGACATAATACGCCCAAATTTTCCACACAAAAATTGTCAAATTGAGAGGGCCCACTCATTATACAATAAGGACTAGAAAAGATCTGTGCTGGTCAGGGAGAAGGAAACAAAAGAAGAAGCCAAAGGAAAAAGGAAAAGGCATATGAGGAAGAGGAACAATAGGAGAAAAAGAAGAAAATATTCAAAACTAAGGGTGGAAAATTGGAATGTCTTCAGATGTCTCATCAGTAATGGCAGAAGACAGTGGGACAATGCTTTCAAAATTCTGAAGGGAAATATTTTTTCACTTAGAATTTTGTATCCTGGCAAAAGTTTGGTCTAGTAAGAAAGTAGAACCAACCCAAATGTCCTTGGAACCAACCCAAATGTCCAACAATGATAGACTGGATTAAGAAAATGTGGCACATATACACCATGGAATACTATGCAACCATAAAGAATGATGAGTTCATGTCCTTTGTAGGGACATGGATGCAGCTGGAAACCATCATTCTCAGCAAACTATCGCAAGGACAAAAAACCAAACACCGCATGTTCTTACTCATAGGTGAGAATTGAGCAATGAGAACACATGGACACAGGAAGGGGAACATCACATTCTGGGGACTGTTGTGGGGTGGGGGGAGGGGGGAGGGGGGAGGGATAGCATTAGGAGATATACCTAATGCTAAATGATGAGTTAATGGGTGCAGCACACCAGCATGGCACATGTATACATATGTAACTAACCTGCACATTGTGCACATGTACCCTAAAACTTAAAGTATAATAATAATAAAATAAATAAAAAAAATTAAAAATTAAAAAAAAGAAAGTAGAAAGAAGTTATTTATATAAACTAAAGATTTTAAAGAATGCACAACTCTCTGGAAGCTGCTGGAAGATGTGTTTACCAAAAACAAGGAGTGAGTGAAGGAGAAGTAGCCTCAGGGGATCCAGCACAGAGGAGAGAATGGAATGGACCCTAAACAGCAGGCTCTCAGTGCCAGCAGTCAGACCATTGTGAGGAGTGGAGAACTTCAGGAAGGCCACCTCTGGGGAGGAGACCAAGCTGGCGTTACCTGATGTGGTTGAGTGTATTGAGAAGAGCTTTCCACTTCTGGGCAGGGGTTTTGGATTGCATTTTGTCTCCCCTTTTATTTTCACTTGTTGGAGCCCTAACTCCTAGTTCTTCACAATTTTACTGTATTTGGATATAGGGCTTTTAAATAGGTAATTAAGTTAAAATGAAGCCATTAGGGTGGGCTCTAATCTAATATGGCTGATGTCCTTGTAAGAGGAGAATAAGATGATAGGATATACAGAGATACCAGGGGTGGGTGTGCATATAAAGTAACCAGGTAAAGAGGCCAATGTCACAGGCCTCAGAGGAAACCAACTCTGCTGGGACCTTGTCCTAGAAATTCCAGTTGCCAGAACTGTGAGAAAATAAATGTCTTCTGTTTAAGTCATCAAACCTGAGTTGTTTTTGTTGTTGTTGTTGTTGTTCTTGAGACTTGAGTTTTGCTTTTCTTGCCCCGGCTGGAGTTGAATGACACAATCTCAGCTCACTGCAACCTCCGCCTTCTGGGTACCATGCCTGGCTAATTATTTATTTGTTTATTTATTTGTTTGTTGTCTATTTATTTTTATTTTTTGTGTTTTTAGTAGAGATGGAGTTTCTCCATGTTGGTCAGGCTGGTCTTGAACTTCCGACCACAGGTGATCTGCCCGCCTTGGCCTCCCAAAGCGCTGGGATTACAGGTGTGAGCCACCGTGCCCAGCCAAATCTGGGGTATTTTTTTATGGTAGCCCAAGCAGACAGATTCTGAATTAGCAATGAGTGGTTAGAAAACTAACAAATGTCAAAAGAGACAATTAGAACGGAAAACAGATCATTCAAGATTGGAAATATAATTATAGCACTCAACATGCTGTTCTATGAAAAACAGCCATAATAATGTGAACACTGAAGATTGATTTAACAAAAATTATCGAACTACAGTCATGCACCACATAACATTTCAGTGACACACTGAATATACAATGGTCGTCCCATAGGATTATAATGGAGCTGAAAAATTCCTATTGCCTAGTGACATCATAGCTGTTGTAACTTAGCAGTGCAGAGCTTATGTGTTTGTGATGATGTCGACTAAGATCAATAGGTTATACCCTATAGCCTAGTACATACTAGGCTGTACCATTTAGGTTTGTGTAAGTACAGTCTATGCCCAATGACAAAATCGTCTAATGATGGATTTCTCAGAATATATCCCCATCGCTAAGTGAATCATGACTTGTATATTCAAAGGATGGGAAAAGGGAAATTCAGAATGAGGGATGAGAAGAAAGTTATACTCTTTTGTTCCATAATAGAAAGCTAGTAGATTATAATTTAAATTGAAAAGCAGGAAATAGTAATAAAATCATAGTTAGAAATATGGAAGGAGGTTAAGAGAATACCCAGTTTTAGGGCTGTAAAGGGACTGCCTCTGCGGAGTGGAAATATGTGTGAGAGTAGGAAGGAGAGAGAAGGCTGCACTTATATGTTATGGAACTTGTCTTTTTGGACTATGTACATGTATAGGTTTGATAGCATTTTTAATTAAGTGTGAGTTAGAATATGTCTTGGTCTAGGAAAAAATCATTGATTTGAAAAATGTGCCATTAGTTGTGAGGAGGTAAGCAGGTTTCTTGTCATGTCAGCTTCACATAACCCTTGAGATGTCAGTATAAACATGGGTAAATTTGCAGTTGAACTGCCTGTGTTTTTTATATATGTACTTTTTGTCTTTCAATAAAAATTTATTTACAAGAAAAAGTGGCAGGCTGGATTTGGTCTCCAGGCCCTCATAGTTTGCTGACCTCTGCTATAGATCATATTGTTTTAAAAAAAATTTCTGTGGGTATGTAATAGATGCATTTACTTACGTTAAGTGAAATAAGTCAGACACAGGAAGGCAAACATTGCATGGGGTCTAAAAATCAAAGCAATTGAACTAATGGACATAGAGAGTAGAAGGATGGTAACCAGAGGCTGGGAAGGGTAGTGGGGGAGTGGTGACGGGGAGATTGGGATGGTTAATGGGTACAAAATAAAATAGAATGAATAAGACCTACTATTTCATAGCACAACAGAGTGACTATAGTCAATAATAACTCAATTGTACATTTAAAAATAACTAAGAGTATAATTGGATTATGTGTAACACAAAGGATAAATGATTGAGGGGATGGATACTTATATATTTTTTAATTCAACTTTCATCTAAACTTCTGATTAAATTATTCTGTCTTACTTTTACTTATGAATCAGGAGAAGAAATAAGGCATGCCAAGTGAAGCTTCATAAAACAGGTAGAACTCAACAGCTGTTGGAAAAACAGTTGGAAAAACTGTTTAGTGAAACAAGTAGCATATATAGCCGTGAAAAGTTTGGTAGAGTAGCAAGGGGTCAATAGGTACAGTAGTATCCCCCTTATCCACGGGGAATACTTTCCAACATCCCCAGCTGATGCCTATAATTGCCGATAGTACCAAACCCTATATATACTATGCACTAATTTCTTTTTTCTTCTTCACAATTTCATGGATAGAGTATTCGGTCTTACTATAGATCTTGGCAACCTCAGCTAAGATATTTTTCTTTCCTTATTAACTTGAGAACTTTCATCTTTTCACTTCAAGGAGGCACTTGATGCCTTCTTTTTGGCATATCCAAATTGGCAGCATTGCTACTCTTGCACTTTGGGCCACTAAGTAAAATAAGGGCCACTTGAACACAAGCACTGCAATACTTCAAGAGCCAATGTGATAACTGAGACAGCTACTAAGTGACTAATGGATGGGAAGCATATATAGTGTGAATATACTGGACAAAAGGATAATTCATGTCCTGGGTGGGACAGGGTGGGATGGAGTGAGATTTTATGCTACTTAGAATGGCATATAACTTAAAACTTATAAATTGTTTTTTTCTAGAATTTTCCTTTTAATATTATTGGGTCAAAGTTAATCTTGGGTAACTGAAACTGTGGGAAGGCAAAACTGTGGATGGGGGCACTATTATATAAGGAAAGCAAGTAAATTCTTAAAAACCTAGCAGGGAAGTCAGTGTCAGAATTGGGACATCTTGAAGAAAGGGACAACAAGAGTGTCATTGAGTCCTGGTAACTGGGTGGAGTTTTAGGTCTTGATAGAAAGGGTAAGGAAGAAAAACTCATGTTCATGAGTGGTACAGTATCTCTGCTCCTTTGGCAAAGACTGGAATCTCTTTTAATTGTTTTATGTTTGGATGTACAGGGACTCATGGAAGTGTCTACAGCCCTTGGAGAGACAGAAACTTTGAGGGACTTGGTTATAAAATAGAAAGCAGACTATTCCTAATATGCTCTTATCCGGACATAACAATAGGCTGTATCATTCACCTCTTTTTTAAACCATTTATTTATATATATATATATTTATATATAGGTGAGTACAATGATTCAAATAAAGATGTAGACAAATTATGCATTATGCTAAATAGCTAACAATGTTAGCATACAGGACACCACGTTGCTTGGTAATTAACATTCTCCCATGTAATATATTGTTTCTTAGGAAGGATCTGGCATAGTTGCTGATGCAAACACTACATTATGTCTTACACAGAGGTTGATTAAACAGTTCTCTCAAAGGACACTCCTCCTCCTCCAGCATTTGATGTAAACTCAATCAGGATAGTAGAAATCTTTGCTCTTTGATTCCCCAAAAGTTAATAAATGCATGTTTTCTCCAGTTTTCAAAATGTCGAGGTCTGCTTGTTTTGTTTGTATCATTTTGTAGGGACTGTATGGTGAATACATGAGAGCTTGGTCCAGATCATTTCTTTTAGTTGCCTCTCCCCAAGTAAGTTGTTCTTGAAGAGAATAAGCAATTCCTCCTTTGTGATTAAACAGTCCTGCTACAATTTAATCATTTCACATGCAGTAAACTTTTCTTGGATATTAATTTGGAAGAAAATGAACTGTTTTGACATTTGCCCTTAATATGATCAAGCCAGTGTCACTGTCATTTTATGTGCTTCCAGTACACAGCCAGTGTCTTGGGAGGGCCAGAAGACCTGGAATCATGGTATGTTCTTACATGATGTAAAATACTCCAACTTGTCTAAAGACTGTCAGATGTCCCTTTTCTTAAACTCACTCACACTAAATAGTTGAACCATATGGAAAAATCATGGAGAATTACATGGGGGAAATTCTCTTTCCATCTTACAAGGTATAACAATCAAAGCTAATTCCTAGGCTACATACTCTTCAACATGGTTCAAAATTGTATTTAAACCACTGGTAAGTAGTGAGAATAAGCAGGCATATTTTACATTTTATCAAGACAGTTAAGTAGAACAACAACAAACAACAACAACAACAAAAACTTTTACTTCGTTTGAAAAAGTAATACAAAATATCAGGTCAATTACATGGAATCTTGGAGAAATATTTGTTAGGTTGATAAGATTAAACAAAATTCTTTTTCTTCCCATAGCCTCAATTCCAAGAATAACAATGTGAAATTAATTAGTGAAATGCTTATGATTTCTTAAGGAAGACATATTTAGAATAAATTTTAAAATGGTTATTTCTGGATAGAGCATTTCCAAAAATTACTTTTAATTGATTAATCTTGCAGTATTTTCTGACTATTAAAAAATACTGCAAGTCTTAGAATTGTAATGTACAGAGTATAATGTAGTTTTTTATAGTATTTTGAATTAGAATAATCTGTTACGTGTGAAAATATATTTTTAAAATCTGTATAATTGAATTGTTAATATTAGGCATAACTTTGAAGTGATTTTCCTCAATATTGTTCTAAATCAATCTGATGCATTATGAAACTTTTTTTTATATATATGATGTTCCTTGGTATGGTACAGCTTTTGAAAAACATTGATTGCACACTATTTGTTAAAAGTACATATTGAATTATTATTGCTGAATTTATAAAATTAACTGAATAAGTTATTTTGTTGTCTTAATGACAATGTAATAACTAGGCAAACACTGACAATCCTAGAATTGGTCTGTGTATATTTTTCTGATTGGAGGGGGGCATTTCTGAATAACATTAAAATGCAAAATTAATAAGCATTACAAATACTCTCCTGTGGAATTAGCAATATTTTACAAAAAATAAATGTGTGTCTATATAAAATTTTGTATTCTTTATTAGAAAAACAGTAGGTAATCATGAATTTGAAAGTGCCATAGCACTTTTTTCTGTGAATGGCCAAAATTATTTAGGAAAATTATTAAGTGTAATTTCATTGTGATCAAAATGCTTTCTGACTATTCTAGATTAATGTTATTTTAAAACAATAAAGCACATGACATACGCTTTTTAAAGAAGATGCCCAGAATTTTTTTTATACGATGGTAACATTTGAAGATTTGTAATATCATAATGCTAGTTATCTGCAAAAATCTTGCAATTTTTTAGGATTGTAGTTTTAGTCAACATTTCTACTATTGGTATACATATTTTAGCTCATTTTTCTTCAAGTCCAATTAATAAAAAATGGAAAAAAAGGATCCAAACATTTGACATTTAATAAGTCACTTTCATGTGATCAAGCATTTTGTGCATTTTATGTCATTAACCACAATTTGTTCATAGATGAGAAAACCAAGTCTCAGAGATGTTCAACAGATTTCCGAGAGTGACAGAGTCTAAATTTTACCCAGTTTAGTCCAAATCCCAAACCTCTGCCTTTACAACAAACTTGTCCCCATGTTGATAACAGCTTAGCTTACTATTCAAATGGCATACACATTTGAAAATAAAAGTGGTACTACTGTTTAAATATTATAATAATAATGACATGTATACATGGTTTCTGGTATCAGCTTTCTGTTCTACTCCTTTCCATCCTAGTTTATCCCTTAAAAGAATATATTAACTTTGTATCCATTAAATTATTAATCTATTTTATATCCTGGCACTGTAAGAAAATGACATTTTCTGACCTCTTTTTTCCTTTGGCTTTCAATCTCAATTTTACATTTCCCAATTTTCATTTTTGAAGTTACATTTGTGCATTTGAAGACTGATACTATTTACCTTTTGTTCTCTAAACAAAATGAGGATGTCTGCCATTATTTATTGATTAAGTGTCGAACCCAATAAACTTTTAGAATTGCATGACTATGAACATATTGTTTATTGAAGACCCAGTGATCAATTTGATTACATTTTCTTTTTCCTTTTTCGTGTTGCTTTACTCAAAATTTCCAAAATCAGCTATATATTTTATGTGTTGATTACCATACTGTACATTTGTGTGTGCTGGGGGGTAGGGGGCTGCTAACTGTTATTTGTAGAGCTTCTATTTACCACTCACTATTCTATTGTCTTGTCATATGTTTACAGGCCTTAGTCTATCTAGCTTCAAATTTCTAGGAGGCTAACTGATGTAATCTGTTGCAACCCACTCCGAATTGCACATAGTATTTTATACAAGGAAGGAAAAGTACCCTAGTATAACATTATTTCCATTTTTAAAAATGATTCTTTCTTTTCCTGTATTCATTCAAAAAATATTTATTGAGTATTCTGTACCCCAAACATGGACATACCAGCTGAACACACAGTTATTAACAAAACAGTAAAACATTTCCATTCTCATGGAGCTTATCTACTAGTAGAAGTGACACTAAGTCCTAAGTGCCATCTTACGTACTAGTAAGAATTGACATTAAATAAATGTGTACAATGTTAGTGAAAATTATTAAAAAGAGAACACTGGGGAGAGATCATATGAAATGTTAGGAAAGGCAGGCATTGTAAATTGAATCACTAATTAAAAATTGTTTAAGATTAACCTAAGATAATCATTAAGCTCATTATTTATAGAACACATCAGCACAACAGCATATTAGAGAGCTCGTACATCATTATCAAGTATAATTTATCCTTGGAATGCAAAAATGGTTCAACATGCTAAAATAAATAACTGTGATAAACACATTAGCAGAATAAAGAACTTAAAAATATATTCCCATCTCAATATACTCAGAAAAATCATGTAACAAAATTTTCCATAGGAGCATATCTATAGTTAAAAACATAGCATATACAGGGATTGGTAATATCCACAATTTCAGGCATCCACTGAAGGTCTTGGAATATATCCCCCACCCCTGTGGATAAGGGAGAACTATTTTATGTAGAAAACTATAAAGATTCCAGAAAAAAGTGTTAGAACTAATAAATCAATTTAGTAAAAGTATTTGCATTCCTATGCACTAACAATGAACCATTTGAAAAGGAAATTCAGAAAATAACTCTTTTACCATAGCCCTCAAAAAGAATAAAATACTTAGAATTAAACTTAATCAAGGAGGTGAAAGACTGGTACACTGAAAACTACAAAACATTGTTACAAGAAATTGAAGGAGACATAAATAAATGGAAAATGGAAAGACATCCTGTGTTCACTATTTCCATCAGAATCTCACTGGCCGTTTTTTTTTTTTTTTTTTTTTTTAACTGGAATAGTTAAAAACAATCCTGAAATTATTATAGCACCACAAAAGATCCAGAATAGCCAAAGCAATCCTAAGAACAAAGAAGAAAGCAGGAGGTATCAAACTTTGTGATTTAAAAATATATTTCAAAGCTATAGTTATTAAAACCACATGGTACCAGCATAAATACACGCATATAGACTAATAAAGAGCCTAAAAATAAACCTATGCACATATAGTCAACTGATCTTTGACGAGGTTGTCAAGAAAACACAATGTGGAAAGGATAGTCTCTTCAACAGAAGGAAAAAAAGAAGGAAGGAAGGGAGGTAGGAAAGAAGGGAGGAAGGAAGGAAGGAAGGAAGGAAGGAAGGAAGGAAGGAAGGAAGGAAGGAAGGAAGGAAGGAGGGAATAGAGGAGGGAGGGAGGGAGGAAGGTGGGAAGGGAGGGAGGGAGGGAGCAATGAGGAAGGAAGGAAAGAAGGAGGGGAGTAAGGGAAAGGAAGGAAGAGAGGGAGGAAAGGAGAGAAGGAGAAAAGAAAGAAAGAAGGAAAGGAAGGAAAAGAAAGAAAAGAAAGAGAAGACATTGGGATCTTACATCCTACACAAAAATCAGCTTAAAGACTTTAACTTAGATCTGAAATGGTAAAATTGAAACAGAGGAAAAGCTTGACTTTGGTCTTGGCATTGATTTCTTGGTTATAACACCAAGGTACAAGCAACAAAATAAGAAATAGACAAGTTTTTTTTTTTTTTTAAGCACTGAGCACAGATTTTATTGCGTAGTAAGCACCCAGTGAAAGTTAGCGACTACTACTAATGGTAATAAAAATGATATTTTTCGTTTGTGCTGCAGGGTGAGCTAGAGATCTGTATAATTTTATTTATTTATTTATTTTTATTATACTTTAAGTTTTAGGGTACATGTGCACAACGTGCAGGTTAGTTACATATGTGTATGTGTGCTATGTTTGTGTGCTGTGCCTATTAACTTGTCATTTAACATTAGGTATATCTCCTAATGCTATCCCTCCCACCTGCCCTCACCCCACAACAGGCCCCAGTGTGTGATGTTCCCCTTCCTGTGTCCATGTGTTCTCATTATTAAAACAAACAAGTGGTATTATATCAAACTAAAAAAAAAAAGCAATAAACTTATGCATAGCAAAGGACAAAATCAAAGTGAAAAGACAACCTGAAGAATGGGAGAAAATATTTGCAAACCATATGTCTAATAAGGGATTAATTTCAAAACTATATAAGGAATTTCTATAGCTTAATAGCAAAAAACAAAACCAAACACACACACACACGAAAGGAAATAAGCTGATTAAAAAATGGGCAAATGACTTGAATGGAAATATCTCCAAAGAAGACATACAAGTGGCCAACAAGTATCACGTTTGAACAGATGATCAGCATCATTAATTATCAGGGAAATGCAAATCGAAAACAGCAGAGATATCACCTTATATCTCTTAGGATTGTTATTATCAAAATCAAGATAAAAAGAGTTGATGGTGATGTGGAGAAATTCAAAACCTTGTGCACTGGTTGTGGATATATAAAATAGTGAAGCAGCTATGAAAAACAATATGGCGGTTTTTCAAAAACCTAAAATAGAATTGCCATATGACTCAGAAATCCCACTTCCTGTTATACATCCAAAGGCATTGAAATCAACATGCGAAAGAGATGTCTGTACTCCTATGTTCATTGCAGTATTATTCACAATAGGCAAGAAATCAAAATAAACAGTGTCCATTAACAGATGAATAGATAAGGAAATTTGGTTTATACTGCCAATAGACCTACATTATAAAAAAGTTGAAGAAAGTTCTTTAGCAAATAGAAATGATGTGTTGTGACACTCTGGATTCACATGAAAAAATTCAGAAAGCCAGAAATGATAAATATGTTGGTAAATATATATAATTTGAAATTTTAAAAATATTATTTACTGTTTAAAACAAAAATAATGACAATTATTGTGGGATTTATAACAAGTAAAATGAGTGACATTCTAGCATAATGACTGAAAAAAACAAAATATACTGCAGTGAGATTCTTTATGTATTATTTGAAAGATGGGTGTAATAAATGCTGGTGTATGTTGTAAACCTTAGGGTGGCCGTTAATAAAGATTTTGAAAACCTGTATGATTAAATGGAACAATAAATATATTTAATGCAAAAGGCGGCAATAAAAGGGAACAAAGAATAGATGGGATAAATAGAAAAATAAGAAGATGAAAATGATACACTGCACAAATACTAATCATATATAAGTGGAAGTGGCTATATGAAGCAAAGAATCATGGACAAGAACTCATACCAAAGATGAAGAGGAATATTTTGTATTGAGTAAAGGATCAATGCATTAAAAAAAAAAAAACTCCTAAATGTGTGTGTGTGCTTCATATAAAAAAAAACCCTCAATATACATGAAGTATAAAATGGCATAACTGAAAGGAGGAGTAAAAAGCTACAGTTAGTCTTATAATTTTCAACACTTCTGTCTTAGCAATCTGTATAAAAATGCAGGGGATCAGTAGATTAATAACAAACTTGAACACACTATCACCAGCTTGATCTAATTGACATATGGAATATTACACTAAAAAATGGAATTCCAGTTTTCAAGTACACATGAAACATTCACAGAGATACATCATATTCTGGACCAGAAAAGATATAGCAGAGAATTTAAAACCTACAGAATATGTTATCTGATTATAATTGAATTAAATGAGGCATCAATAATAAAACCACAGCTGAAAAATACCCAAATATTTGGAAATAAAACAAAACATCCATAAGTAACCCATGGGTAAAAGATAAAATAAGAAAAATTATGATGAAAATGCAACGCATTAAATTGTATGGAATGCAGCTTTACCAGCATCTGAAGAGAAATTTATATCTTTAAATCTTTATATTAGAAAGGTTTAAAATTTAATAGCAAAGAGGAATTGGAGACAATAATTATGGACTTTGAAAGTGTTTTCTGTACATGAGTGCAATGAAATCAGGCAGTAACTGATGGGTAATGTTTGATCAATGCAAGCTTTGTTTCCTTCTTTTCCTTTTCTTATTTTTTTTAGTGGGAAAGATTTTGGCCAGTAAATATGATAAATATCTACCAAAGATGGCAAAATTGATCATGAAAGAAAATAATAGGATGTGATCTTATGCAGGAGTGGAAGGTTTTTCTTGGATAAGGGTGTAAAACTTTCGTCCATTTTAACAAAAGGGAAAACAGTATATATAGAAGGTATGTTTGTGGCCCCATGTAGTGAAAAGAGCTTGTGGAAGTTGATTTTTCTTGTTTCCATTTGCTTAGTGAAATAACAGTTAAGATTATCAGGGCAGAGGGAGGCTCCAGGCCCTCGAGAAACATTGGCAAGTGGCACAGAGAAGATTCACATCCCAAAGGAGCAGAGAA
Organism: Homo sapiens; assembly: GCF_000001405.40. NCBI lineage: Eukaryota > Metazoa > Chordata > Mammalia > Primates > Hominidae > Homo > Homo sapiens. The sequence continues at coordinate 257,699 of NW_025791754.1, read as the reverse complement.
AGAATTTATAATGGAAAATTTTCTAAAATAAACGTTCTAAGTAAAGAGAGGTCAGAGGCCTACAGTCAGGAGGAAACCTGTCTAATGTTTATTCACACTGAGGGGAGAAACTTTGAGGCATCTTAGGTATTTGACTCCCAAGGCTTTAAAGTTGTAACTCTCAGAAAAAAAAAAATTGTTTTTATTCCCGGCTCATGCTGCTGACTTTCCTCTTAAATGTCAAAGACATATTTATTCTTGATTATTACATGCATTTTTGAACATATGGTATCTTAGAAAAGAAAGCAAACAATCACTGAGCACTCAGTGATTTCCCTTCATGTACCCTTCAGACAGCATGAGAAAAGAGCTGAAATAAAATGTTTGCTGTGGAAGCTTTTTCACTGTTTTTTTCAAGTATGTTTTGTTTTAAGAAGATCCACTTCAGGCACTGAAACAAGCACATAATAATCTGTACTATGTCATTCCCTAATGAAATGTACCTTAGATTCTTTTGGGAGATTTTGCAATTTTATTTAGCTCTTTAGTCAACCCAGTGGTTAGTGACTTGTTTTCAAAAATATTTTTCTTACCATTCTCAAAAATCACAGAATTTTAAACTTGAAAAGATACCTTGAAATCCCTAATATAACTGAGTTTTTAGTACACTCAGAAATAATTTTTGGTAAATTTTTGACAGATGTACATCCCTGGACTTCAGTTACACGCCGTCAAGATAACCTGACCTCTTTACGAATCACTTTACTATTCATTTGACATTTGTATACCAGTGAGTTTCAAGAGGTTTTTGGATAGTGTGGTCGTGACTATGTTAAATTGAGTAACTAGATCAGGGAAAATTCAAGAGGATTAAGATCTGGAATTGGATCTGGTGTTGAGGGAAGTTTCCTTCAAAACCTGGGAGAGGATTTAAGTAAGTAAAATATACAATTTATGGAGTGTACCGTTCTGGATGAATTACTCCAACTCAGACCAAGGACTAGTAAACGATACAGTGTTTCAGCTTTCAGAAAGAGTACAAAATGAGTTTAGCTGCTCTATAAGGAAAGACAAAAAGTAGGCTTTTGAATTGGCAATTATGTTGACTTGCTGCTCAGTCCCAAAATTTCTGGTAAGATTTTGATAATATATATGCAGATTCCGACAGGCAAGCAGGTTTTTATCATTAAGTATCTGTAAGGAGTGGTAAATTTTCAGCCACGAGAGTGGGAATCAAAAGCAGAATTACAGTCCCTGAGAGATTATTGAAAAAGCAAGGACTTTTTTTCCTAAAACTAGAACCCAAGGTAATGTTTCAGTCCCAGATATACTGTTAAATCCCTTCTGCTGAAACTTGGCAGGAGGACAAAATTATATTTACAGCCATACAAGTTTGAATGCTGAGGCCCAGAATGCTAGACCAAGTCTTCTTTTAATTTTTTTTTTTTTTTTGACTTTGATGTAGATTGTTCATGAAGACTAGGCCACTGTTGAGCCTATAGGTTTGGGTGAGTAATATAGTTTAACTAGACTACAACTAGTTGGCCTGATTTTCTACTTTCTGATAGCCAGCTATTCTATCGTAAAATGCAGCCACATATTTTAATGGTGGAGAATTTTTTAGTGATTTTGGCTATTTTCTTTTAAGGTATTTTTATTTAAGAGCACTTTTGAATTATTTTTGTATTTAAAATAAGTATATATCAAATTTGAAGCATACTTCTCTAAAGACATCAATTACAATTAATCACAATGAAATGTATCATTTTCTTAATTCAGTCATGAAGTTAGGTCAATTAGTTATAGATGATAAATACTATGAATCTTCTGTATCAGAATTACCTCCAGTTTTTGATATTATCAGATATATGTGTATGTAATCTAACCTTATACTTTTTAACAGTCTACATATTAGACCTGGATGTTCTAATTATGAACAAAATAGACCCTGACCTCAAGGTGCTTTTGAGTCCAATCTACTGTGAGGCCTTCCTAGGGCCATCTGTGAAGAAATTGTTCTCTGGGCAAGGATCACATTTGGCAAGAATTGTTTATACAACAATACATTCGAATGTTTTCAAGACAGGTTTGTTCTCCAGATTGCCATAAGACTTCTTTTACTCTTTATTTATTTTATAAGTGTTTGTGATTAGTTTGCTCAATCGCTTATAAATTTTGGGCAAATCTATCTACATGTATTATTTTAAGTTTTACAATTCAGTTTCACTTTATATACTAGTAATCTTAAAAAATAAAGTGTCCAATGAATAAGTTAGCAAGATATACTCAAAGTATGCAGGGTAAATAGATCAATTTTCAAGTGCTGCAGATGTATTTTATAAATTAAAAATCGAAAGGAAAGTGATGCCTTTGATCAAACCAATGTTTTATCACGTGTAGATGACAGACTCTGTTTGAGAGTCTAATAAAAATTATAAATTTATGGAGAGGTAAATAATTCATTTATAAAATTTCATCTAAAATGTCTGAGTTCTTTAATGGGTTATTTGGATTTCAGTAAAATAATTCCTGCCATAGGTAAAGTGATTTATTGTAAGTCCTTAGAACAACAAATACCTTTTAGATAGTACAGTTTATTAAGTTGAATTTTATGGAGACATTCATTCTTCACTAATTTAATTTTTAGGCAAACTGACTTTGGGTAAAATGTTCTGTTTCACAGTAGCAACAGACACTCAGATGATGTGGTAGTGTCCCAAGTTACCTACCTTTATTATTACAGCATTTTTATTCTAAGGTTATCACAATAAACATTTTACTCTATGATTCGAAATATGGAGCACTTTACTTAAGGATGAATTTGTCCCCAAGAAAAGTTTTAAAAAATCAATCAATCTTCTGCTTTTAGAAAAAAAAAAATGAAGTGAAATCTTGTTTCTTTGTTAGTTTAATTATCTGTATTAGGAAAATTTTTCTTTTCTATTTCTCATATGATATTTATGCCATGTTATACAGCTCTTTTCCTTTTTCCTCACTTAATGACCCACTCAAAATTACTGATGTTTGTTCTGTTTTGTGAGGGCATAAAATATGAATAAAACAAGGAAGATTTCAGAATAGGTACTTTATCTCCTGTATTCATCCATTGAATTGAAATATTTGCTAAATGCTTTCTATATGCCTAATTCTCTTTATATTATCACATTTAATGTTCACACTATCAATATGAAGTAAATATTGTTTTTCTTATTCACCTGTGATATGCAAATGAATGCTAGGTTCTGGGGATAAGCTAGGGTGAGCAAAATGTAGACATGGCCCTTGCCTTCATCAAGCTTATAGTTTAGGGAGGACCAACTTTTAAAAATGCTAAAAATTAGATGGGGTTAATTGTTCACAGAATACAATGGGATCAAGTAGCATCATCTATCCTAATTTACCAGTAGTCAGAAGAAAAGGCTTCCTAGATAAGTGACTTTTTAGCAGGGATGAGAGGCATGAATAGGGCTGAGCCCATAAAGAATGTTCTTGGCAAATGGTCCTAGGTGGGAAATGCTGGTTATGAGTGGAGAATGTGCATTATCGCTAGAGAGAAGAATGCAAAGACTGAGGAAATAGTTTGGGAAACGTTTAATAAAGGTTGTCGTAAGCCTTGTTAAGAAGTTTGAATTTGATGCCAAAAGAAACGAAACCACTGTAGGATTTTAAGTAGCCACGTACAACAATAAGAATTTTAGTTGGAAAAAACTGCATCTGATAAGATTACAGAATTAGTGAAAAAAATGTTATAAAGCTTGAGATAGGCTGACTGGGGAGCTGTTGCCCTTACTCCAAGCCAGAAGTGACAAGTTTTTAGATTAGGCTGTGGCACTGGTGCTGGAGAAAAGTGGAAGCTATTAGAGCAGTCTTTAGAGGCATAATCAACAAGATTTGAGAACTCACTAAATGCAAGGTAAGTGAGACAGAGAAGCTGAAGATTTAGTATCTATTAGTATTTTCTTTTGGGAAAAGGGAGGACTACCAGTAGCAAGATGAGTTCAGTTTGGGATAAGAATGTCAAAGGGTAACCAAGTGCATGGTGTCAGATAAGCCAAACGAGGATGTTTTAGGGAGCCAGTGGTCTACAAGTCAACTGTTGCCAAGGGTTAAGATAAATAAGAAAAGTAAGTTGCACACATCCATTATACAATAACCAAAACTTCTGTAAGAAGAATCAGATCCGTAGTAACTTCCCTTTACTCATGCATTTTTGTAACCTCTGAAGTGAAGATTAGAGCCCAAGGTTTGTGACTCTACAGATCATGCTTTTCTCACTTACTTTTTAAAAAAATAAACTAGACTTTTTGTTGTTATTGTTAAGCCATTTTAGGTTTACAGAGAGAATGGAACAAAAAATATAGAGAATGTCCATATCTCACCCCCTACACTCCTCTCCCCCTACACCCCATTTTCCTATTTTTAACATCTTCCATTATTGTGATACATTTGTTGAAACTGATGAACCAATATTGATAAATTATTTAACTAAAACCCATAGTTTACATTAGGGTTCACTCTTTATATTGTATATTCTGTGGGTTTTGATAAATGTAATATGACATGCATTCACCATTACAATATCATAAGGAATAGTTTTAGGGTCTTAAAAATATTATCTGCTCTACCTATACATCCTTCTGTCCTTTCTTTTCCCCAACCTGGCAACCACTGACCTCTGTACTATCTCCATAATTTTGCATTTCTACAATGACATATAGTTGTAATCATGCAGTATGTAGCCTTTTCAGATTCACTTAGCAATATGCATTTGAGGTTTTGCATGTCTTTTCTTGGATTGATAGTGCATTTCTTTGCATTGCCAAATATTCCATTGTATGGATGTGGCACGGTTTATCCATTCATCTATTGAAGTATATCTTGGTTACCTCCAAGTGTTTGTAATTATAAATTAAGTTGTTTTAAGCACATACATGCATGTTTTTGTGGAGACCTACATTTTCTGTTCACTTAGGTAAATACTAAGGAGCCCAATTGCTGGATTATTTGGTTAGGGTATACTTAGTTTTGTAAGAAATTGTCAAAATGTATTCCAAATTTGATGTATCATTTTGCATTCCCTCCCAGCAATGAATGCAACTTCCTGTTGATCTGTGTCCTCTCTAGTATTTGGTGTTTTCAGCACTTTAGATTTTAGCTATTATGAAAAGTGTTTAGTGATGTCTTACTGTTTTAATTTGCAACTCTCTAATGACATGAGTTAACTATCTTTTCATTCTTCTAATCTGTATACGTTCTTTGGTCAGATGTTTGTTTTGATCTCTGGCCCAATTTTAAATAGAGTTGTTTGTTTTCTTGCTATCTACATCTTTGTGTTTCAACATGTTTAGTCCATTGGCATTTAATGTCATTATTAATATGGTTAGATATAGCTCTATCTAAATTGTTTTGTTTGTTTCCTCTAATTTTGGTTCCTCTGTTTTTCCTTTCCCACATTTTTTATTATTTGATTTTGTAAAGCACTGAATGTAATATACCTATTGGCTTTTTAGATGTGCCTTTTGAATTTTTTTTGTGAGTGCTGTAGGGATTACAATACACATTCTTACTGCTTCATAGTGAGCTTTATATCATTGTTATACCACTTGTTAAAATTATAAACTTGCATTTATTCCTTTTCTACTGTCTCTTATGTTATTGTTGTTAGATATAATAATTTATCCATAGATTAGAAACTACACTAAACAATATTATAAATTGTGCTTTATTCAGATTATATATTTTATAGAAGTTAAGAGGAAATGGATTTTTATAGTCATTAAAACATTAAACATTTGTTACTCTTGTTTTATTTCTGAAGTTCTTTCTCCCTGGTATCATTTTTCTTGAGTTTATATAGTTTTCTTAAACTTTTCTTGTAGTATGATTCCAATGGGAGTACATTTCCTTATTTTAGAATAAGGAAAGTACATTTCTTTATTTTAAAAAGTCCTTTATTTCACCTTCCTCTTTGAGGGAGTTTTTGCTAGATGTAAAGTTCTGGTTTCATAGTTTTTTTCCTTCATTCTAAACTTTAGAATTTTTTCCAGGGTTTTCTGGCTTTCAGGATTTTTGATGAGAGTCCTTGGCCATATGACTCTTTCTTTGGGTGCTGTCAAGATTTTGTCTTTATTTTTGTTTTTTAACAGTTTGAATACAATGTGGCTAGGCATGGTTATCTTTTTGTTTATATAGTTTAGATTTTGCTAATTTTCTTGAACTTATAAGTGTATGTCTTCTACAAAATTAAAAAGTTTCTAGTCATTATTTCTTAAAATCATTTTCTGCTAGTTTTTCTCATTTGTTTTCTTTTTGGGAATTCAATTATATTATGTAAGACCTTTTTACCGTGTTACACAAGTTCCTGAACTCTGTTCCCTTTTCCTTACCTTTTCTCTTTGTTTTTCAAATTGGGTAAATTCTATTGATCTATGTTCAAGTTCACTGACTCCTTTCTTCTGTCATTCCCAATCTGTTTCAAAGCCCATATAGTGAATGTGTTTCTTCATAAACTTCAGCTTTTTAATCTAAAAATACTTTATATTACTCTGCTGAAATTTTCTTTTTTTTATTACAAACATGTTTTTCATTACATTACTGATCATAGTTCTAGTAGCAGCTTTAAGTCCTTCTCTGCTAATTCTAACATCTCAGACTGTCTAGTAGCTACCATCTATTGGTTATCATTTTGTTTGTTTCCCATGCAAATAAGTCACATTTTTCTGGAAATTCATAAATTGAATAATACTGCATCGTATTTTGGATATTGTGTTATGTTGCGGAGGCTTGGATTCTCCTGTATTCTTCCAAATAATGTTAGTGCTCTCATTTTAGCAGAGGCTAAGTTGCTTAAACTCAAAATAAAGCAAACTCCATCACCATTGAGGTTGGTAGTGCTTCACAAATGTCAGCTCAGATTGTTTTTATGCTTCGCCATGGATTCTTGGTTCAGAGGTCAGCCAAAGATGTTTACACTCATTCACAGAATTTGTGGTTTCTCTTTGTTGCCTCTCCCTTTTCCTGTGTCTGGTGGCTCTGGTTGTTCCAGGCTCCATTCGCTTGTTGTTCTGGCAGGTTTTCTGTGGAGTCTTAGCCAACTTGTGCTGTTGTGGTAACCACAGCTGCCCTCAGGTCACAGCAGCAAAAACAGGGAAATTATAACATGCAAGATACTTCCTCCAAGTTTTAATTTTCCTCTAAAATCTGCCTACTTTAGTTCGTTTACTAGGGCCTTTGTATGCTTGTTCTATAGATTTTTTAATAGTTGTCATATGCAAGGACAATTTATTAGGAGCTTATTCTTTCATATTGATAGACGTCCTGGCCTCTTCTATTTCTTCTTTTATTATTAATGTTACATTTCTTGCTGGTGTCAGCAGATAAGTCTCACTTTAAATTTTTCCTAAGAAATTCATTTTTGTTCTTTATCTTTTATCCTTAATGATATTACTTCACTATTACTAAGATGATACACATAATAAGAAAAACAACTTATGTTTTTTCGATAACTGACTGCCAACCTCTATTAAAAGGTGTATGTGTGTTGTCTATTTCACCTTAGAAATCCTGTAAGATACAGAATATCTGCATTTTACTAATGAGGAAATTTAACTTGTCCAAGTCTAATTAGATACTGAGGGATAAAGCAGGATTAAAACCCCTAGAATGGCCCATTATCTTCAACACAACACTAAACATAATGAAATAAAATAAAATAAAAATTATAACTTGGCATCCTTTTACTTATATAGTGGTTTACTTTCTATTTTTTCCCTTTCCTTTAAAATTGTGTACTTCTAGTGAAAGAGAAATGACAGTAATCCTCCATTAAGTTATCTATAACCCTCAAACCTCAGATTTAAAAGCATGTAAAATTGATTAACAAGTATTCACTTGATGAATCTTAGTAGAATTATTGGGCTCATTCTGATATTTGAATATTTGCCTGTAAGGAACATATGGTACATGTAAACCATGCTGGACTACTATTCATCAACTTTCTTGTAACTTAAAGTTACTATCTTGTTTTGAGTTGCTATAACAAAATAGCATAGACTGGGTGGATTATAGACAACAGAAATGTATTGCTCACAATTCTGGAGGCTGCAAAGTCCAAAATCAAGGAGCCAGCTGACTCAATGTCTGATAAAGACTGGCTTCCTGGTTCCTAGATTGTTGTCTTCTTGCAACATCCTTACATGGCTGAAGAAGCGAGGGAGCTCTCTCTCAGGTGTCTTTTATATGGGTATTAATCCCATTCATGATGACTGCCCTCACGATGAGGCCTACCAGAGGCCTCATCTCCTACTACCTTCACAATGCAGGGTAGGATTTCAACATGTAAATTTGGGGAGGACATGATCATTCTGTCTATAGCAGTTTCCAACCATAAATAACAACTTCTTCTATCTGCATTTGGATAAACAGTCCCTCGTGTCTATCTGTATTTTGGATCTTCCTTTCCTTTCACTAATAGTGCTGTCAAATAGAACTTTCTGTGATGGTGAAAAATTTCTATACCTCCACTTTCTAATATGGTAGCCACTAGCCATGTGCAACTATGAGCACTTGAAATGTGGCTAGTGTGATTGAGTAATTACATTCTTAACTTTGTTTAAGTTTAGTTACTTCAAATTTAAATAGAATTATGTGGCTGGTGACTGTTAAATGGACAGTGCTACCCTAGAGCACCTTTGTGCTTCCTTTCCAAAAATGTATTAGCTAACTGTGTGGTTCATTTATCTAATAATCTTCCTTGATTTTTTCAATTCATTGAATTTATGGGGTGACTACTATGTAAAGGAGTTCGTGTTAAGCATGGTTTTGATTCCTTTTCTTACTTTAAGTGTCTTTTTAAAAACTTTTTTTGATGTATTTTATTATATCTAAGAGTTTTTTATGTCTTCAAACATACCACACAGGTACACACACAGACACACACACACACACATACACACAGGTCAAAATTATTTTACCTTTACTATTATATAAAAAAGTAATTTTCTAAGCATGTTATTATTATATGTACATTTTTGATTTCTCCTTGGAAATTCCTATTACAAACTATTAGTTTTGCTACATGTCTGAAAGCTTCTGACTGCAGAAATTTTCTAGGAAAATTATTTTTAAGTCTGTCTAGCTATTTTTTCTCTTAATCTTTTCTAATATTCTAAGTGCTAGTAATTAGCTATGATTGAATTAGCTATTACTACCTTCTTCTATGGAAATAATAGGTATCCTTAACAAGTCCTCAGAGTAATTTTTATGTTTAAGTTTTAACTATGGATGTGACCAAGCAAACTGATTGCTTACTTTTACTTTATATGTTATAAACATTGTAACTTATGCTATGATGTTTTTATTTTGATCACTTCAGGATCACCAAACAATTTTGAGAGCATGGGCTGTGAAAGATTTTGCTCCAAATTGTCCTTTGTATGTCCAGATATTAAAGCCTGAAAATAAATTTCACATCAAATTTGCTGGTAAGTTTTTATCTTGCATGAGATCCATTGAATTTCCTGAAACTCCTATAGTGGCTTAAGGGTTAAGTCTCTGAACTAAGTGGCAACTTAAAGTATTCAAGATTCTAAAGAACTGAAAATGATTATTAAAACTAATTTACTTGATACGAGAGGATTTATCCACTTTAATATGTGACAAGATAATACTTTTGCTTGAGTCTTAATTTTTTTATATAACTTGGTGATTTTAGTACCTTAACATAATGGATGCCTTAATAAGCCTAAATATATTAGCAGTAGTAGATTTATGCATAATATAGACACAAATTTCAAGTGCCATATCTACTCATTTATACATAGGTTTACACATAGATGGGTGATATTTGGCTATAGATAATTGTTTAATACACACATAGGCTTACCATGCAATAGACTAATACATTGAAATGTATTCAGGTATATGTAAATAGAGTTAATTTAGGGAATAGACTTTGAAAAGAATTCAAGAAAAAGATGCATGTGAACTTTTTTGAAGGTACTGCTTTAAAAATGACAGATCACATGAGATTATACTTTGAATTGCTAGAAAATTGAACAGCAAAATTGTACTTGCTTTTTTTTTCTTAAATGCTTCTGTAAAAAAAACCGCTAATGTTGATTTAAGCAGTAATTCAAGTGCACGTTTTCCCCACAATCACAAATATCCCATGTTTTACATTATATTCTATCTTAAAAGTTTAAAGCTCCAAAAGTCATTAAAATGTAATACATTTTAGCAATGTGTCAGCAAAACGTATTTCCTTCAGAAAATGTGTTTACATATCTTAAAATTCTTACCTGTTAGTGTATGATTTTGAAATGAAAAATTGTAAATACTAGGGAATTTTGATGCAATGATAAGAAAATTATGAAATGGTTGCTATTCAGTTTGCTCTAGCCTTCCCCAAATTTATGTCATCACTTTTTTTCCTAACAATGTATAGCAAACAATTTAAAGTAATAGCTTCCAACTCTGGTTGCACATTAGTATGTTTTTGGAAGAATTTCTAAAGTACTGATCATAGAGATTCTGATTTATACAGTATGATAGGTGCTAGGGCCTCTCTAAGACTATTTCTTAACTGAAATTTAAAAATAACAGTGCCTCTTTTGTAGAAGGCTTTGTGAAATTAAATGGAAAAATATATGTGAAGTACTCCATCTACAACCTGTTACGTATATCATTAGCATTCATCAAATGCCAACTTTTTATTAAAAAGACCTTTGTAACTAGGCTATCTTATTTTTATTATTATTTAAGAAAAGAAATATTTTTGAAAAATTTTAAATATATATGGTGATGACTTGCTATGACAAAATTTTTGAATGGCAGTAATGACATTAACACTAAGTAAACTCTTAAAATGATGACTTTAAATTTGAGTGCCACCACTTAAGACAGGTAGGCAGATTACTATTTTGAGCCTTATTTCCTGTCTACTAAAAGGCCATACAGATTATGTCTCTGTTTTATCAGGGTTAATAGTAAGGATTTAATAAATAATGTCTGAAACATATTAAGTGTTCTATGAATGGATATTGTATCAAGACCTTAAAACAATATGTATTTTCGAAAGACAATTTGTGATTTTGAGTGTATTTTAACTAAAATTCAGAGCAGGCTTCAGTTCTTTCTCCCTTTAGCACGCCGTTGGTATGCTTCCATCGAGAGATCAAATTTGCTGAAAAAGTCTACTGCTAAAAAAAAATACGGACTATTTGTATTAATCTATTTTCTGATTCTCATTTTGTCATTATTTTAATAATACCTTCAAAATGAATAGATTATTTACAAATTCTATCCCAACCATTTATCTCAATATTTCTCATTTTGACACCTGATGAAATTCTTTTTATTAGTGCCTACATTCTTTTATGACTGAGATTACATTTCAGAGGATCTCTTTTTACATTGTGTAAAGATGAAGGCATCCTAGTTTCATTAAAATGCCACAAAAAGAGTTTGGAGTGCTGTATGAAGCTCTCAAAACAATACCATATATTTTATATCTCAGCATGAAGTTAAAAAATTATGGACTTTTCCTTTCAAAAGGCAGTGCATCAAGCTGTCACTTAGTTTGTGTAAGAGATTCTTTAAATAATGGCCCTCAAGAAACCATGCTGTATATATCTGTGCCCTGTTGCCGTGTGATTTTGCAGCTTTTTACCATGAAGAGGTGAAATCTATTTCCCCATCTTTGTATATAAGGTTTGCTTTGTGATTTGCTTTGACCAATATAATCTAACAAAACTTACACTGTGTAACAACAGAAGCTAAGACTTAAAAGGTCATACTGGTTCTGCTTTTGCTGTTTTGGAACACTGCTCAGAGACTACATATAAAGAAACCCAGTTTAGCCTCTCTAAGGATGAAAAATCACTTGGAAAGTGAGGCTCATCCATACCAGCACCTCACCTGTCCAGCTCCCAACTTACTTACCAGCCAACCCAAGGAATCATGCAGACCCACAGAGTTTTGAGAAATAAAATGGTGGTTAAGTCACTGAAGTTTGGAGGTTACTAGTCATGTGGCAGTAGATAACTAATACTGTTGGTGATAAAATAATAATTACTTTAATTTAAAATCGTATTTACTTGACAATATTTATGATATTCTTGTCCTTGTACTCTCATAGGTATTAAATATGTAGATTCCAATATTCACAAGATATGAAATGAGGCATTTGCATTTCCATTTATTTAAATAGCTCCTTCGGTTTACCCTAAATTGTGGAAATATAATCATGATTATAATTTATGTTTAAAAAGTAAGCAAAGTTTACTTTCAGAAAATTGTCCTTTTTATAATAAATTTGTCAAAATAACATGATTGAAACTGCGAATTCTGGAGTGAGACATTTCATGGTGATGTAGTTGCTGTCCTGTGTACTGACTGCATGACCTCAGGCTTCTTCAAGTCTTTAAGCTCGAGTTTTTCAAGTTGTAAAATGGGGATGATATGAGAAACAACCCCCTCATGCCATTATAATACTAAAAAGGATACTTGGAAGTATCTTTTTAATTTTTAAGCCACCAGTAAGTGATGTTTTAAGCCACCAGTGCTATTTTAAGCAACTGGTATAATTTATATCTTGAGTGCCTATTCGTCATCTTCATAACAAATTTGTATTGTACTTGTTTAGAGGAAAACTAACTGGGCTCTCCCATAATGTTTTACAAACAGTTTATAAGAGAGATTTCAAAAGCATATAATTCTGAGCTTACACACATTTTCTCAGAGAATAGAAAATATATCTTCCCAACTCATTTAACGGGAATAACATAGCCTTGATACGAAACTCATTCAGGATAGTTTTGGAAATAACATTTAGAGTCTAACTTAATTGGTTAACAGAGTTGAAAAATTATATAAAATATTTTAGGAAAACAAACCGAGTAATATATTTATAAAAGAATATATAATCACCAAGTTGAAATTATTCCAGAAATAGATCATTATGTTAAAAGAGAATAACCATATCATAATTTTAATGAATGTAGTAAAGTATTTGAGACAGACTTCAACATTCATTCATAATTAAAACTTAAAAAAAAAAATCTATTGGAAAGCTAGGACCAAAGAACTTCTTAATCTAAGACAAGTTATCTTCAAAATAACCAAGAAAAAATTATATTTAATAATCACATATTAAAAAGCTGTCATTTAGGTACAAACATAGGTGTCTACTAAATCAACTTTTATCCAGTATTTTTCTGGAAATCATAAAAATGGCAGTGAAGCTGGAAAAAAGTAAAAGATATAAGCATCAGAACACAAGAAATAAAATTGTCATTGTCCATGTATCATCAAATTCTCTACAAGGAAAATTAAAAAGAGTTTTTTTTTCTTTCTATTCATCTTTTTCTTAGAGGATCTCATCTATTTATATAATTTGCAAAACTAAAACTCTTCTTCAGTATCCACTATGAGCTTCAGTTTTGAATCTTCAACTGCATGGTCAATATCTCTTATTAGATTTCTAACAGCCCTCTTAAAATTAAGATGTCTAAAAATAGTTATTGATTTTTCTCTGACTTAAAATCTGTTTCTCACCCATTATTCCCAGCACCATCTGTATAGAACTCAATCAAAAACCTGTGAGTCATGCTTTCCTTCTCTGCATCCAATCCCACATCTTGTCCTATCGGTTGTACTACCTAATCCACAGCGGCATCACAACCCTAGTCTACGCCATTATCATCTCTCACTTTAGGCTATTTCAAAAGAGTCCCTTTTCATCTTTTTCTGGGTATTCACATGTTGTATCTATAAGCTTACTGCTGCACTTCATGTCCCCCAGAACATTTGCAACAGTTATTGCTGTTTGTGTATCACAGGAGGCGGCTCCATCTTCATACCTCCATTGTCAGCCTAAACTCGTTTTCTTTTACCAGGATACAAATTCCAATACCCTCTCACAATATCATTATTTTTTAAAGATTCTTTCTTGTGAATAATTTGTGTCACCTTTTATGGTTCAAAATTCAGATGTTAGCGTGGCTTTGGTTATGTCAAATCATTTTTTTTCCAGTGAGAGACTTTTTTTCACCAATATAATAGTGTTGTTAGAAGTGGCAATTGGTACTGAAACATATGACAGAGGCAATGGCAGCGTGCCATAGACATGACTAATACAAAAATGTGTTTTTGTAACATTTTGTATTCTCTGTCAAGCTCTTGTGGGTGTAGCGATTCTAGTAAAGCTTCTCTAGGGTCAAATATCGGATCTACAATCACCTGGGGAAACCTTATGCTTCCATGTTGTGGAACCCTTCATAAATTCCCCTCCTCAGTTGCAAACCACGATTAAAGGGCACAATATTATAGCAGTTTAGTTATCAGACATGTTTCTGTAGCTCAACATTTAATCTGACTGAAATAAACTTCATATTTTCTTCTCTGTTGTGCATTTCCTAAATCATTAAATGCACACACACACACATACATGCACACACCCCAAAACAAAAAAGAAAAAACATGTACTTTACTAGGAGGATAACTTCTTCATTGAAAAACCTTGAATGAACTTTGAAAATAAACTGCGCTCTCCAGTTAATCAATTTCAGCTGAATGAAGTTTGCTGTTTGTCTCCTAGTCAGATGAGGTTACTCAGAAAATCAGTGGGAGGTGAATTCATGTTTTAAGAGTAAATTAATAGCTAAATTTAGATAAACACAATATCTCTATCTTCCCAATAAAGTGTTATGTCGTCTGTGAATATTCAGTTCTCTTAGCTTCCTCATCCAATTTTCTTTCAACTGTTGAGTCCTCTGAAAATCTCCCACTTCATTTGAACAGATATGAGAAGAAATAACAATCGAATTGGCAAATTTTCACTCACAAGTAGGAGTAAAGGATGTAAAAACAAAGGAGTGAATGAAAGTGTGAATTATCTACTTTCCATGCTTCTTTTTTAGTCCAGAGGCTACCCTTGAGATATTTTCTATGCTTTGGTTACGGTATTTTATATATCACAGAATTTGATTGTAATTTGTTCACGAAAAGGAGAACCATATCTCAACAGTAAAGTGTTGACTGAATGAAATACTTTGTACTTCGCAATTCAAACCTGCCTAGAAGAATGCAACATTATACCAGAACAGTAGGAGTTAGTTCTTCTAACAATTAAAATAATTTTTAATTACAATAAGAAGTTAAAAGTCCAAGCAAAAGTAAATGTATTTTTAGCAATGTCACAGACAATATTGTTTAAACATGTATCATTCATAGAGTTTGATTCCCATTATAAAAATAATAATATTTAAAGTGCACACACATACATGTACATATCTTGGAGAAATGATTTGACCAGAAAATGAAGGTTTTGCTCAGCTTAGCCATCATCCATTTTGTACTAAATCACTAGATATTCCAATGCATCACTTTTTCCTACCCAAGAAAGAGAGTGGGAAAATATTTCCAAGCAATATAAATATTGGAAATCATCTTAGCTGTTTCTAAATAACATATGGATGTGCAGGCTTGACTTTCACCAAATGGTAAAGTGTGAGTTTTTCATGCTGAATGATTTCTTCATTTCCCATATAACACCCACATAGACATCATTTTAAACTTCATTTTTACAACCTACTTAAGAACATAATGCTTAGAGTTGTTATATTTTCAAAATATAAAACATTAAGCCTTTGAAAATTCTCATTTTTTTGGATGGAAATCTTTTCTCTTTGATTTTTTTTATTATCGTGGAGATCATCAGAAACTACTTAACATAAGGCCATGTTCAAGCCCAGCACTGTCTGGAGAATCTTTAATTTTTTATGCCATTCCTCACTATTTTTTACTTTCAAAAAATCAAACTTACACTGTTTAAAACAGTTACACAATTAAAAAAAACCATATTCTCTCCATCTACATTCAAAAACTGCAAAAACTGTTAACATTTTGCCACTTTTGACTAATCTCTTTGTACGCATACCTAAATACACACATATTTTTATATCAGCGGAGCTCTCTTAAGCATAAGGAAATTCTGCTACATAACAATGCTAAAATTTTTACCCCTAAAATGGTCAATAATAATTTTATGGATCCAGTTTATATGCAAATGTTATCAATTGTCCCTCAGATTTTCCTTAAATCTGTATTTTAAAATTCAGTATTAACTCAAAATTTTATTTTTACCACATTTATGTTTTTTATTTCTTTGTAAAAATTTTTATGCAATAGTTTTAGATTTATGGAAAAGCAGTATAGATAGTGCAAAGAGTTCTATATACCCTCTACATCCCACAGCTTCTCCTAATGTTAATGTGGTATATATAACCATTATCCATTTAATCAAAACAAGAAATTAACATTGGTGTTGATTATTTTTAAATGAAAATTTAAAAATTTAAATATTGCAAAAGATGTTTAAGCCATCTTTCCTGTTTATTTTCCTTGACATTTGATTAAATTGACACTGGATATTAGGTATTTTGAGACATTTTCTTGTGGGCCACTTATGACTTAATTAACTAAAATAATCTTTTGTTTATCTCCATTAATGTTTTTTATAGTTGTATATTTTCAAACACCCAATTTCTTGGTTCTGAGTACCAGAGTAAAATAATACTTATTTTTTTAGAAAGTGCCAGACATATTCTATCATATCCTATGCCTATGGTATTTAGTCTGCCAAGTAGTTCCTTGATATAAATGTCTTATGAAAAAGACCAGGTATGCTCTCTTTCACTCTTAAATACTTTTTCATAACATTTTCTAGATTTGTACTATGATCAATTTCTTGTTCTATGCGCTAGTGACATAATGATGAAGAAGATGTAATAGGTGTCAATTCCAGTGGCAGCTTGTCTCATTGCCTTTACCTGTCACCCTGTAAAAAAGTCAATGCACTTTTATATACTTCCCAAGAATACCACTCCAATGAGCTTATCCTTACTACATAGAGCTTTAGTTGGAGCCTTACAACCCCCCTTTCCTGCCCTTCATAACCTCCATGTATATCAAACCAATTATTCCAGTTATGCTCTAGTCTCACTGTATATTGCTTGATGAATTTAGTCAATCTCATACACCTACAATAGATAGTTAAGGCTTTCATTATTTAGTTTCCCTATCCCAGAAGTAATTGGTTTTGGTTTGAAAAGAGTCTCCTAACATATGTTTTTTTTTAAAAAAAAAAAAAAAAAAGAATGAATGAGATCTTAACAGTAGGATGGCCAGCAAGTGGAGATGACAATTCTTATAATGGGGTGTTAAAACTATCATTACCTCAAATCACCTTGCCTTGGAACTTCATATTGTGCACATACACATACACAAATACATGTGTATGCATCCATGTGTGTACATGTGATTGTGAATTAAATTTTACTAAGATTTTTTTGGAGAAGTAGTGTGAGAATAATGCAAGTATTCGGTAAAGGCATAAAATTTTAACTAGATTAAAAAAATAACTCTAGGGGAAATGTTGAGTGCAGTGAGGAGGACAAAAAAAACCTCATAGGAGTGATTATTTAGGAAGCTATTATAGTTGTCCAGGTGAAAGATATGGAGAGTGCTATCATAATGGAAATGGGGAGTGAGAACATATACGTAAAACATTCCATATATTTTCTGTAGACTTAAAAATCAGCTGACTGCAGCAACCAAGGGAGATTGAGAAAATCATTTTATCTTTGCTACTCTCACTTTTTCATATATCTTCACACTTAATATAAATTCTGTTAGAGTACTGAACTTATTGATTCATAGTCATTTCAATGTCTATTTAACACCAGAATATGAGTTTATATGTCCAGTGATTGCACAGTGCTTGACACATAACATGTAATTATTGTACTATACAGAATATACGATTTAAAAGATCCACTTAGAAAAGTGACAATATAACCTAGTAAAATAAAAAAATATGCCAAAATATATGAAATAGTTTGCAAGTACACAAGTAATGTTCCATCATGTTGTGGAAAAAAAAAATTCTAGAGGAGAGAGTGACACAGAAAAAAGAGCACCAGAAATCTAAAAACAGCGCTTTGTAATTTTTTTCTGAGTATTAGGTCACACATGTACAAAATGAAACTCTAAAAGCCAGGCTAAAAACAACCAAAGAATCATAAGCAGAACAATTCTCAGTGCTCAGACAGGGTGGGAGATATTCACACTCTGAGCAGACATAGTAGAATGACCTTGGCGATCAGCAGGGCATTTGAAATCTTATGAGATACATAGTTTGCTAGTAAGACTGACTTAGCCCCAGAGCAAAGGGTACTCTAAATAGATCAGTATTAGTTTTCAGTAATAAAAGCTTACCACTAACTTTTCAATTTACAGTGACACAAACCTATTATCTGTGTTTCTGTGGGTAATGATTCCAGGAATGGGTTATGTAGCTCCCCTCATCAAGGTCTCACCAGTCTGCAGTGAAGATATCCACTTGATCTATAATCTCATTTGAGGTTTGACATCTTAGAACTTTGTCTACTAACACTGCCCTTGAAAGTTTAAAAATCCAGCAGACCTTCAAGGTATCAAACTAATTCTACCAAAATGAAGCACCCCATTTTAAACATTGTATAAGATAACATTCACATTGGCCAGTATCCAATTGAAATGACTAGACATATCAATAAATGGGAAATTCCAACTGTGATTAAGGTAGAAATAAAACCTCTTCTGTACAAGCTTATATCCAGAAAATAAAGGAGAGGAGAAAAAAAAATTTATAGTGATTTTGTAAGGCCGGCATTATTTGATTAGGCCAAAGCCAAAGACATCATGAGAAAAGAAAATTGCAAACTGATACGTTTTATGAACACAGATGCAAAAATCTTCCAACAAATCAGTAGCAAATCCAATTCAGTAATATACAGAAAGAACATACTGTTACCTAGTTGGGTTTATCCCAAGGTTACAATAGTCATATAACATTTAAAATCAGAGCAGTTCACCATATTAATACATTAAAGGGGAAAATAAGTATATGATCATATCAACAGATGCAATAACCGCATTTTAAAAATCAGTAATGTTTTTAACAAAAATTTGTGCATACTGGAAATAGAAGAAAAGCAACATCATATTTTTATTATACTTGATGCTTATAGGCTGAGTACTAAACTCTAATATTGAGACGTCAAAGCTGTGTGCTCTACTTCTATTCACACTGTACTGAAGGTCCTAACCTGTGCAATAAGGCAAATTAAATAAATGTTAATGTACATGTTAGAAAGGAAATAGTAAAACTAGCTTTATTAATAGGCTAAGTGAACATTTCTTTAAAAATGGTAATGAATCTATAATAAAGCTAGTAGAACTAATGAATGACTTAGGAATATCAAAATGATCTTCCTTATACAGAAATCAATTTTATTTTTCTATGCTTGTAAAGATAATTTAGGAATTTAAATTAAATATAACCTTTAAAATTCATCAAAAGTATGAAATAGATATGGGAGAATTTAATAAAATATGTGCAAGTCTCATATAAAGAAACTATAAACATTGCTGAGAGAAATTCTTAAAGAGCTAAATAAGCTGAGAATGTAGCTTACTTCAAGGGTTAAAAGATTCAATATTTTAACATGTTAATTATATCCAAATTAACCTACAGATTCAATACGTTTCAACTGAAATTATAGCTGTCACTTTGAAATATTAATAATCTTATTTTAAATAATATAAAAATGTAAAGATAATAGTCATAACAACTATGAAAAAGAAGATTCATGTCAGAATATCCGTAGTACCTCTGTTGTGAAGCTTTACTGTAATACTAAAGTATTAAAGACAGCATGAAATTATCATAATGATAGACAAATAGATCAATGGAACAGAATACAACCCAGAAGTAGATCAACTTGTATATTTTCATCAACGATGCCAAGTTAATTACCTTGGAGAGGCAATAATCTTCAACAGATAGTTCAGGATCAACTTTATATCCTTCTGGAAAAAATGTATATCTTGAGCCTTACCTCACACCACACAGTGAATATTAACTTGAAATAAATTATACTCTTAAATGTAAAAAGTGAGACTACAACATATCTAAAATAAAACATAGAGGAATGTTTTCACAGACTTGAGTAGCAAATATTTCTTAGCTGAGACACACGAAAACCACAAACCATAAGAGAAAAAAAAAAAAAAGAAAAATTGGCTTTCATCAAAATTAAACCTTCCACTCTTCACTAGACAATTTCAAAGAATGGCGAACCCCAGACTGGAATGAAAATATTCACAATGAATATATCTGATTAAAGTTTGAATCCAAACGTATATAAAGAACTCCTACAATTCAATTTTAAGAGTCCAAACAAACCAATAAAAATAGGTAGAAGAATCGAACGGATATTTTATACACACACAAGGATATACCAATGACCATTAAGCATATGAAAAGATTGTCAATATCACTAATCATCAGCAAAATGAAGATTGGAAAGCAATACCATTACACACACAGAATGCCAAACATTAAAAGGATTCTTAGTATCATGTGACTGAAGCTCTCATGCCCTCTTGAAGCTTACATTCTAGTGGGAAAGATGGTTTGAGCAAGAAAGTGCTTAGATGGCTATTAAGGGAAAAAAATGCAGGCATCAAGGAAAGCTTAAAATAGGGTGGACATACAGATATGATAGATGAATTTTGGCAAAGGGACATGTAAGTTATACACTGACACAGGAATGGGTTAGTTATATTTAAATGAATGCAGATATGAGTGATTCCTGAATGTTGCCATACAGTAAGAAACCAAGGTAGAAAATGGTATGGTGAATTAACAGGAACTGAAAACACTTAATATGGCTGCACCAAGATAGAGGATAGTAGGAAATGGGGGCAAGGCAAAAATAAGATTAGGAAGAACTTTATAATTCACTTTATAAAGGAATATATAGTAGTAGGTAGAAGATGGGTTTGTGGATGATTATTATTTTTAATTTACTTATAGATTTTTGCATATTCTCATTTTTCTAACAAGATCCAAATAATCAAGCATAATTAATACCATGATAAAATTTGTGAATGGTTATATCTAAGCAGTGAGATTGTTATTCACCTAATTATAACTATAAGTTATGTTTATATAGACTACAAAACTGTGTTTACATGAAGTAAAATATCAGTTACTGTTAGTGAAATATATATAAATTTATGAATATGTATTAGTCTATTGCTACATTTTATAACCCATGATCGATCTCACTTAATATTTTCATAAAGCCACTTTCATTCATAACAAATTCTCATTTAAGCCATCAAGCTATGCTGTATAATCAATCATAAGGACTAAATTGATAAATCTGTCAATAGCTAAATCCTTCTTGAGAACGCTAACTCTGCTTCAAATAAGGAATGAGAAATAAAGCAATTTAAAAAGTGGTAGCTATTCGTAAATATTACCAAGATGAATATGATTAGTAGGATTTCTAGGTTAAATGGTATTTGTACTTTTATGGTTTTTAATACACAATGCCAATTTGCTCTCCAGAAATATATTACTTACCTTTGAAGAAATGGGCAATATTAACTTTTGCCCTTTGGTAGAAAGAAAAATAACATAAGAACTACAATAATTATTATAATAATAGTGGTAGTCAACACATGTAGTGCTTCCTGTGCAAGGGCTACTGTTCTAAGGCACTACTTATAGGTTAACTCAGTTCTCATTGCAATTTCGTAAGCTAGTATATTAGTTACATATTGCTGCATAACTATCCCAAAACTTTGTGGTATAAACAACAATGTAAATTTATTATCTCAGTTTCTGTGGGTCAGGAATTTGGGAGAAGTAATAATCTGGATATTTATGATGTTACAATGAAGATGTAGGTTATTTAGTGTAGTTGCAGTTATCAAATAACTACAGGTATTTGAAGGCTTGACTTGCGTAGAATATCTGTTTTCAAAGTGGTTTACTTACATGGCTCCCAAGTTGGTGCTGGCTATTGGTAGGAGATCTTGGTTTCTTACATGTGGACCTTTCCTCTGGGCTGCTCGAGCATCCTCATGATGTGGCAGCTGGCTTTTCCCAGGGCAGATGATCCAAAAGAGAGCAAGGCAAAGTCACAATGCCTTTTACGGCATAGCCTTAGATATCACACTTTGTTATTCTGCAATATCCTAATGGTTATATGGTTCATCCCCATTCTGCTATGTAGGAGGGAACAGCACAGGCATGAATACCAGCATGTAAGAGTTATTTGGGGCAATCCTGGAGGCTGGCTACCACAGACAGATTATATTATCATTTCAATTTTACAGATGAGGAAACAGATCCAAAATATATATATATATATATATTTTTTTAATGCAGAAATGGTGCCATACTAACTGGTTGAGACAGTACTTGAATCCACATTCTCTGTCTCCAGAATGTGTGCTTTTAAGAGATATGTGGTATTGCCTTTAATTCTTCATTAAAATTTTAAATCTTTATTTATTACACAGAGTTGTACATTCTTGTATTTTTTGTTTAATTTTTGCATTTGTATATAAAATTTATCCCTGTGCCCTTATTTTCTGTTTGGCGATTTTTTAATGAGTTATAGGGATTTTTTATATTCTGAAATTAGTAGCAATTTGGCTTTTTATATGCAGTCATGTGCTGCGTAACGACGTCTCAGTCAACAATATACTGCATACACAGTGGTGGTTCCGTAGAGTGTAATACCATCTTTTCACTGTACCTTTTTCTATGTATAGACATGTTTAGTTACACAAATGCTCACCATTGTGTCACAATTGCCCACAGTATTCAGTACAGTGGTATGCTGTACAGGTCAAAAATAGTGTGTGGATAGTACATGATTGGAATGTCAAACTGATTTTATTTTTGGAATCTGCTGATGTGAATATCATATTGAAGAGTTGTGTGGGCTGTTTGGGGTGGTTGAAGTTGGTGATGTTGAAGAAGGACAATTCAGAGTAGGTAAGGACTCCAACAAGACAAAACATTTGGCTCAATTGTCTCATAAAATAAAGCTTACTTTGCATTAAGAATTCCTTTTAAAGTGCATATTTCTCTTGGTGAAACTGAAATTTCAATCTTTTTTATATGTTAGTTTATTTGGGTTATTAAGTGAATATCTAGTTGATAGTAGCATCTGCCTATTTGTCTGTCTGTCTGAAGGTCTCTCAATCTCTTATTCCATAAAAATAGACATTTGGGAGGAAGAGGGAATGAAGATTAGGTTGTTATGCGAGACTTCTAAAAGATAACCAGTGGCCAAAAAGTGGGTTCTAAATGCCTAATTCAAGGGATGATTTTATGTATTTTATTGTATTTATTTATTTTTTTAAATAATTTTGTCCAGAGTAATGGTTGCCAAAACAGTTTTAACAGATTTTTTTTTTTTTTTTTTTTTTGGAGATGGGGTCTCACTCTGTCACCCAGGCTGCAGGCTGGAGTGTGGCAAGATCTCAGCTCACTGCAACCTTCGCCTCCTGGGTTCAAGCGATTCTCCTACCTCAGCCTCCCAAGTAGCTGGGATTACACCCATTAGCGTGCACCACCATGCCCAGCTAATTTTTTATTTTTAGTTTTAGTAGAGATGGGCTTTCGCCATGATGGTCAAGCTGGTTTCGAACTCCTGACCTCAAGTGATCCGCCCACCTTGGCCTCCAAAAGTGCTAAGATTACAGGCGTGAGATTATATGTGACAATCATAAATTTGGCTCTGGGTTTTTTTGGTCTGGGAGGATCAGGCAAATTGTAGCATCTTTCCTCATTGGTAAGGGAAGAGTATGGGTGGGCTCACATAAATGCACATTTCTATGTATTATTTATTTTTATCAAACAAAACTTTACTTGTTATGAGGATTTATAGCTTACTGTATGCTTTCCTGAGTCACTTCAATTGAAGTTAACAGCTTTAGTTTCTTACAGCTTTATTGTGGTATATTTGATAAATAAAATTGTATAAATTTAAGGTGTACAATGTGATGATTTGATATACATATGCATTATGAACTTATTTACCCAATCAAGTTAGTTAGCACATCCATCACCTCACATAGTTCCCTTTTTAATGTGTGTGGTTAGAATATTAAAGGTCTACTTTCAGCACATTTCAAGTATAAAATATAGTATTGTTAACTACATAAGAATTACAGCGTTTTGTGATTTATAAAAATAACTATGCATTTTTT
This sequence comes from Homo sapiens, assembly GCF_000001405.40. Classification (NCBI taxonomy): domain Eukaryota; kingdom Metazoa; phylum Chordata; class Mammalia; order Primates; family Hominidae; genus Homo; species Homo sapiens. The sequence goes on along the minus strand of NW_025791754.1, from coordinate 233,600 downwards.
TATCTAATTTGCTGCAAGGTATAGCTGGCCAAAGACTTAACATACTTACAGGCAAGGGATTCAGACTCATGCCATGTGACTCCAAATCCAATGATTCTTTAAATCAAGCACAGGGCAACATTGAATACATTTTCCTACTTTATATAGCATTTCTGCAAGTGCTGGGGTTACATTTTAGTCTTCATAGAATGCGTGATTCAAAAGTTTATTTTTTTGATTTAAAGACACGAATTTCCTGAGGGTTACAGTAAAAATGATGTATAATAGAAGATATACTTGGACCCTGTCATCACTCCCGATGATTCCAGTCTTATTTATACTGTTCAGCCCATAAAGTATCCAAATTCAATCTTCTTTCCATTTTGCTTATTCAATCACCCAGTGCTATAAAACACTCTCCTTCCACCTCATCAACTCATCTAATGCAGTGTTATTCAAAGTGTGGTCCAAAGACCAGTTTCATTCCACAGACTTTTATCAAGCTACAACATGATAAATACAGCAATTGAGAGCAGCATTTTAGAAATTTTGATAGCGATTTGACATTGCCATGACATCCAAATGCATAATTAGTGGACTGTCTCTTTGGAAAACATATAGACTACTAAGCATATACATAGTTTGGGCTATATCAAAATCATAGGTGAATCACATATGGCATGAGCTGCCTATGTGCTTGCAATGGGTTACGACCTGTTCTTTCTTTTTATTTTACAATTAAAAAGAAAAAGAAAACTGGCCCTTCATCACAAATAGCTTGAGAACCATTATTCCATTTCATCATCAGTTTAGAGTCTTCCTGTGCCTCAGTTCCATTTCTTCTCTTTTTCCCTCTCTAAGGAACCTGAACTCCCTAGTCTGCCACTTCATTCAGTCAGCCACATGTCAGTGTTCTGACTTCCTTTGTTTTTCATTTTTTTCCCATAGCTTTTGATCAAAAGTAAATACACATGCAAACAAACAAAATTCCATGTACGCTGATCCTTTTTTTTTCACTCCTTGACTGGCACTCCTGGAAAAACAATAATACTCAGTGGGTCAGATTGTGTTACCATAAACTCATGTTCAGGCAGCTCAAAGCGGCCCTTAACGTTGTGTTTTTTTGTTTTTTTCTTTTAATCAAATTATTCTCTTGCTCTTGTAATTACTATTTCAAATTTATCTCATTTTCTAATACACAGAGATATGGGAAGCCAATACATGAAAACTTCCTTAAATTTTGCAACTTATTTTCCAAATGTTAATTTATGTTCACTTATTGCTTCCTGCTTTTTCCTATTATAATTGATGGATTTCCTTTCCATATCTTTGCTGAGTGCCCAATTACCTCATACCCTATCAGCAACCTCAGCAATATTTTTCCTTCCTTAATCTTTAGATTTCTTTCTTTCTTAATATATTTGTGTAAACATTTCCGTTTCTTCCTACCTCTCCAATTTTATTTTTACGAAATTCTGCATACTTTCTTCACCTTTCAAACAACTTTTCTTAATTATCTTTAAAATATTTGGTTAAACAGGCCGGGCGCGGTGGCTCACGTCTGTAATCCCAGCACTTTGGGAGGCGGAGGTGGGCGGATCACAAGGTCAGGAGATCGAGACCATCCTGGCTAACACAGTGAAACCCCGTCTCTACTAAAAATACAAAAAAAAATAAAAAATAGCCGGGTGTGGTGGCAGGCACCTGTAGTCCCAGCTACTCAGGAGGCTGAGGCAGGAGAATGGCATGAACCTGGGAGGCGGAGCTTGCAGTGAGCCGCGCTCGCACCACTGCATTCCAGCCTGGGGGACAGAGGGAGACTCCATCTCAAAAATAAATAAATAAATAAATAAATAAATAAATTTGGTTAAACATTATTTCCTTAAGTGAGGCTTTTTTCATTCCCTCAGAGCAGGCAAAGTATCTGTATATCCTCTTAATACATATGCATTTACTTTCTTTTTACCATTTATTGCAGTATTTATTTGCTACTAATAAATCTTCCAGAAATCTTCCAAAATATTTTTGAATCAGTCATTCAAATTATTTTAGTTCAGCTACAATATTGTGTTTTGTGGTTGAAAAGGAATGAAACTGATCTCAAAGGCAAATTTGCCTACGTTCTCTCAAACTTCACTATTACACGACAGGTGTTCGGGGAGCTTGGTGGTTGTGTTTTCTCAGTCATCAGTTCAGTGTAATGGATGCTCCAGCCATTTGTTCATCTGGTAGCAAGTGGTCATCTTTAAGTGGTTTCTACAGAGGGAAACACTGCTACATTCTGTTACCTATTTTAAGTGCTGGTTAATCAATTTTAGAGTCGTATAGCTTTTGTAGAGTCCTTTGTAGATAGTTTGAATTTAATAAGTAATAAATTCAGCCAAGTTACTTCACTGTTCTGAATATCTGATTGCTTATCTGAAAACTACTTAACACAATATATATCATAGAACTTTTGAGAGGTTTAATAATATATATATATAACTTAGCATGAAAGCAGAAATATTATTTAGTATTATTATTTTATTACTAAAAAGAAGCTTCAGTAAGTATCTTCGATACTATCAGAAGCTGATAAAGTATACTCTTGGTTAGAACCTAAAGAAATTGGAGGAAAATAATTTTTCAAAAATATTAAGACTGCTATGTATTTATGAGAGGTATAAAAGAAAAGGAGGTTAATGAAATTAAAACTGTTCTGCACTAGGGTAGAGGAAATTTGAGCCCCCTTTTGAGTATTTAATAGCCTGAAACATCAAAAAAGATTATATTTATTGTACTAAAATAAGTATTGAAGCAACTGGAAAAACAGAAACGTGCTTTTTACTTGTGTTATTGAAATGAAATAAATCTGTTTTACAGAAAATTGCAAATCTCAAATTGGGTTAGATTCTATGCATTTAATAAGCATTCTTATAGTTAGATCTAGTGAAACTAAGTGACTTTTAAGGATTTACTTAAATCTATTCTTAGCCATTTAGTGGTTGAATGCCTCACAATCTGAATTGGCAAAGTTTCTGACGTGTTCATATGCACGCGCACGCATGCACACACGAGTGGTTATTTTATTGATTAAAGTAACAGGATCAAAATAAAACTCACTTGATTGCAAGACATTATCTATTCTCATATAAGAAAAAGATACAATTTTTTGTAGCAATAAACCCACTCTTGCTTGCAAATAGAATCTAATAAGCAAAGGATATGGGAAAGATTTTATAATGCAATTTAATCAGTTGTTCTATTTAATAAACTTTTTCCCCATAAAATAAAAATGACTAACATTTAGATTTTAAAATCCACCCTGGTTCGTTTTTCTATTTAAAAGCCATTTTCCAAAGGATATTTGATTTCTGTAAATTAAAACCCAGCACTAGATTGGTTTACTGCACTTTCCACTATTTACTGTTTTCCAAAGAGCTGTTACCTAGCAACTGCATGGAAGAGGTTTCTAGTACTTTAAATCACACAAAAGCTCAGAATATAAGGTGATGTAGACCTTTAAGAAAATATTCTGACTTGTTTTAAAGTAACTATCAATTTTATTTTTCATAAAGTAAAAGGGACTTGAAGACAATTTTGATTCATATTTATCAATGCATTTGCATCTCAATTGTAATTTTTTATTTTAGAAGCTTTTAAACTGAAAATGACAGACATTAGAATAACAAAGAAGAAATCAATAATCTCACAAAATACTACTATTTTAAAAGTCATATGCTTCTAAAACTCTTTCCCACCTGTTGAGGCAGTTTCTATTGACAATTTGATGCTTATCTTTACACACTATTTTCTGTGCATATCCAGACACACATACAGGCATACACATGAGCATTCTTGCAGAATTCAGCATTTTTACAAAAGTGAGACCATGTTTTTAATTGAATAACAATGGAATTATGCTATATTGTTTTGCCACTTACGTTTTAAAAGTATACTGTTGGCATTTGTTTCAAGATAGTTTATTGAAATCTATCTTTTGATTTTAATAACGCAGGATTGTGATGATCCATAATACTTGTTTAGAATTCTAATTAGCATTTTATACTCATTTTCTATTTTTTTCCTCAGACAATTCTATGAGGTAAACACTACTGTAATTCACATTTTAGAGATAAGGCCTGTTAGGCCTACAGATTAAGAAATTTGCCCATGGCCTGGCACACTCACTGGTGATACCACTTGACCACTTGATCTCATGTGCTTATGTCTTAACAAGCAATAGTGAAGAAAGATCTAAGTCAGAATAAACAGAAACTTTAAATGGATGAGAAGAAAATACAAGATAAGATGCATGTACATATATCTTGTATTTTCTTCTCTCTCTCCATATATACAGAGAGAGAGAGAGAGAGAGAGAGAGAGAGAGAGAGAGAGAGAAAGTCTCACTGTATTACCTAGGCTGGAGTGCAGTGACACAGTCTTGGCTCACTGCAGCCACTACCTCCTGAGTTCAAGTGATTCTCCTGCCTCAGCCTCCCGAGTAGCTGGGATGACAGGCATGCACAACCACGCCTGGCTAATTTTTTGTATTTTTGGTAGAGACTGGGTTTTGCCATGTTGGCCAGGTTGGTCTCAAACTCCTGACCTCAGATGATGTGCCCGCCTCCAGCTCCCAAAGTTCTGGGATTACAGGCATGAACCACCACACCCTGCCACATATAATTTTTAAATAGGAAACACTTTCTTCAACAAAGGAGGGGAATTAGAAGCTAGAAGGAAAAAAAATGACAGATTTATATTTGATAAAGAGTTGTCCTTCTTTGCATAATCAAAGCTGTGCTTTTGCTACATATGTTGTCTCACCAACAAGAAGAAAAGAGTTTAGGGAAAGTGATTTTGTATACAAAAAGTAATCCAGAGTTTATCCATTTCTGCACATTGTCCCATCAGACAAACCCTAGTAATGTGGCCATATCTAAAAGGGAAACTGAGATATGTAATTTCTACCAGAGCAGCCATGAATCCAGGTAAAATATGAAAGTGGGGTGGGGGGAATAAGAGCGTCTATTACTAAAAAGAAAGAAAGAGAAAATGAATACTGGGGGAGGTAGTAGTTTTAGCGATGGTTCTAGTCTTTAGGCACCCAAGTAACCATGCATAACATTATATATATATAATATATATATATAATTATATATACAATGTTGTTTACATATTATATATTGATTTAGTAGATATTATATTACATATTGTATTATATATTAAATTATTATATATTATATTGCTGTTTCATATATATTACTTACATATATAATGTTGTTTGTCTATATAAATATATATAATACATAATGTACATGGTTTCTTGGGTGCCTAAAGGCTTGAACTATGGTTAAAACTACTCTCTCCCCCAGTATTCATTTTCTCTTTCTTTCTTTTTAGTATGTCTATTAGCCATTTACTGGCTACTATAAATGGCATTCATATAGCGCCACTAAAACTTGGAGTATTTGACATAGGGAATAAATGAGAAAACACTCATCCATTCCCTAAGACAAATACTCCAAGTTTCATCAAATGACACATCCAGCTCAAAGTTCAGGATATCTGGAAAATGTAAAGTTGGATCTAGATGTGGCTCCTAATAATCTAGCAATATGCACATTAATAAATTTGCTAAGTGGTCCCAGGACCACTACCCCATACAGATACACAATAGTAGAGGAAGAAAGTTGTAATAAAATAATGGTTTTTGGAAAACAGAAGAAGGAAATGCACAGTAGTCATTGGTCCATAGTATGTCCTTTGGCACACGAATTGAGAAACCTCCAAAGCAACATATAAAATTCCTTAATTAAACCTTGATTCTTCTCTTTACGGAGTAATTCCTTTGTCCATTCATATTCATGGCTCACTATTCTCTGTGGCCACTCTTGAAGTTGAAATTCGAGTGGATTTCTTCTAGGCCTCTCTATGTGTCAGTAACTGTGTTCAAAGTTCTTTTCTAAGAACCTTGTTAAACCTGACTTACTGGATTTTGTTGCCCTGTCCATATCACCATCTTTCTTGCAATGGTGGATACCTTGGTATCATCTGAAACAAGTTTCAATGTGAAGGCAGCACTGCACTTTAATCTGATTTTGTCACAGGTCTGTCTTTATTGGTCTGGCTGGGAAGTCTAAATTAGAGGCCTCTGATAAAGGCTCTGAAAGGGAATGTCATCTCCTGCTATTTAGGATACAGTTCACTTTTTCAATTCTGCAAGTGTTCATTTTTATACTTTTTATTAGATTTTTGATCACAAGCAAACAATGTACTACTTAAGAGAGTTCTATTCCCTTCTCTTTCTGCTTGCAAAGTGATCAGTTCTTACCTCAGATCAGCTCTCTATGTATTGCTGACTAAAATCAGCAAGGTGCTGTGAACAAACATTAGTATACTTGCCCTTTTCAACCACCTCTTCTAAACATCTCTCCATAGGTAGGTGGTTTTTGCATACAAAGAGGAAAATGGGTAGTAGGGAAAAATAGCAGTTACTGTTATTGATGTATTTCTACAGTATGCATTTCTATATTATCTAAATTTTGTGACTGTCTCTTCTATTTTTAATTAGAAAATTATTTGATAAAAATTGGCAGTTTTTGACTTGAAATTCTCCCCCCCACCAAAAAAAATGTATCTGATAAACCTGAAAATGTACTCTCTCTCCCAGCTCACCGTCACTCTCTCCAACACTGCTTGGTCATACTATCTGATGATGTTTATGCCCATGAAAAGGATTCTTTTGATGTTCTAGAATAATGTTTCTGTAATTTCCATTCTTTCAGTGTTCTTGCTCAGCTCATCCTAGCTCAGCAACCATTCTAGGGTTGTAACTTAGATCATATCATTACCAATAAACGTCACTCCTCTGTCATCTCCAATCCTAGTGTGTCCTTCTCTGACCACCACTTCCTATCTTTGTAGTTCACTCCCTCTAATGAAGAACTTCAACTATCTTTTGACCATACAAGACCTACAATTCATTGTCCCTACCAAATCTTCACTGCCATTTACACCCATAGGTCTTGTCTTCCCTTCTTAGCCTGCTTGAATGTCATGGCACATTATTAATAACCTACATCTTCGATTACACTTGTGACAGTGTTTATGTGGTTTGTGGGCAATAGGGAAACAACTATGAGGAAGCGGGTCAGAAAGTAAGCTGACCTAATGATTAATGCTGAATGGTGCTGCAAGCTTGTTTTATTTCATTTCTCCTCCTTCTTTCTTTTTTAATTGGTTTAATAAAATTTATAGGGATGGTTTTATTTTAGTTGAATGTGTCAAGAGTGACCCAAATTATGTAATCAAGTCTTACAAGGTGGAATGCTAAAGAGTTGGAAAACATGAAAACCAATTAGAAAGTTGTTAGCCTAGAGGAAAGAACATCAGAGTTTGAATAACAGTCCACAATCCCTTAGCTGTAATTCCAAAACCAGGAATCTCTGCAACATGAAAATATTTTTGTAGTCTTGGTGGTAAAACACGAAATTATCTGAAATTATTTGGTGGTAGTTCCTGCACTGAACTGCCATGAAGCTATTTAACCCTTTATTTTTTCTACTTAGTATAAATATTCAAACATTTAGCTGCAGAAACAATGATATTTTTAGGAATAGGTTGTTCCTTGGATATGTTATATAGTGTCTGGTAGATGAAACATATTGCCTTTCTAAAATCTGAATATTTTTTAATTCTGAAATTTGATATCTGAGCCTTAAGAATTATGGATGTATTAGAAACCTGTAGTAAGTAGTGAGAATGACAATGGGAAAAAAAGAAAGAGAGGGGAATTTGATTGTATAATCCATAAACTTTGGCTATTATAATGTATTGGGAAATGAGGGGCAGTTAGAATGAAGGAATATTTTCAGTATTTTAATTCAGGCTGAGGATTAGTGGTTAGTTCTAAAAAATGTCCCAAGAGGAAGGATGGATTTGGACCTAAGAGGACAAGTCTAGATATAGAAGCAGTTCTATTTTTCAGATTGAGTTTTAGCTCTCTGTGATGCATGCAAATAAAGATTATTATCCAGTTGAATATTATATCATATCTTTTTCCTTGTATTTTCCATTCTTAGAAATTAAATAGCTTTCTTAATGAAAAGAGTACTGAATTTACATTTGTTCTAACAAAGGCTTTCATGATAATTATATATTAACTTATTTATCTAAAAATGGTTATTTTCTCTGATCCAGTACTCTCTTTTTATAATAAATATTTTGCAACACTTCCTACACTATTTTGAAATGAAATTCAGAGTAAATATAACTATCTATACACATAAAGTATAAAAAGTTAGTATAATATTCTAATTCTAATATGAAAGAGAAAAAATGGAAATAATAATAAAAAGCATGTTTTTTTAATATGTAAACACTCAGGCATGAATAAACAAGAAGACAGTGGGAAAAAAAGACACTTTTACCAATGACAAGGTGCTAGGTTTTGACTGATACATATCATATATTAATTTTTATTAATGACTTACATACAATGCTAAACATAATAAAGTAAAATTTCTCTTAATTTACACCGCAGTTGCATCCCTAGATAATTCAGTGTACAAAGGAACAGTGCATACATACTTTGTGTTTATGTGTAAAATTGCCACCATTGATGGTAGTACATATACTTATTGTTGAAAGGGCTGATAGACACTGTAAAACTTTTACCAAATGTAGAAAAAAGACACATGCAAATACAAAAATGACTATCGAAATGTAGGAATCTTTTGCTTCCTTCTAATTTTCTCTGATTAGTACAGTTTTTGAAACATTAGCCACTGCAGCAAAATCTTCCCACAGCCATTGCCCCCCAAACTCAGATGCACACATTTATTGAAGAAAAGGGAGGAGACCTAATTATTTTTTTTACTTTTTTAACTATTGAAGGAAAATACAATGAGATATTTTCAAAGTATAACACATCCATCACATTTTCTCACATTCCCCTACTGAAAGAAATATGGTTTGTGCACTGTAGTAAGGAAAAGTTAATAATTGCATGCTACATTGCATATATGGTAATCATACCTTCCAAATTTTCTGTTACAGTTTGAAATTTTAACAATTCTATGTGGTAATAAATGTACATATTTTTCTCAGATCATCTGTTCTAATTTTTGATTTGAAATTTATGGGTTCCCTATGTATTGATATCATATGATTCTACAGTAATAACATTCCGGGTTTAGCAGTTTTGTCACTCTATTTTCACAGATTGGGCATACACACTCAAAATTATTTTGAGATAATATTGAAATGATAGTTTAAAAACACTCTTCTTTTGCAAATCTTATGTACACTTCCCTGCATTCAAAATTGTATCTAGAATCTGCTTGCCTTTCCTGCAAAGCAATAAATAATCTGGTTATGTATTTCAAAAACATTTTATGTCAATTATAATATATTGACAAGTGGGTGTGGGGAGAGAGATTATCAGTAGAAACTTGATATTTTTGTATTTTTGAGTAAATCCTGACATATATCCATAGTATATATTTTCTTCCATAAAATGTGAAAGAGAAACAATAAAAAATGAAAGCAAAATAAAAAGTAGTATGCTATCTCATGTACTAAATCATATTATAAAAACAGGGCAGAACGAAAGTCAATGTTTGTCCAGAGCATTTGCTAAACCATTTCCCATGTAACCTTTTCTTCTTTCTTCATAAATTGTATGGTGTTATGTATTCATTTTATAGATCTAGCTCACTGACAAATTTGATCTTCTATTTCTTAATTTTGCTAAAAGTGCTACTTTTCTGCCTAAGAATATGTATTTTCTTAGAATTTTAAACCTTCTCTTTATTTTTAATACCAGCTATACTTGTTTATTTGGGAAAACAGGTTTTTGTTTTTTCCAAAATAAACACTATTTAATCACTTTTTAAAAACACGACTTCTGTAGAAAATAGAATATCTGGCATCTGAGCCCTCATTCCTGCATAACAATGCTTGGCCTGAGTAGCATCATTCTCTTTAGATGTGGCCTGCACTTTCCCATGTGCTCTCATTTCTAGCACTATTATTTTTATGTCATTGAATTTCAGCAGCCATTTATTATGTTTTCTGGTTGGACCCTATCATCTTTTGGGTTTATGACTTTTAGGAATTTGGAGTTAAAGTACAATTTTAATTTCAATTTATTTTAGCAAATTCTATTGCTTGATATTACAGTTATTTTCATAGTATCAAATATATTTCTTCTATGCTAGGCACATATTATCTGCTAAATCTTTTAATAATTACTTTCTAAAATTTATGCTGTGTCATTATGAATTTGATATATCAGTACTCTTCTAAATCAGTACTGTTGTATTTTATACTATAGAATTATCAGAACAAAAGGAGACTTTATAAAGTATTTGAAATATTTTAGACCACACCTCAAACCCACCTGCTAGGCATAGGAAGATTAAGCATTTTACCAAAAGTTGCCAATTTTGTTAAGACAGGGTTAAGCATTTTAGCAAAGGTTGCTAAATTTGTTGAGACAGGAGTGACCCCCAAGCCAATCACTTAACCCATACTCCAGTACTCTTTCTTAGGAGATATATTTCCTGGGGATAAAATTGCACTTGTAAAAACATCTCTAAAACAAGTATGTTTATATTGAGACTTTTACCATTTTATTCATTTTGTTTTATTTTTTACATTTTATTACTCTCCAAAGGTAAATTATTCTAATTTACCTATTTTATTTCAAACAGATCATGTTGTTTGTGAAGAAGAGTTTAAATACGCCATGTTAGCTTTAAACTGTATATGCCCAGCAACATCTACACTTATTACACTACTGGTTCATACCTCTAGAGGGCAGTAAGTATATTTTTTCTTTAAGTTAACCTTTTAAATTATATAAAAAACAATAAGGGCAGTTATGTGATTTAAAAATATAGAAGGCCTACGTATACAGCTAGATATGTACCTATACTTGAATTTGTGTGAGTTATCTTTATCTGGTAGATAAATAAAGACATGTTAAAGAATCCAAGACATACAAAAAGTGAGTAATTTGCTGTCTTTTCTCAGTAGTCTTGAGATAGTTTGTTGCAACTTATTAGTAAATTCTAAGTGCCGGCATCATTTGTTAGGCCTAGGATTAGGACATTATTTTTATTTTAAAGATGAATACTTCTGCAGCAAATGAAACATTTAATTAAAGGATTCTCACAGTTATTAGTATAAGAACTTAAAGTCAAATTTTTCTGTTCCTGAGGTAAGTTTTATCTGAAAGCTTAATGTACACAATTGATGTCAAAATGGCAATTTTATAATAGAATAATAACAAAGTAGTTGTATAAAATTAGCTAATGCAGTATAAATCACTTTTTATATGCATTTCAAGGTTGGAGAAAGTTGTACCATTAGAACCTTTTTTATTCTTGTTTGTTTATTTTGATAGAGTTTTATGAAATACAGAAGTTGTTTTTGACTAGGATGATCAAAGAAAATATAACTAGTGAACATAGTCATTGCTCTTATTTAAAGAGACAAATGTACTTCATTTCATATCTTGTCATATTTCTAATCTTATATTTCAGACAAAATGTTGATTTTCGAAGTAAATTCCACTTATGCTAGTGGTTATGATTACTCATATTAAGTAAGTTAATTGATAATTGTTTAGGTGAAGTGTCAAATCAAATAAATCCAGAAAAAGGAAAATTCTTTTTTGAGATTTATTTATAGATGGATAAGTTGTTAATTTAAAAGTAGTAAATACTCAGTGTTATATAAATTAGATTTTACTGTCTTACTTCTGACTGCCTAATTGGGATGGTAAAAGTTTCTTAGGAGCAATTTTCTCAAAGTTGTGAATAGGAATATTTCTATTCTATATACTTACAAGCCTTTAATCTGTGCAATAGGAAGGATGTAACAGGATTAGGAATGACGTTTATCTTCTTTGCAGAAAGTGTTTGTCATTTTGATGCAATTAAATAAAGTACTAAAAATTATTTTAACACCAATTAAGTGAACATTCATAGAACTCATCAAGTGTCTTCATTATTTTTCCGTAACGTCTTCGTACAGACTCAGACAACTGTAATGATGACTATCTAGGCAACTTCATTGTTGTATACATGAGTGATAAAATAAGTCCCATAAACACTATATAACACAGCTCATTACTCATGACTGAAGTTAAATTTCGTTGTGCATCTCCTAGTAAATATTATTTATTGACAAACAGTATTGCCTGGTGAAAAAGAATTATACTTCACATAAGTTAAAAAAAGATTTTAGTGATCCTTAGAATAAGACGTTTCCCAACATACTCTAATGAATTTTGCCTTATTAAAAAAGAAAGCAATGTTGTTGAAAACATTGTTATATAATTAAGGATTTCCTTTAAATAAGAGTGACTTGCAAAATTATTTTACAACTGTGTCACAGTAAATGCTATCATCCACCATAATAACTTCTTATAGTAGATTTATTGAAATAAAACTTACATACTATACAATTCACCCATTTAAAGTGTACAATTCAATATGTTAAAAGTATATTCATAGAATTATCCAACCATCACCATTAAATGATTCCAGAACCACATAAAGAAATTATCTACCCTTTAGCATCACCCTACATTTTCCCCCCACCAATTCTTGCAGCCCTAGGCAACCACAATCTATTTCTGCTTTTATAGATTTACTGCAGCCTCCACAGTAGCTGGGACTATAGTCATGAACCACCATGCCAGGCTTTTTTTTTTTTTTTTTTTTTTTTTTTTTGTAGTGACGGGATTTTGCCATGTTGCCCAGGCTAGTCTCGAACTCCTGGGCTCAAGTGATCCATCTGACTTGGCCTTCCAAAGTGCTGGAATTACAGACCTGAGCCATTAGGCTCAGCTGAAATCATTTTAGTATATTTGGTAATACAGTAAATAAATGAACGTAAAGAATTTTAAATAATTTGGTTTTGCTTTAGATTCAGGGGATATATGTGCATGTTGGTTACTTGGGTGCATTGCATAATGGTAGAGATTGGGCTTCTAGTGTACTGGTCACCCAAATGTTGAACATTGTACATAATGTTTTTCAAGGTTCATTCATATTGTAATATGCACCAGCACTTTATTCCTTTTTACAACTGAATAATATTCCATTGCATGGATATATCACATTTTATTTTTCCACTCATCAGTTGGTGGGTATTTGGGTTGCTTCTAACATTTTCACAATGCTGCTGTTAACATTTGTGAAAAGGTTTTTGTGTAACATAGGCTTTCATTTTCTTGCGTCTATATCTAGGAGTAGAATTGCTGGGTCGTATGGTCACTCTGTTTAGCTTCTTTAGGAACTGTCAGAATATTTTTCCAATAGCACTTTGATTATCATCATCAATATATCAGGATGCTACTTTCTTTACATCATCAGCAGTATTCGTAATTATCCGCGCTTTTTTTTATCATAACCATCCTAGTGGGCATGAAGTGGTCTCTCCAGCAACTTACCCAGTACTCTGACTAATACAATTCCCAAGGCTGATTAAAACTCTTACAATATAACATTTTCTTTTTCTATTTGTTATTATGTTAATTCCAGTTCTAGCTGATCTGTCAGTCATAAATAAATTAGATGACTTCATAGAACTGTGTAATTTATATTTTTAGAGAGTTTATTCTGTATTTTAATGCTTCTCAATTTTTTTCCTCATTTTTCAGACCCGCTCACTTTATTTACATTTGAGTGTTCTGTGCTCTTGGCAGTGGTATGTCTTATTGTTGATTAAATTAGCATTTTTATTTATTTGGCAATCTTGTCAAAAATAAGTTTATTCTCAATGAAAATAAATTTATTCTTCCACAATGGTTGAACTAGTTTACAGTCCCACCAACAGTGTAAAAGTGTTCCTATTTCTCCACATCCTCTCCAGCACCTGTTGTTTCCTGACTTTTTAATGATTGCCATTCTAACTGGTGTGAGATGGTATCTCATTGTGGTTTTGATTTGCATTTCTCTGATGGCCAGTGATGGTGAGCATTTTTTCATGTGTTTTTTGGCTGCATAAATGTCTTCTTTTGAGAAGTGTCTGTTCATGTCCTTCGCAGTGTGGTGATTCCTCAGGGATCTAGAACTAGAAATACCATTTGACCCAGCCATCCCATTACTGGGTATATACCCAAAGGACTATAAATCATGCTGCTATAAAGACACATGCACACATATGTTTATTGCGGCATTATTCACAATAGCAAAGACTTGGAACCAACCCAAATGTCCAACAATGATAGACTGGATTAAGAAAATGTGGCACATATACACCATGGATTATTATGCAGCCATAAAAAAGGATGAGTTCATGTCCTTTGTAGGGACATGGATGAAATTGGAAATCATCATTCTCAGTAAACTATCGCAGGAACAAAAAACCAAACACCACATATTCTCACTCATAGGTGGGAATTGAACAATGAGATCACATGGACACAGGAAGGGGAACATCACATTCTGGGGACTGTTGTGGGGTGGGGGGAGGAGGGAGGGATAGCACTGGGAAATATACCTAATGCTAGATGACGAGTTAGTGGGTGCAGCACACCAGCATGGCACATGTATACATATGTAACTAACCTGCACAATGTGCACATGTACCCTAAAACTTAAAGTATAATAATAAAAAAACAAAAATAAATAAAAAAAAATTTATTCTTTAGAAAAAATCACCTTTGAACATGGACTATAATGATTTCCACAAGGAAATGCTGGATTATCAGTCCAGTTTGTTAACATTCAACTGGCCCATCCTGATTACATTTCAGCTTTATCAGAATTTTAAAAATTTAGCAATTCATTTTCTTTGTCTTTCAATTTGTTTTCACAATACTTAATTAGTCCCATCCATGAGGTAATCTTTTTCACCTCAGTAATAATCGAGGGGTAAGAAAAAGAGAGAATTGATAAGAAAAATACTGCTTAGTTAGAATTCACAGAAGTTTGCCACTGATTAGATATGAGTGTAGAAAAGAGAGAGGGGGAAAAAAAGAAAATCTCCTCACTTATTGACACTGGACAGTAGAAAATAATGAAGTACATAGTTGGCAGAAGGAAAAGTGGTTTGATATTGGATGTATTTGCTTTCTGATGAAGACATAATGTGGTAGGAATTGCTGCACGCTTGGTTCCTGAGGTGGTGGATCGTGCCAGTCAGGCTCACAAATGTGAAGGAGGAAGTAGTAGGGATTTGGGAGAAATGACAATTTGAGACTATTTTCTAGGAATTTATTAATTCTAGGAAATAGAGTGAAGAAAAGGAAAGCAAATATAGTATAGCATAATAAAATAACACTGAGATAGGATTTCTAAAAGGAACTGGATTGTTAACAACATAGATGATTCTAGATTAAGACTGAGCAAGCATTTTGGAGGCTGTTCTCTGAGGACTTCTGAAAAAACAATTTCTACAATGGGGATTTTCTTATTGTGAGAAAATATGAACAAATTAAGGAATGATAAGAAATGAAGTGTGGTTGGAGATTGCTACTTCATTAGGTTTGTTCATTAATCGAAGAAAGAAAAATAATGGAAGTCCTATTGCACAGAAATGTTAAGGAAAGCTTTTTCTATGTACACAAGTATTTATCTATTTTTGTTTGCTTTTAATGTTTAAATTTTAAGTACCACTAAAGAAAAAGAGATTGAAAACGCAGTGAGGGAGTAAAGGATGAGATCCGGAGACTGGAATGCTTCTGCATGATAAAGGGAAAATCATTTATTCCTTAGGAAGTAATGGGTGAGGCAAGTGGTGATTTACACTAATTTTATTTCTGTGGAATAAGGAATATTGCATTAGTTAAAAATGTGTTCTGCCCCATGTAATGTAATATCTCACTGAAAGTAGGGGTGGTGTTTAGTTTACACCTTAAAAACTATGGGTTCAGCATCCAGAGCAGGCTATCTGACTCAGTGACGTCATCAGAGCACGTTGTTCTGTTTTCTTATTCCAACATCTTTACCCTATAGTCTTTACCCTTCAGGATTCTCTTATTGTAATCGTAAAATGCATTCTCTGCTTCAGGCTAGTCTTCTAGGTAAGAAGATGGAAGAATGTCAAAGGGGCAGATTATTGCCAACTGAGGCTATATTTAAGGCTTTCCATGAGTCCCACTCATTGCCTTTTAACATATAATTGGTCAGAGCCCTGTCACATGTTTCCAGACATATCTCAAGCATCCTGAAACATTAAGTATTTTAGATTTATAGCTTTTTAATAGAGAAAGGCAAGGGAAGAGTGGTTTATAAAACATTTTGGAGTAGTCAATACAGTTTCTGTCATTTTGTCACAGATTTGTGATTATCATTAAAAATTATACATAGCAAAGAAACTATGCTTTCATATTTTGCATAAAGGATATATTTCACATATTCAAATGTAGGCTTGATTCTAGTTGTATCTGTTAGTTATGTAAATATTTATAAAGTACATATACATCTACACATATATTTACATACAAACATATGCATACATTTATTTAGAATTGGATGTTTACTTTTTAAAAATCATTAGATTAAATATCATACGAACGAAATGGTAAATCAAAGGATCTTAGAAGGGAATATATTGAATCATACAAATAACTGAGATCACCTAAGTTTTACATGTGAAGTACCACGAAGGTCATTGACAGTCATTAAAGAGAGAGCTCAAATTTGGTGATGCAATCATTCTGCTAAAATAAATATTACGTATACCTATGGTATAGTTACTACATGATTTTTTTTTATAGTTCTTTACCTGAATTTTAATGTTTCCTGTCACAAACCAAAACAAGTCATATGATTATTATTATAAAATGTATGATAAAGAAATTTATCTCAGTAAAGCAGCAGCTGAAATTATACTCTTCAGGAATCACAAATCCTAATCACAAACAAAATTCTTTCTGTTTTGTAGTAGGCGTGTTGCAAATTCAGGAAGGAAATGTGGCATAGAGGAAAGAACACTGGTTTTGGCAGACAGAAATGGTTGACTCATTAACTGCCAAACCCAATTAACATTGAACCAACCTACTCCACTTAATTTTCAATCATATTATATGGAAAGTTGAGATAATAATTTTTACCTAATCCATTTATTTATTCACTTATTTAGCAATTAGTTATTGAATATTCACTGTGTGACAGAATGATTTCAGGTGTTCTTAAAAAACCAGAAAAATCTCTGCTCTTGGGGAGTTTTTATTCTAATTGGAGAGACAAAATAAACAATAATAAACAAGTAAAATACAAATATTTCTGCTGGCAGTAGTGCTATGGAGAAAAATTAAGTAGGGAAGGGCAATGAAGAGCACAAGGATGTAGCAGTGGGTTTAATTTAAATGATACAGTCATTGTATGACTTCATCAAGGAGTTGGTATTTACAATGACCTGAGCAAATTAAAGTAATAATTATGCACATATCTGAGATATAAGTTTTCCAGGCAAAAGGAAAAGCAGAGACTCTGAGATGCAAGCACATCTGATGACTTGAGGAACATCAAGAAGACAAGCAAAAGCCGGGTGTGGTGGCTCACGCCTGTAATCCCAGCACTTTGGGAGGCCGAGGCAGGCAGATCATGTGGGTTCAGGCATTTGAGCCTGGCATGATCAACATGGAGAAACCCCATCTCTACTAAAAATACAAAATTAGCCTGGCATGGTGGTGCATGCCTGTAATCCCAGCTACTCAGGAGGCTGAGGCAGGAGAATCCCTTGAACCCAGGAGGCAGAGGCTGCGGTGAGCTGAGATCGCGCCATTGCACTCCAGCCTGGGCAAAAAGAGCGAAACTCTGTCTCAAAAAAAAAAAATAATAATTAAATAAATAAGTAAATAAAGAAGACATGCATAAATAGAGCAGAGTGAAGGAAGAGAAAGGTAGTAAAAGTTGAGATCTGAAAAGAAACAATGGGCCAGGTCATGTAGCGTCTCCTAGGCCATTATAAGAATGTTGATGAACATACAAATTTGGCTGTCATGACCATATAAACCCCATTTAAAGCCTTGAAACTGGATGAAGTCAACTCACAGGATTACTTTGAAAATTATGTAGCCATGCCCAACCATAGTAATTGGTCTTTAGTTGTCTCATTGGCTTTGTTAATCTATATCAGTCAGAATCTATACAAGTAAGAGTCAATCTTTTAATTTGGTGTCAAAATTGGCAGTTTGAGAGAGACAGGAGAAGACAAAACAGGATACCCAGAACCACATGTTGTATTTGTGATGGAGTAGAAGAAAAAGTCCCATGCCTTGCATGTTTGTATTTTATATCTAAATCAGAATATTCCTAAGCCTATACCAAAACATCACAATTTCATGACTATAAGAGAATAAATGTTCATAATTTTATTTAGATTTTTTTTGGAACAATGACATTAACAAACAAATAGATAACAGGATGCAAGAACAGCGACAACATGTTTTTAACCATGGCCAATCTTTTGATTCAATGCCTTAAATATTACAGAAATTAGGATTAAAGGTATTTTGAGAAAAAGGTGATTTAAATACCTATAATGTTGAACCTTTTTATTTTCAAGTGATATATTATTCAGTCATAGAAGATTTTTATAGAAGAAAGCCACCATGAGTTACAGGAAGTATAAAACTCTTTTGTCTGCTTAAAAGGTGTATGTTTTTAGTGACCATTTGAAATGAACAATATAAAGAATTGAAGAAAGAATTATTGAAGAGGCCTTAAATAAGACAAATTTATTTGAAAATTAATCAGAAGACATAAAGATTAAAATATAGGTATCAGAGAAAATAATTGTTAACTTCTATTAGTATAAGCAAATAATAGTTGCTATTAGATTCAAATACTGATAACACATTATTACAAGGATATTTTGAAATAACGTTATTTTGATTTATGAGACCAAAGAAAGAGAAGGTTCCAAATACTAATCAGTTGGTCTATGATATGAATGTATATTTGAAGTACTCTGAATGGATGAAAAGATTTAAGAATTCCAATGCTATATTTTATAAATATATTAAAAGTAAGGGGAAGCAAATTTGCTTTTACATGGCGCAGAATTAATTTTAAAAAGTTGCAACATTGTAAATATGTTCCTCAGAGGTGGTTATTTCAAAAGAAGTTCTTCATTAACTTATTGGGAAAGTATGTTATTTTCACAAACAAGTTCAAACAGCAGATCTAGATATTGCTGCAATGCTCTTTGTGAAATGAAAATTCTTATAAACATTAGCTGTTAAGTTTATCTGTTGTGTTCAAAGTAATTGGTATCTTTAAAAATAGAAAAGAAAAACAGAATACCTGATTTACATTTGTTTGCTTAGCTTTCAAGATTTCATTATGCCTGTATTCAATTGCTAAGTGTAAAATTACAGAAAGGTGGTTTTATTCAGTTTTCTATCATGAGCATTTAAGCTTAAGGGAATTTTAGGATTCCTCAAAAAACTATTTCACCAGAGAGATTGCTGAATAATTTTGCAAAATCTGCAGCCACAGTAGAAACACATTAAGCCAAAATGCAATGTAATTAATTTGTGTGTATGCTGTATAAAAAGTGATTCTGTAATTTCATATGGTTGCCAAATTTGTGTTACAAGGCAAAATTATTGTTTTTGGATGGGTGTTAATACCTTTCCTGAAAAATAAAATTACGTATTCAAGGAAGTTTGGAAATATTAGGTTAAACATATTTTAATGACATTTTAAAAACCTTTTAATTTGAACCAATTTTAAACTTACACAAAATTTGGAAAACCAGTAGAGTTCACACATACGCTTTCCATACATAAACTTCCCTTAACATTTATCTTTTATAATCATAGTGCAATTATCAAAAGAAGGGGTTAACACTGATACAATACTATTGACTAAATTATAGGCCTTATTTGAATTTTATTTTTTTTCATTAATGTCTATTTTCTGTTCCACAACTCTAAGATCCTGCATTGCCTTTAGTTGTTATTTCTCTTTAACCTCCTCCAATTTGTGACAGTTCTTGTGGATGAGATTGGAATCAGTATAAACTCATGATTTTCAATGTATATAAACAAAAAAGATAGATACAGAAATACAGATGTGCCTCTATGTATGTTTGCTAGTATATATACTTACAATTCCTGGCCATGTCTCTGAGACAGAACAGAGGCAATGACATCTCAGTAGCAATGAGCAAACATGTCTTAGTAAATTTGTGTTGCTACGACAGAATACCTGAGACTGAGTAATTTATAAAGACAGATTTATTTTCTTGGGGAGTCCAAAATTCAGGGCCAGAATCTTGTGAGGGCCTTCTTGCTGTGTCATCCCATGGCAGAAGGCAGAAGGCCAAGACAGTATGTGTAAAGGGAGCTAATGAGGAGGGTGAACTCATGTTTATAACAAACCCATTCTCCAGCCATAGGATGTTAATCCATTCTATGAGGCAGAGCCCTATGAACTAATAAGGCCTTATTAGGCCCCACCTCCCAACACTGTTGCATTGGGCATTAAGTTTCCAACACATGAACTTTAGGGAACATATTCAAATCCTAGCAACACTTAAGGCTCAGATCTTGATTGGTAAACATCATCCTCCAATATAAATATCCAGGGCTCCTTGGAGTATTGGTTGATTCCAGGAATGGGGCAGGGAAAATACAAGATAAGCCTGAAAAATGTTGTGGTGGCAGAAAGTAAGGAATTGCTCAGAATTATATGGGGGCTGGTCAAAAGAAACAACATGAAGGAAGTCCTAATGGGCTAAGATGGAATCTTTTGGGCCACAAAATAAATAATGATATTAGGTTTTAGCCCATAAAATAAAATAAACATCCAGTAGTCCATACTAATATAAATAAGTAAATAAGGGATAAGGCATAGCTCTTTCTTACTGAAGAATTCTAATAAATATAGAAGGAAAGAGAAAAATATGAAGTCACCATTAGGCAAACACTACAGTAATAATTGTGACTCCTCAATGAGTACTAATATTAGGGGTGAAAGTTTGAGGAGAACTAGTATAATTGTGTGCTTTTGACATGCCTCCCTAAAATAGTTAATAACTATTAAGGGAAAATTTGTAACTTTATCATGGAGGAACCTGGGAGACACCATCTAAACCAAGGGATCAAGATAACCACAATCAATAAAGATGTTTTCATGTTGCCTTTCATATGATGCACTAAGAAGTTACTTTGGTATTCCTGCCAACATTTTCTAATCATGTGAAATATTGAGAGCATCCTACAAAATGACTGCCTGAAACTCTTTAAAATTTCAAGTCTTCAACAAAGAAAGACTGAGGAATTAAAACTTTATTTTAAAACATTTTAGCTTAACTCGAGGAGGTTTTAAATATTTGGAGATAGTATTTTGACTGGAGGATTTCCCTCAGCAAAACCTTTATGAAAGTATGTATTTGGAAGAAAAGAAAGGCCAGCAAATGTCAGGTAAAGCAATGCTTTTTTCTCTTACTGCCTTGAACCCAAATTCCAAGCAGAACTTTTAAGGATCTGAACTACACCAGACAGAAGCCTTCAATGTTTCTCTGACCATTAGGCTAATGAACTCAGATGCAAATTAGCCATGAGATCTTCCTTGTCTGTCATGCTCCGGCATCCAGAATCTCCAATTCTAAACACTGTGATAAGGGAAAATAAAAATCCATTGTCATTTATCATCACCAGAAAAGAAGGACTGAGAAAGACCACAAGGCAGGAGGAAAGCAAGGAAGGAGGTAATGACAGGAAGACAGGAAGACTTTGTTTCCCTTTAATCCTAAACTCCTCACAGAAGCCCCAGGGAATCAGCGGTCATGAGGGAGGAGGAGAAAGTTTCTCAAAAGTAATAGGGATTATAATTACCACACTGACTGCAAGAAAGCAAGAACAAACAAACAAAAAAAGTGGGGGAGCATGCTCAAATGAACTATTTTTAGTTCCCTTGGAAGTTTCACACTCAAAAACTGTGACAGAGAACTATATTTTGTAACCTGGCAAATCTAGTCCATCACCCTCCTCCTTAGGTGGATAAAATAGAGTACCAGTGAGGATGAGAGGCATTTTGATTTCCCTTTAGAGTGAAACACACACACACACACACTCACACTCACAAACACACACACAATTTAAAGTCTTAATGTGATTGATTGCTATAAATTTGCTAATTGTTAGTTGGCATATACAACTTGAACTTTATTTGATATAACTTTCTTAAATCTGAGCCTCTGTTTTCATTAATAGATTAAAGTATGTTTTTGAGTGGTTTCAGTCAGATTTGAAAGTATTAACAGACTTCTTTTCCAAACCCCACATCTCCTTCCCACTCCTATTACCCCACACCACCAGCTACCTGGTGACTTTCTGACTGCAGCAAAGTGGGGAAGCGCCCTTTATCAATGGGTCCATGACTCATTCTGGTCTCATAAACTTCTCAGGTAGACAGTGTAGCTACTTATTATCTAGCTGCTGACAACAGCTAATGTCATCTTCTGGCAAGCTTCCTGGTGAGCCATAAGTCCAATGCCTACTGCTTGTTCTGAGGACACACATCTGCCCTACTTACTACTTCACAGAGCTTTTTTATGAATGGGCTCCTGGGATCCAACTGCTTCTCAGTCATCTCTGGCTGTCTAATTGCATCATTCTGGTGTCTCCTTAGGCTCCCTCAGGTAACCTTCGGGACATATCCATTACCTCATCAATGGATGTATGAGAAAGATATATACAGACACTATCTATGGCAAACTCTCATCTTCCTCTGTTTGTGTGGGCAGGGAGTGTAGGATGCTTTGTGTGTGTGTGTGTGTGTGTCTGGTGTCTGTTGGAGAGGGCGTTGCTTGTGGTGATTCTTATCTGGCTAACTCAACCGGTTCTTTTAACCTACTTCATGCCCCTGCATATCCGCTCCATAGGCTGCTGTTCAACTAACTATGTCCTGGGAAGAAATGTGGAACTTTCTGCTGAGTGGATTTCCAAACATGGAAAGGCCTTTTTCTTACTTCTATCCCATATCATTCCCTTTCTTTCCTCTGTAGGATATGAATTTCACTTCATCAGGATACTACATAATGGTTAATACTTGCTCTTCTAAAACTCTCCCACCTTGCACTATTCTGCTCTAACTTACATGGATCTTTGCGGCCATAGTATTCGTTTGCTAGTGCTGCCATAGAAAACTACCACAGACTGGGTGGCTTAAACAACAGAAGTTTATTTTTTCCACAGTTCTGGAGGCTAGGAGTCCGAGATCAATGTTTGGTTTCTGCCCAGTCCTCTCTCCTTGGCTTGCAGATGGCTGTATTCTCGCTGTGTCCTCACATGGGGTTTCCTCTGTTGCGCCCACATTCCTGATGTCTTTTGTGTGTTCAAATTTCCTCTTCTTCGGAAGACACCAGTCAGATTGTAATAGGGCCCACCTCAACAGTCTCAATTTAATCACATCTCAAAGAGCCCATTTCCAAATACAGTCATATTCTGACATACTGGGTGGGGGATAGGGCTTCAACATATGAATTGTTGGGGGACACACTTGGCTGAGGAACACCCTGGAGGTGGGGACACCATGGGTTCTACTGAAACACATTTACCAACTGCTATTGTTGCCTCTATGCAAATAATTCTGCCATTTCCACAGAAGCCTGCTTCTTTAGTCGTGGGAATTAAGAAAGATGATATGCAATCCCCAGTTGTCCTTTCTCCATTTCTCCTGTGGCAACAAACAAACAAGAACAAAAAAAAACCTACTACAAGGCTGGAGATCTGAGTGGAGGTAATCACAGGAAAAGAAAATAATAGTAATAGTAAATAATAAAAAAGTAAGTTCTTAATCTTACTTTTTAAAAAATATAAGGCAATGTGTATTAAAAATCTATATGGAAAGGCATTTTATTTGATGTATCCCAAAATCTACTTGACTGAGAAATGTTTTCCTAGGCAGACTCATTAAAAGGTCAACAGGAACAAGTATTCTATTAAACATATTTTGAGGAATCTGGATGTTGACCCTTGTCTGGCAGTCCCATGCTTGGAAAGTGTTTAATAGTTCAGCATTCATTATTAAATTAGATTTAAATATATCTGCCTTAATTCTTTAAGGCTGTCTATGCTCTAGTACTAATTTATTTTTGTATCCTTATCTCTTGATTCTCTTATATATAGCATGTACTCCAAATTACATGATCCTAAATATACTTTGTGGTTTCCGCCTTCTACATCTTTTTTTAATGCTGTTTCCTCTGCCTTCCTAGAAGGTTTTGTTAAATCAAAAATTCTATCTCTTCATGAATATTTTTAATCTCCTTAATTCAGTGTGATTTCTTCCTTCTATGAACTTGCATAGATTTTACTATGTTCTGCCAGAGCAGGTATTATTCATTTTTTTCTTTACTTATGAGGTTGTAATTTCATTCAATATAGAGAACATATCTTGCTTATCTTTAAACCTTCCATAATGTTTTTCACACATGCATCTTCAACAAATATTAGTTAAATAAATGAAATAAGATGCACTAAAGATTGAGATGATTTATTCTTTGGGTCTATGCCCTGGTTCCAAGTAGTTTATGAACCATATGCATTTATCTGCTCTCTCTCATGAGACTCCATTGATACAAGGAAAAAGAAATTTTTAATAAATTATAAGCTTTTATTGATGAAAAATAAATAGAAGAAGTGAGAATTGAATGAATTTCTGGGAGATGGAAAGTAAACAAAGCAATATTTTCTGTTGGAAATCACGGCCCAGACTTTCTTTAAAGGGTGATATAGTAAGACAAAATGCCAGTCCCCGATGAAACTTTGAGGGTACAAGGTGCCTAGAAAAAGAGGGCAAATATTAATTCAAGTTATGTATATTGAACGATGACTTACACCTCTTTCATTAATCACAGTACTATTTCCCTGCAGTTAAGTCTGGCTAGACATTTATCATTCGGGAAAAATAAAACTTTTCCTAGAATAATTTAAATAAAACGAAGTCCACCTTAGCAGATAATTTGGAGCTGGGTTCCAGTTCTCTATAATCTGGTATTTGAGAGGCCCCAGATTGAGTAGTCTAATTTCTTTTTGCTTTCTATATGGTAAAACCTACCATTTAACACATCATATTCACAGACAAAGGAATCCATTTAATGTCCTTATATCTTGTACTCGAAATTTGAAATATGGCTCTTGTTATTTGCTGAATATCAGCATGCAGGATGAGATGAGAGAAATATATCCAGCCAAAGGAGAGCAACAACTTCTGTTCTGTTGTACTGAAATTGTTTTGGGTCTATAGCTAAGGTTGGGTGTTACTTACACTCATTAGTAAACATAGATTTGTTTAAAAAAATCAAAACTATAATATTTAAAAAGAGAGTCAAATATATATTTTCAAAACAAGGAGTTTCAGTAAGTGAAAACAAAGTACATTAAAAAGAGATTCAAGCATGTATTTGAAAAGTAGAGTAGTATAAACAATAATTTAGAAGACTATTTTGAAGTATTATAAAGGGTGGTGATGATTATTCAAAGGAATAAAATCTTATGGATTTTGTTTTTCCACAGGCTTAAATATTTAACTTAAATTTCTGTTGAACATGATTCTGGAGGTGCTGATTTTGTCTTCAGTATTAAGGGGATAAAAGGGTCATAACAAATAAATACAGAAATCCAAAATAAAATAATGATAATTATTATTCCCAGCAAGATTCAAACAGAACAGGAGTTGTGGTGGAGAAATGGAGAGGAAAGACCTGTTGAAATTAAAAGAGTGATTGCTGAAATTTAAAAAAAAAAATTGTTTTGGAAGATAATCTCATAGAAATATTTAGGATTTTAGATAAAAATGCAGAGTTGGAATATACAAGCAAAAAGACTAGAAGCACAGGAGATCAATCCAGAAGAGATGATATTTGCTTTGGTAGCAGCTCCACCAAGAGAGGTTAGAGAAAATGATAGTTAGAAATTATAAGAGAAGAGGAGAGACTCAAGCCTGTAAATTGTTAGGGTCTCCTGAGTGTGAGTCGTAATAAATAAAAAAGAACCACTCTTAGATACTTAGCACTGCCAAATTATAAAAACACTAATGATGAAGAAAATTTTCTGAAAAGGAAAGAGGAAAAAGAAATTCAGTATTGATTAGAGCTTTTAAACTTTAGACAAGACTACCCATTGCCTAGTTTTAAGTATAAAGAGAAATATAAAGGAATATAGTCACAGAGTCATTGGGAAAGCAATAAAGTTACTCTCTATGTTAAACTTGCATAAAAAATTCCCACTACCACACCAAGCAACTAACCAGATAAAGGAGCTTTGGCCTCTAAAAGCCCCCAGAACAATACTACCTCTACTAGCCATCCATTGCAACAAAATGGATGCCTCCCACCCTGCCTGTTTCCTCCCTTAGCTCAATTCCAAAACAAACACCTATATTTGTATCTGACTGCTGGAACCCAGGCCACATGTCTGCACCACAGCTAGAACCAATGATTCCTAAAATTTACCACTGAAAAGGGGTCCAAATTAGAAAAGTCAGGCACTCAGTCTCCACAAGGGATTGGAATAAATTAAAAACAACATATCAAATGGAATGCATCTGTTTTTTCTCCCAGCTGGAAAACAAAACCATAAACTCCAAGAAATAAAGAGTTTATGATAAAGCAAATTAAAACATGTCATAATATAGAGCAATAAGTAGTCAGTAAGTAAAGAGAAATTATTTGAACATTCTTTCTGGATAACTCAGGGAACTGCAGATAAGGTCATATAATTGAAGCCCTCCACTTGACTCTCAATGAACTCTATTGCAATCCGCATAATAATGTAATCACTGCTCACAGGCTCTCTACTTTAAATCTGAAGTCATAGACTTATAGCTAATAAACAAAACACCAATATTTACAACTTCAACGATGTTCAAGATTTAACAAATAAATATTGAAATAAAAATGAGAAGATATGGAAATGAAGAGGGTAGCTAATATCATCCCCAGGTTCCAAAATAGAAAATCAAGACTCTGTCTATAGTTAGTGAAACATAATTTTAAGTATGGTAAGTTAAAAAGTACCTAGTAAATCAGAGATTGCATATGAAACAAATTCTACCAGTAGATAAGTTTTATTTGGCTGCCAACATGGTGTCAGCATTTTTTTTTTCCTTTTGAATTGTTTTCTTCGAATTTGCGGTTCAGTAGACATCCAACAACCAATTCACCACAAGTCTGAACACTCCTTATATCCTATATCTGGCCTGACTTATGTGTTTACTTTACTAAATTTGCTCTGTAGACACTAGAGTCAGAACATTGAAAAATAGAAATTAAAAATAGCAATATGATTATATAAGCAACTCTGGGGAAATTCACTGTGAAAAAATTCTTTTCTGTTATATCTTACAGGAGGAGGTCAATAGGTAGTACCTACAATAATAGGGTAGTAAATGTGGTAACATATTATTAAGAGATACCTTAAAACTCTCTGAAGTAAGCTCAGGATTTGGAAGCATGTGTTGTTAATTTTTTTTGATCAAAATTTAAGCTATGAATGAGAAAATAGCATTTAATTAAGAGTTAAAACATTATTATGGTTTGGTCATTTATTTAGTCATTTTATAAATAATCATCATATGCATCCATACTATGTAAGGTACCATGTTAGGACTTTGGGGAATATAAGCTTGAATACATTGTGATCACAAATCAGACCAATAGTCTGATTAATAGACAATTACTCAGACTAAGTGCAGGGCAGGATGAAATTTAATATTGCTTTTATATGTATTTGGAATGTATTACAAATTTCCCCTAATGGTTTTATTTTACTAATGAAGATTATTTTTAGTTATGGTAAGAATTAATTACTTGAGAAGAAATCAAATGACAACATGGAGAGACAGCAGAAATGTCCTAGTTATAATTATTTTAAAGGGCAAATGATAAAATGTAAATAACAGCAATAGGAGCTTTGTAAGTTCCTACATGTCTAAGTATTAATATTTATGGAATATATCTTGCCTGGGAAATTCACTACAATGTTTTAAACTAAAGGTACAGATATAGCAATGTAATATAAATGCACAATGGCATGAAGCACTTGAATAGAAGCGAAGCATATGGTATTCACTAAGCAAGCAGGCTGTGATCTGTGTGAGAGAGGGGAAAGTACAATGTAGCTATAAAATTTTATTAATGCTGAAGTAGAACAGTTGAAAATCAGTGAGATATAACTTATTTAATAATGGAGTTAAAGAGCTGAGAATGCAGCTCCAGTATTACAAGTGAATTTATTTTTTCACCTGACAGTTTAAAAAGTAGATGAAAAGTCTTAACACAATTTTAGGGTATTTTTTGTGTGTGGTGGTAACAGGAATTAAATGAACACTTCAAAAAACCCGTTGAGAGTTATTGAAGGAGAAACCAACGTTAAGGGCAGTGAATTTAAGCTACTTTCATGTACAATCAACTTTTAAAATCTAACTTTGGCACCTTTTTTTATTTCTCATTGAAGTAGATGCCTTTCAAAATGGTGTTCATTGTTTATGATCACTGTCAATAATGCTTGAAAACTATTTAGCATTTTCCTATTCTCTCCACTTTTGATGGCCATTTTTCTTATCCTGAAAATGGCAAACAGCTTTCCGGTTCCACCTGGTGGTAGAAAATTGATTACCATGCTTTATATTGTGTCTGCAACTTTTAATCTTAGAACTCAGATTTCTAATTTGATGCTTGGTGACCTACAATGTTGGGGCAGTTCTGCTGTTCAAGAATTGGAATTCATAAGCATCTTCCTAGTAGACCAAGGTGTCTTTTTTTTTTTATTACTTCTATCTGGAGTTCTCAAGTACTTTTCTTTCTAGATATTCTGCATCCGTACAGTCAGTTCTATCTGCAGACTTACAAGAATAAATGTTCATATAATACATAGTTATGTGTTAGCTGTTTATTTTGTAAACTCATCTGTTTTGGAAGCTTCTGTGTACCCCACATACCCCCGTACCGTAAATTATATTTACCTTTCCAATGAAACTGGCTACGATTTGTCAGAATTATTTATTTGACCTACAGTGGCTAAACTGTGGATTCCTAACATTGATAGTAAAAGCAAAATTGTAATACCATTTAAATATTTTAATTTTTAAATAAAGTTTGCAATAATTGTGAAATAATGTAATTCATGAGTGCAAAAAAACACCCTGGGAAGTATACAAACAACAAACTGATTGCAACCAAATGGACATTATTTCCATAGATTATGGAATTAAATAAAGTGCATTAATTTTAATTAGATTTAAACCCTTTGGTGACTTATTTTAGACCTTTAAAATCTCCTTGCAATCAATATAGTGAATTAATACATTTTCTTATCTTCTTCAAAATAGAATATCAATAAAGAAATTTATATTTAACTCATTAATCTTATTTAAGTACAAACTGGAATGAAATTCTTTCCCAAAAATGTCAAAATATTTCTACAGTTACGTATATGCAAAAATTTCTGTAGTTATATATATGTAAACACTTTTACTACATGGTGGAGAATGAATTATATATTAAAGTTATCTTGTGACAAGGTGCTCTTTATTCCCATTGATGCAAAGATAACTTAGTTTGATAATAAATATAAATATATAAAAGTAACTAATATGAAAATCTGTGTCAATTTTGGTGAATCTGAAGTAAATTATTTATCATCTGTTTAGCTACATTATTTAGGATCAAAGAGAACAAAATGTACTAGCAAACTAAATCCAAGGATTACAGTGTAGAGGTGCTTAAAACAATGCTGTGAAAGAGGTAGACTCCCACTAATGATTATATTTTACAATTTTAAAGGCAGTGCTTCATAACACCAAGGCTTTTCTTTAGTTTACCTCTAGTGTGATGGCATTCTTATATACATAAAGAAAATATGAAAATTAAAAAAAATAAATTCTACTTTCTAACATCTATTAATATGAATTTCACAAAAACATACAGGTTCATAAAAACGTAGGAAGTCATCAGTATAATAAGATTTTGTGCTATTTTATTAAAGTGGGACTACTTTACTGAACAGGGTAGTACAGCATATCCTGAAATAAGAACAGAGTATGCAACATATTAAGACTTCAAAATATTGTATCTAGGACAGGAAATTCCAATTAAATCCTTTATTTCTCCCTTTGGAAAAACTGATGTGGGGAAACTCTTAAAAACAAAACTATATAAGGTTCTTTTACTGCATTCAGAGGTCTGTATTGAAATACATTTCCGCAAAAAACAGATCCAACTACTTATTAGCTAACAGCCCTTATTCCACTTGGTTGATTATTTTGAAGTATAGTAGACTAATATGTGAGTTAATTCTTTCTGCCAATAAATACCCATTTGCCTTGAAAATGCAATCATTGTTAAGTGAGAAATATGCAACTCGTGTTTTAAAAAATTGTACAAATTGATTTACACACAATCCAAAAGTTAATGGAACAGATAATATCTTTACCTTGGAAACAATAAACAGAAGGGAACAAACAGCTTTTTTGCGGTTTGTTTTTTTCTAACCAATAGTTACTATGCTGAGAGGAACCTTCATGTTGCCCCAGGTTTGGTGATTATAATCCAAAACTGAGGACAAAAATGATTCAAGTATTTTATTTGCTAATCTTCTTACCCTTCTATAAAAAGAGATGATCGGAGAGGGTGACAGATAGAGGAGCACAGTGGTTATGCATCCACCCCCAGCCCAGTGAGATGAGGTCCAAAAAAATTACTTATTACTCATGGAAAATAGGATGTCTGCCTGCAGTAGGAACTAATATCTCATTTGCCAGTTAGACATCTGCTTATGTAGTTTCCTGAGATTATTTGACCATGAGGGGAAAAAGAGAAGGAGATGGCAAGTCAGGGAGATGACAAGTAAGGGAGTAGAGACTGCTGTGGAGCAGCCCATACTCTTGCGCGTGAGTTTCCTGAAGCACAACCGATAGTTTAAAAAGACCACAGTGCAATCAAACTAGAACTCAGGATTAAGAGACTCACTCAAAACCGCTCAACTACATGGAAACTGAACAACCTGCTCCTGAATGACTACTGGGTACATAAAGAAATGAAGGCAGAAATAAAGATGTTCTTTGAAACCAATGAGAAGACACAACATACCAGAATCTATGGGACACATTCAAAGCAGTGTGTAGAGGGAAATTTATAGCACTAAATGCCCACAAGAGAAAGCAGGAAAGATCCAAAATTGACACCCTAACATCACAATTAAAAGAACTAGAAAAGCAAGAGCAAACACATTCAAAAGCTAGCAGAAGGCAAGAAATAACTAAAATCAGAGCAGAACTGACAGAAATAGAGGCACAAAAAACCCTTCAAAAAATTAATGAATCCAGGAGCTGGTTTTTTGAAAGGATCAACAAAATTGATAGACCACTAACAAGACTAATAAAGAAAAAAAGAGAGAAGAATCAAATAGATGCAATAAAAAGTGATAAAGGGAATATCACCACTGATCCCACAGAAATACAAACTACCATCAGAGAATACTACAAACACCTCTGTGCAAATAAACTAGAAAATCTAGAAGAAATGGATAAATTCCTTGACACATACACTCTCCCAAGACTAAACCAGGAAGAAGTTGAATCTCTGAATAGACCAATAACAGGATCTGAAATTGTGGCAATAATCAATAGCTTACCAACCAAAAAGAGTCCAGGACCAGATGGATTCACAGCTGAATTCTACCAGAGGTACAAGGAGCAACTGGTACCATTCCTTCTGAAACTATTCCAATCAATAGAAAAAGAGGGAATCCTCCCTAACTCATTTTATGAGGCCAGCATCATCCTGATACCAAAGCCGGGCAGAGACACAACCAAAAAAGAGAATTTTAGACCAATATCCTTGATGAACATTGATGCAAAAATCCTCAATAAAATACTGGCAAACCGAATCCAGCAACACATCCAAAAGCTTATCCACCATGGTCAAGTGGGCTTCATCCCTGGGATGCAAGGCTGGTTCAATATATGCAAATCAATAAATGTAATCCAGCATATAAACAGAACCAAAGACAAAAACCACATGATTATCTCAATAGATACAAAAAAGGCCATTGACAAAATTCAACAACCCTTCATGCTAAAAACTGTCAATAAATTAGGTATTGATGGGATGTATCTCAAAATAATAAGAGCTATCTATGACAAACCCACAGCCAATATCATACTGAATGGGCAAAAACTGGAAGCATTCCCTTTGAAAACTGGTACAAGACAGGGATGCCCTGTCTCACCATTCCTATTCAACATAGTGTTGGAAGTTCTGGCCAGGGCAATTAGGCAGGAGAAGGAAATAAAGGGTATTCAATTAGGAAAAGAGGAAGTCAAATTGTCCCTGTTTGCAGACGACATGATTGTATATCTAGAAAACCCCATTGTCTCAGCCCAAAATCTCCTTAAGCTGATAAGCAACTTCAGCAAAGTCTCGGGATACAAAATCAATGTACAAAAATCACAAGCATTCTTATACACCAATAACAGACAAACAGAGAGCCAAATCATGAGTGAACTCCCATTCACAATTGCTTCAAAGAGAACAAAATACTTAGGAATCCAACTTACAAGGGACGTGAAGGACCTCTTCAAGGAGAACTACAAACCACTGCTCAATGAAATAAAAGAGGATACCAACAAATGGAAGAGCATTCCATGCTCATGGGTAGGAAGAATTAATATCGTGAAAATGGCCATACTGCCCAAGGTAATTTATAGATTCAATGCCATCCCCATCAAGCTACCAATGACTTTCTTCACAGAATTGGAAAAAACTACTTTAAAGTTCATATGGCACCAAAAAAAAGCCCGCATCACCAAGTCAATTGTGAGCCAAAAGAACAAAGCTGGAGGCATCACGCTACCTAACTTCAAACTATACGACAAGGCTACAGTAACCAAAGCAGCATGATACTGGTACCAAAACAGAGATATAGA
This sequence comes from Homo sapiens, assembly GCF_000001405.40. Classification (NCBI taxonomy): domain Eukaryota; kingdom Metazoa; phylum Chordata; class Mammalia; order Primates; family Hominidae; genus Homo; species Homo sapiens. The sequence continues at coordinate 200,733 of NW_025791754.1, read as the reverse complement.
TCAGTGGAACAGAACAGAGCCCTCAGAAATAACGCCACATATCTACAACTATCTGATCTTTGACAAACCTGACAAAAACAAGCAATGGGGAAAGGATTCCCTGTTTAATAAATGGTGCTGGGAAAACTGGCTAGCCATATGTAGAAAGCTGAAACTGGATCCCTTCCTTACACCTTATACAAAAATTAATTCAAGATGGATTAAAGACTTAAACGTTAGACCTAAAACCATAAAAACCCTAGAAGAAAACCTAGGCATTACCATTCAGGACATAGGCATGGGCAAGGACTTCATGTCTAAAACACCAAAAGCAGTGGCAACAAAAGTCAAAATTGACAAAAGGGATCTAATTAAACTAAAGAGCTTCTGCACAGCAAAAGAAATTACCATCAGAGTGAACAGGCAACCTACAAAATGGGAGAAAATTTTCGCAGCCTACTCATCTGACAGAAGGCTAATATCCAGAATCTACAATGAACTCAAACAAATTTACAAGAAGAAAACAACCCCATCAAAAAGTGGGCAAAGGATATGAACAGACACTTCTCAAAAGAAGACATTTATGCAGCCAAAAGACACATGAAAAAATGCTCATCATCACTGGCCATCAGAGAAATGCAAATCAAAACCACAATGAGATACCATCTCACACCAGTCAGAATGGCAATCGTTAAAAATTAAGGAAACAACAGGTGCTGGAGAGGATGTGGAGAAAGAGGAACACTTTTACACTGTTGGTGGGACTGTAAACTAGTTCAACCATTGTGGAAGTCAGTGTGGCAATTCCTCAGGGATCTAGAACTAGAAATACCGTTTGACCCAGCCATCTCATTACTGGGTATATACCCAAAGGACTATAAATCATGCTGCTATAAAGACACATGCACACGTATGTTTATTGCGGCTCTATTCACAATAACTAAGACTTGGAACCAACCCAAATGTCCAATAATGATAGACTGGATTAAGAAAATGTGGCACATATACACCATGGAATACTATGCAGCCATAAAAATGATGAGTTCATGTTCTTTGTAGGGACATGGATGAAATTGGAAATTATCATTCTCAGTAAACTATCGCAAGGACAAAAAACCAAATACCACACGTTCTCACTCATAGATAGGAATTTAACAATGAGAACACATGGACACAGGAAGGGGAACATCACATTCTGGGGACTGTTGTGGGCTGGGGGAAGGGGGGAGGGATAGCATTAGGAGATATACCTAATGCTAAATGACGAGTTAATGGGTGCAGCACACCAGCGTGGCACATGTATACATATGTAACTAACGTGCACATTGTGCACATGTACCCTAAAACTTAAAGTATAATAATAATAAAAAAATAAAAGAATAAAAAATAATAAAAAAATAAAATAAAAAGGTTTGACCTATCTTTCTAGTACCCCATCTACTCCACAAAGTGAGGCAGCTGAAGAAGCTAGAGTCTATAGGGTGTACCGCTAGGAAATAAGGAAGAGTGGAATGCAGTTTCTTGCTTACCAGTGATGTCATACAGAGGCCCACCTCTCACTCCCCGAAAAACATTTTCATGTCTCTATAAGATAGGCATCATGTGGTTACCATCTTCATAGAAAACAATGATGGCAGTTAGAATTAGCCTGCAGAGCAGCGACAGCCCAGGGAGAACAAGCCTGAGCTGGTAAGATTGGAGCTTCAAATTTGATAGGCCTGGGTTGGATTTAAATGGAGCTCCAATGTGATTTTAAAGAAATGGGATCTGCCTAAAATATTATTAAATGATAGGAATGGGAGATCTGAAATTGTATGGCTGAAGGCTACAAAGTCACGGAATTTGTAATTTATTTACTTCACTAGACTGCTTTTTTCCTTTTTCCCAAGCAATCAACTTGTCTTCCAATATCCTTTCCTTTTAATTTTTTTCCATTAAGACATTTGTTGAGGGCATAAAAATGTCAAGGATAATAAACACAAGCTTCTTTTCCTTCCAAGATGTCTCATCAAAAATTTTCTAAGGCTCTCTTGACTGGTATTGGCTGTTGGGTGCATGAACTCTACAGCATGCCCCTTTATTCAGAGAGACTAGAGATCTAGGGGATTCTTTCTTTCTCTTCTTTCCTTTGTTGCCCAGGCTGGAGTAGCTGGGATTACAGGCATGCACCACCACGCCCAGGCATTTTTTTTGTTTTGTTTTGTTTTGTATTTTTCGTAGAGACAGGGTTTCTCCATGTTGGTCAGGCTGGTCTCAAACCCCCGACATCATGAGATCCACCCTCCTCAGCCTCCCAAAGTGTTGGGATTACAGGCGTGAGCCACCGTGCCTGGCCGGGATTCTTTCAAATATTAAACATATACTGTTCTTCTGTACTCCATTTGGTTTTTTAAAATATAATGTTTCATCTCCATATTCTGTTATTTTTTAACTTTTTTTAAAATCCGAGATCATTAAAAGTAGCTGTAGCTAGCAATGATTTTGAAAACAAATGTGGACATAAACTTGGCTAGGAAGGATTCTTTACTATTCAATGACTAGTCAATATAGTAGAACAGTCTCACAAGAGTATGAAGTAGATAACAGATTATACTATTTTAGAGGTTGGAGTGTACCTCAAGGTTAACAGTTAGTAATTACACAAGCCTCTTATTTCTCCTAAATGTTCATTTAGTTGCTGTAAACACATCTTAAATCTTTATTAAATGGTTTTTCATAATTTTCGATGAGCTTCCCACTCTACGCTTTTTGTCCATAATATTTCTTATGTTTTTATTGCTGCTATTTTTATCTAATTACAACACTAAATTGATATAATATTAAATTCACTTCATGTCCATTAGTGATTATGAAACTCAGTTTTTTTTTTTTTAATTCTAATGACACATTTATCATAGAGAAAGTAATTCATTAGACCTAAACATTATTCTGGTGAAGGCAAAAGGAATTATATAATTAGAAAAGCAGAACATTTAGTAATTGAGCATGAAGAACATTGTTAGATTATTCTTTGTTCATTTAACAAAACATATATTAAGCTCTTCCTCTGTGTCGGAACCGATGTCATGTCTTGGGGATATAGTGGTAAACAATACATGATCCCTTTTCTCATAAAGCTTATTTCACAGGGAAGCAAGATATTAAGAATTAATTAACACAATTTAATGTTACAGTATTATGAAAGGAGAAGTACACTACAGCAAAACTGAGGAAGTAATGATTAAGCTGAGGGTCAAGAATGGATACGCCATAGGAGGTAGAGAGAAAAGTATTGTGGAAAATCCTAGACATAAGAGACAGTGTCTTGTTCAGGACAAATTAAAGACTTCTAATGGCTGATGTGCATAAGAGAAAGCAGACAGAAGTAACAGATGAAACCTGAAAGACAGTCATAGAACAGGTGAGCAGGGCTTTGTAATGACAATTTTTCAAAGTTTAACTTTATCAGATGGAAGAAGGAAGCCCTTTAGCATTTTCAATGGCAGAGTGACATGAAATAATTTGAGATTTTGAAATTTACTCTTACTACATTACTGTAAAAGGATTTGTGAAAGCATTCACTGGAAACAAGGAAGTGAGTTAGGACTGTTTTAAAGGTGTAAGAATTGATGATGGAGGAAGGAATAAACAAATAGGTGAGTACAAATCACACCTGGGTGATAGAATTAAAAGATTTGCCGCTATAAGAAGTTTGGAAATGTACTATTTATTTATGTAATTATTTCTCCCTCATTCAAAATCAGTCTTGAATTAAGTCTACCCAGATATAAAAAGTAAGATATAAGAAAAATAGAAAATTGGGATAGAACTGTAAGCTGAAGACAAATTAATGATTTTTAGATAGATCTATAGGATGTAAAATGTCCTGCATTACCAATAAAGGTACAAAAACTTGGCATTTAATATCCTAGTAGCCTCAAGAATGGAAATAAAACAGCAGCAACATTCACACTGAATGTTGGAGCTCCTCAGAACTGACGTTCCTGAACAAAGTGCTGGCTTTTTAGCCAGTGTGTCTGGGTTGAATTATTTGATCTACCCATGCTGGCAAGATCATCAAAGCCATTGAACCTCAGTTTCTTTATCTGTGAAATGGGGGTAAAAGCATATATCTCATAGATTACCAGGAAAATAAAATTTTTCATTAAATAAATATTTTTGAACATCTACTATGTCTTAGAACATGTTCTAGTCACCAGAAATCCTCCAGAAAACAAAGTAAACAACAGGGCTCAGTGGTTCCACTGCTACATTCTGCTGCAATTGGTGTTGGGTGAGATGTTGTGGCAGAAATAAAGAGTAATTAGCATTCAAATGAAGGTATAATATGTTGCTAACATAAAGATGTCAATTTCATCCAAATTTATTATTTTAATTCCATCCCAACAATCATACCAACACAACATTCTTTTTTAAAATAGATAAGCTGATTTTATATGATAAAATGAAGCAATCAGACAAGCAAGGAAAATTTTCAAGGTCAATAATAATGAGAGGGGATTATCTTATATACTTAAAAATAATGTGCAGTTACAATAATTGAAATAGTGTGCTATTAGTGAATTCACAGAGAAGAATCAATTAACAGGCTAGAAATTATATGTACCTCTAATACAGGCACAGATAATTAGGAATTTGGTGTTTGATAAAGGAGTTATTTTAAATTAGTGAGTAAAAAGATAGATTATTCAATACATTGAGTAACTGGGTGGATATTCAAAAAAGCTAAATTCAATACATTCATCATAGAAATGGAAAAATGATTACTTTCTGCCTAGAGAAAATATTAGTCCTAAAATATTAGTAAGTAGGGGATAGGGGAAGCTTATGTAATGTAGACCAAATGCTGCCCTGAAACACAGCAAGGAAGCAGTGAAAAATATACAAACAAAAAGCTTTAATTATTGGTACCAATCATGGAGGAGTTTTTTTGCCTTTTTGTGATGCATTTTATTTTTTATTTATTAGAAAATATTTCAGACATTCAAAAGGTATAAGAATATTATTATGAACACCCATGTACCTAGTATTCCAGATTTAAAAAAATAAACATGCCAAATGTTTGTGAAACCTCACATACACTATGTCTGTTTGACATCTCCTCTCTTTTTCTAGGACTTAGTTTGCTATAAAGCTGAATCTGCAGACTATTATTTTATTTAACATTTTGTATTTAAGATTTCCCCATGATGTCTTGTAAGCACTGGGACTTGCATTTTCACTGTTATCTATATGTATATTTATTTGTTTGTTTATCTATCCATGTTTCTTGTGACTAAGAATATTTAAGATTGTTATATATTTTTCTCTTCCATTAGCAAATTCTCGAAGTCTGCCTTCAGAACATACCCAGAATCTAACATGATCCAAACCATTATCATCTAGGTGGATCATTGCAATAATCCCCTCACTGGTCATTGTCTCTTCTTCAATCTGTTTTCAACACAATGACCAGAGGGATTTTATAAAATATGAATCAGACCTTTTGTACTAGTCTTCAAAAATCTCCAATGATTGCCAAGTCATCCCAATGAAAGGTCAAAGCCATAGTACAGTTATTTATAAAGTCCTACATGATCCCTCCTCCCAGCTAGTTACCTCTGTGGCCCCATTTTCTCCCCCTCCCTGAATTCCAGCTAAACTGGCTTCCCTGCTCTTCCTTAGCCGCATCAAGCATTAACTGTCTCAGGGAAGTGCTTGTAGCTACTTCTGCCTGTAATGGTCTTCTCCCAGACCTCTCTTGCCTTCTTCAAGATTTTTACTCAAATATCATCTTTTCCCTAGTCACACTATTTACATTTTATTCTACCTGCTAAAATATTAGCTCCCTTTCTGATTTATTTTTCTCCCCACAATTATCACCTCTAAACACAACACAATTTGCTTTTTCATGTTTATTGTTGGCCCTCTCCCACTAGTGGCTCTATGAGACAAGATATTTTTACCTTTTTTGTTAACTGCCATAACCTTTGAATCTAAAGCCTTTCCTGACGTTTCACAGGTGCTCAATAAATATTTTGTGTATTAGCTAATGAGTGGGGACTGGATATACACATCAGCATTAGATGTAATATTGATGTCTAGCATTTCTCAAGCAAATAACATGCGATGAAAATAACAAAGTTTGTATACTGACAATTAGATTAATTTAGAGATTCCAGGTTAACTATTAGAGGTTTTGAAGAAATCATAAAGAAAAAAAAAATTCCAACGAAATGACATCCTAAAAAAAGATGCTGCCTGAGGGGCAATGTGCCAGCATAAAATAGCAAGGCAATAAGCAAATTATTTAAGAAAATTTATCTGAACTGTCCTAGTCCGATTCCATCCATTTCTGTTCCCTTCCAAGTTACCACATTGTGTTCCCCTGTCAGCTTCTGGAATTAGATTTCTAATTCTCTTGAATAGCTTTTAGTACCCTTGCATGACAATTAGTTGACCTCATGCTGGCTTTTGGATCTCAAACAAATACTGATGAATTACCAGCACCATCTCATACATTTTCAGCCTTTCAGATAGATTCTGTTTTTGCCAAGTATCATCTTGCTAAATAGTAATGTGGTACAAAACAAAAATAACTTTATTTTTGTTTGCCAAAGGGAACGTTTTTTCCACCAGAGACAATCATTCTTAGGAAGTAGTAGCTAGATGTAGTCATATGCAATCAAAAATCAAAACTGTTTTATGTTGTTGTTTTCCTACTTCCAAAAATACGTTAACATTATGGAAGAATGGGCACAGGTTTTAAAAGCATTATTGTTTAGTAAGTCGACTAGGTTTATTTAAAATAGCTCCGGAATTTAGCAATGAGGAAGATGTAACATCAGAGTAATATTGGCAGCTTACATTTACTGCGTGTTTTCTCTGATCCCAACATCTCCCAAGTGATTTCTTTGTGTTACCTCATTTTATCTAACCCAATGAAGCTGATACTGTTTGTCACTGAAGAGATAAAGAATCACTGAAAAGTTAAATAACTCACAAAAGATTGTAGAGTTTGGCCAGGGGCGGTGGCTCACACCTATAATCCCAGCACTTTGGGAGGCCAAGGCGGGCGGATCGCCTGAGGTTGGGAGTTCAAGACCAGTCTGTCCAGCATGGTGAAACCCCATCTCTACTAAAAATACAAAAATTAGCTGGGCATGGTGGCAGGTGCCTGTAATCCCAGCTACTCGGGAAGGTTAGACAGGAGAATCGCTTGAACCCAGGAGGCAGAGGTTGCAGTGAGCTGAGATCGTGCCATTGCTGTCCAGCCTGGGCGACAAAGCAAGACTCCTTCTAAAAACACACAAATAAATAAAAATAAAAACAAAACAAAACAAAACAAAACACGATTATAGAGTTGGGACTCAGATTAGACAATCAAACTCCAGGGCCCAGGCTCTTAACTCTTTAAGCATACTTAAGAAGGAATGAGGCAGCAATGAGGCATACTTAGAAAATATAGATATTTTTTAAAGCTTATTGACAATTTGAAAATATTGACAAATGTTACCTTCCTAATAACCCTTTAGACAATACTCAGTTTAAAATGGCCTTTAAAGTCCTAAACATGGTTGTAATGTCTTGTGATCTGTTTTGATCCATTAAGAATTGATTAGAGATTATGATAAATTATTTTGATTTTTATATATTTATCATATTGCTTCTAAAATGTGCTTTTTTGTAGAGTTCATAAGTGTTATTCAGCAAAGGTAAATGAATTTATTATATAAAATGAGAAATAACCTATTTATATATCCATTATGAATTTCTCATAAATTGAATTTTTAATATATTTCTAAAGCCACTGAGTTAGGCGGGCAGCGCAGAACGTTCCAGAACAAAAGACATTGTACTTTTTGTGGTAAAATTATCTTCTTTATAAAAATACTTTTGTGGGATGTCTTTTGGAGATTTAGTCAGTTCAGGCTGTTATTACAAATTACCACAGCTTGGGCATTTTATAAACAACAGAAATTCATTTCTTACAGTTCTGAAGGCTGGAAATCCAAGATCTAGGTGCCAACATGATCCAGTGCTGGTGAGGGCCCCCTTCTGAGTTTTAAACTGCTGACTTGTATTTTCACATGGCGGGAAGATAGCTCTTTAGCATCTTTTTAAAAGGCACTAATTCCATTCCTGAGGGCTCCACTCTCATAACCTAATTGCCTCTCAAAGGCCACACTCCCAAATACCATCATAATGGGATTAGGATTCCAACATGAATTTTGTGGTTACAAGAATATTCAGTTAGTTGGAGAGATCCTTACATTTAAAATAAGAAAAGTGTCTTTTCGTGACTGCTATACAATTGGAAGAAAGTTATTGCTACGATATGAACAAAAACTAAAGGTATATTTTCTATAAAATCAAAGATAAATTGAGATAAATTTGTAATTTTAAGTATAAAGCAAAATAAAATACCTACAGCAGCCACGCAGGTATCATAGGTAAGATAACGTTGGCCATATTATGGAGACTGTACAACAAATTTTAGAAGATATACATGATAGGATATGTATATAAAGAGAGACTAAAATCCTGTATCTCATTGATTCATTGTGAGAGTAAAGCTTTTCATTAGCTGGATCTTGGAAAACTCCCACTTTCTACAAAACTGTCATTTCTCAAGCATATATATATATATACATATATATATATATATATATATATATAGTATTCAAAATTTTTTAGAAACTCTTGCATATAATGTCATCTTCAGACTTCAAAGCATTACTCAGATGCTCCTTTGGATTGTGCTTGCCAGTTCTTACACAGTTGAGAAACAGTTCTATAACAACTGTTTTTTAACCACATTCACTGTGTTTTCTTTTTGTGTGTGTGTATGTGTGTGTGCCTGTGTTGCAGAGAAGGCCAGCAATCGCCAGAACAATGGCAGAAGATGTACGGTAGATGCTCCGGGAATGAAGTCTACCACATTGTTTTGGAAGAAAGTACATTTTTTGCTGAATATGAAGGAAAGAGTTTTACATATGCCTCTTTCCATGCACACAAAAAGTATGTTTCTGCCTCAGAGAAAAATTAAAATATCAATCAGTCAAGCATATCATGTGAAAATAGTTTTCAAAAATAGAATGCATATTGTGTTCATGTGTTTAGGCATTCCGGAATTTTTGTCACAATATTCCCCAATGTTGAAACATTTGAACCCTGGTGTCTGTATGGTCTCTATAAGACAGTCAGGAGTAAATTATAATTTAGTAGGAATATTTCATTTAGCCACTTTTAAAGTCTTTTTAAAATATTTTAATCCATTAAGAATTTACATACATATGAAAATCTTCTTCACAGATCTGAATTTTAAGATGTTGATTAGGAACTAAAACAAAGTAACACTAATATTTCTAAAAACTGTACATTTGAAAAAAAAATCTCTGATGGTGGCCCTTGTTTTGGCCTGAGAAATAAGTTAAAAAATAAATAAAACTACCTTCCAATTCAAACATAGAACTTTTTTTTTCTTTTCCTTTTTGGAAAAAAAAAGGATTTACTTAAGAAGTAAAAATGTATGTATATAATGAAAATAACATATTATCTGTATTAAATGTTTTAATGTGACACATTTTGGAGGATTTACAATATACGTATATAGTCTACTAACTAATCTATTATGTAATGTACAGGAACCCCCAACTTATGATGCTTTGACTTACTATTTTTTTACCATGATGGTACAAAACAATAGCCATTCAGTAGAAACCATACTTCCAGTATCCATACAATCATTTTATTTTTCACTTTCAGTAGAATATTCAATAAATTACATAAGATATTTAACACTTTATTATAAAACAGGCTTGGTATTAGATGATTTTGCCCAACTGTAGGCAATGTAAGTGTTATGAGTATGTTTAAGGTTGGCTAGGTTAAAACTATGATATTTGTTAGGCTAGCTGTATTAAAAGCATTTTTTATTTAACAATATTTTCAACTTATGCTGGGTTTATCAGGACATAACTCTATTATAAGTCAAGGAGCTTCTGTATTCTACTTTACTTTTTTTTTCTGACTAAGTACATACCTATTTAAGACTATTTAAATATATATATTTTTTCTAAAATTTAAAGTAAACCAACTGTGATAAATTCAGGGACCCTGGTTCTCTTTCAGGTGACCATGGGTAAGTTTCTTTCCTTTGGCCAATAGTTTTAAGCTTTTTATTTATTTTTTTTAACCAAAGTAAGATATGCTGTTTATGTTTTTTGACCAAAGTAAAATTGTTGTAAAAATTCGCAAAATAATGTTACCCTTAGTGTATACATGCACTCATGTTTCTTATGTTCTTCCATTCATTTTCATTAAAATGTAAATTTATAGTGGTCATAATCAGCTAAATTGGTTTTACAACACACTAAGCACATAGTTTATTTTCCTGTAAAAATGAGGATCTTGAACTTCTAGGATCATTTCAAGCTTTAAAATGCTATTATTTAAAGCTTTTATTTTCCTCAGCCTTACAATAATTTACTAATTTTCTTACAAACTCTCTTTTTTTTTAAATTAAGGTTTGGCGTCTGCTTGATTGGTGTTAGGAGGGAGGATAATAAAAACATTTTGCTGAATCCAGGTCCTCGATACATTATGAATTCTACAGACATATGCTTTTATATTAATATTACCAAAGAAGAGAATTCAGCATTTAAAAACCAAGACCAGCAGAGAAAAAGCAATGTGTCCAGGTCGTTTTATCATGGACCTTCCAGATTACCTGTACATAGCATAATTGCCAGCATGGGTAAGTATAAACAAATTTGAAATATCATTAATTTATTTCTAAAATAAAAAATAATGATAAATACCAATGCATTTAAATTTTTATTAAAAGTTTAAAGAAAATTTCAAACATGCTGCATTTTACAAACTAGGTATGACTAGGTATACAGGACAACAGTTCTAAGTTGTGAATTTTTTAAAAAGTAAGATATTAGCCTACTGTGGTGGCATATGTCTATAATACTACCTATTCCAGAGGCTGAGGTGGAAGAATTGCTTGAGCCAGGAGTTTGAGAACAGCCTGGGCAACAGAAAAAGACTCTGTGTCCAAAAAAACCTCAATCTAAGATATTACAAAAACACAATCAACAATCATTTTATATTTCTCATTATATATAAAGCACCACACACTTTTATATTTCTTTTGTAAGTTCTCTTTGTAATTATCATCAAGAGAGGCTATTTCAAATATTCTTCATTTTCTCAAAATTCTCTTTCCATCTCTTACCTCACTCTCACCACTGAACTTGGCTTCTATGACACAGAAGAAGAAAGGTAAAAGAAAAAATACCTCCATGCAAATAAGAATTTCTTTACGGTTTGGCCTCCAAACCATCTACAAACCTACAAACATTTAGTATCTGTCACAAGGAAAATGTGTCATTTTTAACTAATACTGATACATTCATTTATTCCAGGAACCATGCCCTTGTTCCTCCTCAGAGACTTTACTCTTTAATCCCTCCTCATTACCTAACTTCATTTTCTATTCAGAATCACTGGCTGATCTCTCTCTCTCTGTGTCTCTGTCTCTCTCTCTCTCTCTCTCTCTCTCTCTCTCTGTGTGTGTGTGTGTCTCTTCATATCTCTGTGTGCACCATACACTTGTAATTTTGAACCTTCCATGATAACAACTTCAGAGACAAATTTCTCCAAAGTGTTGTGTTTAGTGGCAGGCTTTAAATTTTATTGTTGTCCTATGTCCATGATTCTACCCAGTTCAATCTGACACCTGCAGTCATATCACTGAAACTATTCAGGCAAGGTCACCATGTTCCTCTTTGTCACTACATCTAAAATGATTGTCTTCACAGTATATGACAAGAATATTGACCATGTTCTTCCTGAAACACTCTAATGCCTTTTTTTCTGCTTTGTGCACATTCATTTTCATTGTGTGGTCACTTCTGTTCTCATGGATTCTATTGTCCGTAAACTGATTATTCCTCTGTCTAAAGCATTAACTCAACATCTCTTTACAGCAACGCGAACTGTCTACTAGTTATTTCTGTTTGAGTATTTTGTGGGAAAAACTGGCACAGCATATTCAAATTAAACTGATCCTTACACTCTCATTCAGTCATTCAACACCGTTTTTCTCCTTCTCCTTTTTTTTTTTTTTTTTTTTTTTTTTGCTAAAAAGCAGATGACACCATTATCCTTTGATCTGTAAGGCCACCATTCTGACTTTTCACCACCCGCTCTTCTCATACCTCATCATTAACCAAATTCTATTAAATCTGGTCAGTAAATAGCCCCTAGAATCATTCAGTTTTTTTCCATGTCCACCACCAACATCATCGTGGTCTGTGCCTCCATCCTTCTCTCCCTGAACTGCAGGATCAACAACCTTGTCTTTTTTCCATGCCTCCAGCCTTGCCACTCTACACTTAATTCTCCATCCTGCCACCAGAGTAAAAATTTTTAAATATAATTTTGATAGCATCATTTCCTGAACAAATCACCTGCTTTATACTACCCATTGGAAAAAAAAGTCTAAATTCTGTAGTGTGACTTAACTTATAAATAGGATAACCAAAAGTTCTTGTTTGCATTAGGCAATCCTAGTTTTCTTAGGAATGTTCCAGTTTCTTAGGATTGTTCAGTTTATATAATTGTCCTGATGTAATTATTAAAAGAACCCCCTTTTACTCTGCAGTATCCTAGTTTAGAAAATAAATTACTTCATCATTTTCTTTATAGGCTTTTTATTAGTGATATTTTCTGACTTTTCTAGCTCCACATTTTACCACCTCTTTGCTGCTCTCCTGAGCTCCAAACATACTCACTTTCTTTCAATCTTCACTAATATATTTTTTTCACCAATGGGCCTTAAAACATTAAGTTTCCTCTGATGGAACTATTCCTCACACCCCAACATTCCCTAAGTAATGACTTCTAATTCTTTATATCTTAGTCAAAATATCACTCCCTCCAAACACTATTCCATGGTTTTACCTAGACCTTCTTAGGTAATCCTATTTGTCATTTACTTATTTTTATTCTACAGTAGCAATATTCATTTTTAATGTCTTCAAAAAGTACTTATTGTGTGCCTAATATGTACCCAAAATAGTATTTATTGAGTACCTAATATGTACCAAGAACTCTCGTGTAAGTGTTTGTGATAAAACGTTAGTGAAGAAACAAAGATCCCTAGTTCATAGAGCTTGCATTCTATTATGGAGAAGACAGGCGATAACCAAAGTACATATAAAAAAATAAGTAAATTACTTAATATGCTAGTGGGTTATAAGTTATAAAGGAAAAACTAAAAGAAGAAAACAGAGCTAGTATAGGAGATAATTAATTTTTGGGAGGAGCAGATTTTAAATGAAGTGCTTAGTAGGCCAGAAAGTGATGTTTGAGCAGATACCTGAAAGAAATGAGGAATTAGTCCTGTGGAGGTCTGGAGAAAGAGATAACAGCTGGTACAAAGGCCCTAAAGTGGGAGCCTGGCTGGGGTTCTCCAGGAACAGTAACAGGGCCCTTTGTGCCTCAAACACAGTGAATGCTGGAAGAATAGTAGGAGATGAGGACGAACAGGTAGAAAGAGGCCAGATCCTGTTGGGCTTATTTAAGTCCATATGGGATTGCAGCTTCTACTCTCAGTGAAGTGGGAATTATTGCAAGGCTTTATGCAGAGCCATTGACCTGATCTCACCTATGCTGAGTGCTCAACTCAGGCTGCTGTTGAACATAGATGGTTTGGAGCAAGGATCAGACTATTTTCAAGTGGAAGTGGTAAGAAGGAGAAAATTCTGCATGTACTTTGAGGATAATCAGGATTCCTTACAAAATGAAATTGAACTGTGAGAAAAAGAGAAGTGTGAAGAAACATAAGGTTTTCGGATTAAGCAACTAGGGAAAGAGAATGGCCATAAATTTAGAGGAAAGGCTAGGGGGAATGCAGGTTTTGCGGGGGTGAAGGGAAGATAAAGAGTATTTTGGAACACCTTGAAGATGTCTAACAGGAAGTTGTATGTAAGAGTCTAGATTTCAGGAGAGAGAGAGAGATAGGCTGAAAAAGTAAATTTTGTATTTCTGATCTTATGTATATATTTAAAGCCATAAGACCAAATGAAGTCTTTGAGGAAATGAGTACAGGCAGGAAAAAATAAAAGACAAAGCTCTGCAGTATACTAAGATTAAGTATCAGGGGGATGAGAAGAAACCAGCAAAGGAGACCAAAGAGGAGCTACTGGCAGGCTAGTAGGAAAACCCAATGAGTGAGGTGTCCTGGAATCCAAGTGAGCTAAGTGCATTAAGACAACACCATGTAAAGCCATGTCTGATAGGTCATGGCTGAAAGCCAAGTACTGATAGGTCGTAACATAAGGACTGAGAAGTGTCAATTGACTTTAGCAATGCAATGATCATTGTTCACCCTCATAAGAGCTGTTTCAATGGAGTGGTGGTGGACAATGCTAGATTGGACTACGTTTGGGAAAGAATGGTAGAAGATAAATTAGAAACAGTAGGTCTGGACAGTTCTTAAAACGTCTGACTGCAAAACGGAGAAAAGAAATGGATTTGTAGCTTGTGTTGAAAGTACAAGCAAGTAAGGAAGGCAGAGAGATTGAGGGTTTGTATAATAGATTGTATATAATTATAGGCCATGGAACTTAATTTAAGTAAGGAAGTGAAAAGATGTATTTTGGTTAGAAAAGACTGAAAGGAGAGTGGATTAATCGATTCTAATTCCAGTGAAAATCAAGAGGGAAAGAGCTGGAAAGCCAAGGTACAGGTGTCAAAGAGTGAGATGCCAGAAGGAGAGATGATGTGCAGCAAGTAATAATTACAAAAGCTAAGGTGTGGCCATGAGAGTGAAGGACTGAAGAGTGATAGTAGAAAAAGCCATTACTAGAGAAGAGGACAAGGAGTTGAGTCTGGAATGTTGGAAGGATCATCTATGTGTATGGTGAAACTGCCAAAAATCAGGACAGACAATGTGGAGAGACTATTAATGATGCAAGAGCTAAACTGTCTGGGTGTATTCAGTTGCATAGGTATAGATATGGGGAACATGGAGAGTTTAACTTAAGCAGGGTTCTATTTTGTCAAGAGGGTGGAATGAAGCAAAAATGTATCAAGGGATCCAGGGGTATATGCAAGAAAATAATCATAATGCTTAAACATGGAATTTAAGATAGTTAAGAAGAGAAGAGAGAGCATCAAGGGAATGAGAGAGACAAACTCTGGTATCATCAGTAGAATTGAAGTTCCAGCATGGTAAAATCATAGCTAGTGTTAGGAAATCAGTGAGAGTGACCTGAACAAACAAGAAATAGTGGTGATCAAAGGGTGAATGCATAAAAATGTGTGCAACATTGTTTTTATTGGTTATAACAAGGTCTAAAAAATCACTATGGAAGTGAAGGGCTGAGATAAGGTAAAAATTTCTTCAGTTCATGTTATTATAATGAGGAAGAAGCTTGGAAGGCCAGAGGTTTGAGGAAAGTAGAATTTTAAATAGTCATGCGCTGCATAAATTCAGTCAATGATGGATAGCATATACAATGGTGGTCCCAATAAGATTGTAATACCATGTTTTTACTGTATGTTTTCTATATTGAGATTACCATTGTGTTAGAATTGACTACACCAATCAGTACAGTAACATGCTGTACAGATTTGTAGTCTAGGAGCAGTAGGCTATACCATATAGCCTAGGGGCAGTAGGCTATACCTATACCATATAGCAGTAGGCTATACCATATAGCCTATGTACCATATAGCCTAGGATAGTAGGCTACCTCATCTAGGTTTGTGTAAGTATGATGTTTGAATATCTAAGAAATCACCAAATGGTAGATTTCTCAGAACATATCCCCCTTTTTAAGCAATGCATGACTGTAATTGTTTCAAAGAATGGGACAAAGCAAAGACTAGCAACTTTTAGAAGGATGACCAGGTGCCACTGAGTACATAAATGAAATAAGTAATTATGAAATATGATGCCTTTCATCGTTATTTTCTCCAGAAGGAGAGGAACCTCAATTTTTCATAAATAGATATTAAAATTAATTTTTACATTTCAATAAAATTCACAAAGGGAATTGCTTCTTCTGCCTTCTATTCCTTGAATGCCTCAAGTATTCAATAACCTTAAGCCACTTGGGCTTGGGCTTGCCATTCTTACTGCCTCCAGGTACTTCCATGACTTGTGTGCTCCTTATTGTATTTCAGGTCAAAAATCGAATGTCCTAACTTCACAGTGGCCTTCTCTCCTATCAAATAAAAATTCCATTCCTCTCCCTGCATGCTACTGATTATTGTCTACAATTATCCATTTATTTGTCTACTTGCTACATACAGGTTTCATCTTGTAGAAACTTTGTTTGTCTTCTCTACAGATCTCAAGTACCTGGAACAGTGCTCCCCATATGTGGCACTCAATAAATATTCATTTAATACAAAATAAGTATAACATATTAGTAGTTCCGATATTTTAAAAAGTGGTCATAAATCAATTACAAAAAGATAGCTCAATAGAAAAGGGGGCGCTTGAACCTGGGAGGAGGAGTTTGCAGTGAGCCGAGATTGTGCCACTGCACTCCAGCCTGGAGCGAGACTCTGTCTTAAAAAAAAAAAAGAAAGAAAGAAAGAAATAAAAGAAAAAGCAAAGAGGGGAAACACATAATGAAAAATTCACAAAATGGACATGGTCAACAACAAAAGAATAAATTTTAAATAAATATAAATTGAAACATCAGGGTATACTTTTTCACTTTAAGTTTCTATATACTTCAGGATTTTACAAATCTTATGTTTTGTGCCATAGAACAACACTCTGCAAATACACTTTTGTGCAAATAGAGATTTTCTTGTCCAGGAAAATGCCTGTGTGCAAAAGAAATATTTAGCTATCAGAACTAAACTTATACACCACACGCATAAATATATACTCTCTCTATATATATATTTATTGTGTTTATTATATTTCATATTTCATGTAACCTTCAACACTAGTGATCAATATGGCAAACGCCTTGATAAATTTTCATGTTTTATTGTTTTAGGTACTGTGGCTATAGACTTGCAAGATACAAGCTGTAGATCAGCAAGTGGCCCTACCCTGTCTCTTCCTACAGAGGGAAGCAAAGAAATAAGAAGACCTAGCATTGCTCCTGTTTTAGAGGTTGCAGATACATCATCGATTCAAACATGTGATCTTCTAAGTGACCAATCAGAAGATGAAACTACACCAGATGAAGAAATGTCTTCAAACTTAGAGTATGTTCAGATACTCTAAGGTGTAAGATTACTGGGTTTTGTGCTAATGTCCTTAAGTATTTTCTTTACATACCTTCCCAATAGGTAAGGAGCTAATGATCTTTCCTTCTGAACATCCTAGAATCATTCCTATATACTTCTACCAAAACGCACTGCTAGTAGCCAGTATCTCTTTTGACTGCAGAGCATTATAAGCCCTCAAGTTTCTGGCTTCAACATATATTTCCAGTCTCATTTTGCTCTTAATTATCTTTTATCCTCAAGGAAAAAAAAATCAGTGTTCCCAAGATATAAGCTTCATTTTCATAATTGTATGGTTTTTATAGTATATTGTACTTTATACTTTGAATTTACTTTATTGCACATCCATATTGAAGTTCAATCAATTATTCAATGAAATGAAAACACAGCCCCTTCCATTAAGCTTTCCTTACTTATCTCAGTGTTCAGCACTTTCATACACTATTCATTAATTATTTTAAATGTATGAATAAAAGGAGTACTGTTTCCCTTTTCTAGGCTTCCATAATAATAGAACGCCAATCTATATAGTATTAATCACATTGTAGCTTGCAGTAGAGTTTGTTTGCATGTCTTATTCCACATATTAAATTGTCATTCTTCAGGAAAACACAGCAGTCCACAGGCTTGACTGTGGAGTACTAAGGACATTGCTTGCCATGCCAGTTCCACTTTATATTGGTTGTGTACAAGTGACTTTAATTAAACAAACAAACAAAAAAAAAAAAAAACTTGCAGCTGGGCACAGTGGCTCACACTTGTAATCCCAGCACTTTGGAAGGCCGAGATGGCAGGATCATTTGAGGTCAGGAGTTTGAGACAAGCCTGACCAACGTGGTGTGGCTGGTCTCAAACTTTACTAAAAATATAAAAATTAGCTAGGAGTGGTGGTGCGCGCCTGCAATCCTACCTACTTGGAAGGCTGAGACAGGAGAATCACTTGAACGCAGGAGGTGGAGGTTGCAGTAAGCTAAGATCCTGCCACTGCAGTCCAGCCAGGGCGACAGAGTGAGACTCTGTCTTAAAAAAAAAAAAAAAAACTAGCCAATAATTTATTTACCTGTAAACTGAGTGTAATTACTACTTCAGAAAGCTATTAGTGATTAATTGAGATAATGGAGAAAAAGTGTTTATACAAAAACAATGTTTTGTGTAGAGTAAGCGTTCAATTAGTATTAATTACTATTAGTCATATTACGGGTAGTAGTGGCATTGGCAGCATAATCTCTGACATTTCTTCCAGTGTCTTTCATAAAATGTAAATTCAAGTAATGTTGAACTAAGAAGAACTTCAGTGTCATTGAAGCTTGAAAATATTCTTTGTTTAAATTTCTCACACTTAAAAAAATACTGTAAGAAAGGTTGGTGTACCCACAAAACCAAATCTACTCTTCAAAGACATTAATGGTCAAAGTCCTCAAATGTATTTGGAATCTAGGATGGGAACAGGGATAGGTTTGGCAACCAGTGTCTTCACAGGAAACAGTGTTTTGGAGTGCGACTGAAATTCTTTCTTTACACTTCTTAAAAAATTGAGAGGTAAAAGATTTTTTCTTATTTCTAGAAAAACGAAAGAGATGTTGAGTAATTGTAGAGATTACCAACTTCTAAATTTACAAAATTTTACCCTATAATTTTATCTCTTAGCCAACGAACTTTATTTCCTGAAAATGCTGATTTGCATCTCTTCTTTAAGATAAAATAGTTTTAACTAGGTCAGAAATTTTATGGCTTAGCAGGTAAATTTGTTAAAATCAAACACTTTCTTATTGGATAAAGGAATATTATTTTCACTAAATTTTATTTTATTGCCTAATTTTCATTTATGCTGCTACGTTTTAGAAGTTTCATTCTGAAAGTCAGTATAGCCGAAATATGCTGTTGGCTGTTTTTTAAAAGTCAGCAAGCTAAATTCTCTGATAATGTTTTAAGTATGATTACAACAAAAACTATGTTTTTAACCAATTAGCTCAGTTATTTGTTCCATTTCGGTTATGTAGTTATGGCTAATGAATATTGATAGAGCAAATCATAATAATGCATTTTGCCTTAAATGTATTTTGTAAAAATTACCATTACTATTTATTTTTTAAAAATGAAAATCTTCTAAGCTGTGAGTTAACAAACTTTTTATAAATAGGAACAACCAGTAAATATTTCAGGCTTTTTGACCCCTGTTGCAACTACTAACTCTGTTACCAAAGCACAAAAACACCTATACACAATACATACATGAATGAGTGTGGCTGAATTATAATAAAGCTTTATTTATAGATACTGAAATTTGAACTTCGTATAATTTTCGCATGACATGAAATACTAGTTTGATTTTTTCCAACCATTTTAAAATGCAGAAACAACCCTTTCAAAACCATGTGGAGGGCCATATTTGATCCTGGGGCCACAGTTTGCCTACCTCTCTTCTTAACTACCTCTTTATCAAAATATAATTGCAACACAGAGGTATTGATTATAATGTTATTAAAACAGAGGAACATGGTCGTAACTTAATTTCTCAAATTTGCATGCCTTATCCAAGGGTAATATTTTGTATTATTTTACAGGTATGCTAAAGGTTACCCACCTTATTCTCCATATATAGGAAGTTCACCCACTTTTTGTCATCTCCTTCATGAAAAAGTACCATTTTGCTGCTTAAGATTAGACAAGGTAAGTACTTGTTGATGCTTTTTTGTTTACAAAATAAAATTATAGCATTTTATAGTTACATAATTTAAGTAATTTGTACAGCATTTTGATTACAATATGTTTAAGGGGTATTGGTATTATCTTTTCCAATGTAAATTTATATAAAGTGGTCAGTTTTACATTTTTAACTGCACAAATGATTACCCAAATGCTTTAGTCTTCTACCATATTAGCCTACTGGATCTGCTAGTCATGTTGTTAAAGAGAAAAATAAGGTACCAAATCTCATCCCTATGAACCCTCAACAACCAAAGTCTCCAAAAATCACTTGGGTCAAATGTGCATTATTTATTTTAACATTATTACTTTATATCTCATTATGGAATCCCTTGACATGATGGGAAGAGTAAGTCCATGTGTTAGACACAAAGATTCATTTATGACTAAAGTGAAAGCTCATATTAGAGTCTTGCCTAATATTTCCTTTCTCAAAATTTTACTGTCATTCTTGGATGTCCAAGAGAAGCTGTCCAAAAGATAAAAATTCTAAGAATGCTAGAGTTTTTATCTTTTTTCACAATATAACCATTGGGCTTGACTGGTATGAATTTATTCTCTTGAAGAATAACAAAACTGATAAAAGGAAGAACCTTATATTTACTGCCCCTGGAGATTCAGATCTGCCACTAATTCTAGCTAGGGATTTTTTCTTTTACATTAAGTTTTGAAGTTACAGTTAAAAATCTCAGCTCTCCACTTACAAGTCATGTAATTTGGGCAACTAACTTCACCAAGTTTCAGTTTCCTCATCCTTAAAGTGGATATTATTTTAATATGAACCTCATAAGGCTCTTACAGGGATTATATAATTTAGTGCATGTTTAATGAAGTGCAAGAAAGTTAATAACTGAGTTGGTGCTTAATATATTCTTGCTATTATTTTTATATGACAAATATTATAAATTTTGACTATTACTGTCACTCTTGAGGAAGAAGATTTACAGAACATTAGAAAATTCCTGCCTTTGTTTCCCTGAAGTTGCTTTGAGAATCTTTGCCATTACTCTGAAATATTCATCTGGGCCCATTGAGATGGATGATTCTGACCCTCAAGACCAAATATATATATATTGCTTTCATTCAAATGAGATTCTGTCCCTCAAGACTGAATATATATATTGGTCTCATTCAAATATATATATATATATATATATATATATATATATGTCTTGAGGAACAGAATTATCCATTTCAATGGGCCCAGATGAATACACACACACACACACACACACACACATATAAGTGTATATATACACATATATACATATATGTACATAAATACATATATACATATATATACCTATATGCACATATATTTACATATATACACATATATATGTGTATATATATGCGGTCCTTATTATTTTAATATTATGAAGCACTTGATATTTCTGGCAAGCTATGTATTTTCAGTAACATTAATAAATCCTAAATTTCAAGGCCCTTCCCCCACATTGACTCCTTTTAAGACTAATATTATTTATAATATTGTTGTTATTTTCTTTATGGATAAATCTTAAAATAATATATGCTTCAGTCACCACAAAACCTGGATTCACTTCTGGTTTTTATTTCTTTAAATGCACAGTTAAAGTAGAAAAAAATATTAGGAGACAAAAAAGTGGAAATAATTTATCTCCAAACAGAGATCCCAATCTAACTGAAAAGCTAAACTTTCAGAGAACAGGATTGATGGAGGCACAATAAGAGGATATTTTAATATCAAAGGACTATTAACTGTCTCTTTACCATATTAATGAAGCAAAATTTCTGGGTGTTGCTGATTGTCTAGTGATACCTGGAATTATTGGTTATTTAGGTAGCATTAGACTGATAGAAGGTGGTCTGCTATGTAAATGAGCACCCACTTTGGGATTTTAGGAACAGTATGGGATTATGCAGCTGACTCTACTGTGTCTGTGAAGTGTGTGAGTTGGGATTGCCTTATCCAATTTATTCTGTGTCAGTATCAGTGGGGCTGGTGTCCTGGTCAGTGTTCATGAACACTAAATTCTCTGTTCTCTGCTCTTTGTTTCCCTATTAATTGAGCTATTTCTAAATCTCCTTAGGGAAAGTTATTTTTTCCTTTATTTATCTTATAAATATTGACATTCTTGATGATCCAAACATCAGCTCAACACTATTCTTGTTGCATGCATGATCTCTTTCTGAGTGACTTTATTTCTTATATTACTTCAGATTCTGTTTATAATTCTCCAAGCACCCTTTCAATAAAGACTTGTTGCCCTTGTTTGTTACCATTTCCTTTGTTCTCTATTCTTTCTTATACCTTAGAATTTCCTTCTGGATTCATTTTCCTGTTTCCTAGATTACCACCTTTAGAAATTCTGTTAAGGAGATTCTATTGGTGGAGAATCCTTTTAATTATGGTTTCCTTTTATTTTGGTCTCATTCTTGAAAGATGGTTTACTTTGTGTGCAAGTCCAGGCTGTTAATTTAGTTTTCTGGTTTTTTTTTTTTTTCTTTTAGCACTTTAAGGACTGTACTTACTGCCTTCTGTGCTCCAAATAATGGCTGAAAAGTCAGCTACCATTCCAATTGTTTTTTCTTGTAGATGTGGCTCTTTTCTCTGTGTCTGCTTTAAGATCTTCTCATTTGATTTTTCATCACATCTCAAAAACTCTCAGCCAATATTTACTTGAATAAGTTTTCTTTCTGATTCTCTCTTAGCTCTTTTTCAGATATTCTGATTAAATAAATGTTAGATATTCTCACGATAGCTTCCAAGTCTTAATTTTTTCACCCTAGGTTCTGTTTTTTTTCTTCTCTGCCTTTCATTTTAGTTTCTGTATTCCATTCTGTCCCGCACGTGATCCCTTTGGCTGAATCTTAAGTGTAATTTAAATAATCTTTTGAGTTACACTCTTTACTTCAAGAAGATACAGAGAAATAGATTTAGGTATTATTTTTAATATCTACCTGCTAGATGTTATTTTACATAGCCTCTTGTTCTTTTCTCAGGCTTTAAATACTTTCTTTCTTTTATTTAAACATGTTAAATGTGCTCATTTTATATTCTGAATTTAATCACAAAATTCGTAGTCTTTGTGGGTCTAGTTATCTTGTTATGATTATTTCTGTTTACTCATGGTGCTTTGTTTTCAGCAGTGTTTTGTAATTTTTTTATTCAAGAATAATGGCAAAGAATATTCCAGAGGTGTCCGAGCATGGTGGCTCGTGCCTGTAATCCCAGCATTTGGGGAGGCTGAGGTGGGTGGATTGCTTGAGCCCAGGACCCCGTATCTACAAAAATACAAAAACATTAGTCGAGCATGCTGGTGCCCACCTGTAGTCCCAGCTACTCGGGAGGCTGAGGTGGGAGAATCACCTGAGACTGGAAATTTGAGGTTTCAGTGAGCGATGATTGCACCACTGCACTCCAGCCTGGGCGGCAGGAGTGAGGCCCTGTCTCAAAAAAAAAAAAAAAGATCAGAATATTCCAGAGGTGATAAATGTTCCAGACAACTAACTAATCTCAACCCACATAAATAAGAAATGAACATAAAGACATATAAAGGTAAAATAGCAGAACATCAAAACAGTTCTCCGTGCAGATAATTTATCTGAAAATAATATTGGGTTAACAACGCTAATTCTGTCAAATTCTAGACTCCATGAAATAGCAAAATGCCCTTAGCCCAACGATGAGTTTTGGTAATGCTTTGTTCTTGTTTTTGTTGGTATTATTGGGTATTTTACTTTAGAGTATTTGAATCATTATCGTGCCAGCTCAAATATGCATGTAGACAGTTAGGGGTTTTTTGTTTTTTGGTTTTTTTTTTCACTGTTTTATTTTCTTCATCGCTTTAAGCATTCAGTACTGGGAATGTTCCTGAAGTTACCTAATTATGATATTACTATATTTCTGGAAATGAAAGTCAGAGAAAATTAATTTGTAAAAGTGTATACCTGGATGTCTTCTAGCAGCAAACTTTAGTTTACAATAGAACAAGCACACACACAAAATGTTGGCTCTTTCAACATCAAGCTACAAACCTGCAATTCATTTTCCTTGTCCATGCACACTTTTATTTCTTACTGCAGGTTGCAGAAATGGGCACAGAAAAATGTAACTATTTTCAAATTTATTAGAAAATAAGGATTTACATTGTTCAATTAATTTTACATTTTCCTATAGCTTAAATTTTCTCCAAATTTTAATGAAGTATCCAAATGGCATTTCAATGTATACTTTCTCTTCTCTAGAGTTGCCAACATAACTACTATGAGGATGCAAAAGCCTATGGATTCAAAAATAAACTAATTATAGTTGCAGCTGAAACAGCTGGAAATGGATTATATAACTTTATTGTTCCTCTCAGGGCATATTATAGACCAAAGAAAGAACTTAATCCCATAGTACTGCTATTGGATAACCCGTAAGTATATTTTAAGATACACAAACAAGATAAACTGTTTTTAATAGTATGTTAATGTATATCAAAAATAATTGCCTGTAATATTCTGGTAGTATTTTAAATCAGATACATTATGGTACATGATTCATTGGGAGATATATTCTGTGCTGTGATACAAAATATATCATTGAATATGATTATATTCATAAATACTACTTAAAACTGGGATATTCTGAGAATTTTATTTAAAACTGTTTTGCAAGTGGTCATCTACTCATAATACCACAGGAAATAGGCCACTGAAATAATTACTGCAATTTTCCTTAAATTAATCAACTAGCCTGACAAATCTCTGCCAAAACTGGACAATTTTTTTTTTGTCTTTCTAAAGAACCATTAATTATCAGAGAAGCATTTACTGATCCATTTTTATATGTTATAACACAAAGCATCATCAGAGGTTATTATGACTGGACCACTGTTAAACCATACATTCTATGACATAATAGAAGTAATGCTTTACCTTGTGCATTTATTTGGAAAATATTGGATTGGTTTACTTTTGTTAAATAGGACTACTTAAGCAATTCAAAATTCTTATGCAAATATAAATATGGGTCACTGAATGAGACAGTCAAAGCCATTTTATTCTAAAATTATAATATCCGTCTCTGTGACTGGAAATTAGTAGCAGGTGGTCTTTAGATTAATACCATATTTTAGGATTCTCTCACTCTCCTCATCCATTCCAATGTGATGCAAATGTCAAGATGAACTATTACTAAATGAGGCCAAATTCCGTTGCCTTGTCTCTGCCTTTCAAAATTATCAAAGTTTTTCATAAGAGAGACATCTGCCCAGTACATTATAACTTTATAGTGTTGTTTATTCTCACTTTACCAACATCAAAATACTTATTGATGCAACTTTCTTAGAATCATCATTATAAGAATAATCAACTCCAAAAATTTATCACACTTGTAGAATTTTCATTTGAAGAATTTTCAGATATGATTACTCAATGACTTTTTCTATACTTCTTTGGCATCTAAGGAAAGCTGAGGCATATTTAGGGTAAATGAAGGGGAACAGAAACTTGGACCAAATTTCAGAAGAAATAAAAGTTTGTTAAAACAAATTTTAGAACAATCAAAGTTGCATTGTGGGATGGCTATGGCAATACAGTGGTTGTAAATCACTTCTTTCAAATATAATCTTAATTCTGAAGCATCTCTGCTAGGAAGCTCCAAGAAATTGGCTGAGCTGCCACAGGAGGGATGCCTAACTGTGTGAGTTCAAATGTGTCAGCTTTTGGCTTCTTTTGCTTATGATGAGTACATTGCCCTGAAAGTGGAAGTTAAGACAATGGCATTTGCAAACGTTGCCTTAGAGTAGCTATATGTTGTATGGCTTGGATCAAACTGGATCAATTCAGGTACCAGGTTACAGACAGGAAGGTAGGAAGTGGATTGAGAAAAAAGTGGAACTGTGCTTACAGCATCTTTCTGATAGGACTAAGGACAAAACTGTACTTTCCTCCTCTTCACATAATTTCAAGATAAAGTTTCTTGTCCTGATGTGTAAACCTCCCTACCAAAAATCAGTCTCTTCATATCTGGGACTGGAGTTCACTCTATGAACAGAGATGGACTCCTCATTTTCAATCTTCAGTCTTGCTAGGTAACCTTATTTCAAATCTCTAAGTCTCCATTTTCACCATCACACAGGTGACAGGAGCTAAGAAGTGTTTTACTTGTATGTTTTATGTAGATTTTAGAGTAGCTATAACCAAATCAATCCCTTTCTGTTTGGTTTTGAATAAACAGGTTACAAAAATGTCTGATTACTGAATGATTGATTGATTTGTATATTAGGATTATAAAATCAATTATGTGATTGTTCAAGGACTGGCTACACAGTCTTCATTCCTTGATCAATCACAAAATAATCTGAAAACTCTACCTCTCTTAATTACTGACAACTGGTTAGTATTTCTCTATAAATATAGATGTGGCTTTTATCAGATAATAATTCATCTGAATAAGACCATAAAGATTATTCAATAAAGTTAATATTATTTACCTCCATCCTCTGTTCATAATTACAATGACTACTACATGTCAGTCATCATACTACACACTTTACTTTACATTTTAGTTGCACAAGTCACATATTTACATTACAGTGATGATTTAGTCTTAGAGAGATGTGCCAAGCAGTTTAAAATCTCAAATTACGATGTAAACATTTAAATAAACTGAAAGCTGTGTGAGGTGGCTACAACACTGTCTCTTATTTTAAGAGGATGTAAAAGAGACACAAAGAAGGTGAATGACCTTTTTCATGGTCAGTTTTTGAATTAGACCTTTCTATGAAATTTCTGTTTTATTTTTCTTTCAACTTACAGGGTTTTCATATATGAAAAAAATACATGTTGCTTGCTCATACTTTTTGAAAACAAGAATATATCTTAACTTTGGTTTATTTTTGCATTAAAAGTTCCCTTTGCCTTCCTAATGGCTTACATTTGGGAATCCAACAATCCACATTATATTGTTATTAAATAATTCTTGTAGGGTTTGACTTTATTTCAAAGGGTTAGGTTGAAAGTTCACGCTGTAAAATCTGTTAGCTTTCTGTGTACTTCCCGAAAGTATTGTCGAATATTCTTATTTGTTGTCCTCTGTTCCTTTGGTTAAGAATGAGGAAACTAAAACTAAACACCAATTAACAATGTCCAGGAAGTTTTATGCAATTCTTTTTTTTTTTTTTTAACAATTAGATGCCTGTTGCTCTGAAATGGAGAGCACTTTGCAATCCATCCTACAATATTACAAAAAAAATGAGGCTTTCTTCTTTACAATATTTCCATATTATAGGAATTCCTACAATGATGATTGCATACCCTTCTAGAATTATTAGTTAGTTTTGAGGGTTTGACTTAAAATTCACATGAGTACAGCTGAAAATAGTATTCAGTATGTGGCTATTTTTAAAAATTAGTCGAAACGGCAATTAATTCAATATAACAGAAATAAATAATAGCAGATGTAATAAGCATGGGATTTTAAAATGTAAATTAAATTTATAATATTCATACACATAATATGCCAAAATAAGTGTTCACAATGTTTTCAAATATAAACCTTTCTAGATCTTAAATGGTAATTAAATAAAACTCAGTCATATTGAAAAGCATCTTTCAGTTGGTACTGGTTCATTAGAGCTGGTGTCAGTTCTGATTGGCTGGCCATCTGTTCTGTTTGGTCTGTTGTGCCATACTGATTTTAAATATTTTGATTACCACCCCAACCTTAAAGGTCATCTAGTCATTTTTAACATCATCTCATGTGAAAGATAGAAAAGCAAGTCAAAAGCTAGAATATATTATCCAAAGCTACATAAGGATGAAGGGAAAGATCCAGGCTTTTGCTCTTAATATTTATCAAGGTCTTCTTCACACTATCCATTCATTAAATCAATCTTCTTTCCACATATGGTGCCAAGTAAACTTCAGCTTATTTTGAAAGTAATGATAAAATCCCTGATGTCAGTGTTCTTATTTTTAAAATTCAAACTTTAGACTTATTCAGATCTAAGTTCTAAATTTATGCTCTTGATAGGTCTGTTAAATGTTACTGAGTCTTTTTAAGCCACATTTTTCTGATTTGTAAAATGGTTAAAACATTTATCTTAAAAAGCTATTGTGAGATGATGTAGATAATGTATATAAAATCCTAGTGCAATATCTGATTCATAAAAGGAAGATAAGAAACATCATTTTTTTCTTCTGCCAATCAAGAAAATAACACTGTCACTATTCAAACTGATGGACGGATTATGAAAACCCAATTAATAAAAAAGGACACTTATTTAAGTAGCTAAAATTAAACTACTTTCATATTGTCTAGCAAGGAATAAAGTACTTAAAAGTGGAATTAGGAAATGTTAACAAAATAAACTGTGCTCATAAAAGCATGCTATGCTCATTTCTTGAACTTGAAATAAAGAAATTAATTTTTAATTGTTATTAGTTAAATGGGAACAAAATAATGGCCTTGAATTTTACAAATTCATACAAATTTGCAAACCTTTTTTACTTCCTAACAGTCACTGACTAATATTTGGATGGCAACTTTTGCTATGAGAATTTCTATAAGAATATGAGGCTTTTGGCTCATAAGTCGTCATCTTTTCTAATAGAATTACAGTTAAGACTCATTAATGAATGTGCTCATTTTCCTTCTGTTTACTAACATCAGTTACTTTTTGTGTTTGTTGAATTTTTATTTTGTTTATTACCGGTTAGTTTCAGCCTGTGTTTTTTTGTTTTGTTTCGATTCATGTATATTTATTCTTCCCTGGATCTATTTTTTGTCATGTTTACCTTTTTAATTGATTATCAAATACTTCTTTATATATTAAGCAACTGTGGTCTACAAATTTTGTATAAGTAACAATTTTTCGACATTTATTTCTTATTAATCTGTTTGTAATGAGCTATGTAGTTAAATCTGTCAATCATTGTCACCACTTTTCCTTAATGTAATTCCCAACGTAAATAAGCCTTCTCTGTTTAGCAGTCAGATTTTTTAAAATGCATACATTTTATTCTACTGCATAATTTTTTAAATATAAAACTCTTCATCAGTACTTTGGGGACATAATGTAGGAAAAGGACATCTAGTTTTAGGAATGTTTTATGTTTTTGTTTAATGTTTTTCAATAATAATGCTTCCCAATGTAAAGGTTGTGCTTGCCAATTAGCTGCCTCCCAATGATTAAAAAATTGTTTTATTATGAGCCTATAATATCATTTATGTTACTCAATTACTAAACAGGTCGGTGCCATGAACACTGTTGACAATGTATTTAGGTCAGCTGGCATAATACATGTAAATGCACAATTTATTTATTCTTTATGTTTCAGATTTCCTTTTAAGCCACCTTTTTTCAATAGCTGTAGTAGATGAATCTATCTATTATGCTAAATTAAATTTTGCAAAGAATACGGCATAATAGACCACTTACCTTAGATATCCTTCATCAGGATTATATATTTAGTAGGGTTCAGGTGACTTCATTTACCTTGTAACATAGCTGAATTCATGTAAGGATGAACCATACTACCACAATACAGATGTTAAAGCAATTTCCAAGGATTTGGCACATTGCTTGCCCATTGTAAGTACATATTTGTGGTAGAATTGCATGTGACTGAAATTCATGAGTTTCTTAAAGCATAACAATGATTAAATTTGATGGCCAGTTAGCTTTTATATTCTCTGCTAGACAAAGCAACAAAATAGAAAGGCCTTATCTTCATTTTTAACTCTAGTAGAAGGGTTGGCATAAAATCAAGACTTACTTTGTCCACAGTGACCTCAAGACACAGGCGAAGGGATTTTTCAGATCACCGCAACAGCCCAGTGTTGCCCCACTCTTGTGGTACCTGCATCCTCCTATGTGCTTCTCCAATTACAAGACAGGGTGAGAGAGATGTGGAGGGTTTTGAATCAGCAATTAAAATAGCCCTGCTAATTTTAAGAAGCAGGACAGTACCTAGAAAGAGTATAACTAGAAATCTCTACCATAAGGCACTATCAGAGACTGCTACTGGAGTGTATATTTGGTTATAATATTTGTTGAAAACATATATCAGGATCTTTAAAACTGTTTATAGGCTGTGATCCACTAATATCCCTTCCATAAATGTTTTGGGATAATGATAAAAAAAAAATCAATGCTTAAAAAAAAAAAAGAAAATAAGGTCTTCGGAAGATGTGAATACCAGTGTTAAATACGATAGCAAGGTACTGCAAAGAACTGATAACTGCAGTATTTCACAGAAAAAAGTGAAAATAACTTACAAAATAAGTAACTGAAGATTTTAAGAATGAATTGTGGTACATTCGTAAGATGTAATACTATTGGGTCATTTTAATGACTACAAAGAAAATTAATGATAGGAGAAATTTAATCAAAATTAAAATAATGGTATTCTTTACAAGTTTTTTTTTTTTTCTTTAAATGTTTTGCTGTATTAAGCATTCTTTTTCTTCAGAGTGTAAAGAGCTAGAAGGATGACCAACAGGAGAGAAATAAGTCAGGGAGAGAACAAAAAGTTCATCTAGCCAGGGAGGCTTGTAGGTACCAGTTTTCTTGGCCTAGAATTTTCTTCTCCTCCTCATATGCTGAACAAACTCCTACTAATCCTTTAACATTCAAATTAAATATCAGCTCTGTGAAATGTTCCTCAATTCTGCCTCCTAAATATAACATATTGTTTGTTTTTACAGATTAAAATATATAATAGAATTGTATGATTTTGTACATAATTTTTAAAACTCTTTATTTCTTACAAGTTAACAGGATATTCTTTTGCATATACCTGAATGTGTTAAAATGTCTATTAAATAAAATGTTTGGATACATATATGCTGAGTGAATAGATACATGAAGGAATTAATAACTTTGTGAAATGAATACAATAGATTAAGCAGTTTCTAAGGAAGCTTTCCAGTTTATGGTTCTTTCCTCAAATATGTATATAAGTAAAGACTTCAGTCATAAATGTTTCCTCAATAATATATAGAGAGTATATCAATAAATTTAAAAATGCATTACTTTCACTATAATTTTATATAATACATATTTTGCATGAGCATATATACTATATTTATTTGACATACTGACATATTATATAGGGCATGTTGTGATTATACATATATCCCTTAGAGAAAGTAGTTCTTAATAGACATGCTTAATAGTTGCTCACTAAGAGGCATTAGTACCCATTGCTTTAGATCATCTAAAAAAATGCATTAGTTTTTTTATTTTACAAGGCCTCCTGTGCATGGATAACTTTTAAATTTATTTATAAGATTTCTTGGTCATAATTAAGAATATCAATTCTGTATTTTTGTAGAATTATGCGATAATGTTTCTGATTTAGAAAGCTGAAATACAACTTGTTTTTATAATTCTGAGGGCATTTTATGATTCATAACAAGTGCAAATGACATTTTCTAGTTAATGTTAAGAAAAAAAAGCACTGAAAATTAATTTTGTCAGCAGTGTTGAGTTTTGGAAATGCAAACTAAGTCAACTTACTTCCTTTCCCTAGAAGTGCTGCCACTGTTGTGACATTGTGTTTCATTTTGTAACCCATCTACTACTTAGGCCAGATATGCATTTTCTGGATGCAATCTGTTGGTTTCCAATGGTTTACTACATGGTGGGCTCTATTGACAAGTAGGTGACAAAATCTTTGGCACACTAACTAGTGTAGTGTCCTGTGGTTTGTCATGTGCTGTGCCTTGTTACTGCATGATGAGTGTAATTTGCCGTGTCAGTATTGCAAATATGATATATTTTGCATGTAGAGCTTATGTTCTCGTGTTATACATCTTGTATTAAACTTTCTGAGTAGTAATCTATTGTTGAATTAAAACAAATCTTGCTGCATGTCAATTTTGTCAGTTTTGCTCAGTTTCTAATGCTGTTTTAGTTTTGTGTCATCTATAACAACATTATTACTATTGACATAGTGGTAGAGAAAACTAAAGTTGCAATATTGTGATGCATTGATAGCGTTACGATAACTTCTGGAAACTTTGAAATAATTTAGAAATGCTCATTTTAACTTAGATTTATAAATTGGAGCAATTCCTTTAGAGTTTACTTTGGTCACATGTCAGAGTTTATAATTTCTAAAATATTTGTTAATGAAAAGGTCATATGTGTTTAATACATTAGTAATTAAATACAAATTCTTATACATGTATTATGGTGACATTAAAAATATATATAAAAATAAAAGATCAAAACGCTAATATACTTGAAATAATATATGTTACTTTTCCACTTCTAAAAAATGTCAGCCAGAGCCTTCAAAATAAAATGCTAAAATTTACCAATTGAGAACTTTAACACTTACATTTTATCCTGTAGATGTTGAAGAAAACACAGTTTTACAACTTTGAAAGTATTTAGTGCTGTGGATACATTAAAGGTCAAACAGTCTAAAATATGATTAGCCTCCATTCTATGTTAATATAATTTACCTCATCAGTTATGATAATACTAACCAAGTAAATAAACTGTAGTTAGATGTACTAAAATTACTATTTAAATTCTACACATGTTTTATAACCAATCATCTTTTTTGAAATCTTTTGAGGTAATAGTGTTCTGTTAAAATTTATTAGAAAAACAGTATATCTAAAAGCTAAAGAATAAACGTCCCATATACCTTTTCTGATGCAAACTATGAAGTGGATTCTTCCTCTGTACAAGTATTTATGGTGAGAGAATAAATAATTGAAAGGATCAAATTCCTAGGGACAGAAATAAAACAGAATTGGCTACGAATTGATAATTGTTGGTCTGGGGACAGTTATGTTCATCTAACAATTCTCCTCTTTTGCTTGTATTTGAAATCTTTCTTTAAAAATACCTCTTTGAATGAATTAAAACACATTCATGAACACTTCTTTACACTTACGTACTTCACATTCTAGTCCTTGCAAAAAGGGGTCTTAGAGAGGGATAGAAAGGGAGGCTTTGCCAATTATCCCTATAACTTGTTTTCCATCTAGATTGACTTTCTTGTGCTCCCATCTGCTGGCCACACTGTGTAAAGCAGCCATGCTGAGGGAAAAATAAGGCAATGGCCTTGCAGAAATTATGATGGAGAGGAGTTATAAGAATAAGTTGGCAGCCTACTTAAAAAAAAAAAATAAATGCAGTAGTAAATAGAAAAATAATAATATAATCTTAAAGCAGAAAATAATTAAAAAGCTTCCACATGGTTCAGAAATATTATTCCAAATTTATCTACTTTCTATATAGATTTAAATTGATATGTAACGATAATTTGCCAAGGTTATGAGTAAACTATAACAGCCAGTATTTTTGAGACTGGAATTAACCGACACACGTGGGTATAGGTAACAGCTATTTAGCACAGGTACTCTCAAAGTGAAGTTTTGGTCAAATGTTCACTTCAACGTCATTGAATGATTGATGATTAACTATTCATCTTTCCTATCTTCACTTCTATGCATATATACTTATCCAGTCACTCTTATCCTCGACTGCCCTATCCTTTCCTTTTCCTATATAGGTAATTATAATGGAGATGTTTTATTAATGAAGAAAAAAGATTGTGAAAGCTGAAATATGAGAAAGTGATGTAAAATTATGATAAGGTGGTGTGAAGACATATGACTTAAGCGTCATTTTGATGGTCCACAAGGGCCATAACACATTCATTTTCCATCTAACTCTTTCTTTTTTAATGTACTTTAATAAATTAAGAAAAATTATGATAAATTTCCTGAATAAAAGAAAGACCCAAGTATCCCTAGGCATTTAAACTTGAAGGTCATCATAGTGGTTGGATGTTATGGTCCTGGCCCCTCTTATCATAGGAAATTTATTTGGAATAACATTCTGTTTCCACAGTTTTAGCCATAAAATCTCTGCCACAGACCATTGTTCCTGATTCAAGCGAAATATTTTTTCTGGACTACTCCTGGGGATCTTGGACTCAAGGCTTTGGTAATACCCTGTCGCCTAATAACAGAGTAAGAAATCCTGCCTCCCGCCTTCCCATAAAAGGAAAATAATTCCCTCTAACGTGACATGGCTAACTCAACCAATCATGCACTTGGAAAAGATCCTCAGGGACTTCACTCTTCAATTTAAAAACCTAAGAGAAACTACTGCTCTTTAAGCTTTAAACATCCTATTATAAATCAGAAGATACGGAAATCAATTAACCTATCTTTTCTTATCTGTCTTCAATCAACTCTGTACCTAGAACATTCTTGTACTCATTCAAGTTTAGTCTCCATTATCCAATTCAGTTCTACTTTTCTAGTTTGCATGAAGCAGAGGCAATGAGAATAATGTTTCCCTGTTTCAGCTTTAACGGTAAATAAACATTTTCTTTTAATTCATTGGGAGAATGATAGGTAAGATTTTTTTTTTTGTCAGTGATAGGGAAGAAGACTGACTCTATTTTAGCTCACAGGTATGTGTTTCCTACTTTAGCAATTACTTCATCCAGCCAAAGAAATCGGGTTATTCAATCACTTGCTCAAAAACTTAGGCTGGCTAAACAGTAGGCTTGCATACAACAGAATTTGTATATTTTATATGCTCTTGGTTGTGTAGAACCAATCTATAGCACATAGGTCTTACATAAAGGAATAATAAACATTTAAAAATAAACATTTCATAGTTTTGTATTTTTTCGTTAAGCTTGACCATCTAAATTAACATAGCACTTATTTATTCCTCTCTTACCAAAATTACTTTAGAAGTAAAAAAAAGTAAATGTGTCTTTGAAGTAGTATGTTAACTGTAAAAACAAATTTCTAATATGCTCTATTTTATTGCAAAATGGATGTATTCCATATTTCATGTATATAATTAATAAAAATTATTAAAGAAAATATTTTAACACACATATTTTGAAACAGTTGAGATCTAATGACATGTAAAGTACCCAAAATAAAAATTATTTCATATTGGTAGATAATATTGTATCATAATTCCCTTTAATAGCTACCTGTGCACACTCTGTAAAAGCCACCTCTAAAGGCAACTTATATAAGCACAGGGGATAGTGCTAGACTTTAGCACTGATTATAACATTGTGATTTATTTAATGTTTGTTTTTCTCTGTTGATTTTTATCAAAGCCTAGATGACTTACTCAGGTGTGGAGTGACTTTTGCTGCTAATATGGTGGTTGTGGATAAAGAGAGCACCATGAGTGCCGAGGAAGACTACATGGCAGATGCCAAAACCATTGTGAACGTGCAGACACTCTTCAGGTAAGTGGCTGAATCATCCAACCTTGCCACTTACTTTGTGCTAAACATTGGTAAAATATTTGACACTGACTCTGTGAGGAATGAACATGAGACACACCAACTTTATGTTCATTTATTCATTTTTTTCATAAAGTAAATGTTTATTGAGCATGACTGGCACTGCATAAAGTTAAATTTTTAACACCAGATCAGTAATGCTTCTCATAAAACAAATTGAATGATATATCTATTTTCTCAGATAGTTTAACAGTAGCAAATTCTTGAAAATCATGTGTACTAGTAGTCATGAGTTTTGACAAGCAGCCCATGTTCTCGTATTGGTATTAAGCCTAGCAGTGACCAAATATTTGCATTTACATACTGAATAGCTAGGACTGAAAGACTGCACAGCTGTGAACAGGTAAGTTACCCATGTTAGGAGCAAAGTCATGACATCATTTTCACTGTTTTCCTGTCTTTTATTAATTAAATGTACCCATTGAATTTAATTAATTGAATTTAATTTAATGGGGATATGAATCCCCATTATGGTTGTCTTTGGGTAAGAGTAAACAATCCTGACTAGAGAAAGAGCCATGCTATAAGTAAAGTCAAACTCGTCTGTCATTCAAGGCATCTGTTTCACTTGGAACAATTCTCCCTAAAATCATATGAAATTTTAAATATCCAAAAGACCATTTTTTAAGTTGTATGAGTTTTGCAGAAGCCTGAAGAAAATACGTGAGCTACCAAATTACAGAGGTAAATGAAACAATCTCAACTTTCTCATCATCCATGTTCACTCCA
Source organism: Homo sapiens (assembly GCF_000001405.40). Taxonomy (NCBI): domain Eukaryota; kingdom Metazoa; phylum Chordata; class Mammalia; order Primates; family Hominidae; genus Homo; species Homo sapiens. Next base: position 164,781 of record NW_025791754.1, on the reverse strand, counting down.
CTTTCATACTTTCATATTGTAGTAAAGCATATATTGAGGTTAATTATTTTGCCTTCTAATTTGAGTTCAAAATTCAAAGGAGAGAGCCTAGATGCGTGTCTGTGTTAAGTTGCCTATTTTTAGTATGATCTTAGGCAAATTACTTTTCTTCTCTACATCTCAATATATTAATCACAATATTATTAAAGATTTAGAAACATGCAATGCCTTACTTAGCACATACCTGGTCATTTTTAATTACTTAATAAATATTAGCTATTAATATTACTAGCAGTATAATTATCACTTCCATGTGGCAGAAGGGAAAAGCCACTGACCTTGGACTATACAGCAGCAAACTTTATCTGGCACAATGTATATCCTAGAGGCTCCAGCTGACAGTCACTAACTTTGTGACCTTCCTAACCTCATTAAGATTCAGTTTTTCTCATCTATAAAATGCTGCAGAAAATAACCGACCTTGCAGTGTTAATGTAAAGATTAGAGATCAGTTATTTAAAGAATCTGTCATAGCACCTGGAAAATCTACACTGAATTTGCATAAGAACCTCTTGTTCCAGAAGAAGAAATACACACTTTAAAGTTATTATAATGCAGCAGTTCACTTAGAATATAGCTAACTAGTTAACTAGTGAGCTGTATTAAACAGTACATTTTTAAAAGACACTATATAGAACTTGTTTAAAATATTACAGATATATAAATTTTTTTTCTCTAGAGAATATAAAAGAAAATTACAGGGTAGAAAATTAATTCAAGGATGAGATTTATAGCTAGTGAGTAGGGTAAAAATCATGCTTTTTGATTCCATGCTTGGCAAAAGCTAATTATATAAAAGAGGATCCTAGGTCTTTTTAATTAAACATGTTATTTAAACTTTCAATTTACCATGAATTTTATTTCTATTATGGTGACATTTCTATTGATTTAACTTTTATTATATATTCTCTGGATGAATTATTTTGATTCCAAGGAAATAATAAATCCCCATCTTACTGAGAGGTTCAAAGGCTGTAATTAGTAATTTAAAACAAATTAACTCACCATAGTAATCATGGACAGATACATATATGGCAACTAATTGTGCAAAGGCTATGTTACTCTGAGTACCTAGCTGAAGATGTGATTACCACTTGTTGAATGAATGAATGGATGGATGAATGAATGAATTAATAACTTTGGATACCTTAACTATTAGGCTTATCTGTCTTCAGCAGTATATTTTAAAAATTATATAGTTTTTATGGTATATATATAGTAATCTAGACTGAATAGTTTTGAGCAGAATTTTTCAAAAGAACTATTAAAAACCCAAATTGCAAAGAAATTACCTCTGTTCTTTCCTTTCTTATGCCCTATCATGACATTACTATTATTTCTCTAAGTATATAACAGTATTTTTTAGGAAAAAATTATATGAAACTTTTTTTTTGTGTTGTGTGTTAAGCTGCTAATCTGTGTATGCTAAGCTAGGCTAGTTTTACATGATAAAAAGTAAGACAGACATTTATAGGTTTCTATGATATAAGAAGAATCACTTTTGCTCATAAATGACCAAAATCACACAGACTTGGGAGTTGCATTTTACAGATGTGGTTAATTATCATCCTCCAGATCACTCTTCTGCATTCCTTGGAGATTTTAGTTCCTGATTTACTATGACTCTTGCCAACCCTGATTATCATAATTATTGATGATTTCAACAATCTTACCTAGATGATCCTTTGAATATCTGACCTTCACCACCCATTCTCATGGTCATAGCCTAAACCTTGAACTATGAATAATTTTACACTCCACATTCTCAGTTTCTAGCATTCAACACTCTGAGTAGTGCTACTCATTTTCTATCTAATTTCTTCTAATATTCTCAACTCTTAATAGTCCTTTGACCACACTGGAACCTGTCATCCACCGATCCTACTACCTTTTTACTTACCCTAGTCACCTGAGGGCTTTTTCCCTTCCTTACCCAGATTCAAATCTATGATCAGTCATGATAATCACTGCTGCACTGAAATCCTCAATGGATAATTACTGATTATCTACTACACACTGACACTGATCTCAACTCTCTCCCTTTTCTCTCTTCCTCCTACTCCCAGTTTTCTCTCCTTTTAGGTTCTCTACCCACCACCTTGCATGAAATTCCTTAGAGGCAGATGACAACATTCCAGAGGTAGGATCCAGTTACCCTCATCAGTAAGCATCAGACAACTAGAAATCCAATCACAATGGCTGGATATCAGACTATTTAGGATTAAAGCTTTGGGCCCCATCTCTAAGAGAACTAAATTCTTATACATTAATTATGCATGCGGGAATAGTATCTTTAAAATATTTCAGCCAATCCTTGTATCTTAAAGAACACCATTAATATTCTCAATCAAGAGCCAATTTCTAATTCGTTGATTAGTAAGGCCTAAGACTTTGATAGAAGTACAGATAACAGAAGTAATGTTGTGTGAACATTCAGATTAAAAACCAAAGCTTAGGTGATGAAATAGAATGCCTGCTGCACCTGGTATTTAACTTAAACCAATGCATGCACGTATCACATTGTTTATTTTGAAGTGTTTCGAAAAGTAAATTACAGACATCATGAGAGTCCTAGAACGACCTAGACAGGCCTTTTATTTATCACTTACCCTGATTCGTTCCTTCTCTCATGATGAGTTTTATCATTTTTTAAATTTATTTATTTATTTATTTTTCTCGCGGAGGGGACACTCTTAGTAGGCCTTTAAAGCAGCAAACTTTCTCTGGAACTACCTCCAGTCCAGAGGTTCCAAATTCCCTGGAGGAATAGTGTATCTCCACTCCTTTACTCAGAAGACTCCTTGAATCCTAAGCAATTGGCTGTTCGCCTCCCTACACAGTATTTCTGCATATCAAAGACAATAAGGAGATAAGATCTTCCTCGGGTTAGATCCTGTTGTACCTCTCTCCCCAAAAGGGTTTTTATTTACACATCTAAAAGAAGACACTCAAGTAAGCCATCCCAGTACAAAGAGCTGCTAAAAAGTGAAAGAAAAGCAAGTCCTCAATTTCAAATTTAAATGTATCCTTCTAAAGATTTAGCTAACAAGACAATCATTACAATTGGAAAACATTTCATGTTTTCATATTTGTATGAACAAGTACTAATATCTAAACAAAGTTTAAACCCACAAAACAAAATGTGCTTTGGATTAGAAACAACCACAGTAAAAAGTCTATGTCAAATTGATCTACCAAAATATCCCACTTGGTGGCTGTTTGGCATGTCACTGGCATCTGTCATTATTTTCATTTTACTGAGAAAGAAATAAACATTTAGAGAAATTTAGTGTCTCATCTTAGCCCATCTAGGAATTAAAAAAAAAATGGCAGATTCAGGGCTATGACCAGAGTGTCAAGAAAGACAAGAGAACTTTACCTAGGAGCTGGGGAAAAAAAGTCTCTCTGGAGAGCACACAGAATATAATGTTTAGGGCAGAATGGGTACAGAATTTGTATGGTAAAAGTCCAGGCGTGACCTAGTTGAGAAGTCCCCTTGGGTTGATTTTGTTTTAATACAAAGATTTTTGGTTGCTGTTTTTGCTTTTGTTTTCTGAACTTTAGCTGACCACACTTGTAAGATAATGAGCAATGTCAATGGAAACATTGAAACAGGTCATGGATTGTTATCTGGTTGGAATGGAGCAACTCCTGCATTAGATCTATAGTAGGACAGGATGACTTCTGTGGCCATGCCTGCAATTGTGATTTGTTAATGTATCATGCTTGGCCCCTAGGTTTATTGAGCATCTAGTAAGTGTCAGGATTGTACAGGATGCTGTGGCTGCAGTGATGAACAAGGTGGACATAGCTGGTGGCCTTTGAATACTAATAGTCTAACAGAGAAGGTATTAAGCCAGTCATTTAAAATTTTAATTAGAGAATTATAACTGTGGCAATTATTGGGGAAAATATGTAGAATTGTATATAGACTCAGATAATAAGAATATTTGCTCTAGTCCCATGGGTCAGGGAATGTCTTCCTGAGGAACTGATAATCTTTTACCTGAAAAGTGAAGAGAGACTAAATGGGCAAAAGGATGGGTACAGCACATTCCATATGGCGGCAGCATATACGAAGCTCTGAGATCCTGGTAGTGACTATTCAAGGACTTGGAGCAGAGCAAGAGGAAGACTGGTGCGAGGAGGCTGAAATGGAATTTAGAAGCCATATTTTCATGGCTTTGTAAAGTATGTTCATATGTTGGTCTGAATTTTAAGAATAATAGGAAATCATTGAAGAATAAAGAAATTTTAAAAGATAACTGCAGGTACAATGTAGAGAATTGTTTCAGGAAAAGAAAGAGTGGGTGAGAGCCGACCAGTTAAAAGACTTCTGTATTGCCACAACTATAAGAGCATAGAAGGGCAAGTTTTGTTTATTTGTTTCTGTTTTTTTAAAGAAAAGAATATTGTCTTAGATTGGCACAAGTAGTCATAATCTTACGAAGGAAACAACATGTACATGCACATGGAAAATGACAGATTTCTAAATAATATAACCATAAGTAAATAATTTAAAATACTCAACATGTATAAATACAAGATTGATATCTTTATATAGTGAAAACCACTTTTAATGTTTAGATTGGTGATGGTTTACATGGATAAGATTTTTGAATACAGAGGATTCCTTATATTTATCATACTGTCATTTATTACTAACTCAGACTCCCTGAAGTATTTTAAAATTATTTATGAAAGATTACATACATTTATACTTGTTTTAGTGTTGATAGTCAATTGCAGTCCAAAAATCCCAAGTAGTGTTTTATGTGTATCTAAGTGTGTCTGTATACCTCCTATTAATGTATACCCCCTGTTAATTAAAAACATTATTTCCAGCTACCATGGCAAATCAGAATTTATAGTGTAATATATAGCTCAGTAGGTAATATTTTGAATAATGTGTCATAAACATTTTCCAATATTCTTATATTTGTGTTTTTTGCTTTATGATACAAATACAGCTAGTTTCAGAGTTCCCCCAGTAGCCTGTGAAATAGAATATATGGTGTGTTTTTCATCTTTATATTGGTTAGTAAAAATATTTATTGAATAAATTAATGCAGGCAGAGAACTCTTCCATAGATATTTTACACATCTCCACAATTATATTTACATCACTGAGTCAGAACACGAAGTAATTGTAGAAAAGTTTTAAATAGAACAAACTATATCTTCTTTTTTTAATTACAGTATTGCTCTATTATGTTTCTAGTGCCCAGGGAAAAGAGACGTATTATTTCATTTTAATTCTAAAATGTTCTACATGCAAAATGTGTTTAGCTTATATTAAGACCCAGAAATAGATTTATGGTGTTAGTGTTTCAAAGGAGACTAAATAAATCTATTAGACAACCAAATTTGTAAATATAAAATATTATAACTGAATACAAGTAATAGTCTATGGATATAAAGGGGGTTAACATACAGTGTTTCATTATGTAAGTATTAGTTCTAGATTTTTCACTAGGTGGCAGGCTTAGCTAATACTTTCAGTTTCTCAGTCCAAAATAACATAAATGTTGTAGGTTCATTTATGTAGAACAGAAATGGGAGGCACATCACGTAAATTATGTTGTCTTATTTAATTTCAACTCCAGAAGCCACTCAAATACAAGGACTGGGTCACTCAACCATATTTTCACTCACTTTTATTAAGACCCCAAATACTTCTAGCTACATATATGTGTATATTTCTATTTGATAAAATGTGTTATAAAAGAATAATAAACCAAAGAATCCAGGTAACCACAACTTGATTCAAAGTGAGAATACTGGTTTATATCAAAGATAAAATACATATTTTTAAGGGAAATAAAAATGTTCCAAAAGTTAAACTTGATTTTCATTAGTTTGTAGCTACGTTTTCCTCATAAATTCTATCTCTAGCCTGATATCTCAACACTGTCCTAAATGTTCTTCATAATTTATCCATTCACTAGTGTCTTAATGCTACTTAATCTAGGAGTGTTTTGTTAGCCAAAATGTATCACCCCTAGAAAAATACATATATCCTTATAATTGGTGAATTTTTATTGTTTCATCTATTATATTATAGTGTTTAAAGTCAGGAATCTTACTTTATGTGTTTATCTATCTCCTGGAGACCAGAAATTTCTAATAGTAAAAACTTGATAATTATTCATTAAGGCTAAATTGAAGTAATTTATAAAACGTTATTTTTAAAAGAGTTGATTTTTAATATAGGAAACATGAATCCATTGCTAGATATTGTTAATAATTTATTTTATTTGGATCATCTGTGTCTCCTTACACTGGTCTATCTTCCTCTTTATTATAATGGTGGGGGAAGCTTCAGAACCTAATGCTGTGGTGTGACCCAGGCCCTGCCACCTACTAGAATGTTACCTTGAACATACTATTTTGTCTCTTTGGTCCTCAGTTTCCTCATCTATAAACTAATAATTGGAGGTAAATCATAGAGTAGTTTTTTGTAGTTTGAAGAGGTGATGTGACCCTTTCAATTTCTAACACAAGTTAGAAACTATTGAGATCCAAAGAAGTCAGGCAGATAGAGATAAAAATATTAGGCAGGAAGATGTGACTTTGGTGTAGGCAAAAGTGGGCTTTTAAAATCCACCCTTGAGAACCATGGTGAGGAGACATACTGGACAACCACAAGACTTGTCCTAGAGGGCTTATCTCTCCTCACAGCTTGGCACAGACCAGTACACATCTAAAGACACTGAAAAGATAGAGTCAGGGTTGAGACAGGCACCCTCAGCTCTTCCTGGGGAAGGAGAGGATACAGATGGAAACACAAGAGGGTTCCTACCTGATGTGAAGATTACATGAGTTAATCTTACATAGACAACTCTTAGAGCCGTGCTTTATAGTTATTGTTTTATGGATGTGTGTTACCCATCGGAGAGAAAAAAAAGAGGAAAAGACAAAGAGGAGAACCTTAGATCCGTTAATTTTTCTTTTTAAAGTTCAGTGCATGAATGTGGGATTTGTTGTCTGCATGAGTTTATAGGGCTTTGTGCTCATTGATTCATTTTTGTCCTATTTTTCATTTTAGTTTCTATTTCCCCAGATGATGGAATTTTGTCTGTGACAACCATATATGGTGAATATCTTTAGTGACATTGTTATTTTAAAATATTTCTTAAATAAATACTTTGAAACTCCCATATGGTATGAAATTTGGCAGTTGGTGGCATTTCCCAGGCCTACCAGATGGAGTTTGCCAGCCAAAAGTCAATTGACATTTTTTTTCCATCAGGCCACTTTTCTAATTTTTAAAGAGTTTTTGAGAAAATAACTTTTATTTATTGAATGCACTATCATGGGTGACTTTTGAGTGAGAATAGAGCTGCTAAAAGAAAATCATGTGAAATATGGATAATACAATGTTTCTCCATAAACTATTCTAATTAAATTCAGTGCCCTCTTCATCAAGATTTAATCTCAAATGCACAAACATGAATTGAGAAATTGTTTAACAAAGATTTGTTAATTAAAGGAATATAAGGTTATAGTCACTTGAGAGGGAAACCATGCTTTCTAGTTGTTATGATTTATTAGGAGAGCTAAGGCATGAATAAAACCAACCAGGTAGCTAGAGAAGCCAACAGGTAGTGTAATCAATAAATCAGATACTGGGCAGCCAAACTGGAGAGAATGATTCTGAGTTTAAAAATTTTTTAAGTTTCATCTTGAATGGATTTGAGAGCCACTTTAAATATTGGTAGTGATTTCGTAGTATAGAGATTCAGGAGAAAAGTAAACAGAAAAGAAATGGCATTTCAGGCAGAAATAACATCAGAAAAATTTTAAAAACTAAGAAAATAGTAATAACCGATTTAACTAAGAAACAGTACCTTTTGTATGTAGCCACTAGCTTCATGCTTTGCTACATCCTTTCTTTGCAGAATCTGATATTTAGAGTTTCTGTAATGAATTTAAGGTCACAGAACTATTGAAAAAGTTATCAGTTGCACAAATAAAATTACTGTATTTTTAACATTAAAAGTCAGCAAAAGAAATTATATCGTGGTTGTTGTTTTCCTGATATTATTTTAATAACAATTACTACAATTTACCTGAATCAATAACTACAGTAGTATTTATTACCAAAACGAAGATTAAGAACTAGGATTGTTTAGTCAGCCACAATTTATTACCCCTAGAAAAATACGTATATACTTATAATTTGTGAATTTTATTAAAAGATTTCACAAAATACCCAATGATATCCTAGCTCTCAAAGGCCTTGATTAGGTAAGGCCCAATGTTAGTCCATTTGTGCTAATGGCCAAGAGGGCGTGTTAGGTTTTACAGACAACTCTAAAAAAAAAAAAGCAAGCAAACAAAAAAAAACCAAAACTCTTCTTAAGAATGTGTTAGTGTCTTAACCTGAATGGTGACTAAAGCCCAATGTAAACACACCTGAGAGGCAGATAATCAGAGAAGCCTGGTCTGAAGGCTAAGAAAGGCCCTGCTTGCTGCAGAGCAGTAGGGTGGGCACACTCTCCCCAGCAGGAGGGAGCATTCCTGGCAAATCATCCATCAACCTTCCAGAGTTGGACCTGAGGAAAGGTAAAAACTCGTCTGTAATGCTGGAGCTCAAGGACAGGGCTCCCATCTTAAAAGAAGCATGTACCACATCAAGCACTCGGGCACATGGAAGTAACAGCACCCTCATGACTGAATGAGCATAAATTCATAAATTCATAAATTGAGAGCAGAAGGAGCTGATTTGTTCCTGAGCCACACAAACAGGCTGTTTATATTCTGCATATTTGCAGTCAGTTTTAGTCCCTGAGTTCAAGGGATGAGTTCAACCTAGTGATGGGAATTTTAAGTGGTCATAACTTAGTTTAAAGACATATCATATGAAAAACAAAGGTGATTATCACAGAAGTGGCTGCCACAGAGAATACCAAAATATTTAACAAGGAAAGCTACCAGGGATGCATAGATATCAGGTAAGGATCAGATCATGAACAACAGCAAAAATAAAAAGTATTTATTGTGGTATCATCCTGCCCCTTTTCTCTGGGGGAAAGAAATCTTGTGTGAGCGTGTACGTATGTGTGCTCATTTTGGTATATATTTGAGAGAGTGTCAAATGGGAAGAAAGCTAATATGAAGCCATGGGACCTGTGAAAAAAAATTTCAGGATACTTTTGGGGAACACTATCAATGCTTTAGCCTTGGCCCCAATTAATTACAATGAAGTTTTACATAAATTATTTCCTCATCTCAGAAGTTTGTTGTAGCAAGATTTGACATTTAAAAATTGCCCACTATGAGAATAAGGAGCCATAGGACATGAAAGAGCTCACATAGTAGACAAGAAGCTCATTATGTGAAATTTTTGCCAATCAGCTTATTTATCTTTATAGATTTCTGTTTCAATACCATCCACAAAGTAACCTTGTAACTTCTTAAATCAGCTTTATGAGTTTCTTCTATGTTGTTCCATAATTGTAAAGAGAAAATGTCTAAAAAAAGCCAAATTACTGAATTTATTTTTCTTATTGTGCTAAAATGTCTGTTAAAATATTCTTCGGGAAATAGTGTTTCATTTTTCCTGCATTGTATAGAAGATTTTATGTGGCACTGCCTGCTGTTGTAATTGGATATAGTTTTATGCCCAAGGCTAGGAATCACTCACTCATAAATATGTTGTTATAAAAAATACCATATTGGATTGTTAGTGTAATGCAAATGTTCTTTTGAAATGTAGGTTGTTTTCCAGTCTCAGTATTATCACAGAGCTAACTCACCCCGCCAACATGAGATTCATGCAATTCAGAGCCAAAGACTGTTACTCTCTTGCTCTTTCAAAACTGGAAAAGGTAAGACCCCACATTATCAAGTAAATTAGATTTAACCATCTTTATTCAGAAATTAACTCTGTAAATATATAAAAAAAATGCCATGAGATAGTAAAACTAAAATGCTGTTTTGAATTTTTATTTGGGAGATGAAATTCTAATTGATAATTTTTTTAAAAATGTGAATTGACAGATTTGAACGATTTATATCACAGGTAAATATGATGGAGATATTTTGTTCTATTATTATTAAGTATTAAACACATGATTTGTGAAAGAATTAAATGCAACAGAAATGTGTATACTCACTTACTTGCTATGTCATGAAAATGCTGGCTTCCCAGATGTCACCAATACAACCTGACATAAAGCTAAGTTTATTGCTTACCTAGGTAGGGGAGACTACCTCCCCAGTAGAAGTTTGGCAAGGTCTCAGAGGGAGGAAAACAAGGTCAAAATATACTGAGAACTGGAATTTAATTTAATGATGATATTTCAAAACAGGGACTTGACTGGGATTGGGAAGAGATCCGGATAATGCTAATAGAGACAATGGAATTGCAAAGTAATGTTATATGGTCAGAAAGATTTGGTTTCCATTTTCAGTATACAGGCTGAGTGTGGGTGTAGATGGTTTTTGCACTCAGCTTTTACTTACTACTAAATAGTAGTGTACTGAGAGAATTAGATGTGAAAGGAAAAAAAAGACCCAGTCTTATACATGTAAAATGTGTTAACCTGGGTGTGGCGGCTCGTGCCTATAATCAGAGTGACCTGGGAAGCTGAGACAGGAGGATTCCTTGAGCCCAAAATTTCGACGCTGCAGTGAGCTATGATCATGGCAGTGCACTCCAGCCTGGGTGGCATAGTGAGATCCCATTTCTAAAAATAAATAAATAGTTAAATCTAGGCTGTTTTCATTTCTTATAACAATATAAGAGGTAGAGAAAATGATGCCTTATATTTTTTGGTTAGTTATTTCTTTTAATTACCAATTATGACAGACCAGATGCTGTCCTAATTCCTGGGAAACATATTGTTGAGTAAGGTTGTGTCTGTACCCTCATCTATTGATTTATCCAAAGCTAGTCACACACGTGATGTTTATAGAGCCTTACCCTGCTTTTTTATGGCCACAGGGAAATTGTTGTTGTGCCCTGCTTCCAGATGTGGAAACTGAGTTTGAGACTAGATAGATACCTCTCCCAAGATTATACAGCTACCAGTTCAATTCAGCAAGGCATATGTAAGGCTATTAATATTCAGGACAGAAAATTTCCACTATGCCACGTTGCTTTAGCAACATAAAAAAAGATGGCAAGCAGGGCTAAATTGACTCAGACTTGAAAGCAAACCAAATAATCAGAAAACCAGCAGGAATCCGTGCTGGCATGATGTAGTAGTACAGCCTCCTTCATGGGAAGTGAGGTAGAATCACTTGTGATGAAGAAGCCAGGATCTGTAGTCAGATTGGTCCAATTCACCACTGCTTTTGAGAAATGGAAACTGGATAAATTATTTCGTAGCCTTGGGATTCTTATGTGGAAAATAGTGGTAGGAGCTATTTTAAATAGTAGGGTCATTATAAAGATTACAGCACATAATCTATGCAAAACACTTAGCCCTGCATTTGACATATAATTAGTACTCAAATAAATGGTACTAAAAGCATAACGATACATTTTATATTTGTTGATATTGTCACTAATAAATATTTCATTCTGTGCATTCTAGTTGTTGACGAGTCAGTTGACGTAGCAAGGTCATAATTGTGGAAGGTAATTTCAGTATTTGTGAGCATTTGTATTGACATGCTTGTGTGCTTATTGCATTAGGGAAAAAGAAGAAAAATATGAGGTATATATGCCAGTCAATTACATATATCTCTTTATCCAAAGGAAAAATAAAACTTAATATTTTTGCAGCAGGCAAGAAGGCACAATTTAATACCAGGTATCTAGGCTAAACTCCCAAAGAGAGAGACACAAGTTGCCTTCCTCCTTGATGTTCACATTTCAAAAAGATACCCCAAGGCCCACAAGAAAAACATTCCTGGAATGCAAAACTGGCTAGAGGTTTATTCAGCTTTTCAGAGATTTGCATCCATCTCAGGGACAGAGAAAGGATTTCCAGTTACAAGTTTTTGACAGAGAAAGGATTTACAATTACAAGTTTTCTAAAGAAAATGCTCCAAGGAAAAGGGAAGGGACTTTTGTCATCAGGGTATTTTTTTTTTTTTTAAGATTTGCATTTGTCCTTATGTCTTTTAGATTTTTCCCATGAAGAAAAAAGAAACTCAATACATCAACATATTTCCAAATTATTCAGGGATAGGAAGGCTGGAGGAAGTGGGATTAAAATAAATAGTTTGAATGTTATAAAGCTGTGGAAAATTCTTTGATCCACTTGTTACCATATTATGTTAAAGTTAATTTCAGAAACTTAAAAATTTAAAAATGTAGAAACTTTTTAGTCTTTTATAGTCTCGTGGGTTGAATCTCATGCCCCATCCAAAAAAAAAAAAGTTGTGCTGGGGTCCTAACTCTTACAGATGTGGTCTTTAGAGAGAGGCAGTCAACTTCAAAGGAGACCATAGTGTGGGTTCTAATTTATGGCTCACTGACATTTTTATTAAAAGGGTGAATTTAGATATACAGACAGACACACATTAAAGGAAGGCAATGTGAAGGGAAACAGAAGATAGTCTTCCATAAGCCAAGGAGAAAGGCCTGGAACAGATCTTTCATTTACAGTCCTCAGAAGGAACCAATCTTGACAACATCTTTATTTCAGACTTCTTGCCTCCATGACTGTAAGGCAATAAATCTATATTGTTTAAAACACCCAGTCGATATTACTTTGTTATGGCAGCCCTATCAAATAATGTTCCATGAATGATATGGTAAATCTTCCAATCAAGGTTTTTTTTTAATCAGTAATATTTACTGGTATGACAGCTAACACAGTATTTAATTATCTTTCCATATTTGTATTCTGGGTGCAAGGAGATTTTTAGGATTAGAAAACTGATCTCTATTTCCAATATTTAAATAATCAGTAGCATTTTCTATAGTTACTGTTGGCTGAGGGTTACATGGATTTTTATTCTTCCAAACAATTATGAATATTGTTTCCATCTATCTATAAGTAGATGCCCTTGCACCTTCACAGGTGAGACCTTCACCTTTAGAAATACAATTAAGATTTTAAATCACAGCTGGGCGTGGTGGTTCACACCTGTAATCCCAGCACTTTGGGAGGTTGAGGCAGGTGGATCACGTGAAGTCAGGAGTTCGAGACCAGCGTGGCCAACATGGTAAAACCCTGTCTCTACTAATAATACAAAAATCAGCCAGGCCTGGTGGTGTGCACCTGTAGTCCCAGCTACTCAGGAGGCTAAGGCATGAGAATCGCTTGAATCCAGGAGGTGGAAGGTGTAGTGAGCCAAGATTGTGCCATTGCACTCCAGCCTGGGCGACAGAGAGAGACTATGTCTCTAAATAAATAAATAAATAAATCAGAAATAAACACCAGCTTGGCTGCTTACACACTTTCACACTTTTATTTTGCTACTAAGTGGTCTTCATTCATGTTTAAGAAGTAGGATTTATAGGGATAGGTGTGGAATGTTAAACTGTATTATTCCCAATTACTTTACTTTTGTGACGATTAAGCTTTGATGTTTTCCTTGTAGACCTTGCATTCTAATAAATATTAATATATGGTTTCCACTGGTATCAGAAGTAATACTCTGTAAAGATTTTCTGAAAGTAGCTACTTAGTGAAGAATATCTACTGTAGGGGATATAGGGGTAAGGATAAAATTTTCCCTTTGCCCTCCAGAGGTTTGCTGAAACTCACAAAAGGCAGATTAATAGCAGAAATGGCATGCAAATTTATTAGTGTGCATGCGAGAGAATCACCAAGTGATTGCCCCACCATGCAATGGGGTACACATGGTTATATACTTTCTTTCTAGAGGAAAGGGAGACGGGAGGTATGAATGATTTTGGGGGGACACATAGTAAATGATCTTCAGGGAAATTCAATAGACTTGAGGAACATATAATATGGCCTGGGACAAAATCGGTTGGGCCCACAGAGCAGACAATGGTTTGTGACAAAAGTCTGTTCAGGTGTGTTGACAGACTTCAGTCTTGCTTCCTGTGATGTGAGCTTAGTTAATGAAAACTCAAAGAAGAGACCAGAGTAATTGTTTTCTTCTTTGGCAGGTCCAGACTTTAGGCCAATAAGGGAACTTCAGAGAACAACTTCATCCTGTGCTTTGGGAGAGAGAGGACTGACAGGAGGTTGTAGGACGGTGGGGAGTCAGAGGGATCTTGAGAGGCTTCTTATTCTGTTCAGCATGTCAAGGCACTATATTTTGGGGTATTAGTTTCTGAGCTCCAATAGGGGAGAAAAAATTTCTCACCCATTGCAAGGTTCATGGCAGAGGTCCCTGTAACAAAAGACAGATTAACAAGAGAAAAATATAACAAATGTATTGAACATAAATCTTATGTGACAAATGTCTTCAGAAATAAAGACTCAAAGAAACAGGGAATCTGTGTATTTGTATGCCTAGGCATGGACAGCTGTACAGAATTATTATTGGACAAAGGGGGTATCATGGTAATAAATTAGGGAGGTGACTTAGCAAGGCCTATTTTTCAGATCTTCTTGGCATCTCTTTGTCTTCAGATATGAGGACATTGCCCTCCTCTGAGTAGAGGGGGAGCCCTCTGGAATGAGGATCTTATGACCTAATTTCAGTGGAAGGTCAGCTAAATTTTATGGCCTGCTTCAGGGAAGAAGGGGTGAGAGAAGGTTAGAGTCCATCCTGCTGCTGCTATTTTCTCACATGTCAAGCTGACATATTTTGGAGTAGCATGTCCTGAATCCCATCACCACAACACTGTCCTTCAATGAGAAATCAAAAGAGCTAAAAACACGGAAGGATAACTAGTTCATAACAACAATATGAAAAATATTGTGAAGTTCATTGACTATTCCTTGCCATCTTGAGGAGCTCCCTTTTCCACTGTCTTCTGTAGCCCCTGTCTTTCCACTCAAGCTTCTTCTCAAGCCATCATTACCTATGTAACTTCAGAAATATACACTCCTTGCAGCCTGTGTAATTTTTGTAGCCTGCTACATGCCTATACAAGTTTGAGAAAGTTTGAAGATTTTTATGCTTATTAAAGCTTACAAAGACTAAAGGTTTTTCAGACTATATTTGCCTTTCTGTGCCTGGCTTATTTTTCTTAACATAATGACTGTTATGTTAAGAGAAACCATCCATGTTGCTGCAAATAACACGATTTCATTATTTTTACAGATCCATAATATTCCGTTGTGTATACATATCACATTTTCTTTAGCCAGTCATCTATTGATGAACACTTAGGTTAATTCCATATCTTGGCCATTCTAAATGATGCTGTTATAAACATGAAAGTGCAGATACCTCTTTGAAATACTAATTTTCTTTCCTTTGGATGTATACCTAGCAGTGAGATTACTGGATCATGTGGCAGTTCTATTAGTTTTTTGAAGAATCTTCATTTTGTTGTCCATAATTGCTGTACTACTCTGCATTCTTATAACCAACAGTTATAAGCGTTCCCGTTTCTCTGCATCCTTGCTAGCATTTGTTATTTTTTGTCTTTTTGATACTTTGATAATAGGCATTCTAACTGGGGTGAGATGATGTCTCATTGTGGCCTTGATTTACATTTCCGTTATGATTAGTAATGTTGAGCATTTTGTTGTTTTGGGGAGAAATGAGCAGGTTACCTTCTATTCTGCCATCTTGGTAACAGCATTTGTGCCCATTTTCCTTTTCATCTGACCTTTCTTTTATTGTTTGCCCACTTTT
This sequence comes from Homo sapiens, assembly GCF_000001405.40. NCBI lineage: Eukaryota > Metazoa > Chordata > Mammalia > Primates > Hominidae > Homo > Homo sapiens. The sequence goes on along the minus strand of NW_025791754.1, from coordinate 149,052 downwards.
TTTTGCTGATTTTTTTTTTACGTTATCCTTGTCTTGGATATTTACATCACCACTACAGTTTTGTCAGCGATACTTTTCATGTTTGAATGTCATTGACACCTTCTCCCAACAAAGTAGGTGTAACAGGTGTAACAGGCAACAGTAGAAGAGCTAAATAGAGATGGAGAAGGCAAGGAGGAAAAGAAATGGAAAAGAAAACAACAATAGAAAAAAAAGGGAAATTTTTGTCTCATTTTCCTCCAAAGGCTTATTTCTTTTCTCTTGCTTTGATGTATTTCACAAAGCCTTTTATTAATGTGTGTATCTGTGCACAATTTGCTTCAAGACTGCTTTCTTTAAAATTGCTTTTGAATGATCACCATTCCCAAATGATGGTCATAATCACAATATACAATCATGTGATAATTACACCTGATGTAAGAAGCAAAATAATGAAAATCTGAGATAACTAGCTGGTATAATAAAAATAAATACTTGGTCTTTGTCCCTGGTTTCTGGCTCAGAACTTCAATACTCCTTGTAATTTTCTGTGTGATAGGAGTGTCTTTTGTTATTCATACTTTCCAACCATACTAGATGCTATGGTAACAAAGGGACTTATGGAGGGGCACCTCTATAAGCTGGTGTGGGCAGCAGAAAAAGGAAGCTCTGATTAAAAGGTTGACACTTTTAGCCTTTACCCTCAACTCCAAGGAGGGCAGAGGGGCTGGGGCCTGGGTTTCATCACGTGGCTAATGATTTAATTAATCTTACCTGCATAATGAAGCCTCAATAAAAACTGAAAAATAAGGCTTGGATTGCTTCCCGGTTGGCGAACATGTTGACGTCCTGAGAGAATGGGGCACCCCAACATCACAGTCACGGAAGTTCCTGTGATTGGGAGACCCTTTAAGACTTTCCTCCACATGCTTTTTCATCTACTGTTCATTTATATTCTTCATAATAACATTGTAATCATATGCATAGTGCTTTTGTTGTTCTGTGAGTTATTTTAGCTAATTATTGAATCTGAGGGTTTATGGGAAGCCCCAAATTTGTAGCTGGCTGGGCAGGAATACAGTTGGCTTGAGGGTACCTAGGACTTATGGCTGGTGTTTAAATTGGGTGCAGTCTTCTGGGACTGAGCCCCTTAACTTGTGGAGTCTTTGCCAACTCCAGGTAGTGTCACAATTGCACTTAATTGTAGGATGCACGCTTGATGCAACAGAATTTATGTCAGAATGCAAACAGTCATGTCTATAAGTTATATATTACTTTTATAGTCAGTGGTAGAACAAAACGATAAGAATTTCTACCAGTGATTGGAGATATCTTCTGGGAGAAATATGGTAAAAATGTCATTTTTTCAATATATTTTCACTATAGAATAGTAAGAAGGCAAAATTTACACATTCTCAATTTAAACTCAAGTGAATAAATATTTACTGAGCACATACTACGAGCCAAATGCCTTGCTGAATTCTAGGCATTACAACATTGAATAAACCACATAGAATTTATAATATGATGGGTGACACAGATATATGAAAACAAACAAAAGCACATTGTCCTACTAATTTTTTCTGTCCAGACAACTTAAGCTACATTTTATTCATAATCTAGGTTCTGGAACAGCTGAGTGGGAGTTTGGTGCTACCTGCCAACACTGAGTTTGATTCATTAAGAAAGATTCTTATCCTGTTTTTAAGAAAATATTTACCTTGTCTCTATATTCATCCAAAAATAATTTGAAAAGAAGGCTAATGAGTTTCTATTTCTTTAAATGAGGAAAAACATTGTTCAATCTATTCTAGAAAAGTTATAAATACAATTTATATGGATAACAATCTTAATGTATAAATTTGTCTATTAATAATATTTATAGGATTGTGATTGTACATAATGAGCCCAAAGTCTTCACATTATGCTACTAAGACAATGCAGTGCATACATTCACTTCAAATTCAGTGTAATTAGCTCCCCATGGAAGAGTGCCACACAGCTGCTGCATATGTGTCTATTGTGAAGAGGAAAATGTATAGCAAATTGTTAAAACCATTAAAATCAAAATATTAAATGCAGAAAAGTAATGAATTTATGTAACTAAGTTAATAAAATTAAATTATTAGAATGTGGTAATTTTATGAAGTTAATCATTTTATGAAAATAAATAATTTATAATACAGTAGTTAACTATTTATTATTCTTAGGAAGTCCAACAATTGTCTTTTCATAAACATATGCACACACACACACACACATCTACAGAAAGAGAGAGAAAGAGAGAGAGATTGCATAATTTATTTCACTTCTCAATAAATGAAAGAAATAAAAATGCTTATAAGTCACAAAAAAGAAAGTATCATCTAGGATGACAAAGGTTACTTTTGGGTGTGCTTTCTTTTTGAAATGTTAAAATGAATATCACATTAGACAAGGACATGAAACCAATGATTTTTTTCTTGCTTATTATTTCTTCCTCTACATTAATAAGTATGTCCATCACTATTTGATTCTGTTTTGCTAGTCTGCAAGGCACTACTCATTTTTGAATTCAGAGTCAAAGAGAGTACAGTACATTTATTCAGCCTTCCATTTCAAGGCAGAGAGAACTGAAATAGGAACCCTTGACTTCACAGCCCAAGTCAAATAAAAAAACATTTCAAAACATTAAAGCCAACAGAGTACCTGATTTATTATATTGGGAAAATGGACACTTATTTGTGAGTTTATTTTAAGTATCTTTCTTGTTGCTATAACCTGTAGAGGAATTACTTGAGAGATTCTGTGCTGAATGCTGTCATTATATTTAGCTTGAACTAATTGGATACAGGCTCAGAAAATGTTCAAATAATTAGTTTACTATTTTCAGTGCATAAATTTCTCCACAAGATGTAGAATTTGTATCATTTGTATTTAAAGTCCTTCCAAATTCCTTCCAGTAATATATTAGGAATCTAAAATTATAGTCTCCGTATACTTATTCATATTTGTAATATATTCATTGTTATAATCAAACTGTATCAGATTAATTGAATATGGATGCATTTAAATTACTGTTAACTCTTTTTGAAAAAAGTATGTTCTTTGGCTTCTTTGACTATTTCATTTTTTGTAATTTCTATAACTATCATATTTTCTTATTTATTTATGTAATATTTTTCAACTTAATTCTTGGGGCTTCAAACTGTCATCAAATCATAAAACTAAACTTAGGACAGTTTATCTTTAATACATCAAACAGATAATAGTATATTTATATAGAATTTCATTCTTTATTTTGAAAGTGATTTTGATCTGTGGGACCCATTATTGAATGCAATTCATCATATGCTCATGTGATTATAACTGATTTAAGCAGTATTTTAGAAGTGTAACATATGGAGCAGTTTTGGTGTATCAAAACAACAAAGTAGTCTAGACTCAGCAATGAGTCATTCATATGCACTCCTGTTAATCTTTCAAAACCATGATATAATTTACATTGACAACCCTCCATGTCATAAAACTTACACAAAAAATTTATGCATCCTTTGTTTATCTTCTAAGGACTCAGATATTTAAATATTATCTTTAAATTTATAGCCTTCCTAACTTAAAACTAATCTCTTGAATGATGATTTTTATGCTCAATAAAAATAAGACTTCCTAACTTAAAACTAATATCTTGAATGATGGTTTGTATGCTCAATAAAAATATTATTTTTAAATTTTTTTGCCTTACTCAAAACCTAGTTTTTACACTTATACTGTAGTTAAAAGGAGTGGAATATCCTCCTTAATTCTTATATGAAGACTATTTTCTAACCTTTTCTGTTCAAAAATTTCACCCAATGGGGATTGCCAAATGTTTCTGTAGACATTTTGAGTGGTTCGAATTCTCCATCTCTTTCCTTGCATTTTACAATGTTTTTTTTTTTGGTTTTCAGACTTTACCTTATCATGAATATTAATGTTGACTTTGCCTGTTTTTGTTATTTTTAGAATTATAGTTGTAACTTAAGAGTTACAATTTTTGAACAATAATAAGTCATACAGAACTTACCTTTATTTGTGTTTTTAAGTATTATAGGTACAAATAGCTTATTTTATAGTTTATAAAAGCACAAGAAAGAACACTGGTTTTAACTTCTCCAAATTATCATTTTAAAAAGTACAAATGTTTTATTCTTTTATTCTATATTTTTATTTTTAATTGACAAATTATTAATTGGGTACAGTGTGACATTTATATATATACACATATATACATATATACACATATATATATTTACAATGTGTTATGATTAGATCAGACTAATTAACAAATCCAGGACCTCACATACTTATTACTTTTGTAGTGAAAAGATTTAAAATCAACTCTTCAAGCAATTCTGAAATATACAATACATTATTATTTATTGAAGTTAGCATTTTTTTTTTGCAATAGATCACTAAGCTTTTTCCTCTTAACTGAAACGTTGCACTCTTTTGATCAACATCCCCTTATGCCCTTCCACCAGTCTCTGGTAACCATCATTGTACTCTCTACTATGAATTCAATTTTAATGACATAATTTTTTTTTAGGCAAAATAGTATTCCATTATGTATATATATATATATATCATATTTTCTTTATCCGTTAATCTGATGATGGACACCTAGGTTGCTTCCATATCTTGGCTATTATGAATAAGGCTGCCATGAACATAGGCATGCAAGACATCTCTTCAACATACTTTTTCAGTTTATTTGAATATATACCCAGAAGTGAGATTACTTATTGCATGCCTATTTTTAGTTTTCTGAGGAAACTCCATACTGTTTTTCATAATGGCTGTCTTGGCCGGGCGCAGTGGCTCATGCCTGTAATCCCAGCACTTTGAGAGGCCAAGGCGGGTGGATCATGAGGTCAGCAGATTGAGATCATCCTGGCCAACATGGTGAAACCCTGTCTCTACTAAAAATACAAAAATTAACTGGGTATGGTGGCGCGTGTCTGTAATCCCAACTACTCGGGAGGCTGAGACAGGAGAATCGCTTGAACCAGGGAGTTGGAGGTTGCAATGAGCTGAGATCGCACCACTGCACTCTAGCCTGGCGACAGAGCGAGATTCAGTCTCAAAAAACAAAAAAACAAAACATAATGGCTGCCTTAATTTACATTCCCACCAACAGTGCAAAGGGTTCTCTTTGCTCCACTCCTCTGGCTAACACTTATTTTGTCTTTTTGATAGTAGCCATTCTAACAGGTATGAGGTGATATCTTATTGTAGCTTTAATTTGCATTTCCCTGATGATCAGTGATGTTGATCAGCTTTTCCTATACGTGTTGGCCGGTTATATATGTTCTTTTGAGAGGTGTTTCTGTAGGTCCATTGTCTTTTTTGTGACTCAGTTATGTGTTTTATTGCTGTTGAGTTGTTTGAGTCCTTATATATTTTGGATATGAGCCCCCTATCAAATGTATTATTTGCCAATATTTTCTCCTAATCTATAGGATGTCTGTTCGTTCCATTAATTGTTTTGTTTTTTGTTTTTTTGTTTTTTTTTTTTTTGACTGTGCAGAAGCCTTTTAGTTTGTTATAATCCCATTTGTTTGTTTATGTTCTTGTTGCTTGTGCTTTTGGGTTCCTAGACAATAAATTATTGCCCAGAGCAATGTTGTGGAATACTTCCTTTATGTTTTCTTCTAATAGTTTGACAATTTCTGGCCTTACATTTAAGTCTTTGAGTTGATTTTTGCATATAGCATGAGATAAGGTCCAAATTTTTGCATATAGCATGAGATAAGGTCCAATTTCATGCCTTTGCTTGCAGATATCCAGTTTTCCCAGCACAGTTTAGTGAAGAGATGATCTTTTCTCCATGGTGTGGCCTGGCACCTTTGTTAAAAAAATCAATAGGCCATTAATTCATGGGTTTATTGCTGGGCTCTTTATCCTGTTCTATTGGTCAATCTTCCTGTCTGCTTTTATGCCAGTACCATTCTATCTAGATTACTATAGCTTTGTAATAGATTTTGAAGTCAGATACTGTGATGTCTCCAGATTTGTTTTTTCTTTTGTTTTGTTTTGTTTTGTTTTTTTCTCTTAAGATTGCTTTGGCTGTTTGAGGTCTTTTGTGATTCTATACAAATTTTAGGACTGTTTTATCAAAATTCTGTGAAAAATGACATTGATATTTCAATCAGGATTGCAGTAAATCTGAAGATCACTTTGAATAGTATGGATATTTTAACAATATTGTTTCTTCCAGTTTATGACCACAATAACGCTTTAGATTTATTTGTGTCATCTACAGTTTCTTTTATTGGTGTTTCATAATTTACAGTATAAAGATCTTTTACCTCTTTGATTACATTTATTCTTAAGTATTTTTTTTTTATGCTATTGTGAATGGGACTGGTTTTAATTATTTTTTCAGGTAGTTTGTTTTTAGGGTAAAGAAACACTGTTGACTTTTATGTGTTGATTTTGCTGAATTTGTTTATCACTTCTAACAGCTTTTTGGTGGAGTAGTTAAGGTTTCAATATACTGTAAGTTCATGGCATCTGCAAACAGAGACAATTTAACTTCTTCCTTTTTTTTTTTTTTTTTTTTTTTGAGACAGAGTCTCACTCTGTCGCCCAGGCTGGAGTGCAGTGGCGCAATCTCCACTCGCTTCAAGTTCCGCCCCGCCTCCCGGGTTCACGCCATTCTCCTGCCTCAGCCTCCCGAGTAGCTGGGACCACAGGCGCCCGCCAAGGCGCCCGGCTAATTTTTTTGTATTTTCAGTAGAGACGGGGTTTCACCGCGTTAGCCAGGATGGTCTCGATCTCCTGACCTTGTGATCCGCCCGCCTCGGCCTCCCAAAGTGCTGGGATTACAGGCGTGAGCCACTGCGCCCGGCCACTTCCTTTTTCTATTTAGATGCCTTTTACTTCTTTTTCTTGTCTGATTGCTCTGGCCAGAACTTCGAATACTGTGTTGAACAGAAGTTGTTTGAATGGGCAACGTTGACTTTGCCCCTGATCTTAGAAGGAATAGCTTTTAACTTTCTACCATTGAGTGTAATGTTAGCTGTGGAGTTTTTATACATGGCGTATATTATGTTGAGGTACATTTCTTCTATGCCTTATTTGTTGAGAGTTTTCCATCATAAAAGGATGTTGAATTTTGTCAAATGCTTTTTATACATGACCTTGCAATATTTGATTTTTAAGTGTGTCCTCAGTAAAAGTATATATCCCTGTAGAACTGGAAAGTTTTGTTAATTATTTTTGTATGCTAAGAACCTAGGTCAGTGCCTGATTCGTAAAAGTAAATTGAGAAATATTTCTTAGTTGTATTGCTTAGAATTGTCTCCTAAGCCATGGAATATTTTGTAGTCAATTAGAAATGTTCTATTTTTTAAGACACATTTAAAATATATATTTAGATTACTTACTATGTTATTTTCTGATATAATTACTATTCACCCAAGTTACTTTTAAGCAGAATTTGAGTTAGTAGATCCCTAGACTAATTTCTAAATATTTTATCTTCCGAAGTGTAAAATAAGAGCCTTTTAATGGAAGTAAGGAATGTAAATTAGTGAAGTGAAAAATTCTGGCCAGTTGCTACCATGACCTATGATATCTGGTTCTCCAAATTTAAAATAAGTCGGAAGTGCAGATTTTTATATTAAATGTTAAATGATGGAACTTATTAAACTTCAATAAATTTAGGCAGCCCAAATGAAACTCCTCTGTAGTTCAGATTTGGACTAATTACTGCCAGTTTGTAACTTCTAGCCATATGTTGTTTTCTTGAGACACAGAGAGGTAGGTTAATGATAGTGTCACAAAAATCTAACTGGATAGGAAATACTAAGTATTAATCATCCCTAATTTTTATTTCTCATATGTAAATTCAGCATGATAAAGTGCAATTCATAAAATTAATCCAAATTCTTCATTGTCCAGAATTAAAAGAGAAAGTAATTGTGTAATGTATTTTTATCAGGATGGAATCAGATGCTTGGAATCTTACTTTTTACATAACTTTAAAGTCAATAGGTTTTGAAAATAGTGTCATAAAAATCTTTTTTTCCTCTCTGTAAGGAAAGTTAATAACAAAAAGACAGGAAATCATACATGCAGAGTGATTCACACAAGCAGAAGGGCAGCATCACTGTGCTTGTACGAAAGGATTTCATAGAGTGGGTAGCATGATACGTATTTTGAAGGATGAGGAGGACCTGCAGAGATGGTTTTGAAACAGAGTTTTGACCTGCAGAGATTGTTTTGAAATCTCTTATATGAAATTGTTACCCACAGTGAGTTGGAACCCAAATATGAGGAAGAAATTTTCAGTATTTAGCTAAATAGTCAATCATCTGACTTACTAATAGTCTGCTGGGAAGTACTGAAAAGTCATCCTGGAAAGCAGTTTGGGAGCTAGACCTTAGAATGCCCTGAATGCTGAGTCTTTGGAGTTTTTGATGCAGTGAATGGGGAGTCATGGCAAGTTTTTAAATGAGGACATGGGGGAGGTGGCATCGTCAGACTTGTACTTTTATGAAATTGATGTGAAATTTCTGTATTTATCTGAAAAGAGACATTATGGGGAAAAGGGAAAGAGTTAGTAAGTTATTTCAATAAATCAGGCATGAGATAATAAAGACCTGGTCTAGGACTGTTAGGGTGAATATATTGATTAAAAACAAAGAGAGAATTCTGGGAAATAACTGACCTTAGTGAGATAAATGATACATTTATTTAAGTATATTAAAATTATAGTACATAAGTAAAAAAATAAGTGGTGATATATAAATGAAGCTCAGGAACAGGATGAAATATATGTGTGTGTGTGTGTATATATATATATACACCTATACATATACACACACACACACATATATATGTATATGCATAGATATACTTGAAGGTTGTGCACATAAATGTATAATTGTAAAGCCTTAAGAAATGTAAGGCTTAGAGAGCCATAAGGAAGGTTAAAAAGAACCACAAGGAAGATGAGTTTAACTAAGGACTTTATCCTGAGGTTCATAAAGGAGAGTCTAGAAAGAAGACAAATCAGAGAAAATGAGCAAGGGGTCCAAGAGTATTCTGGAAGCTGAGATAGAGTGATGTGAAAAGACAGAGCTCCAGAATTAGAATGTAGTTTGTCAAACACTGTAAGAAAGTTCAAGTAGGATGAATGCTGACAAAAACCACTAGATTTAGGAATTACATTATGATTGGGTCCAGAGGAAAGAATGAAGGAATGTAAAAGAATTATAGTTGAGAAAATAGGGGATAGAAACCAGTAATTTGTGCCAATAAAATTCTTGATTTTTTTTTTTACCTCCCACACTGTTCTGTTAAATCCAATAATTTTATCATCTCATTCCATATGGTATTGATGGACACAGATTAAAGGAAACAAAATTTCTGCCAGAAACACATTCCTTCTTCCAAGAAAGGCACATGTTCATGATAATAAAACAAATGGAAAAGTAGGTAAGACCAAACATTTAAAAGTGTCTGAAATCTTTAATGATTTAAATGTCATTGGTATTCTTTTAGATACTTATATAAGTATTTGTTAGGAAAAAAATATCATCAGTAAAACTTCAATTGAATTCAGAATTCTACTAGAAAAGAAATATGATAAATTTAACAAAAAGGAATCATAGTGTATGTTTATACTAGCAACAATAGCAGAAACATTTATTGTAAAACCCAATAACTAGACATAGTAAAGTAAAAAAGCTTTGCATATTGTGACATTACAATTCTTCACATTCTCAAACCTCTGTTAAATAACCAAAGTGACAAAATAGAGGTATTGAGTGAACCTCGAACGTTTGTTTCTTGTTTCTGGCATATGAATGTTCTAAGCATTAAACTATGCAATAAATTGTCTTTTGATGTAGGCCGCTAACATAAGTAGAAAAAATTTATTTATTTTTCCAATCAAATGTCACTGACTGTGTGCCAGGCATTGTGTTAGGCATTGTGTAAGTAACAGAAAGCAAAATCATGGTCTCTGCCCTCTTGGAACATAGGATCTAGCTGAGATAGATTATTAATAAATTAAAAACATAAACAAGGTGTAATAGGTTTCAAAAAAGCTATGAAAGTTTTAACAGGTTATATTCAAGAGTAACTGCAGAAAGACAGGTTTTAAGTAAGGTGATAAGGAAATACCTCTTTGGGGAGGTAATATTTTAGCTGCAATGATAACACCAGCCTAGTCCAGTAAAAGCCTGGGAAGTAGCATTATAGGAAGGATAAAAAAATACAAAGTTCTTGAGGTAATATATAATTTAGCATATTCAAACAACTGATAATAAAAATATCTTTTTAAGTACTTACTATATACAGTAATTTTAGAGGTTTTATTATGTTTATTTTTTGTAATCACAGTGGGATGTAGATGTCAATATGAATCCCAATTCACAGTTATAAAACTGAGGAACAGAGAGCTTAAGTAACTTGTAAAAGATCATACAATTAGTAAGCGGAAACACTTGACTGAAACTATTGTATGTGGTTTCAGAATCCAAGCTCCAAACCATTGTATGTTGTATTGCCTGTATGATCCATATTTTTGGCAGGTGGACCTGTCCACTGGCATCAAAACCCAAGTCCAAATCAACTTGTGATCTGATCTTCCTCCACACTTTCTATTTTACAGAAGGTGCAATCATCTGCCTCATTATCTAGAGACCTGTGTATCATCCTCATCTTCTCTCTACTTTAGTACCAAATTCAATCATCATATCCTCTTAAAATTGAATGTCTAAATGCATTCTGAATAAGATCTGTTTCTGCAAATACCACAGTAGAATGTACATTCGTCTTTCACTAGGATTGCTGCATTAACACTATAGTTTATCTTGCTCAATTTTCCCATGCCACCTCCTCATTCACAAGCCATTTTCCACATTGTCATCAAAGTGAGCATCCTAAAAACATAATCGTATCACTCCTCCTCTTAAAAACACTTTAGTTTTTCCCCATTGCCTGTAAGATGAAATTCAAAATACTTAACATGGTTTCAAAGTAGGGTAACCATATGTCCTGTTATTTCTTAGACAATCTCAACTTATATCATTATTTTTCAGTGTAATTCTTAACTGCATCCCCATTACCTTAAAACATATCTTGGTACTTTAAGACCTAGTCCAAACTTATTGCTCTAGTCTCATTTCTGACCTCTCCATTCAACCCATATACTTAAACTCTATGCTATTGGATTGTTTGTAGTTCCTGAAGTCTCTCAAGCGTTTTATTTTTTTATTTTTTATTTATTTATTTTTTTTTACTTCCACTAGAGAACATGCTGGACATTCTGCTTATAGCTTTCAACTTAACACTCACTCTTCCCAAATTTCTACTCAATTTTAGGTCTCAACTTAGACATCACCTCTAATTCAGCTCTCTGGCTTTTCTACTAAAAGAATAAGCTAGGTGCCCTTCCTAAGTATGTATTACTGCCTAATTATTACATATATTCACCCAAGTGTTTTTGCCTATTTTGCTATTGTTACCATTCACAGCAGTGTAAGTTCTTGCAGACAAGGAAAATATCCCTGTTTGTTTAACTAGCTCCTGGCCCATATTCAACACATAATACTTCTATTAACTGATAAGATACTGTTAGTTCTATATAGGAGCTCTGTATTCCTAGCACTGAGGATGATTGATGCCCTACACAAAGTACGTTCTCAACGCATATTTATTAAGTGACTACTTTAATGCACAAATGAATACATTGGTGTTTGGGGACTTTAATAGTGAATGGAATTAATTTTAATTAGCGTTGCTGTTTAAGGTGGTATCAATAGGATTCAGATGTGTGGAGATGGGAAGAGTTCATTTCCTATAGGAATAAGCACTGTAGGTTAAAAAACTGTTCTGTATTTGAAAAATATAGTGTGTGAAATGGTAATGTAATTGAACCAAGGAATGTTTGTTTGTTTGTTTGTTTGTTTGTTTGTTTGTTTTGAAGAGTAAATGTAACATCAAATTCTCAGGCGTTCCAGCACTTTATTCTGGCTACTCCCTTTAATTTGGGTCTAACATATCATGGCTTGGTCTTCTCCAGGATACTTGTTACACCTCGAGAACTAGGTTTGTCCTCAAATTCACGGGAAAACCTAGCTGTATCACAATAAGAACAGCTAACTCCAGTCATCTGCAAGCCACTCACATGAGCTGTTCAAGTTAAGCACTCTTCACACCTAGGTTTATAAATTAGAGAATATATTAGGATTTCATAGACATAGACAAAAATGTGGAACCGCTTTCCTATCCTTTGCCTTACCTTCTCCCTGTATCTCAAGTGAAGACGCTCTTATAGTGATAGTCATCTCAACTAGACAGACACTATAGATACACGTGAGATGGGAGGCTTCCCTTCCACGAGAACCCACACATTTATTACATTAGAAACAGGAGCTTGCTTCTGTTGCCTCAAGAAGTGAAGGTTGATTTCTTATTTTCTGTATCTTATTCTGATTTCTTATTTTCAGCTGTATCAGTCTTCCTAGTAAAGGGAATTTGTCAACAAAAGAAACTAGAATTTTTGAGGTTACCATTTGTTAAATAGAAGCTTAACTTACATTCTCAAGAAACTCTTCTAAACTTAAACAAATTTGACATTTGCTCTCTTACCTTCATTTATTAAAGGAAAAAAAAATTGCAACAGAATTTTTAAAAAGAAACCCTCATACACCATATCACCCCCCAACTCGTAAGCATTCAAACATACATAAACAACGTGTGTGTGTGTGTGTGTGTGTGTGTATGTGTGTGTGTGTGTGTGTGATATACAGAAGATTAGTTGCAAACTGATATACCAGATGCAATTTATCAGTTAGGTGGAGAAATGAAACTAAGATGATGGACAGCTAGAGACTACTGGATGTACAAAGCCTGTTTTAGTCTGTTAGGGCTACTAGAACAAAGTACTGTAGACTGGGTGGCTTATAGACACCAGATATTAATTTCTCACTGTCTGAAGGCTGGGAATTCCACATTCAAGGTGCTGGGAGATTTGGTGTCTGGTGAGGGCCCATTTCCTAGTTCATAGATGGTACATGGTAGAAGGGGCAAAGAGTTTCTCTTTTTTAAAAAGGCAATTGCATTCATGAGGGTTCCACCTCCATGAACTAATCACCTCCCAAAGGCTTCACTTCCTAATACTATTACCTTGGGGATTAGGATTTCAATGTATGAATTTTGAGGGGACACAAACATTCAGACCATAACAGGTGCCTACCTCCCTATTTTTTTGTTCTCACCCATGAGAATATTTAAAAGCAGGTCTTCTTTACAGTGTTCAGTGTTATGGTACATCGTGTGACGTTAGTTTTTTTTTCACATTTTTTTCAATGATTTTTATTTGTTTCCATTATGATGTCTCTTCTTGTATGAAGAGTAAATACATGCTTAATGTACAAAAAATGTTGATCTTTCTTCACTATTGGGTGTTTTAACTGAGAAAATGTGGTTAGCAAAACGAAAGGGCAGTTTAAAAAATATGATTATCAGTGAAGTAATGACACATTTATAGCTAAGAACCATATGATGAGAACTTTTTACGTATGTCAACACAATTTACTGAGGCAGAAATGCATAAAATGTGGAATGCTCACAAATTTTTCTATCTCAAATTTCTGAACAGAAAGAACGGGAGAGAGGCTCTAACTTGGCCTTTATGTTTCGACTGCCTTTTGCTGCTGGGAGGGTGTTTAGCATCAGTATGTTGGACACTCTGCTGTATCAGGTATACAATATTTCTTTTTATTTTCTCTAAAATGGTTGTTTTCTGTTTTAGATTTTATTTAAATGAATAATACATCTAGTGTTTCACATGCAGCTACTAACTTAAAATTGGCTCCAAAAGTAATTCAGTATTTTATTTCATGTACTTAATGACATAAATGCTCCTATGAAACATTTTGTAAGAAAAATACTATTTTTAAAAATAACCTATGGAAATTATTTCAGGCATTCTTTTGTACCAGTGCCCTGCAGTGTTTAATATATTTAATACATTTTAGTACATTTTGCATGTTACTCCAAGCATATTACTGGATTTAAAAAGGTAAAAAAAAATTACCAACTTAATAAAAACAGCATTCCTTATAGTATACATTTTTTCCAGGTTTGAAATAAAATACCAAATTGATGTCAATAAACTGATAAACTAAGGACATTTTAAGAATCTGCTGATTATTGCCTATTTTAGAAAAATATGAAAAGACTACAACAACTAAAACCACTGAGTTTGTTCCTGAATGCCAAGTTAACTTTTTCATTTTATCATAGCTAAGAGGTTTGTGGAGGTGTTTGTTCACACTAATATCATCGTTTTTGTCTCTGCCAGAAACTGAATAGCAGTAATATCTCATTTTTTCTGATTCAAGTAATCAGACAATCTCTAAATATTTCCATTAAGAAGAAAGAAATATTCGTAGAGTTTTAAATTATTTGATAACATTAATCTCAAATTAAGCATTTCAGCATTTTATTGTACCTATTCTTTTTGCTTATTTATGTACTGTCTTCTATAATTGCTTGACTGAACAAACTAATCCAAAGAAAGTTAAAGCTTTTCTGCAGAACTTTGGGCTAATTTTGCCCATGATTATGCCTCTAGCAACGTCAGGAACCATCTGCTTATGTCAGATGAGAGCTGGAGCAAACACAACAAAGTAGAATAAATACCCCTATTATCCCTAAAGTTTCCAGACATATTATCTGGGTACTACAGGAGGCAGGGCTCCCACTCCAAACACTGTTACCAAACACACATACTTCTGATCTCTTAAAGAGATTAAATTGCAGGGGATGGTTTATTTGAAGAGCAGTGTTGAAACTGAAGATTTTATATCAATAGGAGCCAAATGCTTGGGTACCATTATGCACCAGTAGTTTTAAGATTTTTTTAGCCACAGTATCCTCTGTTTAAATAAAATCTTGTAAGGAAATCTCATGTATAAGTTAAATAGAAGAAAAACTGTTCTAAAAACTGTTCTATAGAAATGGAAAGCAGTAGTTTTTTCTTTCTCTTTGTTTTTGCCTCACGTTTATGTTATAAATAGAGATACAGGAAATTGCATGATTTTCTGAAACTTCGGAAGAAAGAGTGAACTAGAACTATATATATATATATATATATATATATATATTTTTTTTTTTTTTTTTTTAAGACAGAGTCTTGCTCTGTCGCCCAGTCTAGAGGGCGGTGGTGCGATCTCGGCTCACTGCAACCTCTAGCTCCCAGGTTCATGCAATTCTCCTGCCTCAGGCTCCCAAATAGCTGAGATTACAGGTGTGCACCATTACATCTGGCTAATTTTTGTATTTTTAATACAGACGAGGTTTCACCATGTTGGTCAGGCTGGTCTCGAACCCCTGACCTCAGGTGATCGGCCAACCTTGGCCTCCCAAAGTGCTGAGATTACAGGTGTGAGCCACTGTGCTCAGCCTAAAGTCTTAAATTTTGACACAGTAAACATATTTTGCATTTCAATACATACCTGCATTTGTGTGTGTGTAGATGTGTATGTATATATAACTGAAACAAAATATTAACAACACTTACCCTTTCTGCTCATAATTTGCTGTACTATTTTCTATCTTACTGAATATACTCTATTTCATTTTAAAAAATTGCTGGCATTAATTCATAACTATTTTGTGGCTTTTTTAAAAAACACTTAAGTAGAGGACTTCTGAATTAGTAAAATCCAGAGCATAATTTCTCTTCAGTGGGACTTTTGATCTACTGTCAATGGTTCTTGAATGATTGGGAATTATTTTCAGTCACATTTTCTTTAATTGCTTACTAACAAAATGGTCTGTGTCTGTAAAGACTATTCTAGCTTTCAACCTTTCCAATAATATAAGAGATGCACTGTCACCCCAGGGAAATGCAATGATTCTATTTATCTATTTATTTATTTATTTCATTTTATTTATTTTTTGTTTGTTTGTTGTTTTGAGATGGAGTCTTGCTCTGTTGCCCAGGCTGGAGTGCAGTGGCGTGGTCTTGGCTCACTGCAAGCTCTGCCCCCCGGGGTTCACGCCATTCTCAGCCTCCCAAGTAGCTGGGACTACAGGTGCCCGCCACCACGCCCAGCTAATTTTCTGTATTTTTAGTGGAGACAAGGTTTCACCGTGTTAGCCATGCTGGTCTCGATCTCCTGGGACCTCCCAGGAGTGCTGGGCCTCCCAGAGTGCTGGGATTACAGGCATGAGCCACCTCCTTAATTTTTTAAAGGTTCAATTTTAGGCCTGGTGTGTTGGCTTATGCCAGTAATCCCAGTATTTTGGGGTGGCCAAGGCAGGCGATCACTTGAGGCCAGGAGTTCTAGACCAGCATGGCCAACATGGGAAACCCTGTCTTTACTAAAAATACAAAAATTAGCCAGGCGCCATGGCGCATGCCTGTCATCTCAGCTACTTGGGAGGCTGAGGAAGGAGAATCACTTGAACCCGGGAGGCGGAGGCTGCAGTGAGCCGCTATCATGCCACTGCACTCCAGCCTGGATGACACAGCAAGACTCTGTCTCAAATAAATAAATAAATAAATAGAAGGCCCTATTTTATCATGAAGTGTTGTGGAAAAAGAATATGCAATAATAAATGATAAATATAGTTTAGAAATTTACTTCACTAGCTTAGAGCTTAATACTAAAAAAAGACTGAAATTTTTCATTGAAAATTTGTTTTAATTGTTTCAAGTTTTTATGATAGTCATCATTTCATTTGGGGTTTTTGCTTTAAAAATTCTAAAAATTTTTTATCATGCCTAATAACACACATAAAATGTAAGCATAGTTAGATATTTCTAGACAAAAATTATTTCCTGTGTTTCCTTATGAACAGCTTAACTGTACATGTTTATCTAGGATACTAACAAGATAGATTAAATTTACTTTTGTATGGAGGGTTAAAAATGTGATATGAGAAATAATCTTTTAGAAGTCAGATGTTCACACTTTTAGCTGTTCTACACATCTCATACACATTATATATAAATATACATTTATATATTGTTTGTTTGTTTATATTGCAGTCATTTGTGAAGGATTATATGATTTCTATCACGAGACTTCTGTTGGGACTGGACACTACACCAGGATCTGGGTTTCTTTGTTCTGTAAGTTAATAATCTCTAGAATAAAAGATAGTTGTGATAGAAGGTTCTGAAATCTATCTACCGTGTACTTTGCTAATTCTTCTATGTCATGTGTTATTTTTTGTATTGTGAATCCAGATGCATTTGAGTTTTTAAAATTCCTTTAAAAATTTCAAGGAAAACATATTATTTTTACTTAATAATCATAATAAATAGCCATTTTGTGTAAAATGCTGAATGAATTTGGCCAGGCGTGGAGGCTCACACCTGTAATCCTAGCACTTTGGGAGGCTGAGGCGGGTGGATCATGAGGTCAGGAGTTAGAGACCATCCTGGCTAACACAGTGAAACCCCGTCTCCACTAAAAATACAAAAAATTAGCTGGGTGTGGTGGCGGGCCCCTGTAGTCCCAGCTACTCGGGAGGCTGAGAATGGCGTGAACCCAGGGGGCAGAGCTTGCAGTGAGCCGAGATCGCGCCACTGCACTCCAGCCTGGGCAACAGAGTAAGACTCCATCTCAAAAAAAAAAAAAATGTTGAATGAATTTTTTTTTGTTAACTGGCAATTTGAAACTGCCGTAGGATACTATACTGTCCACAAAAACGGTGATCATGCTTTTTAACTCCTTTGTTTTATAGATAAGTATACTTTGTCCAAGTATGCTGAATGAAATGATTTGGTAACAGTTCAGATTTACAAGAAGCAAAGGGGCACTACAATTTTTGTTTCCTGTCTGGTATCACGATGCTTATTCTACTATTCATCTTTCTCAATATAGGCATTATTGGAACATTGGGTGGAACAAGTCAGTATGGTGCTAGAGTGTCTTTTGCACTTCGCATTTGGTAACATCAGCATACCCTGTACATTAAATACCAGTGTCAGCCTCCAGTTATTGCAGCATGCAAAATAGTTTCCATATGCTTTACATTTCCCAGTCAATTACCAGTGCTCTATTGCCTACTGATAACGAACTAATATAATGTCATACTGCCCTAAATTGAGTACTCGGATTTCTTAAGTTTGGTGATGCATAATAAATAAATTTAATACATGGATAAGCATGAAATATTACTTGGAGATTTCCAAATACTAATAATTTCTCCCTTTAAGAAGTGAAAAATGCTTCAGCCAGGGATGTCGGTTGAGTCTGCAGTGAGCCATGGTTGCACCGTTGCACTGTAGCCTGGGTGACAGAGTGAGACCCTGCCCCCCACAAAAATAAGCAAATAAAGAAATGTAAAGTTACCACTAGGTTTTTATTTCTGACACATTTAATATGTAAATAATTTGTGTGTGTTATAGATGAAAATCACTGCAGATGACTTATGGATCAGAACTTATGCCAGACTTTATCAGAAGTTGTGTTCTTCTACTGGAGATGTTCCCATTGGAATCTACAGGACTGAGTCTCAGAAACTTACTACATCTGAGGTTTGGAAATAACAAAATATTCTTGTTTTGATGTTTAATCTGATGAGTGCAATCATTCATAAGCTTATAAACTGATTTATAAAAAATGCAAGAGAAAGTGAAAAAGAATGCTACCTGAATACGTAGTGTTAAATCTCAGAACCAAATTTTTTTTCAACTATTTGTTTTACTAAACTATGTCAGTCTTCCAAAAAATATTGTTGGCTAAGGGGCTGTTCTAAGTTTATGGATGTTGGGCTTTAGATGACTTTTGTAGATCTAGGATTAGCTGTTTTGGAAGATTATCAGGAAGCAAATTAATTACAAATAACCTTGAGGTTCTGACACATAAGAAAAGTTCTCAGGGCAAGCAACCTAGATTTCTAATGTATACCCCTACTGCATATATTAGCATTTTGAAGGAAGCAAAGCAAAGATAATTTAGTAAGTGTTAAAATTCACATTTCTCAATCTCTAGATTGGTGACCACTCTAAAGCCAAAAGAAAACTCTGAGTATAAGAGTAGTGTCAGATCTTCCCAAAGTAAACCTCAGTAAATTTAACAGCAAACTTGATCTTGTTAGTATGGAAGGAGAATCTCTGGTAAGTTCATGCACCCGAAACATATTTGCATTTTGATTTGATCACTTCATGTGGTTCATGTTGTTCTAAGTAATTTTTATAGCCTTAGTGTAATATCACCTTTTAGGTCAGACTCTTTTTTGAAATAAAGATTTTGGATGAATTCATCATTCTATCAATATCTATAAAATTATTTAATGTAAATTATGGTTTGTATTCTTGAATTTTTTTTTCTTCAGACACTTCAAAGTTATTACAAATTAAAAAGAAATTTTGGTCAGCCATTTTTTTTGGTCTGATACAAAATTACCTCAACTTTGAGGCTCAGATCAGACACATACATTTCAGTAATTTCTATGATCATTAAACCACCTAGTGACAAAATTAATAAATCCCTATATAGAAAAGAACTTTATAGAAAGCATAAAGATAACGGGGTAGATTTTTGTTGTTGCTGATCAAATTTATAGTTTGACACTTATATAAGTTACCAGCAGAAAATAGGTTAGTTTTTCTGAGTTGCTTCTTGGTGGTGTCACTTTAGCTTCAGGAGTGTTAAATGGAGCTATGTGGCCTGGCACAGTGGCTCACACCTGTAATCCCAGCACTTTGGGAGGCCTAGGCAGGTAGATCACAAGGTCAGGAGTTCAAGATCAGACTGGCCAATATGGTGAAACCCCATTTCTACTAAAAAAAAAAAATACAAAAATTAGTCAGGTGTGGTGGTGCACACCTGTAGTCCCAGCTACTCGGGAGGCTGAGGCAGAAGAATTGCTTGAACCTGGGAGTCGGAGGTTGCAGTGAGCCAAGATCACGCCACTGCACTCCAGCCTGGGTGACAGAGCGAGACTCTGTCTCAAATAATAATAAAAAAAAATTTTTTAATGGAGTTTTGCTGCCGTCTCTCCTCCTGAGTCTGAGTTTTTCTTTTCCTGTGGTGGTTGTGGTTCACACTGCAAAGAATGAGACAAATCAAGAGAAAATCAGGAATGACTGACTGGAAAAACAAACCAGACAGTTAAATATGTAAGATGTTTGTCTAGATATGCCTAAAATTTTAAGAATACTGGATTCAAAACAATATTATTTAATTAAAGGTTAAGAGAAGATCAAGTGCTTTCATACCCAAGTAATTAAGCACGATCATGATCTGTTCAGGCTGCTATAACAAAATACCATGGACTGGGTGGCTTGTAAACAACAGAAATTTAATTCTCAAAGTTTTGAAGGCTGAGAAGTCCAAGATCAGGGCACCAGTTGATTACGTGTCTGTTGCCGACCTGCTTCCTGGTTCTCAGATAGGCATCTTCTCACTGAATTCTCATCTGGTGGAAAGGGAAGGGGATCTCTCTGAGTCCTCTTTTATAAGGCTCTTTCATGATCTAATCACCTTCCCAAAGCCCCACCTTCAAATATCATCAACATTGAGGATTAGGTTTTCACATATGCATTGTGGGGTGATGGAGAACAAATATTTAGTGTATACAAATCATTTCTTATTTGACCATAGCAAGTACAAAGAAGACTTTCATACAGTAGAGTGTTGCCCTGATTTTTTGTCTCACATATAGGCTTTGGGAATTGTAATGCAGTAAATTCTGGCCTTGGTCAACTCCATGTCCATGTCAGTATTATGTATTATAATAATGTTCATATATTATTAAAATACTTCTTTTGTGCTGTTGACATTGCAGATAGGAAAAGGATACTGAGTATTTGAATTGTCATCAAGGAGTATTTAACTACATTTAGTCAACTCTGCCCATAGCAAATAAAGATTACCTCATTAAAATGCTTGTAAATTCTCAAATATCTAGATTATATTAAAAATATATATCATTGGGATGATAAAAGGACACTGTTTTAAATAAAAATAATGCCTCTTGTTTTTCTCTACTGAATTCAATCCATCTTCTGACACACATATTGTTATTAAATTAAATTCTGCCTATTGTAGAAAGAATTGAGGCAACTAACAAAGATAAACAGTAGAAACATCAAGCACTTTTTACAACAAAATATTTTGTCGTAAATGTTTTGAGAAGTTAGTGTTACTGTACTAGCATAAACTGAGTGCTACAGTTGAGCCTGACTTCTATTTTTAATTTCCTGGTAAATAAGGTAAAAAATAGCAATATGTTGATCTATATAGTAATTATGGTCTGATACATGAAAGGATAAAATTCATCTTGCAAAAGATTTGTTTTTCTTGGTCATTTTTTAAAAGAATGAGTATATTATTTGCTTCCTGAATTTGGAGATTTTAGATACCATGATGAGTAATATCTATCTTTGCTCATAGCTTTGCAAGATGAAAAAAATACCATTAAAGTGCATATCTCTTACATTAATCTTTAACTAAAAAAGTAGGAAGGGATATCAATTAAATATTAACCCAATAAAGACATTGAGGTTTTTTTTTGTATTTAAAGAATAAAACATTATTTTTTTAAGATTATATAAAAACGCAGAATAAGAGCTTAGTGGATCTAACAAAATAAAATTGACTCTGACAGTTCACCATGTCTCTCAAATATGAAATGATTCAAAAACAAAGTTTTGAAATTTAAATAACCATTAGTGTTCAAAATGGCCCTGTTCTCTTACTTGAACTTAAAGAAAGACACTAGATTTCAGGAATTAGAAACTTCTTTCAGTAATTACTATTGGAGAGTCTATATTTTTGCTTAGGTTGCTGTCAGATCTCAATTTTCCTCAACAGTTCAGAAAGCTTTGCTGCTGTCAGTCTCTCCATATAAACACATATTAAAGGTTTAGTCTATGGAAGTGGTCTGTGGCCTCTGGACCCCGGAAAGAGTTGAGGGCTAGGAGTATCACACTGAATTCTGAACGCTAAGTTAAAAGATACATTCTGTACGCTTTACACTTCAGCAGATTGAAAGACTCTTTCTTAGGGAAACTGACCAACCCACGTGGAAGGCCCTAAAAATACAGATGTGGGAGATTCTTTAAGTTTGTAATCCAGCCAGATCACCATGAAATGCAGCAATAAAAAGAATCTCACCCAGAGCTTTCAGTTAACTTATTAGTCATTTACTCTAAGAAGAAGACAACTAAAAATTCCCAACAGAAGTGAAAAAGCTTATAATATGAAGTTCAGGAAGTTATTGATAAACTAGAGCAAGAATTCAAAACATGGACAATGAGTAAAGAAAAGATAAAATTAGAGAATTAGTCTAGGAGTTCTAAGATTTGAATCACAAGATTTCAAGAAAGAGGAAATGCATACAAATTGAAGAAATATTACTGTAATAATTCTAGAAAAATCAGTAGTGTGTTAGTTTCCAAATGGTAAGGGTTACCATGTGTCCACAACAGTGAATTAAACAGTGAATCACATCACCAATTTTCAAAACACTGAAGGAAAGGAGGGGATCCTAAAATCTTTCAGAGAGATGAGCAGGAGACGTGCGATAGGTCACATACAAGGTACTATTGGGGTTTTCTCAACAGCAATACCACAAGCCAGAATAAAATGAAACAATGCTCTCAAGATTTTGAAAGAGTATTATTTTCAAATTAGATTTTTTTATCCAGTCAAAGCAAAGTTGTGTAAGAGTAGAATAAATCAGATATCAAATATATATATTCTCCAAAAATATCCTTCCCAAGTCTGCTGTCTAAGGAAACTACTCCCACCAGAATGAATGAGTAAAATGAAGGAGAAATAATGATCTGCAGGAAACCAGACGTTTTATGGAAACCAGCGACAAGAATGAAGTAAAGAGGATCAATAGGATGGTGATGTAAAGACCCCCAAGCATAAAGGGAGACCTAGAGCAGGTCAGAAGGCTTCAGAGAGAATTCTTTAGGAAGATTAATCCTGATGCATCTCAATGTTTTAAATTAATATTAGAAAGTTGCCAAAGAGTTCAGGATGAATTATTGCATATATCTAATTACATATCAAAGCAATTAATACAATAAAGCAATTACTGACCTTAGGAATATAACATCGTTATCAACAATGAAAGAATGTGTGCAGGAAATGAATACTAACCACATACCTATATATCTTATCTGTAAAGTATACTTAGTCATGGTATGTCCTGAATTTTGATCCAATAAAAATTATGTTGAACTATTTTGAGATGATGAGGGCAAAGGTAGTGGAATATATGGAAAAGACTGTTAATGACTCTTCTTGCAGAGTGAGAAGTCAATAGATAAAAGCAGAAACTGAAAAAAACATGAAATAATAATCAGGCATATTCTATAGAAACAGAGAGAGAAAGAACAACATAACCAACTAAAAGAGGCAAAAGTAGATGGGTCTTATGAGAGGGAATTAAGAGATATTATGCTATAAGCTGCTATTTTTCTAAACCAGCTATAACATTTTCTGACTGTTCAAACCATGCATGTATAACTAGTAAAAAGCACTAACAGATGTAAAGGCATAATGTGGTGATATCAGACCCATTCATTAATTATTTCTTTAGTATATACACATTTAAATGCTAAATTCTACTCTGTACTATGAAGAACATTTATTAAATATCAGCTTTTTACATAAGGATAAACTAATATAAAGACTTTAGGCTTTGCTTTCTGGTTTATTCATGGAAAAAAAAATACTTTTAAAGGCAGATGCAGGTTTTCATGCCACATCATTTTCCAGCCTGTCATCTTTCCATGTTCTGAGTAGAGAAAACAAAAGTTATCATTTTTTATATCTCTGATATAACTGCTTTGGCTGTGGGAGTGGGAAAGCACTGCCTAATGTTTAGCTGACATTTTTAAAAAGACAAACGTTGGTAAAGAACATTGATAATCAAAACTATTAACATTTATAGAAGGCCTGGAATACTATCTCATTTTTTTCTGGTGTGATGTAGATTAGTGAAAGGAGAAGTCACACAAACACAGCAGAAAGTAAAGTGAGGGTGCACACAGTGGCTGGAAAATCAGTCTATGGAAAGCAGAGTAGAGATGGAACTGCCCATTCATAATTAGTCATATGCCCTCCATGCCAGGAGAACTTCTGCCACTATCTATGTGTTTTCAGTTCAGGGAATTTTGACAAACATCAGATACTCCTGGTTCGAACAACATATATAGGAAGGACAGGGACACATATTACTCTTAGTGGACAAAAAGGATCAGTATTTTCCTTCTCAATCCATAATATAAAAGTATAAAATGTCAAAAGGCTCCCTGAAGTCATTTAGTGGCAAAATGTCACCTTAATTTTCATGAGATTATTTATAATGTTTACTTATTCCATTGAGAGTGAATATTTATACTTTTCATTGCAGAAATATTAATTTTTGAAAATGAAGGCTACCTAGGTTCCACTGGGGGTATTAGCTACTATATAGCATATAACATAGTATTAATTTTCCAAAATCTGAACAATTCTGAATTATTAAGCATATTTGTCCTTTGGTTAAGAAAAGGTAGACCTATGTTTGCCTCCAGTTTTCCAGTGTGCAGAAAATCTCATTTGTTTGAAGTATACTATAACCAGTGAACATTTTACTAGGAACCAGAAAAACATCTTTTAAAGCATATTAATATACCAACATAATTTATAGTGTATGCAGTACATTTGTGGAATGTGTTACCCTGAATTTTGGCCACTTTTATAGTGAATAAATCTTGTAGCTTCCAAAAATGTGCATAGTGGAATAAACATTGTCCCATGTGCCAATCATTAACACTTTACTATTACAATGGGAAGTAGCTTTTAAAATATATTATTAAGATACAAATTTACCTATTATAAAATCTCATTAAGATTATTTTAATAAGGTTTAGGATTGACTGGTTGTAAAATTCTACCTGTCCATTCTTTGCTATTATTCTCTCAAACAACATTTATTCCATTGTGTCATGTGTAAGGAATCCTGAAATAGTTTCAAGAAACCCACAATCAAATGTTTATTATGCATTTCTTATATTTTCAGTTATAGATAATACTATTATAATACTTATAATACTAACACTAGAGGAGTTATATTACAAGTTATATTACATCAAATAATATACTTGAAAATGTTACTTCCACCTATTCAAAAATGAATAGACTATTGTTCTTTAAATTTGAAGAATAAGACAGCATGATTTTTATTTATAACCCCTACTTAGCTATGATACATTGATTAAGGAAATCAATTAGTTTAGATTCCATAGCCAATATGAAAGCTCAGAATATTTCTGTCAACTAACTTAATTACATATGTATGTAGGAGAAAAAATCAATCTTACTGTAAGATCTGAAATTAAAAAATAGTACAAATATTAACACCAATAATGATTATAGAATGTCAATAATTATATCAAGTATTCTGTTATGACTATAGTAGCTTTATAAGCTACTACCAATTATTTTATTTTCTTCTACAAGCACCACTTTTTCTATCAAACTTTTATACTTAAAGCATATTAATGTACCAATATCATTTATAGTGTATGGAGTACATTTGTGGAATGTGTTACCCTGGATTATGGCTACTTTTATAGTGAATAAATCTTGTAAATTCCAAAAATGTGCATAGTGGAATAACCATTGTCCCGTCTGCCGATCATTAACACTCTACTATTACAATGGGAAGACAATTTCAGCAAAACAAAAACAATCTAACAAGACTGAATCTTTAAAAATAATAGCTTATTCTTTATCTAATTTTGTTCAAAAGCCATACGAGAAATATGCATGCAATTGGATTTTGTTATGTGGGTATATGTTACATTTTGTCCTTGTTACTGATTGTTGGCATGCATCTATTGTTTAGTCATTGTTTAAACTGTGTTTTGTGTGTTTCTTTTTCCCTCCCGTTGTGTCAGTCTCGAAAAATAGCATCACAAGTAAGTATTTTCTGTTTGTTTCCCTTTCCTCAAATGGTGTAATATATTAATTCAGAGCTATTAAAGAAAAATAATATTAAATATTGAATTTAATACTCAGACATTAAAATGAAATAAATCATTTAAACTTAAATGCATATAAATGTTTTCTTTTCAAATTAATGTACTTATATTTCCCCAGTAAATTTCCTGGAATTTGCCATTGTAAAGATTAAATTCTAAGAAGTATTTGTTTCGATATTTGTGTGCTAATTAAAGTTAATAATGAAAGATATTTCAAGATATTATCATGGTTTTTAAAGTGATTAGAAAACTAGTTTTCTTTTGCTTTTCAACTTTTTAGAGTAGACCTCCTTTACTATGCAGGAGAACCCTTATGTTATTCTTAGTGCATTCTCTAATTAGACATAAAAGGTTATAGATTTCAGACTGATTTATTTCAGAAGATGTTTTACTTAACCATGGTGTATGTAAATATTCTTAATAATATTATAGTGAGACGTCTTAAGATCTCTCTTAGCAAATTTCAAGCATATGATACATTAACTGTAGTTACCATGCTGTACTTTAGGTATCCAGAACTTATTCACTTTATAACAGAAGGTTATCTTTAACCATCATCTTCCCATTTCCCCCATCCTCTGGCCATTGGTAACCACCATCCTACTCTTTTTCCATGAATTTGACTTTTTGAGAGAAGGAGAACAACATGGATGAACCTGGACAAGATTACGCTGAGTGAAATAAACCACATGTTTACAAAAGATGTTTATAGTTTTTTTGGTCTTTTCTACACATCACCTTGGGGCGTTAATCGCTTCCTGTGGTTTCAACAAGTCATCTATGTTGATAGATGGCAAAGCTGGGTTTGTAGCTCTATCTGTTCTAATTCCTTAACATGAAACACAAATACATAAACTTTATCTGGAAGATCCTCTCCATCTTGTTATCTACCAGAATTACAAATATTTATTGGGTAACACTAGGCACCAAATGCATCCAGGTAAGTACTTAAGATACATAAGCAAAAAAAAGGTTTTTCAGAGGGTTGACATAAAAACTTCATGGCCTTTCTTCGATTTAATTAATTTTGGTGGATTTAATATACCAAAACTTTCTTCCCTTCAATATCTTGCATAGTGCAGCCAGATTGATGATCATTTTTCTTTACTCACATGATAAAGAATCCGTAGTGTATATCTGATGCCTACTATTTCAAATAAAAATTTTTATTGCTGGATTTTAAGCTACTCTATCCTCTTGTCCCATTCCTGGACAAGTCACTTATCCAATTATTTTGCCTGACCAATTAGCACTGGGCTTGGAACACAATGATCTGAGTTTAAATCTTGCCCTCTCCTTTTACTAGCTGTGCCTGAACTTTGGCTATATGTAGCAGAGTGAAGATTAAGTAAAAAACATATTCTTATCATTTCACAAGGTAGAAGAAAGGCAGAGATGTGTGGAGTGAGTTGTTCAGTGTTAAAAGCAAGTAATTCTGTGGCAAAGCTCATAGAGTAACGTAGATCTTACTTCATCATTCTTCATTGGTGCATTGTTTTTGGGTGGATGATACCACCTCAGAGAATGTTCATGTCAATTCACTTAAAGTTATAAATAAAATATGTAAAGTAAGTATTCTCGTGATTAAGTACTTTCATATTAGTCAAGCACAGCTGTGTTCACTGACCTTCGATGCATCCTAATTCACAGATAGGCACACACAAACACACACTCGCAGACATAATGAGTCTGAGCTCATCTGTAATTCTGTTTCACTTTCTCTCTAACAAAAACTGTACTCTTAAATCTTTCTCTTACCTTATTTTATAATTTTTTCCTAATATTTTCTAGTTCTACTGATTCTTAATCTCATTCATTCTCAAACCCAGGAAAGCATTTCTTACTTTCATTATTTACCTACTTTAACTTAATAAGAGTTTCACTGGCACACTTACTAACAAGAGGCTATTTAATGCATCCAATTTATTTGACTTAATTTAACTACGTAGTCATGGCTTTCTGTCCACTTAACGTCTTAAACTGCCTAAAGATCATTCTTGTACTTAGCACTGCCACAGAAAGTAACTTAAGCTTTTAATCACAGCTCCCTGTCAAATGGCTGCTAGTCTACAAAATGAAAACTGAAGAGAAAATTATAAAGTTGATTTAAGTTCCCTAGGTCTTCATAAGGAAGTCATGATCTGTAAGCAGTGGTATATTTAGATCCATAGTACTATTTTAGATAGACTATTTACATAAGAATACAAATATTTGTATTTACCAGGTCTTATAGTATTCTTTTCTTTAATTAAAGCATTGCATGTAACATAAAAATTTTCTTTCCACAGGCTTATTTATCCATTGGTTCTCAGATGCTGCAAAGGATAAGGGAATTATGTGTGTGTGCGTGTGTGTTTGTGTGTGTGTGGTTGTGTGTGTGTTTAAAATCTTTTGTGTATGGTTGGGGAGGTGCTGTACTCACATTAGAATCACTGTACTGGCTTTTGAAAGCTTCACAGTTAGGTCCTTTCTTCTGGACTATAATATAGTGAAGGTGATTGAGTGATAGCCCCTCTGGCCTACCTTGTAGTGTGTAGGTTTTACACATACATGCACACACACACACACACACACACCTGCATGTTGAAACCATTGCTTTAGTCTATATATTTCAGTAACTGGCTTACCTTATAGTGTATAGGTTCTACACTTACACGCACACACACATACACACACACTCATATACACACACATGCATGTTGAAACCATTGCTTTAGACTATATATTTTGGTAATTCTGGAAAATTATAAATTGCACTGCTAAGTTAACAGAGCTGGCAATGAAACCGTGATTCTAATGATGCATACAATTTGACTGCCTGTATGCGTACGTTGAATTTGTGTGTTTATACAATGCTTTTCTCTTTGTTGATTTTGTTTGTAAGTCAATTATAGAGTCTAACATGATTCAGCTGTCTAGCAATATTCTTTACAAATATATATAAATATGCATAATATATACAAACCTAAGCATACATACTTAATTTTTTGTGTGTAGAAAGCAAATACGTTTTTATATTTGGTGATGTGATTTCTAGACATTTAGACATAAAATGAACCTTTTGGTTACAGAAACCGTTCTTTAATTTTCTAACAAATGAAAAATTAATTATAATGAAATCAGTCTTGATTTGGGCTAGGCTGATTTAGACCTTGGGCCACTATAATCCCTACCAAATAAATAGTAGATGGGTAAAGACATGTTTTGAGATCCAAAAAAGTAGTTATCAAATTTACATCAATAATAATTTTGGTGCTAATAATATTATTTTTAAAATTTGCATTAACTTTTAAAAGAAAAGCAATTCTATACCTTTAGAAAAGATAAAAAACATCCCACTACTGCACAGTGAAAGAAAACAGAAATAGTCTGATTTCATAAGAAAAACAATTAAAAAATAGTATTAGTGACATAAATGGAGTCATATGATGGAGAAACATGAGAAAATTAAGGCTATTTTATTAAGTATTTAAAATAAATTTCTGAACACCACAACTCAAAAGTTATGAGTACGTTACAAAAGGATTGTAAACCTTAAATATTGAAAATTGTTATTTGGAAAATTTATTTCTCAGGGTCATTGGTAACCTGTGTAGCATACTTGTATGAATGCAAGATGCATGACCTGTATTTGAAACTTCCGCCATAAGCATTGCTAAATAAACTAATAACATTTTCTCAATTCTCCTCTTCTTCAGTGTCTTTATAACAATAGGTATTTTTTATGGCAGGTAGATTACAGGGGAAAAAAAGGCTGTAGTAAGAGCTAGTTGATAATATCCAACACCTCATTTCATTCCAAGAAAAAGACTTCTTCCTTGGCCTCCATGATAGCTAATTTTTGTATATAGTCCCATATTCTTAATTCCTAATTTCTCTTCTGCTTACTAGTCCACAACTGAAAATACTGAGATATAAAACTTGAAATTGGGAGCTTACCTCTAAACTTCTGGACTATAATACACTGAAGGTGATTGAGTGATAGCCCCTCTGGCCTACCTTGTAGTGTGTAGGTTTTACACGTACATGCACACACACACACACACATATACACACACTCGCATGTTGAAACCAGACCATTGGGCCACTATAGTCCATACCAAATAAATAGTATGGAAATCATGCCTACGTTTTTATTATTGTATCCAATGTGCTTTGCACAAGTGCTCAACATATATTTGCTAAAGTCAATCACAGATATCTTTCTTAACATAGAATCATTCTTTCAGATCTGCTCACACTTACATTAATTCCATCTTTACACAATTTTATTTGTACCACTTCTGTCATTAATTTTGGTACCTATCATTTTACCCTTAATTATTATGTAATTGTTTATGATTGTACGCCTTTGATTTCTTCACAGATTATAAGGTGCTAAGTGGATGGGACATGTATTGCATTATTTCTTTATTATTATTATTATTTTTTACCTAGATCTAATGATTGTATACATAAACTGGATATAGTTCTGAGGAGAATTTTTACCACTCCACAGAGGCAGTGTGGAGAATTCACCCAAAATTTGGTTTGGATGTTAAAACTGAGGATGCCACATATGCCCCAAGAGTTTTTGTTGAGTTTCTTTTTTTTTTGTGGGGAGAGCAAGATGGGCTCCTAAGTAGGTCTGAGGAAGCAGATCATTTTTGTTTTGGCCTTTATCATGTTTAGGGCTGGGTTTTGGGTGAGGTTTCTCATGCATAAGGAGCATAAACTTCCTGCTAGGGAAAAAGGAAGAAGTGCCCAGGCTTTCTTATCAACTAGCTCAAATCTGGGGCAGAAGGTTGCATTGGATCTTGAAAGCTGTCAGCAGTCAAACATCAAAACTGGAGTGAGACACTGTTACAGTTCACTCGTGATGTTGGATGGGTGACTGAAATGTGCCTTGTTTCATTTAATAAAATGCTCCGTGAAGCTTGTAGCCTGTGGTTAGTAGGGAGATGAAAGTTATCTTAAATGCCTTGTTCAAAAGCACAGCATTGTGTATTTTGGAAAAGTGAAATTCATGTCTTGGTCACTTTCAATGATGTCTGGAATATAGAAGGTGGTAAGAATTGTTTTGATGAGCCTTGTATTATGGTCTTAAATGTGTAGGTGTATATGTATGTGTAA
Organism: Homo sapiens; assembly: GCF_000001405.40. Taxonomy (NCBI): domain Eukaryota; kingdom Metazoa; phylum Chordata; class Mammalia; order Primates; family Hominidae; genus Homo; species Homo sapiens. The sequence continues at coordinate 117,968 of NW_025791754.1, read as the reverse complement.
AGACATGTGTGACCTTGATTATTATTTTGTGTATGTATGAGGCAAGGGATTCCCAGAGTTCTTTACCTTGGAGGGCAACCTTGGATTAGGAATTGTTTCTGCCGTTGGCTGGACCAGATGGCCAAACCACAGGCAGTGACCCAAGAGTCTGTAGAAATGTGCAAGTGGGACCTGTTTTTATCCAGGGTGTCTAGTGCTCAAATGATTCCCTGCTAACCTTTGGGTCCTGTCCTTTGTTAGGTCTGTCATTTTAAGGGATCAAAAGCAGCAGTTCTCCAGTGAGCTTCATCACATTTAACACAATACCACCATCCATGCACTGTTCACTTGATTAATCCCAAGGGGCTCCCTAGGTAGCCAAGGGATTTAGGATAGGAGTGACATGCTCAAGTACCATGGCATATGACAAGGGGCTGAGGATAGGGGAAACTTTTCCTTCCTGCAAGTGACTTATGCCCAAGTTTGGCCCTTTCCTATAGAGTCTTTGGTGGCTATGTCAGACTTGCAGGGTGATGCTTTCATAACCAAAGGCACAGTGGACCACTGAGTGCACAGTCCTGAGCGCAGGGCATCTGATTTCAGTAGAGCTCAGTATGCAACCAGCAGTTGCTGTTCTAATGGTATATAGCATGTAACCAAGGAGGATAGTTTTTGCTACCAGAAGCCCACGAGCACCACTGTGGTTGATGCAGGAGGCAGTAGAAGAGGTGAACAATGTGATTGCCTATTGTAATTGCAATTTGGAGAGATTCTAGAGCCTTCTGTTTTAAGGGGTCTAATTCAGTGTGGGCCAGTTTGCAAGTAGGAGCATAAATGGGCTTAAGTAAAAAGTGATACTTGTTAATGAGGAATATCTTCCATCCGAAACCCCAAAAGGCCTAAAAATGTTAGTTTTGTCTTAACATTGTGGATACTGACAGGTCATTGTTTCTCGAGCGTGTCAGTGATGAAGTAGCCTTTGATCAAATAATGCTCAGAAATTTGACTACACTGGGGAGCCTTGCAGTTTGTATAAGACAATGGTCTATTCTTTCTTGTGAGCTCCTTTTTGAATGTTTATTCATCCTGAATGAGTGTGTCAAAGGAATCTCCTTGGAAGAGCATGGCATCAATGTAATGTCATACCTATTTTCCCACAGAAACTTGGATGCAGTAAAGATCTGCCTGCAGAGGGATTGTTTGTGACAGCAGGACTGTTTAAGTATTCTATGTGTAGTCAGGTAGAGAATTTTGAGTTCTTTTGAAGATAAAGAAAAGCTATAAGCCTTTCCCTGTAACTGTGGGGATCGGGATCTGTGTTGTTACAGAGGCATAGGCAGCAACAGCAGCAGGAGCATTTTTGTGGGTGGCCAAATGAGCTATCTCCTTTTAGGAGTGTAAGAGGCTATCAAAAGAGGCACTTAATAGAACATATTTGTCAAATCCTTATGACTTTATGACTACAAAGTATTTACAAATTGCTGATTGAAAGGAGTCAGTAGTGTCACCAAGTAATGGTGGCCTTAATATGTGGAACCACAGCATTAAGCTTTGGATGATCTACTACCAGCCTCCATTTATTTTTTTCAGGTTTAAGAACAGGCCAAATTTGACTATTAAAAGGAGAAGCAGTGGTGACTATTACCCCTTCTCTAAATAGTTCTTAGGTAAGGGGTTCCTTGTTCCAGTTATTGTAGTCCTTATTAACTACTTATATTGAGAAGACAGAAAATGCATGTGATTCTATATTGTCAAACTACTTGTACATGTCAAAGATTTGATTTGATTTACTTTAATTTGTCATTAATTGGTTCAGAGCATCCATGTCTACTATGGGATATTTTTAGACAATATCTGTTATGACCATGGAGTATTTAGGCCAGAAAGTAATTCTGATGGTTAAGATAAGGTATATTTATTTGCCCTGTATTTTATATGTGATAATCACCTCCATAAGAGTAAGGGGAGGTACCTTTATTTTAGTGCAATTCCCATATTTAGGGTACTTTGTTTAAATTTAGTGGCATCTCCAGTGATAACTATAGTTCAATCCTCAACTTTGATTAAGTTTCTTAACTTTTGCCAATGGGTGCGTCTCAGGAAACATATAAGTTAATTTGGAGCTTATGTTGTAGAGGCACAACACCATTCAGCAAACTTACCTGCCTTTATAAATTCTTCAAGTAATTTAAGAATTTCCAAGTGGGACAAATTATAGACTTCTGTTTATATTTTTGTTTTCTCCTGTGTATCCAGTTTTCTGCTTCTTCCTCCTATATCCAGTTTTGTTTTTGTTGTTGGGGCTGGTGCTGTTTTTTGTTTGTTTGTTGTTTTGTTTTTATTTTCTATCCTGCTCATTTTTACAAGCCTCCTTCAGAGAGTCTCAAGTAAGTATCATCAGGGTTATGGGCCTCCCTGATGGCAATGGTTGCTTCATCAGATTTTAAGTTCCCTAGATTGAAGTTGGGTTTGAATTAACCTCTTGGGTATGCCACAGAGTCCCATGTTTGCTTTTCTCTATAACTGTGGGGATCAGGAACTGTGCTGTTATGGAGGCATAGACAGCAACAGTAGCAGAAGCATTTTTTGGGGTGGACACATGAGCTATCTCCTTTTAGGAGTGTGAACCTCAGCATTCCACATGGTAACTGCTCTTCTTCCATACAAGCAACCACCCAATGGACCTGTATAGTGCACAAAGTAACAGGTATTTTTCCTAGGACACACTGTAGAATGGGGGCTGATGCATGGTTGAGACATACAACCAGTGATCACACAGTAGGAATTATTCCCCTGTGCCTAGTGTCAGCCACATTTCTTACTGGATACCAACCACTTGATTCAATATTAGACACAAAGATAGGTCTGGGCTAAGACACATGACATGGAGCTATTACCAAACTCCCGTTCCTAAATATTACTGATGCTTCCAGGCATTAAGTTCATTTAATTCTAAACAGAAACTTGGAAAGACTCAGCAAATGCAGCATAAATTTGCACAGGTTAAAGTATGCTTGCCAGTGGGCAGAAAAAAACTCAAACAGCATAATTGTCTCGACAATACAACAAATTAACAAGGCAAAACATAAGAAGAGAGACCCCCAGTGGTGGTGGTCATTGCCTAGATACCCCTTGCTGTGCCAGTTGTTAAGACTACCTTTCATAGATGGGATAATACCCAACCACCATCCCAAATCCAGTCCTGTTGAGACTGATGATTGCACACCTGCACTAAGAGGGTATTGAAAGGGCTACAACTCATATAATGAGGCTTTCCATGGAGAGTGAGGCAGGCTTCCAACCAGGTCAAAAAATGGCTTGGGCTGGAAAGAGCAAGGAAAAGAAACTGGCTTGGCTTTCATCACGATTAAGCATTGGGGCTGGGCTGGGCATGGTGGCTCACGCCTGTAATCCCAGCACTTTGAGAGGTTGACATGGGAGGATAGCTTGAGCTCAGGAGTTCTAGGCCAGCCAGGGCAACATGGTGAAACCCCATCTCTACAAAAATACAAAAATTAGCCAGGCGTGATGCTCCATGCCTGTGGTCTTAGCTGCTCGGGAGTCTGAGGCAGGAGGATTGCTTGAGCTGGGAGGTGGAGGTTGCAGTGAGCAGAGATCCTGCCACTGCCCTCCAGCCTAGGCAACAGAGCAAGACCCTGTCTTAAAATAAATAAATAAATAATTTTTAAAATTAAAAAAATATATATATTGGGGCTGGAGTGAGGTCCTACATATAGACTGGGACTTACCAGCTTCCCCATCCATGGGGCAAAAGGGAAAGGAAGAGTGTTGGCACTTGAAAGCAGTCAGCAGTCTAATGTCAAAAATGGAGGCAGACTATTTATGATGAGATATGGTAAATGAATGTCTCCATATCTTGAGCTGATGGAGAAGACTTAAATTTCTAAATAAGTAATGAAAACTCAGGAAGTAATGTATATACCTTCTGCCTGTCATCCTCCCATTTATGAATTACATCACCAGAATTCTAGTATAATAAGACAAACCATTAAAAACAATGAAAAAGTCCCCTCTCAATTTGTTCTTTTTAACTCAGATACATTATTTAAGTTCTAAGAGCAGGCAGTCATCAAGTGGTTAGCAGTTACATGATATTAATATTCAGTGTTATAAAACAGGAACAAAAACATAAGATTTTTCTGTGCTTAAAGCAATAGGAAAAGCATTAAGAAATTGAAGCCTTATAAACCAGCTGTTTCCAAATGACAGCTTTGAAAGATCAAGAAAAAAAAATCACCAGCAGGATGAGAAAGAATGCCAAGATAATAAATTAGCTAGATTCCAAATTCCACAGAGACCAAAGTGTAAGTAGAAAGTAGAGATTGAATTAAACACACACACACATATACACACAATGCAGTAAAACCAAGTCATCAAAGAGGTGTAAATGTGCAAGTTAATGTGTACATTTAAAAATGTATCATAAAAAGGAGATGGAAATAACCAGAAATATAACAGTGACTATATTTGATTTATCTTTTAGAGATAATTAACCAAAATGTAGATGAGGTTGGATGGAGAAAGAGGTGCTTCGTTTGATAGTAGTGAAAAACCACTAGCATGAATTTGTGGGTTATTTAATATTATCTCTTAATAGATAATTTGATATTTTTTTCACTTGGACATATACATAAATTTTGCCTTTTGAAGTTATAGAATTGGAATGCTGAGGTAATAGAGGTTCTACCTACTCCGAGTATGTTTTATATTCATAGAATTATATATTGGTGGTTTGCTGCACCCATCAACCAGCAATCTACATTAGGTATTTCTCCTAATGCTATCCCTCCCCTAGCCCCCCACCCTATGACAGGGCGCAGTGTGTGATGTTCCCCTCCCTGTGTCCATGTGTTCTCATTGTTTAACTCCCGATTATGAGTGAGAATATGCAGTGTTTGGTTTTCTGTTCTTATGTTAGTTTGCTGAAAATGATGGTTTCCAGCTTCATCCATGTCCCTGCAAAGGACATAAACTCATCCTTTTTTATGGCTGCATAGTATTCCATGGTATATATCTGCCACATTTTCAAAACCATCATGGCATATGTATACCTATGTAACAAACCTGCACGTTCTGCACACGTACCCCAGAGCTTAAAGTAAAATTAAAAAAAAAAAGAATTATATATAGGTGGAACTGAAAGATACCTAAGAGACCACACAGATGAGATAACTTATTTTTATGTATGAAAAAGGAAATCAAAGATTAAAATAATTTTTGTCATTCCATCAAATTATTGGCTTTAAAAATGTTATTATTTGAACATGAATTTCTTTAGTAAATATTTGGCTTTAAATTTGCTTTAGAGTTTAAATACTAGGTTCTTATAAATTTTGTGTTTTCTTGTCATGAAGACAGGGTATTTTCCTGTCTAAAATTACATTATTTTCTAAGAATCTCAATGATTTGCTTAAGGTCATAAAATATTTTCCTGAGGTGGTTGAAAACACAGCTTATTTATTTGATTCCAAATTCAACATTTTTTAGACTATAAGATTGTTTATTCTCTAATTGTCTTTTTGATTCCAAAATTAATTTGGAAATGCATCAATATACAGTGTAACTAGCTATTTTCTTTCTCTGCATAGATCACAGACCACGTGTACATATTAAATTGAGCTTTGGAAACTGGTGAAACATCTTTCTTTAGATTTTTTTTTAAATAAAAATAAGCTTTCAGTGAACTCAGAGTCACTGAAATATATAAGCCTTGGTGCTTATATATTTAAATTTAGATGATCCCTCAAGTATTCTTATAATTTAACCTTTACTTAATGGAAAATATCAGATAAGGATTCTTTGAGAAAATGTTAAACTAGCACATTTTAGTGATTTCATTTTCTTTTCTTCTTTAACAACAATTCTAACTTCAATCATAAATTAAATAGCACAGTTTAGAGTACTATGAAGTCTGTAAAACTATCCTTAAGGGAGTCATGAGTCCAGATTACAAACACTCATTTTCAAACTACTAAGTGAATTGATTTATTTAAAATACTACATTGTTCTATAGATTGCTCAATAACCTATGACGTGAATAATTGTTCAGTAAAAAATCAAGAAGAGGTTGAATTGAGTCACTTTGATGTGTGTGTGAAGAGTAGGGAAAAGAGTGATGTATTTAGTGTATCTGACACTTTCTACTTTCCTTAAAACTATAATATAATCAGCTATTTTAGGCATAAGAAATATTTTCTTATTTTTTGTGTTTTTAATTATTATTCATGTGAAGAAATACTTTTAGCCTTAAAAATCATATTAAGTATGATAAATATTTAGGAAGTAATATAACTTTTAGAAAATGATAATATTTTAAATTTGTATGGAAATTGTTGGAGTAGTCATCAATTTTTCACTTCTTTATTGAACTGTATATATTACCAGAAGCATTTCATTTACATATGCAAATGTATTTTCGTCATTCTCACAAACATTAGTATTAAATTTTGATTTTTCAAGTTAACGATTATATTATGTGCCTTACAATAGAAAAGTCAGAGTTCTGTAGTTATTCCATGGAAAAGTACAAAATAATTCATAGAAACTGTGCAGAATGAAAAATATTCACTTTCACTTTAAAATTTGTTTTTGTTTAAATTTACTAAACTTTAACCAAGAAATCTTTACAGCCAAGAATATGTTTTTAGCATCTTGATTTATTCAGAAGTCTAGTGATAGAGAAAAGTGCACCCAAAATATGAATGATTCCCTCTCTTTTTCATCCCCATTTTTCACTTTTTACATACCCATCATAATTATTTCGTATTATTTTCTTCCTTTTACTGTCCTTTTATACAAGGTCATAAGCCATAAAATATGAATATTTATTGGGTGTTTTCTAAGACAGACATCTTACTATGCCTTTTCATGCATTATCTCTTTTATGTCTTCAGAAAAATTTGATAGGCAAAGTAGTAATGTAATAATAGAATGACAATTTTTTAGAGAGGGAAATGGAAATAAACTTAAAGAGCTTAGATTACATAACCAAGAAGGCAAACTGGTAAGTGGTAGAACTGTTATTTAAACTCAGGTCTGATGCTAAAACCTTGCTTTTAACCACTCTATCATTGTGACTCTGAGTTCAGGAGAAGGTCCTACTATAAAGGCACTGTTGTGTATCCAGCACTATACTATTTCCACTAGATTATGATGGCATGTTTAAAACACAGGAGAGTTACAACTAGAAGAAGAAATGACATCAGGAAAGTATATTTATAAATGGACCTCCTATTAAAACACACAAACACACACACACAAACACACACACACATTCAATATCCAACAAATAGAGTAATAAACGTTTGTTGCTAGTGTTATTGATATTGTGGATCATTTTACAAGGATATATTAATGATATTATTGTTATATGTGAAAGTTTACAGTTGACAGATGTTTTCTTTATATATTAATGTGATATGAATTTTCACATTTCTGTCAAATAGAAGATGGCTGTTATTATCCTCACTTTTTTATAGGGGCTATGCAGTTTTATTGTGGAGAAAGAGTTAGGAAACATTCAAAACAGAACTCAAATTTGTGTATATTATACATATAAACTTAATGTACTTTTTATTATGTCCTGTTGGAAGAAAGAGAAAAGAATGCAAATTCCAAACATGTAAAGAGCAATTGATGTGTTTTGGGTTTGGATTTCCTAAAATTAACCCTCAAATTCTTCTCATTTCTTTTTACTGTAGTTAAAGTGAGGTTAGTAAAGAAATGTTACTTATTTTATGGAATTATTGAAAAAAAAGATGAGATTCTTACAGATTTTTATGTACAAACTATGACAGTTTCTCTTGGGGGTATTCAAAATAATGCTGAATAGGCTATTAAATATTGCTTAACTAATGTATACATAGGTTTCAGTTCATCTTGTAGATGTATACTTTACATGATGCCTGATACACATGGCTAAGAAAAGCATTCACAAAATCAGTGTTTCATCTCCTACTTGGAAAAGAAGTGAATCCCTATGCTCCCATTTAAAATTTTTTATTAATTTATGGTTTTGTGACTTGAATTATAAGTGATATTAGATGAACATAGTATCTTTAATGTTTGGTTTGGCAAGATTATTATTTCCACATATTTGTAGGAAATCAAACTATCACTCATAGGGACTTATGACTAGAAAGAGGAACAAAAAGATCACTTCAAATAAATTTAAGATTATGATTAAACTCTGCAAGCAAGTCTCTAAATATGACTGAAATATCATATTTTCATTGTTGCTACAAAGTACAACTATATTACTAAATACATATTGATATTATTGTTGGTGGTACGTATTACTTAAGAGTTTATGTGTTTTACTTCCACAGAAGTGAATTTTTAGTACATTATCAAGTAGGTGAGAATAGAGTTAAAATTTTATAAAAATGTTCATTATTGTTAAACCATGGTATTAAAAACTTTTAATGCTTAGAAATTAAGTTCTGGTAGATAAAATATGGTTTCTAAAATCATTTAATCTCAATTATTTTATAATGAAGAGATGAAGATTTTTTGGATATCCCTCTGATATAGTACTGTTTTGAAACAGATGTGGATTAGTATTTGAATTTTTGGATGAAATTAAGTGTGAGAGAATTTCATAGCTTGCCACTGGGAATTGTATATAAAGCATTGACTGAGCCTGTATAATTTATATTCACTTTTAAAGGATTTTATTGGATCTACTTCCTGACGTTACTTAAATTGGTAATTTAAATTCTATTACTTTAAAAGCCAGCAACACATGCATGCTATAACTGAAGTTCAAGATTCCATCCGTAGAAGGGAAACACAGTTCACAGATTCATGAATGCTGCTCTTAAGTACAATAGTATTCAGGAAATTGTTCATTTGCATGTGCATGTTTTTAGAAAGTAAGACTTTCTTCTTTGATCAGTGTTGCATTTCATATGACTTCCTAGTATGAAAAGCAACAATTTTGAAACAGTAAGTATTGCTTATTAAAGGCTTAAAATCAAAGGAGAGCATCTTACTTTAAAAATCAAATTTAGTCATAAAAGAGTAAGTCATAATAGACTTTGTGAGTTTGTTCATTGTTTTTCCCTCCTATGGAGAACAGCCTGTTTTAAGTCTGAGTTGTAATTCTACAGTATATTTGTGAAACATTAATATTTACAACATATTTTCACTCAGAATACTTAGAATACTTCCTGAATTATGTTTTAATATTTTAGTCAGAAAAGCACTTTATATGGTTAATAATAAATGCATGAGTTAAAAAGTGAGTTTTGTTTTCTTCTGGAGCATATGAGAGAATTTTAAAAATTCACATATTATAACGTTCATGCCAGTGCTGTCTTTAGAAAAAGCAATAATTTAAAAACAACATTAATTCCAAATCTAAGATAGTTATCTTAATTATTTAAATTGAGTGTGAAATACTTGTAATAGGTTTAGAAAAGTCCATTACATGGATTTTATTTGGATAAAGTTGTAAAATGTCTGGTTTTGTATGTTTCAAACAACTGTATGCTAGTAATATCATAAATAACTATGTATGCTAAGTAAAGTTTATGCCTAAAAATTAAATACTTTCATAAAAATTTGTACCAGAGGATACAGGTATTTATTTTGCCTGATTTATATGTACGTTCAAGGAAACATACATTTTAATATTTTTAGTAATGGAAAATTAGAATCAAAGACTGATTTTGCTCTTTCTGTGAAAACTCTCCTGAGTAGAAATATAACAATATATTAGCAAATAAAATATTATTTCAACTTCAAGCCATATTTATTTCTAAAGTATCTAATTATCAATATCTATTTCCTTTAAAGTCTCAAATATCTATCAGTGTAGAAGAGTGGGAAGACACCAAAGACTCCAAAGAACAAGGGCACCACCGCAGCAACCACCGCAACTCAACATCCAGTGATCAGTCGGACCATCCCTTGCTGCGGAGAAAAAGCATGCAGTGGGCCCGAAGACTGAGCAGAAAAGGCCCAAAACACTCTGGTAAAACAGCTGAAAAAATAACCCAGCAGCGACTGAACCTCTACAGGAGGTCAGAAAGACAAGAGCTTGCTGAACTTGTGAAAAATAGAATGAAACACTTGGGTCTTTCTACAGTGGGATATGGTATGCTCTTTAAAAACTACTGTATATATGGACTCGTGATTTCTTGCCATTAGTAGTAATATAGTTGGTTCTAATTTAATAAAGAATTGAATTTTTGCTTCACAGGTCAATTAGTAGAAACTAGTGATACATCTGATCTCCTACAGAAAATTTAAATGATGATGATAAGATAAAATGCTAAAAATTTTCAGCGTTTGCTGAGTCTGCTAGGTACTGTGCTAAACCCATTACATGAATTATCTTAATTTTAATTTTCACAAAAACTCTGAGCCAGACCCTGTGTTTTCATGTTAGAAGTAAAGAACCTAAGTCAGGTAGCCTTCTAATTATCATCTTATTCTAGTGCCTGAGATAAAATGAATTTGAGGCATTGACAAGTAACTGATTGTATTGGCCACAGGTAAACCAAAATGTTCTTATAAAATTTGTTTAGTGTATGTGGTTTAGAAACAAAATCTTCAAAAACTTTAATTTTGAAGCTCAAATACTGCTTTATCTCATATAGTGCCAATCTGTCTCAATAATTGTTCAGTTCCTATATATGATCCATAATTGCCATATAGACACTATAGACACAGCTTAAATAAATAATGCAAAGCTTAAATAATGCAATTATACATTTAAAATATATCATTTATCAGTGTATGAATTTTACTTTAAAAAGATATTTAGTCCAGTCAAAGGAAAACCAAATGATAAACAAGGTGTTTTATTTTACGTATATAAATATGTAACATGGTAAACCAGGAACTCAGATAGGGTTAGTATCATGCAAGTTAAGAATCAAATAGAAGGTATTCCATATTTACCCTTTTCTCTTGTTTATTATTGAAATCTCAACATGAGGCAATGTTCTTAGGAAGAAATTTTAGTCTTTGAATTAGAGTTTAAGAGAAGTTGCCTCTGTTTCTTTGAATAAGGAAAAAACCCACATATTAAGTTAGCACTACTCTATGCATAGCATGCTATGTGTGCTACTCCAGGAACTATGCTAGGTGCTTTATGTGTATATTCTTGTTACTCTTTATAACCCTGATTTGATAGGTATCTCATTTTACCTTTCAGAATTTTGACTTTCAGAAGTTAAAGACTTTGCTCAAAGACATACAGTTAAAATGTGTTGTAGTCAGGACTCCATATATAGTTCATAATTATATGATACTTACTTAAATGTAGTCCAGATTCATCTGTGACAAATAATTTTAATATAATCACATTTAATGTCTTACATTAAGAAGCAAATTAAAAGAAAAAGTAAGATCGTCATTTTAGAAATCCACTAATAGCTATCTGCCAATTAATTTACATGGAAGGTGATTATATTCTTAAAAGGATTATAACTGAGAATGCAGCCCAGCGGGTCTCAGCCTTATTTTGCCCAGCCCCTATTCAAGATGGAATTGCTTTGGTTCAAACGCTTCTGACACTAACACTGTTTTTTATATATATAACAGATCAAAGGATATATATATATATATATATATTTCCATGATAATCACCTGTGAAACTGTCAAACTTGAGGAAAATGGTGCTTTACAAGTGATGTATTAGGAATCTTATTTTTATATTGTCTAAAGAAAAATAATTATATCTCAAATAACACAAAAAACTCATAAGGAAATGTTGAAAAATATTTAAAAATTTAAGTCACTAAATTGCTAATATTTTTTTCAAAGAGTTAGCAAACACTTTAAAATACAAGTTGTCACTAATATCATAGAGCAGTCAACACTGTTGTTGATTAAGTTTTTTCAGATTACCTTTGTTAAACCAAAATTAAATAATGTGAAATTATAATTTATGGAAAATGCTGTCATGGACCACAGCTTACAAGGATGTCATTTTTGTTTGGCTTAATTTTTTCATGATTGATTTCAGGGTTTAAAATTTGGCAGAACTGTTAGCTTTTTTGGGGGGAGTAAAAGGATATACCAGGCTTAAAAAATGGCTCAGTGGTACCAGGTTTATAAACTTGATTTCAGTAAATTTTGAAAATCTGATGCTTGACTATAGAAATTATTGCTTTATGATCATGGAATAATTGGCAGTTGTTGAGGAAAAATATGGAGATAAGTTCCAAAAGGAAGGGCAAGATTTTTATACTTGTGTTTATGCTTATATAATACTATGTGAAAACTCAACTATGAAATAGTGGAGACACATTTTATTTGCCTTTTGAGAGATTAAAACAAAGTTATGAGACATTAAATGCCTTGCCCAGAGTGATTAACATGCAGGAGGAACTGAAACTCTGACCTTATCTGCAACTGTATAGCACTATTAAAATTGTTAATATTTTCTGATATACAGGTTAGGCTGAAATAATCAAGTCATACAAATTCTCATGCATTTATTATCTGAGATATACATATACCTACTCCCAAAAGATTCTGCATTAGAATACAAGTACACAATATTTCACTTGTAATTCCAAAATCCATAATTTCTGAAACCAAGGTTTTAAGTAAGTTTGGCACTAAAATGTGTTTGGATATGGAAACTGATCCAAACTACCTGAAATGATTAAGTATCCTTTACTTATCCTATTTATTGTGAACATATATGTTTTACTGCAGAACCATTAATTTCTCTGCTCCTTCAAACCCTACTGTGGATGCTACACATTATGCGTTATATGCTCAGTAATATTTTCTAAATCTGAAAAATTTAGTTCTCAAACACATCTAGCTCCAAGGGATTGGGAGGTGAAATATGAGGACCCATATGCTTTGAGGAAACAGCTAAAGTGACAATCTACACATTCTGCTTGCTTTTAATTAATTTTTTGTAACTTTCTTCAATATAATTTTTAAAATATATTCACCTCCAAGTTGGACAAGCCGTGTGTTCTTTGGCAAGTCACATCTCTCTGAACTTATTGTCCACCATCAAATGAAGATAATAAAGTATTTCCCAGGGGTATGATGTGTTAGTTATAATTGTCAAATAATAGAATGCAAGTGAAAAGATTTTTTAATCTATAAACTCTATTGCAAATGTGAATAATTTTTTTTCTGTTAATAACTAACATTATTCCTCAATAATCTGTTTAGACTGACTCTCACGCTCACGAACATTGCTCTTTGTTATCTATTGATGGATTTTATGATTAGCCCATAAAATGGTATTTCTAGTAGTATATATTGGCAAGTAAATCTTCCTGATGTGACTGCTGATAATAGGTACTAGCTGATTTGGACGTGTATTGTTATAAATTTCATACTGTTAGTAAAAGATGAAAAGCCAAGGGAAGAATAAAAAGAAATCCTTTTAAATAAAACAAGATAACTAACAGTGTCTAGGCTTGTCCTTTATTATACCCAAGAGAAATTCTTATTTTTTTGTCAAGGAAATTATAATTTGCCTAAAATAATGAATAGAGTAACCAAGAACTCTTTTATAGCTAACATGGTGACTTAGTTCTTAGTCATTGTCTTTCTTATGCAAAAGAAATAAGCAAACTTAACAAGAAAGAATTGTTATTGTTACTCAAACTATGATAGATTTAACAGCAGTAGTAATAGTAGTGGTGATGGTGGTAGTAGTAATAATAAGACCATCATCTTCTGTTTTCAGCTCATAAGTTTTCGTATTTTTTAACGAATAAATCAAATATTTTTCTCTAGTACAGATTTCTTCACAGATTTATCCTAAAACGTATTACCAACTGGGGAAAAGGAACTATGGCTAGTTATTTCTTTTATAATTTTTTGCAACTTTTAATAATTGGAAGGAATAATACAAGTATTTGAGATCATGCTAATGACTTCACTAACAATTTACTATTTCAGAAGGAATTGGCACTGGATTTTTATTGTTTTTTGAGATATATCATTTAGCTTTTCCTAATATAAATGAGTGTGTGTGTATTTTCCCCAGAAAATTAATTATATTCTGTATAATTCTATATTTCCAGAACTCTCAGGGTTGGCCCTCAAAAACACAAGAATGAATACATGGGGTTTGATTTATGTTAATCTCATTCTGTTCATAGAACTTTATTAGGAGTAAACAAACTAATCTTTTTTCTTAATAGATAAATCAATAAAGCATTCAAAAAGGGTAATTGATGAGTTAATGATAGGTAGTAAATGAAAATATTTGAGCAATAAATTGTTCCTATCTCCTTAAATTAAAATATAAAGTTTTACTTTATAGAGTTGTATCATATCCTTCCTAGAGCATTAATTTTTCAATGACACCAATATTTTGCATAATTTCTCACCATACTTAATTGCACTTATACATATATTTAATCTTTACAACTGGAAATTCAAGTGCTGTGTTTTGGCACATGTGTAGGAAAAAAGAGGCCAATTTGAATCAAATAAAATTTTTTTGTTATTGAAATAAGTTAGTTGGTTGAGTGAACTTTTTACTTTTAACAGTTTATTATGGGTTGAGTGGTTGAGTATAAATAGTCAACAAAAGAACAAAGAAAGAGCTTTCTAAATGCTGTAAAACAACAGGGAGAAACTTCTGATTTTGACCATCATTTATGTTCTCAACTGAAATAATACAAAAAATGTGAAACAATATTGTGCAGACTTTGGACAAAGGAAGCGTATAACTTTGTTCCCCAGGGAAAGGGAAATAGATGAATTAACTCCTTTATAAATCAAGGACTAGGATGCAAAATAAGAAAATATGACCCATAACCAGTATAAAAATAAATCAACAGAAACAGATTCGGAAAACACAGATCTTAAAATAGTTATAATATATTCTATATGTTCAAGGTGGCAGAGGAAAACAAGAACATGATAAGGAAATAAACTGAAGATAGAAGAGACCAAATTGAACATTCTAAAAATGCATAATTCAGTATTCCAAGTTAAATACTGGATGGGGGTGGCATCAGAATACCTACCACAGAAAAAACTATCAATGTACATAAAGCCATAGCAATAGACTATCCGAAATACAGTATAGAGAGAAGGAGGGAAAATAAAACTTCGAAGAACACATAGAATGTTAGTTACCAGTGGGACAATATCAACTAATGTAACATGCATGTAACTGGACTCCAAAAGGAGAGAAGAGAATGGATATTTGAAGAAACAATGGCCAAAATTTTTTCAGATTCGATGAGAACTCTACCTAAAATTTAAGAACCTCATTGAAACCCAAGCAATATAAATATTTAAAAATATAAATACTAATAAATACATATTAATAAGTAATGCCAAGAAACAATATACAAAACTGCTGAAAATGTTTCAAAAGGGCTAGAGGAAAAAACCACTTTATGAATGAGGAATATAGGTAAAATGTAAACAGACTTCTTGTTAGAAACTTTACAAAACAAAAAAATAGAAAGGCATCTTGAGAGTAGGAAAAAAAATAGCCCACCTATAACATTATATATAATATAGATATCTTTCTAAAATGAAGGCAAATAATATTTTTAGACAAACAAATGCTGAATTTGTTTATACTACAAAAAAATGATAAAAGGCTTTCCCAAAACAGAAGAAAAATGATGCCAGGTGGAATTATGGATCTAGACCAAATAGTAAATATATAGGTAAACATGCAAGCTATGTTTTTATTTTGTTAAAAGATAATTTACTGTTGAAAGCAAGTTTATAACATTGTGTGGTTTTTAGTACATATGGAAGCAAAAATGTCTGGCTATAATAACTGAAATAACAGGAAAGGAAAAACTGACGTATAATGTAGTAAGGTTGTTCTACTACATGTGAAATGGTATTATATTATTTCAGAGTAGAGAGTAATAACTTAAAGCTGTATATTGTAAACTCTATAGCGTGAGAAATAATAGCACACTAGTTTTGCTAAATAAAGCAACCATCCTTTCTTGTTTATGTGTTGTGCATGGCCTCTTACATCTACAATGTAAGAATTTAGTAGATGCAACAGTTATCATATGGTCTGCAAAGCCTAAAATATTTACTATCTGGCTCTTTACAGAACAAAAGTTTGCCAACCTATGACCTAAAGGAACTACAAAATAACTAAACCAAAATGATATAACTAATAGCCAATAGTGCAAATAAAATGGAATGATTAAAAGAAGAATTTTTTTAAAAACTCACTTCAAAGAAGGAAGAGATAATAAAACAATAAGAAAACACAACTAGCAAAATGAAACATCTAAACCCTAATATATTAACAATTATTTTAAATATAAAGAGACTGCACAGTTCAGTTGGAATGCAGAGATCATCAGGTGGCATTAAAGAAAGCAAAACGCCATATATGTTGCATAAAAGAAACCCACTTAAAAACAAAATTGGTTAAAAGGAAAAATATATTTTTAAATTTTTTAATTTTTGTGAGCACATACTAGGTGTATATATTTACGTGGTACATGAGGTCTTTTGATAAAGGCAAATAATGCATAATAATCACATCAGGGTTAATAAGGTTTCTATAATCTCAAGCATATATTATTTCTTTGTGTTATAACCAATCCACTTAAACTCTTTTAGTTATTTTTAAATGCACAATAAATTATTATTGACTGTAGTCACCATGTTTTGCTATCAAATACTAGGTCTTATTCTATCTAATTATATTTTTGTACCCAATAACTATCCCCTTTCTCCCATCCCCACTACCATTCCCAGCCTCTGGTAACCATCATTTTACTCTCTGTCTCCATGAGTCCAGTTGTCTTAATGTTTAGCTCCCACAAATAAATGAGAATATATGAAGTTTTTATTTCTGTTCCTGGCTTATTTCACCTAACATAATGACCTCCAGTTCCATCACATTGTTTCAAATTACACTATCTCATTCTTTTTTCAGCTCAGAAAAACAAACAAGCAAACAAACAAAAAACACACTGCTAAACACACTTTGGAAGGGCTAGAGGAAAAAAACACTTTATGAATGAGGATTAAATGTAAAATGACAACAGACTTCTTCTTAGAAACTGCAAATCAAAAAAAGTAGAAAGGCGTCTTTACTCCATTGTATATATGTATCATATTTTCTTTATCCATCCATCTCTTGATGAAACTTAGGTTGCTTCCAAATCTTGGCTATTGTGAATACAGCTGCAATAAACATGGGAGTGCAGATATCCTTTCTTTTGGGTATATACCTAGCAGTGAGAATGCTGGATCATATGGTAGTTATGTTTTTAGTTTTTTGAGGAAGCTCTCAACTGTTCTCCTCATAGTGGTTGTACTAATTTACGTTCCCACCAACAGTGTACAAGGGTTCCCTTTACTCCATATCCTCGTCAGGATTTGTCATTGCCTGTATTTTGGATGAAAGCATTTAATTGGGGTGAGATGATATATCATGGTAGTTTTGATTTGTCTTTCTCTGATGATCAGTGACATTGAGGAACTTTACATATACCTGTTTTTCATTGATATGTCTTCTTTTCACCAATGTTTATTCATCTCTTTTGCCCATTTTTAAATTGAATACTAGATTATTTCACATAAAGTTGTTTGAGCTCCTTACACATTCTGGTTATTAATCACTTGTCAGATACACAGTTTGCAGATAGTTTCTCCCATATTGTGGGTTGTAACTTCACTTTGTTGTTTGTTTCCTTTGCTGTGAATAAGCTTTTTAACTTGATGTGATCCCATTTGTCAATTTTTGCATTGGTTGTCTGTGCTTCTGGGGTATTAAAAAATCATTACCCAGTCCAATGTCCTGAAGAGTTTTCCCAATGTTTTCTCTTAGTACTTTCATAGTTAGTAGTCTTAAATTTAACTCTTGAATTTTGATTTATTTTTGTAAATGGTGAGAGGTAATGGTCTAGCTTCATTCTTCCACATATAGATATCCAGTTTTCCTAGAATCATTTATTGAAATTCCTTTCCCCAATGTATGTTCTTGGCACCTTTGTGGAAAATGAATTCACTGTTGATATCTGGTTTTGTTTCTGGGTTCTCTAATCTGTTCCATTGGTCTGTGTGTCTGTACCATGCTGTACCATGCCAGTACCATGTTTCATGCTGTGTTTTTATGCCAGTACCATGCTGCTTTAGTTACTTTAGCTCCGTAGTATAATATGAAGTCAGGTAATGTGATTCTGCCAGTTTTGTTCTTTTTTGCTCAGGGTAGCTATACTGGGTCTTTGTGGTACCATATAAATTTTAGAATGCTTTTTTTTTTATTTGTGTGAAGAATATCATTGGTATTTTGATAGGGATTACATTGAATCTGTAGATTGTTTTGGATAGTATGGGCATTTTAACAATATGTGAACATGAAATATCTGTGAATATGAAATATCATTCAAATTTTTTTGTCCTCTTCAATTTCTTTCATCAATGTCTTTAGTTTACTTTGTAGAGCTTTTTCACTTCTTTAAGTTAGTTCCTAGGTATTTAATTTTATTTGTGGCTATTGTAAATGGGATTACCTTCTTGATTTTATCAGATTGTTCACTGTTGGCATATAAAAATACTAACTTTTTTTTTTTTTGAGACAGAGTCTCACTCTTGTCATCCAGGCTGGAGTGCAGTGGCATGATGTCAGCTCACTACGTAACCTTCGCCTCCTGGGTTCAAGTGATTTGCCTGCCTCAGCCTCCCAAGTAACTGGAATTACAGGCATGCACCCCCAGGCCCAGCTAATTTTTGTATTTTTAGTAGAGACAGGGTTTCACTATGTTGGCCAGGCTGGTCTCAAACTCCTGACCTCAGGTGATCCTCCCGCCTTGGCCTCCCAAAGTGCTGGGATTACAGGCATGAGCCACCATGTCTGGCCATTGATTTTTGTATGTTGATTTTGTACCCTGCAACTTTACTGAATTTGTTTATCAGTTCTAATACTCTTGGTTCAAATCCTTAGGTTTTTCCAAATAGAAGAGCATATCATCTGCAAACAAGGATAATTTGATTCTTTCTTTTCCAATTTGAATGACCTTTCTTTCTTTCTCTCTCTTGCCTGTCTATTCTATATACACCTTCCAGCAGTATGTTGAATGATGTCGTTGAAAGTGAGCATCCTTAACATGTTCCAGATCTTAGAGAAAAGGCTTTCAGTTTTTCCCTACTCAGTATGATACCAACTGTGCATCTGTTGTTATGGTTTTATTGTGTTGAGGTTTGTTCCTCCTATACCCAATTTTTTTAGTTTTTTTTTAATCATGAAAGGATTTTGAATTTTTCCAAATCCATTTTTAGCACCAATTGAAATGATCATTTGGTTTTTGTCCTTCATTCTGTTGATAAGATTGATTGATTTGCACATGTTGAAGCATCTCTGCATCCCTGGGATAAATCCCACTTGGTCATGATGAATAATCTTTCTAATGTGCTGTTGAATTCAGTCTGTTAATACTGTGCTGAGGATTTTTGCATCAATGTTCATCAGAGATATTGGCCTGTAGTTTTGTTTGTTTGTTTCTTTGTCGATGTATCTTTATTTGGTTTTTGTATCAAGGTAATACTGGCCTCTTAGAAAGACTTTGGAAGTATTCCTTCCTCTTCTATTTTTTGGAATAGGTTGAGTAGGATTGTTATTAGTCCTTCTTTCAATGTTTGGTCAAAATCGGGAGTGTAGCCATAAGGGTCTGAGGCTTTTCTTTGCTGGGACATTTCTTATTATGGCTTTCATGTCATTATTTGTTATTGGTCTGTTTAGGTTTTGGATTTCTTCATGTTTCAATCTTGGTAGGTTTTGTGTGTCTAGGAGTTTATCAATTTCTTCCAGCTTCCTATTCATTGTCATATAGTTGTTCATAGTAGTGTAGCCTCTAAAAGATCCTTTGTATTTCTGCAGTATCAGTTGTAATGTTTTGTTTTCATCTCTTATTTTATTTATATGGGTGTTTCCTCTTTTTTTCTTATTCTGGATAAAAGTTTGTCAATTTTGTTTATCTTATCAAAAAACAACTTTTTCTTTTGTTGATCTTTTGTATTTTTTTCTTCATTTCAATGTCATTTATTTCTGCTCATACCTTTATTGTTTCTTTTTTTCTACTATTTTTGGTTTAGCTTGCTCTTGCCTTTCTAGTGCTTTAAGATGCATCATTTGGTTGTTTATTTGAAGTTTTTCTATTTTTCTGATGTAGGCACTTTTAGCTATAAATTTTCCTCTAAGTGCCGCTTTCATTGTACCCCATAGATTTTTGGTATGTTGTGTTTCCATTACTTTTTGTTTTGAGAAATCTTTCAATTTCCTTCTTAATATCTTCATTGAGCCATTGGTCATTCAAGATTATACTGTTTAATTTCCACGTGTTTGTATAGTTTTCATAGTTCTCTTGTTGATTTGTAGTTTTATTCCTTTGTGGTCAGAGAATATACTTGCTATAGTACCATTTTTAAAATAAATTATGAAGTCTTGTTTTGTGGCCTAACATATGGCCTGTCCTTGAGAATGATCCATATACTAAGGAGAAGAATGTGTACTGTGCAGCCATTGGATGAAATGTAATATGGATTTTGGTTGTGCCCCCACCCATATCTCATCTTGAATTGTAGTTTCCATAACCCCTACCTGTTGTGGGAGGGACCTGCTGGGAGGTAATTGAATCATGGGGTGGTTACTTCTATGCTGTTCTTATAATAGTGAGTTCTCACAAGATCTGATGGTTTTATAAGGGGCTTTTCTGACTTTTGCTCAGCACTTCTCCTTCATGCCATCATGTGAAGAAGGATATGTTTGCTTCCCCTTCTGCCATGATTGTAAGTTTCCTGAGGCCTTCCCAGCCATGCGGAACTGTGAGTCAATTTCTCTTTATACATTACCCAGTCTCAGGCGGTTCTTCATAGCAGTGTGAGAACCAACTAATACAAAATGTTTTGCCAATATCTTAGTAGATATTTGGTCTATAGCAAGGATTAAGTCTGACATTTCCTTGCTGATTTTCTGTCTGGATGATCTGTTCCACATTGAAAGAGGGCTGTTGAAGTCTCCAGTTATTATTGTGTTGGAGTCTATCTCTCCTTAGTTCTTATAATATTTGCTTTGTATATCTGGGTATTCCAATGTTGGTTGCATGTATATTTTCAATTGTTACATCCTTTTTCTAAATTTACCCCTTAATCATTATATATTGACCTTTGTCTCTTTTTATAGTTTTTACCTTGAAATCTATTTTATCTGATGTAAAAACATTTCTCCTAGTCTTTTTTGGTTTCTATTGGCATGGAATGTCTTTTTCCATACCTTTTTTTCAGTCTATGTGTGTCTTTACAAGGGAAGTGTGTTTCTTGTAGGCAAGAGATCATTAAGTCTTGTTTTTCTAATTCATTCAGGTGCTCTTGTATTTTGATTGGGAGGGTTTAGTCAATTTACATTCAATGTTTTCATTGATAAGTAACAACTTATTCCGACATTTATTTATTTATTTGTTTTTTGCTGGTTGTTTTGTGGTCTTCTCTTACTTCTTTCCTTCCTTCTCATCTTCCTGTTAGAGAAGGTGATTTTCTCTGGTGGTATACTTTAATTTCTTACTTTTTATTTATCATGTATCTGTTGTATGTTTTTTGATTTGAAATACCATGAGGCTGGCAAAATATCTTACAACCCATTTTATTAAACTGATGACAACATAACACTGATTGCATAAACAAACAAACAAGTAAAGAGAAAAGTAACCAAAACTCTACACTTTAACTTTATCCTCCACTTTTTAACTTTTTTTTGTTTGTATTTATATCTTATTATACTATGTCCTGAAAACTGGAAAAATTGTAGCTATTATTTTTGATCAGTTTATCTTTCAGTCTTTCTACTGAAAATACAAGTAATTTACCCACCACTATTACAATAGTATATTTTTGTGTGTGTATTTACTATTACCAATGAGTTTTGTACCTTCAGATGATTTCTTATTGTTTTAACATCCTTTTCTTTCAGATTGAAGAACTCTCTTTAGCATTTCTTATAGCAGGTCTGGTGTTGATGAAATCTCTCAGATTTGTCTGACTGGGAAAGTCCTTATTTCCCTTTTTTGTTTAAAGAATATTTTCAATGGGTTGAAAACACAAGGATAAAAGGATACAAGTATTATTCCTATTCTAGGATACAAGTATTTTTCCTTCAGCACTTTAAATACATAATGCCACTGTCTCCTGGCCTGTAAGGTTTCCACTGAGAAGTCTGCTCCCAGATATATTAGAGCACCATTGTATGTTGTTTCTTTTCTCTTGCTACTTTTCAGATCCTTTCTTTATTCTCGATCTTTTGCAGTCTGATTATTAAATGTCTTAAAGTAGTCTTATTTTGATTAATCTGCTTGATGTTCTATTATCATCTTGTATTTATATATTGATGTATTTCTCTAGGCTTGAGAATTTCTCTGTTACTATCCTGTTGCATCAACTTTCTAAGCCTATCTTTCAACCTCCTCTTTAAAGTCAGTAACTCTTAGATTTGCCCTTTTGGTGCTGTTTTCTAGATTCTGTAGGCATGCTTCATTTTTTAAAATTGTGCTTTCCTTTTTCTCCTCTGACCGTACTTTCATATAGCCAGTTTTCAAGCTCACTAATTCTTCTGTTAAGAGACTGATGCATTCTTCATTATGCCAGTTGCATTTTTCAACTCTAGAATTTTTGCTTGTTTCTTTTTAATTAGTTCAACCTCTTTGTTAATTTTTTTGTTAGGATTCTGAATTCCTTCTCTGTGTTATCTTGAATTTTGTTGAGTTTCTTCAAAACAGCTATGTTGAATAATCCATCTAAACAATCAAATATCTGTCTTTCCATAATTGGTCGCTGATTCCTTATTTTGTTTGGTGAGGATGTGGTTTCCAAGATGGTCTTGATGCTTCTGGATGTTCATCAGTGTCTGGGTATTGAAGAGTTAGGTATTTATTGTATTCTTTGCAATCTGGGCTTGTGTGTACCCATCTTTCTTGAAAGGCTTTTCAGGTGTTCAGACTTAGGCTTTGTTATTTTTTTGGGTTTGCTTTGGCTTTTTTAGAGAGAGGGTCTTGCTATGTTGCCCAGGCTGGTCTCAAACTCCCGGGCTCAAGCAATCCTCCCACCTCGGCTTCCCAAAGTTCTGGGATTACAGGCATGAGCCACCACAACCTGCCTGAGACTTGGACTTTGTGTTTAAAGTTTTTGGTCACTGCAGCCATATCTACTCACGGTGCACCCCAAGCCCTGTAATGCTGTGGCTCTTACAGACTTGTAAAAGTATTACATTGTTGGTATTGCATAAGATCTTGAAGAATTCTCTGGATTACCAGGCAGAGACTCTTGTTCTTTTTCTTTATTTTCTCCCAAGCAGAGTCTCTCTCTGTGCTGACCTGCCTGGAGCTGGGGAAGGGATAACACAAGCACCCCTCTGGCCAGCACTACTGGGACTGCAATGGGTCAGACCTGAAGCCAACACACTATGGGGCCTTGCCCAAGGCTTGTGGTAACCACTGCCTGGCTACCACGTATGCTAGCTGAAAGCCCTAGAGCTCTACAAACAGAAGGTGGCAAAACCAGCCCATCTTTTTTCCTCCCTTCAGGGTGGTAAGTTCCCTGCTTATTCTGGGCAAGTCCAGAGATGCCATTCAGGAGTCAGGGCCTAGAGTCAGAAACTTTAGGACTCTAACTGTTTCCCTATCCTACTGCAGCTGGCCTGGCACCAAAACCACAGGCAAAGTCCATCCCTCTCTTCCCTCCCCTTCCTATAAGCAAAGAAATCTCTCCCTGTGGCCACCACCACTCCAGGCCAATGTTGGGTACTACCTGGCTACCGTCAATGTTCATTCAAGGCCCACATGCTCTTCAGTCAGATTTTGGTGAATGTTGCCAGGCAGGAAACTCTCTCCTCAGGACAGTAGGCACCCCTTTGGCCCAGGGAAGGTCCAGAAATGCTGACCAAGAGCCCAGGCCTAGTACTGGGGACAGTAAAAGCCCACTTGGTGCTCTGTACCACTGTGACCAAGCTGGTACCTGGGGCTGCAAGACAAAGTCCCCTTTACTCTTCCCTCTCTTTTTCTCTAGCATAAGGAATCTCTTGCTATAACCACCACAGCTGGGAATGTTCTGGGTCATACCTGATGCCAGCACATCTCTGAGTCTCACTTAAGGCCCACAGCAAGTACTGCCTGGGTATCACAGCTGATTATTCAGGGCCCAAGGGCTCTTTAGTTGGCAGGTAATGAATGCTGCCAGGACTGAATCCTTCTGTTTAAAGAAGCAGGTTCCCTTCTGGCCGAGGGTATGTCTAGAAATGTCATCTGGGAGCTAGAGCCTGGAATGTGGACCTCGGGACTTTGCCTGGTGCCCTATCATACTATGGCTGAGCTGGTATCCAAGTTGCAACACAAAGTCCTTTTTACTCTTTCGTCCCCTCAAGCAGAAGGGAGAAGCCTCTCTTGCAGCTGTGAGCTGCACCGCCTGGGTTTGGGGGAGGGGTGGCACAAGCACTCCCTTGGCCATCCCAGCTGGTATCTCACTGGGTCATGTGCCCCATCAAGTCCATTGTCTTTGATTCCAACACAGCTCCAGGACTTCCCCAAGAATTTCAGTCCTTATGGCCTAGACATCCTTTCAAGTTTATTTAGAACCCCAGAGCACTTTAGCCCACAGTGACAAGGCTTGCCAGAACTCAGGTTCTGACTGCTGGAATAGGCAGTTCTTCTCTGGCTAGAACTTGTCTAAGTGTTCCCTCTGTGGGCACTGGCTGAGTTCTGCCCAGTGTTGCTTACCACTGTTCCAGGGCAGCATTGAGTTCCAATGCAGTCTCACAGTCACTGTGTTCTCCATTCCCCGAGTGCACAGACTCCCTGCACCATGTGGCCACTGCCAAAAGATAGGGGAGGGTTGGTGTTGGAAATTCAAGATGGTCTTTCCTACTCTCCTTAGTGCCTCTTTCAGTGACATAAAGTTAAAAACAGATGCTGTAGTTGCTCACCTCATCTTTGGTTTTTATGAAGGTGTTTTTTTTTGTGTGGATAGTTGTTCAATTTGGTGTTCTTGCAGAAAGTATGGAAGCTTCCATTTGGTCATCTTGCTTCACCTCCTCTGTGGAAAAACACTTCTTAAAAATGTTTTTTCATGCAATGAAAAGAAGAAAGCTAGAGTGGCTATATTAGTATCAAAGTAGATTCATGCAATAACATGGATTCAGCACAAAAGCATAGCTAAGAGAAAAATAGAAACACATTTTATTATTCCTAGAAAACTGCTTCTTGAAATCAGTGATTGCTAGAAGTTGGGATTGAGAGGAGAAAATTGACTACAAAAGGGCATGAGAGATCTGTTTGGCATTATGAAAATGTTTGACATCATAATTATGGTAGTAGTTGCCACACTATGCATTTGTCAAAACTCATTGAATGTGCACTTGGGATTAGTTAATTTCTTATTTTGTTTTTACCCAACGTACCTATGAGATAATCAAAACAGTGATGGTGATCCTAAAATAACTTCAATGATATGTTTAAAGTTATATAGGAAGTTTACAGTAACTTATAGTAAACCTATAAGTAAAGATTCCTGACACTTATTCTGAAGATCTGTATTATATAGTATGAAGCTATTCTAAGAAAATTGCTAAAAGGGTCTGTGAAGGCAAAAACTTTGCCTATCTTGTTCATTGCTGTGTCCTCAGAATTAGAGTTATCTGTGATCCAAATAATCATGCTGTTATCATTACTGAATGACTTAATCGAACACAAAAATAATGAATATCATGTAATAAATTACAATTATCAACTGATCATAAAAATGTTCTGTAAGTCAAATGAAAGTACTGCAGGAGAGCTGCAAAATTGGAAAGCTTGGTATGTACTTATTTTTAGATTTTTTAAGTATATGTTTAATATTGTTTTCTTCAATCCTCAACTATTACTTCAGTAGTAGTAACTTTAAATTTAAATCAATGGGTCCAATTATTAAAATAAAATTATATAATAAATATGCTATTTGTGTTTCCAAAATCTTTTAGGCTTTCTGTAATGTCTTGATTTTACATTTTCAGATTACCAATTAGATTCATCACTAAATTTTGAAGTACTTCACCTGAACACATATAAAACCTTTTAGTTGACATGCAATGAATATTCTATTTAAATATAAATGTACACTATGTTCCTTACTATGAAGACAATCTGTATAGTTTTGTCCCACATTCTTTAATATAAAATAGCTGTAATCATAGTATTTTGAAAGAAACTAGCATTTATTGATAGCTTCCATTCACCAGGGCACCCAGTAGCCTTGAAGATTGTGGTAGGGTAAGGGATATGGAGCAATGGAGAAAGCATCTTCACAAAACAAAACAGGACTTTGCACCATTGAAGAAATCATATATATTTAGACTAATTGTTCATGTTTGCTTTCTTTTGAATCTCTATCTTGTTAAAAAATATTGCAAGGTGGTTTTTGTTTTTCAACATTTATGAAACGTAACATAGGTTTTTAAAAGAAAATCTGTGTTTTCTTTTAAACACAAGTAGGGTAGTGACATAGGTTTTTAAGAAATATTGAATACTCTATTTTGAAAGGAAAATTGAGTATCAAGTAATTAGTTTTATTTGCAGGAAGCTAGTAAGTGATGGAGTGGCTCATGGCAAGTTAAAATGTAGCTTGTTCTGAAAATCTTTCTATTCATTTTGCTCATAGTTTCATATGATGTTGAATACACTGAATATTCATATGGAGATAAATTAAGAGAGTTCAAATGTTTTTAATAATTTTATCTTGCCTATCATAAAATGATTAAAAATCTTTGAATGATAATGAAAATAATTTTAAATAGAGGTCAGTTAAATGGAATTATTCTTCTTTAGTTCTTATCTCTAAGCACCTTTCACACCCTCCAAATATACTGGTCAGTTCAGTAACAATAGATGAAATAGTTGTACTCATAAACATAATTTGGCACTAAACTGGAATACATGAGCAAATTGAGTCAGCACTGTAAAACTAGCCAGTTTTATAGGTGGATAACACATAATGTGTATATAAGTTCAGGTGAAGGAAAATGAAATCTTCACTAGATTATGCTATTACCAACTATGTAGAAGAAGTAAGTACAGTATGACTGAGTTTAGCTTCCCTGATAAGGTATTTCTTGTACTAACAAAACAAAAACAAAAACAAAAACAAAACAAAACCCTCTTTCTCATATAGCACCTATTTCTTTTACTTATTTTCTCCCATTGGCATTCAAACATACTGTGGTATCTCCCAGCTTAAAATTCTCTGTCTCCTTCTCTAAGTCTCTTTCTCTGTCTTCCTTTCTCTCTCTCTCTCCTATTTCTGTCTTCCACATCATTTCTATCTCTCTTCCTCGCCCCTTTTACTAATTTATTCCATTTCTATTGTTCTCTTGCTACCAATATCTCTCACATGGGTTTCTGTTTCACAATGACCACCTAATAGTCCTGAGTTTAAACTTGTCCCACACAAAGTTAATTTCCCACAAAGCAATCAAAGTGATATATTTAATGTAAAATTGTTTCATACCACCAGCCTTCCCCTCGATCCTTACAAGCTTTCAATGTTTTCTCATTGCACTTTGAATAAAATTCAAACTGCTGACCAAGGGTAAAGCCCTTCAAGAATCTGGTCCCAGCTTGCCTGTTCAACATCATCTCAAATTAATCTTCTCCTCTCTCACTTTAGTTTAGTCCATTCCCTGGTGCCTACTTTCTGCAAATTAAACCAAATCATCTCTTGCTATGCCATTTGCCCTTCTATCTGTTCAAAACACGCTTTCTCTATTTATGCATGCCCACACCTTCACATAGCAATACATATATAATTGTTTTTTATAACTTACTGCTTGATTTTGCCTGCTACTATAATAATACATAACCTTTATGTTGCACTTGATAGCAATAAGATACTAAGTACAAGAACTATAAATCAATGTGAACATATTATTTTTAAATTATATTTGTTATTTATTTATTAGAATAAATAGAATAAATGTTAATTCTAACAACAACCTGTGAGATTGCACTGTTGCTATCCTCATTTTTCATGCCAGGATGTTAATCGCAGAGAGATTAAGAGAAATTAAATAATTTGCCTAAGATCTCAGAGTAAGCAATTGGCAGATCCATAATTTCAAAGCAAGCAGTCTGGATTCAGAGCCTTTGTTCTAAGTGATATCTTTATATTATATAGAATGTTCCTCTGACTACACATGATACAATGGATATGTGTTTTCAGAAGTTATATTCGTGTACTAGGGCTGCCATAAAAAAATACCACAGAGTGCATGGTTTAAACACTAGAAGTTTATTTTCTCACAATTGTGGAAGATGGAAGTCCAACATCAAGGTGCCCAAAATTTGATTTCTTCTGAGGCCTCTCATGTTTGCTGACAGATGGCTGCCTTCTTTCTGTGTCCTCATACAGTCTTGTCTCTGTGTGTATTTACTCCTGGTATCTCTTCTTCTTCTAATGTGGACACCAGTCCTATTGGATTAGAGGACAACCCTGTTGACCCCATTTAAACTTAATTAGTTTTTGAGGCTCTATCTCCAAATACAGTCATCTTGGTGGTTAGCTTTTCAACATTGGAATTTGTGGGGGAACACACAATTCAGTCTATAACAGAAATATTATTTAATGGTAACCTACACAAATATACAAAATATTTAAATTTCTGTCTTACAAAATTCTATTATCCTCTTTCAAAAATCCTCTTAAAATACTTCAACATGAAAATTTAAAACAAAACAAAAATATGAAAGTAATGTGTATGGAATAGGACTCATTAATCAATTATTTTGTAAGAACCATAGGAATATGATTCTGTCCCTTTTCTAATGTGATCTATTTACACAAACTACTCTAAGCAAAATATTTGCCATTTGAAGATTTTTGTTTAATAATTGTATATGCTAGTTAATATAGCAAAAGAAGTTTCTTTGTAAATGCTAGTAGCAATCTTTAAATTTTTCTCCATATAATTTATTTTAAAGTTTATAATATTCAAAAATATTATTTTCAGTTTTTATGAGTAATTTTATTAAAATAATTATGTCACTGATGAAACAGTACTTTTAATGAAAATAATTTAAACTTATAATTTTTTTATTTTGCTAATGTCGTATTTTGGTTATCAGGGACACAGTAAATATATTCACTGCAAATTCCCTTCATATATATTTTTATTTGGTAAGAAATAGATTCTGTTGTTCATGAAGCTAATTTACCAAATAAAATTTATTTTATTCAGTAAATATGGCATTCTTGGAGCAAAGCCATATTTTAATTAATTTGTATCTTTGCCATAGTCAATGATAATTGATAGGATCTTGAAGATCCTACAAATTTGCCACATTTTCACCTCCAGAATGAAAGAATATCTAGAAAACAACCATAGAGAATGACTGATGGAGACAAAATATTCCAGGATCATGGCTAATAGAAACTATTGTTGAATGTGGTTTTGATGTGTGACTGCAATAGGCTTTTAGAAAATCTCACTTTTTAATTCTTTTTTAATTATTATTATACTTTAAGTTCTCGGGTACATGTACACAGCATGCAGGTTTGTTACATATGTATGCATGTGCCGTGTTGGTTTGCTGCGCCCATTAACTCGTCATTTACATTAGGTATTTCTCCAAATGCTTCTTAAACACAAAGTCACAAAAAAGAGGGGCAACTGTAGGCCTTCTGTGCAAAGCAGCATGGCAGAGAACAAGCAGGCAAAATGTACCCTATAGGAAGGCACACGTGAAAGAAAAAGAGAATAGCTTTGAAGTCAGCAAATTCTTTTAACCTAATTCTAAAAGATAAGTCATTCCTCCTCCCTTAGGAAAAGTCAGTGAGGGGTGAGGAAAGAAACCAAGAGAGATTATTTCTGATTGTGATGCTTTCTACGTCTTGATAAGCCATGTATAATAATTGAATTGAAAACTTTAGCAAAATGCTTGCTCCAATTCCGTGGTTTGTGGGAAAATAAATATCTTCAGTAGGATAAATAATACAGGCTACTTAAGCAGAAAAAAAATATTGGCACAAAAATCATATCTCCCACCGGAAATTTCTCAATTATCTACACAATTTTTACATTTTTAACAGGCAAGCCAGGTCACCGATAGAATTTGGCTTGATTCTAGAACCAAGAAGTATAATATCCTGTTAATAATCAAGGATAAAGGCTAGGTGTTGATATTGACTGAGAAGTTATCTGTTAAATTGTTTTTTCCTGTATCACAGTTCAATAATGTCATTGTTCATAAAAGAAACGGAGTTATATATAGTCAAATAAGATGTAGATTTTCTAGTCCACCTCTTACTTTTTAGATTATTACAATTTAGTCTCCACAATGCACTATCAATCTGTACCTTTGCACAACAGTTGTAGAAATTCAAATAAGGGGGCATTTCTCAAAAAGCACATATGAATCAAAATTTCTTTTCTTATGGAGAAATAATCCTAGTAATCTCCTGCCAGTAAAATATGTTTTGAGTTGGAATTATACCTTATTTGTAGTAAGCATCAATATATATTCATTGGAATTCTAATCTCCAGACAGTTAACTTAGCCATCTAACACTAGATATGACCACCAGGTTTAGCAAATAAAAATACATGATTCCCAGTGGAACTTAAATTTCTGATAAACAACAAAGATATTTTAGTGTAAGTATATCACATGCAATATTTGGGATACATTTATTCTAAAAAACATTAGTTATATGATCAAGCCATTGTACTCCAGCCTGAGTGACAGACTGAGATTCCAACAACAGCAACAAAAATGGTAGTTGTTTATCTAAAATTCAGATTTCATGGGCATTCTCTATTTTTCCTGGCAACCCTAACACTATGGCATGATACAATTCCTTGTGTCTATCCCATAGATGTGGAGCTGAATATACTAATTTATTTGATTATGAATTTGGTGAGCTATTGATTGTAATAATGTTACTGGCAAACTTACAGTGGGTTTAATTATTTTGTGATTTTTCTGCCTTGAAAGATAAGGATTTTTGTTTTTACACTTTAAAAATGGGGCACATCTCCATATCAACTTGAAATACCATAGCCGAAAATAGTGTCTTTCATATTAAAGTGACAGGTTTCTCGTTAGAGGAACACAGTAGTCAACATTATTTTATGAATGTAATTTATATTCCAGTGCAGCAAATTGTTTATCAGGGTCAGCTACAAATATCTTGATTTTAGTTTAATGCAGTTATTTGAGTATGCACTAAATACTATAGGTATTGGTATGAAACCATTTCTTAGACTGGTATGAAACTTATTCTTAGACTTTGGGTCAAACTGAAAAATTTAGTTCTTTCTTCAGGAGCCATTCTTGTCTGCAACTGCAGTGCCTGGAATACTATAGCTCAAAAACAGGATTTTTGAGAGAATTCTCATAGACTGAAAACTTTACCCATGGGAGGAATTATGTTTACTGAAGTATATACATCCACA
Source organism: Homo sapiens (assembly GCF_000001405.40). Lineage (NCBI taxonomy): Eukaryota > Metazoa > Chordata > Mammalia > Primates > Hominidae > Homo > Homo sapiens. The sequence goes on along the minus strand of NW_025791754.1, from coordinate 86,564 downwards.
TAACTTTATATTTACATCTTATGATAATCTTGAAATCTAAAAAATTGAGACCACAAAGCTGTTTGCCTTTTATTTTTTTCAATGTCCTATGTAATGCAGGGTCAACATTTCAACTTGCAGCCTGAGGATGTTTTCAGAGTGAATTAATAAATTAAAAGGGTTCAGCTTTTCATTTTAAATATATACACATATATATATTGCTTTAGGAAAAACAAATGATTCAGGAGTACACTTCCCTTAAAATTCATGGTTAAATTCTGTTCTAGAGGATTCTTTGCATTCTGCAAAAGCATTAGGATGAGTTACATGAGATGTGTCATGTAGTGAAGCCAAACACATATTTAGGGTCTTCAAGCTTTTTAGACACATTTCTAGCATGTTTTCTAAACATAATGTAATTATATTATTTTTCCCAAGAATTTCCTGTGTGGATATTCTTTTCTAGGATTGTTATCTATAACCATGATTATTTTTTGTAATTGATAAAGCATAATAATCAAGTAAACATCTTATCCAGTCATTTATTAAAGAAAAATACTTTTTCAGTGTAATAAACGGTAAACTATAACTGTGATTATTCTGAACAGAATTAGATACTTTATTGTTATCATCTATTGGAACAAAAAATAAGTATGTGTCAGATATTTTCAATGACAGCAATTTGAAAATAGCCAAACTTATGTGCACAATCATGCTGTGGACAAAACTATACCAAGTTCTTGTTGACAGTTATATGGTTTGAATATAAGCTGTTCACTAGTAATTCCTGTAATTTTCTATAAGCAGTATAACAAACTTGGCATTTATTTATCTTCTAGATGAAATGAATGATCATCAAAGTACCCTCTCCTACATCCTGATTAACCCATCTCCAGATACCAGAATAGAGCTGAATGATGTTGTGTAAGTTGATCTCATATCTCATATAAGACAGATATTTTTAGAAAACTACTATTTATTTTTGTACTTATATTTAGGCCATAATAGCCTCTTATTTTTCTTATAAGTGCTTAAATAGTCTATACCTAATTTTATAAATAAACAAATGCATTTCATGTGTTGTGTGCAATATAAAAATATGATTGTTTAAAAGCAGTATAAAATAAAGAAATAGCAGCATGAATTCTGTATTATGTGAGCTAAAAAATATTTGGAAAAAATAAGTGAAGACGTGGAAGAATAAAAGAGCAACTCAACAGAAACAGTGAAATATCCCACACTGTCTAGTTCTAAATACCTTCAACTTCCCAAAAGCCAAACTGTGATTGGTCAAACACTTAATAGAAAAAGTTCTATGGGACTAATTTTATTTCTTGAAAAATAATTATTGAACATGTACAGTGGTAGCACTCACCTAAAGATGTGAGATAGAAAGACTAAGGCATTTTCTCTGACTTCAAAGTCCTTACACTCTAATTAACAAAGCTACAATTTACACATGAAAAATTTAATAGCAATACATAATAGCACTTTGTCACTAATAAACTAAGCATCAGTTGAGTGACATAGACAGTGCTTTTCTGAATTAATAGAAGGAGACATTATTGAGTAGTTGGAGAAATTATAAAGAATGTAAGACTTAAACTAGACTCTGAAGGGTAGATAGAATTTATGATGGTGGAGAAGAGAGGACATTCCAGAACAGAAAGAATGGCTTGGAAAATGCAGGAATTGCATAAAGTGTTTCAGTGTCAATTTGACTGGAGTAGAAATTGTGTATAGTTAGCATTTCTGTTGTAAGGCAAATGTAATACTGGAAAAATAAATTATATTTGCCTCTGGAAAGGTCTTACGTGACAAAATGAATTTAAAGTTGGCCTTATAGATGATGGACAGCACTTAGACATATATGAGCAAGTATGTAACAAGACTTTAGAAAAGGCACTTTGACAGTTGTTGGTGTAAGCCTAGGAAAGAAATTCCTTACAAGAATCTTCCCTTGAGATACACGACCTGTCCTGGGGTAGATCAAGTGATGTTTACCCAGGGTAACTAACTATAGATTGTATTACTGACATAAAACAAATGCCAAAGATCCACATGTTTTGTTGGATATTAGATCCATAGGATGTGTTTGTGTCTGTAATCCAGAAAGCAAGTGACAAAGTCAGAGACTAGCAGGACTGAGAACATTTTGTTATGCTGAGCATAATATGGATCCATGCAAGAGGTTTAGAACTAAATGTAATAATATGCAAAATTTTAGAAGACTCTTTTATATGTTGTCAGTTTTGTGGAAGATTTCGACTGGAGTGAAAAGGGTATGATTTTTTTAAAAGAGTTCTGCAGAAAACAATAGAATTGACTGATAGGATGGGTTAGGGTTGGGGTGAATATGAACGTAGGGAAAACAGTTAAAAAGCAGGTGTTAGAGAAACAACCATCTGTCATAGCATCAAGATAAAGCATTGTAAAGGCAAGCCCCTATGTAAATAGATTTATGAAGGCAGAAAATGAGACTTGATTATTGATTTGGGAATTGAAAAAGAAGTTTAACACAGCTTTAGGGTTTCAAACTGTGTGATTACAAAAATAAAAAAAAAATGTTGTTTCATCAAAACAAGTCAGAATGGGGAGACAATTTTCCAGGCAGGAAAGAGGGGCTGTTGGGTAGTAAAAAAAAAAGAGATGATATGTGGGTCCAGGTATATATGTATTTTTAATAAATGTTGACTTTCTAATTAATTAAGTTTATTGATATATAATAGTTGTGCATTTTATGAGGTACATGTGATATTTTGATACATGCATAAAATATGTAATGATCAATCAGGGTAATTGAGGTAGCCATTACCCCAAACATTTATAATTTCTTTGTGTTAGGAATATCCCAAATGTTCTTTTCCAGCTATTTTGAAATATACAATGAAGTCTTGTTAAGCATAGTTGCCCTACTGTGCTTTGAAGCACTGGAATTTATTTCTTCTGTGTAACTGTATTTTGGTTACTAATAAACCAGTTTCTCTCCATCTTCCCCTCCTCATCACCCTTCCCAGCCTCTGGTAACATTCTGCCTACTATCTCCATGAGATCAATTATTTTAGCTCACACATTTGAATGAAAACATGATATTTGTTTTTCTGTGGCTTATTTCTCTTAACACTGACTATGTTGTTTTTCTGTGGCTTATTTCATTTAACACTGACTATGTTGCTGCAAATGACAGAATTTCATCTTTTTTATGGATGAATGGTATTCTACTTTGCATATATACCACAAATTTTCTTCATCCATCCATTCAAATATGTTATTTAAAGTATAAAGAGGAAATGTCTAGAAAGCATTTAGATACACAGTATTGGAACTTTGAAGATAAGCTAGTTTTCTGTAGAAAAAATATTTTTTATCTTCCAGCTGAAAAAGGCTAAATAGGGAATGTTTTTTCCAAAAATATAAATACAGAAGAAACAGTAGAATAATTAGTGTTGTACTACTGACGAGTGTTTTGTTTTAGGGCAGAAACAGGAAGCATTTCAAAAACTTATTAGGAAAATAAAACAGCAGGAGTAAATCTGACCCCAAATAAGTGTGAAAAGATTCCTAAAATGCACCTAAGATAGAACTATCAAGTATAATATTGCTTTATTTTGCCATCTGATAATACTGGTTAGAATACAGGAGCATTGGGGAAACAGATGAATAACAATTTAAGCTAGTAGAATTCTTAAGTCACTGTCAAAAATTGTATCTGATGGTGATATTGAATTTATAAAGGACTTCAATTAGAGGAAAACATCTTATTTATGATGCACTTGGATTTTAATTACTCATCCTGGACCCTTCACATAGTATATTATGATAATAAAATAAAGCTGTTCTTTTTTCATGGCATCCACATTTATACATGTCTTTTTTCTTTTAAGTCCATAAGTATAGATAATTTTTATTAAATATCTAATCTACCCATATTAATTCCAGCCTTCTTATACCTTTTTTCAAATAAATATAATTGTGTTAATTATATAGAATTTAAAAAATTATGCTTACCTTATTTGTATTTTATAATAAATTATGTTTCTTAAGCTTAATACAATCATTTCCCATAATTATTTTTGACAGAATGTTCAAAGAAAATGTTGTCACCCTTTTGAGACTAAGAACATGTCATTTTGTCAAATATTTATGTTCTTGATTTCAAATGATGTTTAATCTTTTTACTTATGAATAAAATATGTATGTCACAATGTGGACAGGTAAAGTAGACATATTTTTAGAGAATTTTCTGTCTTTTAGATACTCTTATTTTTTATTAGTTTTAAGCTAAAACATCAACTTGACTGCTATTAAAAAAATAAAAAAGCTTTTCTTACACCATTGCAGTGATCTGTATTTGTGGCATTGAGATAATTAAATTTCAGTGGAACCAGAACAATGATAAATTATCATTTGAAAGATGCCTACCATGACATGTAATATATAAAAACACAGTTTAAGAAATTTGCTTTATTGGACTCATAGGTTTTGTAGTGACAATAATAGGAAAAGGAACTTTTGCTACTGCATCAATGAATGCAGAGAATAATGGATTATACTGTTATCTTTTATGTTTTTCTAAAAATTCACTTTCGGAAGTTTGTTTTAAATGAAGAAGCAACATTAATTTGATGCGAACAATAATAAATCACTAGATGATATGGTATTAAAAAGTGTAATGTGCACTATTAGTTTTCTTCATCAATCCACAATGCTATTGATATTTAAAGTAACTATAAAGCAGTGTGCATAGATGACAAAATCCAGTTAATAGGTCCAAGAACACTAGTCTCAACTTTTATTTGGTCAAAGAAAATAGACTCAGTGTTTTTGATTGCCTTTTCTCATTTTCATTAAGGAGTATATTTTGTGAATTTTTCCCTTCAGTCTTTAAGACAAAAGTGCAAACTTTATTAGCGTTCTCACTTTTTAATTAGTTTTCCTGTTCATTTTATATACTGCCTCTTAAAAATATTATAGAAGTATTAAATACTTCTTTCATTTGGACTTGGAACATGACTTTCTTAGAATGCTGTGTTGCATATATTTATTTTCTTCTCTCCTTTTCAAACCCTTAGTGGCTTCCTACTGCCTTTAAAACACAAATTGAAACTACTTATTCTGAAACTTAAGGTCATTCATTACCTGTTTCCTACCTTTGTTTTTGACTTTACCTACCATGATTTACTAGTTTTCTAAAGTCAAATCATTTCTAAGCACATCAGAAACATCCATCCTCTGTGGTCTCCATTGACAACATTTGGGATCACCTCCTGTTCCTTCCTCCTAAATCTTCTCTGAAGCCTGGAGAGGCAAGTTCAACCCAACCCCACAATAAAGCAGTTCCTAATTCTCTCTGTTGTTCTTTTTCACTTTGTATGATGTTTGGAATTTCTTTTTTTTTCTTCCATTATATCTGCTTCATAAATTTTACTTTAATCTTCTGCCGGACAGGAGTCATGTTTTGTGATTTTGTTTTAATTCTAAGGTGTTAGCACAGTTTCCTACAGGTGCTCAAGAAGCAGTCACTAAAGATACTCAGGCATACCTCAGAGATTTTGCAGGATTGGTTCCAGACTACCACAATAGAGTGAATATTGCAATCAAGCCAGTCACTTGAATTTTTTGGTTTCCCGGTGCATACAAAATTTATGTTTGCATTATACTTTAGTCTACTAAGTGTGCAAAAGCAAAGCATTATGTCTAAAAATTTACTTAATTAAAAAACAGTTTATTGCTAAAAAAAAAATGCTAGCAGTCATCTGAGCCTTCAGGGAGTCATAATCTTTTTTTGCCGGTAGAGAGTCTTGCCTCAATGTTGATGGCTGCTGACAGATTGGGGTAGTGGTTACTGAAGGTTGGAGGGGTGTGGCAATTTCTTAAAATCAGACAACAATGAAGTAGTATGCTGCATTGATTGACTCTTTCTTTCATGCAATATTTATCTGTAGCATGTAATACCCTTTGATAGCATTTTACCCGAAGTGGAACTTCTTTTGAAACTGGAGTCAATCCTTTCAAACCCTGCTGCTACTTTGTCAACTAAGTTTATGTAATAATATAAATTCTTTACAGTCATTTCAACAATGTTCATAGCATCTTCACCAGGAGTAGATTTCATCTCAAGAAACCAATTTATTTGATGATAAATAAGAAGCAACTCCTCATTCATTCAAATTTTGGTCAGAGATTGCAGCAGTTGAGTCACATCTTTGGGCTCCACTTCTAATTCTAGTTATCTTGCTATTTCTACCACAACTGCAGTTACTTCCTCCATTGAAGTCTTGATCCCCTCAAAGTCATCGATAAGGGTTGGAGTCAACTTCTTCCAAACTTCTGTTAATGTTGATATTTCTACCTCATCCCACGAATCATGAACATTGAAATTACTCTTTGATCCATGGGCTGCAGAATAGATGTTGTGTTAGCAAGAATGATACAATACTAATCTCATTGTACATCTCCATCAGAGCTCTTGGGTGACCAGGTGCCTTATCAAGGGGCAGTGATATTTTGAAGTCTTTTTTTTAAGTGTTAAGTCTCAACAATGGGCCTAACATTTTCAGTAAACTATGCTTTAAACAGATTTGCTGCCAGTCAGGCTTTGTTTTTCCATTTCTGGAGCATAGGCAGAGCAGATTTAGCAGAATTCTTAAGTGTCCTAGGATTTCCAGAATGGTAAATGAGTATTGGCTTCAACTGAAAGTCACCGAATGCATTAGCCCCTACCAAGAGAGTCAGCTTGTCACTGAAGCTTTGAAACTAGGCTTTGTCTTCTCCTCTCTAGCTACTTAAGTACTAGATGGCAACTTTTTCCAATAGAAGGCTGTCTTCCAAATTGAAAATCTGTTGTTTAATTTAGCCACCTTCATCAATAATCTTATTAATAGTTTGATTTTTTTGATAACTTGCTGTAGCTTCTGCATTAGCACTATCTACTTCATCTTGCACGTTTATGTTATGGAGGGGACTCATTTCCTTAAGCTTCATGAGCTAACCTCTGCTAGCTTCCTCTTCCATAGCTAACCTCTTCCATAGCTTCTTCACTTCCCTCACCTTTCAGAGAATTGAAAAGAGGTAGAGCATTGCTCTGGATTTGGCTTTGGATTAAGGGAATGTTGTAGCTGGTTTGATCTTTTTTCCAGACCACTCATACTTTTGCCATCTCAGCAATAAGGCTGTTTCCTTTTCTTATCAGTTGTGTATTCACTGGAGTAGCACTTTTAATTTCCTTAGGAACTTTTCCTTTGCATTCACAACTTGGCTAACTGGCACAAAAGACCTAACTTCCAACTTATGTAAGCTTTTGATGTTCCTTCCTCACTAAGCATAATCATTTCTAGCTTTTGATTTAAAGTGAGAGACATGATACTCTTCCTTTCACTTAAACAATTACAAGTCATTTTTGGGTTATTAACTAATCTAACTTTAATGTTTTTGTGTCTTGGGGAATACAGATGGTGGAGGAGAGGGAAAAGAGTCGAGGGAATAGCCAGTTGGTGGAGTGATCAGAACACACATATTTTATTGGTTAAAATTGCCTTCTTATATGGGTGCGGATAGTGGTATCCCAAAACAATTACAATAGGAACATCAAAAATTACTGATCACAGATCACTATAACAGATATAATTACAATGGAAAAAGTTCAAGTTACCAAATCTGACACAGAGACCCTAAGTGAGCACATGCTGGAAAAAATGTCTCCAACGGACTTGCTTGATTCAGGGTTGCCACAAACCTTCCATTTATAAATAATTCAATATTGGCAAAGTGCAATCAAGTCAAAAGCAATAAAAAAGGCATGCCTGTACATCATTTGACAGTCTAAAGTAAGACAACTCTCTGAAAACAAATTCTCACATTAATGAAATGTTTGAGTTTGGCAGATAAACATTTTTCTATTTACTAGCAGAATTAATTAAGAATTATTCTCTATACTTTAGTATTATCACTTACTATACCATAAGCTGAATTTTAGATAAATAATTTTCCTGCTAATTTAAACGTTATGCATTATATTCACTATAACATTTGTTAAACTGTTGATTTTATAGATTCATAAAATATTTAAATTGAAAAGACTATAGAAATTGCTTACATCAATCTCCTAATTTTTTAAGTGATAAAAATAAGACAAAGAACAGTTAAGTAATGGAAGAATGATGGCTAAAATGTAGGTCTCCTTCATAGAAAAATGGCCAAAGTAAGGGATAATAAGTCAACAGCATACTTAATCATAAAACTTTGATGAGACGAAGGTGCTGAAATTGATTATAATTGAAAAATAATGGTGACTGACAGTCAACATGCACAGGGAAAAAGATGAAGAAGAAAAATAATAGTGCTTGATTCATCAGCATTCATCATCATAATCTTCTCAGGTATGAAAATGATAATATTAACCATGCCAAATTGTAAAGGCCAACCAAACAGTGAGTTCTACCACCAATGTTGTATACAGACAGTTTAGATAATCTGAAAACTGAACAAATAAATTAGAAATATGAAGTGTCAGTGTGAATTAATGTTGCCTGTATTTACTATTGCAAAGTTATTTATTTTGTTTTCTTTTATTAGATACTTAATTCGACCAGATCCACTGGCCTACCTTCCAAACAGTGAGCCCAGTCGAAGAAACAGCATCTGCAATGTCACTGGTCAAGATTCTCGGGAGGAAACTCAACTTTGATAAAAATAAAATGAGAAACTTTTTTCCTACAAAGACCTTGCTTGAAACCACAAAAGTTTTGCTGGCACGAAAGAAACTAGATGGAAATATATGTAATTCTCTCATATTTAAAAACGTAATCTCTTCTCTTAGAAGTATAGATCATTTTGAAACTTAATGTACTACTTACTGGTACTCTCCCTATTAATATTTGAAGGACCTCAATGGAATAAATTTGAAAAGCTAAATTAAAATACAAAAATTTAAATCTGACATTTAATTGTTTTATAATAATCCAAACTCTATGAAAGCAATTTTAAAAATTATTAAGGTTTTATGAAGTTGACAAAATCTAACTATATTTGGTGCATCACAATGGACACAGAATGCTGCTGCTCCTCTTAAAAATTAAATGTGTCATATTATATTCTTTAAACTTACTGTTTTACAAAATTGAGCTCATCGTAAATGTCTAGTCTTCTCACATAGAGATTAACCAACAAACTTGTGTGGCTGACTTTTGTGTAAGAATCATAGTTTGCTTTAGAATACAAATCTTTAAGTCATTTTAACTTTTTTTTCTGCCTTACGATATAAAAATATTTATCTTAGAATTTGAGATGTTCATAGCATGTTTTATTACATTGAAGAAACTAAAACATAAATGAAAAGAAACACTAGGTTCCTGCACTTTTTGGTAACTTTATGTCTAGCAAATATTTTATGCCAAGAAAAGCATACTATAAAGCAAATATCTATTATTCTCCTAAACGAATGCCTAGCATAGAGAAAATACTTAATACACATTTGTTGACTTAAATTTAATTCAAGGATTGAAAAATTAACTGGATATCTTGAAATATACAGTAATGATTGTCCTTAGACTCTTGAACTTTACCATCTTTCCTATTCATATATCTATATAGTAAATTTCACTAGAAAAATTCTTTTAAAATTGACAGAAGATAATTTATACCTTTTATGGACTCTGAAGACACTTCAAAACATTAAAAGTCCTTATGTCTTTGGTAATGAAACAATAACACTCAATGAAGGATGTATTAAAATTTTTGACTTAATTTTGAAATCGTATATATGAGCTATACTTTAACATTATGAGAGAAAAGCATAAAACAAAAATAGGTAGTTCTTGGCTTTTAACATTAATGCAAATCATGCAGAATTTGAGTTATAAATTTAAATATAAATTGACCATTGATGATATCCAGTTTTTCATTTTTTACCTGTATTGCATTTTCCCCCTAGAGAAATAGATCAAAAGAGCACAAGAGTATGCGTACATAGTTTACCAGGTAGTAGAAGTGTGTTAAAATGTTCCTGTAAAAGAAACATTGGTAAATTTAAATACATACTGTTCTAATTTTGTATTTTTTAATTTTTGAATTTGACATTGAGTTTAATTCAGCAACAACAAAAAATACATATAAAACTAGAAAGGGACTTTTTTTCCTTTCTTTTCATAATGAAGCAGATCAACTTAAAGGATAATAAAATTTTTAAAGAAAAGATATTCTAATGTACTCTCAATAATTCTACAGAAATAAAACTGTAAAGTGCAATGTGAAATCAAAGATTATAGTCATTGTATAATTTGGCTTGGAGGCTATGAAATGTCTTTTTTTCTTTTTGGTATTTTACATTATTCACATTTTAGAATAACAAGAACACCAAGAATTACCCCTAAAACAGAGACCCTGTATTTAATCTACTTTGATCAGAGAAGTAGAATTTATAACAGGTTAGCTAAAATTGGGAGCATGCCTTAAAACTTAAAGATTGTATGCATATATGTGTATATGTTATAAACGTGAAATATATTTGACACACACATTCACATATAAATTGTTAAAAACTGAAGGCAGAATGGAACTAATATATGTAACAGAGAAAAACAATAAATTTTATGAACTTGTTTTATATTTGCATATCAAGAGTCAAGTATGATGTTTCTTTAAGTTGACTTTTTTTACTTCATTATTTTTAGGAATAAATGTAAGATTTTACAAATCTTTTATTTCCCCACAAGATCTGAAGTTTGGTATTTTTGCATTATGACAGTTGTTGAGACTAGGATTTTAAGCTAGGATATGATTATATTTCCTATATAACTAAAAATTTTGTTTCATAAATTTTAAAATAATTATTTTTGACTATGAACATTAGTCCAAATTTAATATTTGACACAGTTCATACCAGCTTGCTACAATAATGATAATTTATTAGTCTTTCTGTTATTTAAAGAATAAAAACATGCTTATAAAAGACTTTTAATGAAATGTTGCCTTTTTAAAATAATTATACTTGCACATGAAAATAAAATATAAAGTCAATAATAGTCCTTGTAGCCCAATGGGAATTGATTCTGTTTATTGTCTGTACCATTTTGCTACCAGTTACATTGAACTGCTTTAAAATAAATAATAAAATTATTTCTAATGATGAAAACTCTTGATTTTTTTTTGCCAAAACTTCAGTTGCTTAGATAAATTGTGTGTTGGAACTATAAAAATCATTTTTCATTTTTATATTTTAAACCCAAAATAGCTATGGAGGTTATCTCATTGGAAAATTTAGTGATAAACAAACTTCTGTTGAATTATGTCTTAACATAATAGATTCTGAATAGTTGCACCATGTCAGAAAAGGAGAAGTGAGGAGGGAAGGAGAGTTGAAATGGGAGGAAATGAACAATAGGAAGAAAGGGAGCAAGAAGAAAACAGAAGGTAAGAAAAAAAATAAACCTTAGTGAAGATGTCAGAAGAGAAAAGTATTTTATGACACAGAATCATGTCACAATACCCTAATTTAAGAGTCAGAAAAGGGAGGAGGAGCCAAGATGGCCGAATAGGAACAGCTCCGGTCTACAGCTCCCAGCGTGAGCGACGCAGAAGACGGGTGATTTCTGCATTTCCATCTGAGGTACCGGGTTCATCTCACTAGGGAGTGCCAGACAGTGGGTGCAGGCCAGTGTGTGTGCGCACCGTGCGCGAGCCGAAGCAGGGCGAGGCATTGCCTCACCTGGGAAGCGCAAGGGGTCAGGGAGTTCCCTTTCCGAGTCAAAGAAAGGGGTGACGGACGCACCTGGAAAATCGGGTCACTCCCACCCGAATATTGCGCTTTTCAGACCGGCTTAAGAAACGGCGCACCACGAGACTATATCCCACACCTGGCTCAGAGGGTCCTACGCCCACGGAATCTCGCTGATTGCTAGCACAGCAGTCTGAGATCAAACTGCAAGGCGGCAACGAGGCTGGGGGAGGGGCGCCCGCCATTGCCCAGGCTTGCTTAGGTAAACAAAGCAGCCGGGAAGCTCGAACTGGGTGGAGCCCACCACAGCTCAAGGAGGCCTGCCTGCCTCTGTAGGCTCCACCTCTGGGGGCAGGGCACAGACAAACAAAAAGACAGCAGTAACCTCTGCAGACTTAAATGTCCCTGTCTGACAGCTTTGAAGAGAGCAGTGGTTCTCCCAGCACGCAGCTGGAGATCTGAGAACAGGCAGACTGCCTCCTCAAGTGGGTCCCTGACCCCTGACCCCCGAGCAGCCTAACTGGGAGGCACCGCCCAGCAGGGGCACACTGACACCTCACATGGCAGGGTATTCCAACAGACCTGCAGCTGAGGGTCCTGTCTGTTAGAAGGAAAACTAACAACCAGAAAGGACATCTACACCGAAAACCCATCTGTACATCACCATCATCAAAGACCAAAAGTAGATAAAACCACAAAGATGGGGAAAAAACAGAACAGAAAAACTGGAAACTCTAAAACGCAGAGCGCCTCTCCTCCTCCAAAGGAACGCAGTTCCTCACCAGCAACAGAACAAAGCTGGATGGAGAATGATTTTGACGAGCTGAGAGAAGAAGGCTTCAGACGATCAAATTACTCTGAGCTACGGGAGGACATTCAAACCAAAGGCAAAGAAGTTGAAAACTTTGAAAAAAATTTAGAAGAATGTATAACTAGAATAACCAATACAGAGAAGTGCTTAAAGGAGCTGATGGAGCTGAAAACCAAGGCTCGAGAACTACGTGAAGAATGCAGAAGCCTCAGGAGCCGATGCAATCAACTGGAAGAAAGGGTATCAGCAATGGAAGATGAAATGAATGAAATGAAGCGAGAAGGGAAGTTTAGAGAAAAAAGAATAAAAAGAAATGAGCAAAGCCTCCAAGAAATATGGGACTATGTGAAAAGACCAAATCTACGTCTGATTGGTGTACCTGAAAGTGATATGGAGAATGGAACCAAGTTGGAAAACACTCTGCAGGATATTATCCAGGAGAACTTCCCCAATCTAGCAAGGCAGGCCAACGTTCAGATTCAGGAAATACAGAGAACGCCACAAAGACACTCCTCGAGAAGAGCAACTCCAAGACACATAATTGTCAGATTCACCAAAGTTGAAATGAAGGAAAAAATGTTAAGGGCAGCCAGAGAGAAAGGTCGGGTTACCCTCAAAGGAAAGCCCATCAGACTAACAGTGGATCTCTCGGCAGAAACCCTAGAAGCCAGAAGAGAGTGGGGGCCAATATTCAACATTCTTAAAGAAAAGAATTTTCAACCCAGAATTTCATATCCAGCCAAACTAAGCTTCATAAGTGAAGGAGAAATAAAATACTTTATAGACAAGCAAATGCTGAGAGATTTTGTCACCACCAGGCCTGCCCTAAAAGAGCTCCTGAAGGAAGCGCTAAACATGGAAAGGAACAACCGGTACCAGCCGCTGCAAAATCATGCCAAAATGTAAAGACCATCGAGACTAGGAAGAAACTGCATCAACTAATGAGCAAAATCACCAGCTAACATCATAATGACAGGATCAAATTCACACATAACAATATTAACTTTAAATATAAATGGACTAAATTCTGCAATTAAAAGACACAGACTGGCAAGTTGGATAAAGAGTCAAGACCCATCAGTGTGCTGTATTCAGGAAACCCATCTCATGTGCAGAGACACACATAGGCTCAAAATAAAAGGATGGAGGAAGATCTACCAAGCCAATGGAAAACAAAAAAAGGCAGGGGTTGCAATCCTAGTCTCGGATAAAACAGACTTTAAACCAACAAAGATCAAAAGAGACAAAGAAGGCCATTACATAATGGTAAAGGGATCAATTCAACAAGAGGAGCTAACTATCCTAAATATTTATGCACCCAATACAGGAGCACCCAGATTCATAAAGCAAGTCCTCAGTGACCTACAAAGAGACTTAGACTCCCACACATTAATAATGGGAGACTTTAACACCCCACTGTCAACATTAGACAGATCAACGAGACAGAAAGTCAACAAGGATACCCAGGAATTGAACTCAGCTCTGCACCAAGCAGACCTAATAGACATCTACAGAACTCTCCACCCCAAATCAACAGAATATACATTTTTTTCAGCACCACACCACACCTATTCCAAAATTGACCACATAGTTGGAAGTAAAGCTCTCCTCAGCAAATGTAAAAGAACAGAAATTATAACAAACTATCTCTCAGACCACAGTGCAATCAAACTAGAACTCAGGATTAAGAATCTCACTCAAAGCCGCTCAACTACATGGAAACTGAACAACCTGCTCCTGAATGACTACTGGGTACATAACGAAATGAAGGCAGAAATAAAGATGTTCTTTGAAACCAACGAGAACAAAGACACCACATACCAGAATCTCTGGGACGCATTCAAAGCAGTGTGTAGAGGGAAATTTATAGCACTAAATGCCTACAAGAGAAAGCAGGAAGGATCCAAAATTGACACCCTAACATCACAATTAAAAGAACTAGAAAAGCAAGAGCAAACACATTCAAAAGCTAGCAGAAGGCAAGAAATAACTAAAATCAGAGCAGAACTGAAGGAAATAGAGACACAAAAAACCCTTCAAAAAATCAATGAATCCAGGAGCTGGTTTTTTGAAAGGATCAACAAAATTGATAGACCGCTAGCAAGACTAATAAAGAAAAAAAGAGAGAAGAATCAAATAGACACAATAAAAAATGATAAAGGGGATATCACCACCGATCCCACAGAAATACAAACGACCATCAGAGAATACTACAAACACCTCTACGCAAATAAACTAGAAAATCTAGAAGAAATGGATACATTCCTCAACACATACACTCTCCCAAGACTAAACCAAGAAGAAGTTGAATCTCTGAATAGACCAATAACAGGCTCTGAAATTGTGGCAATAATCAATAGTTTACCAACCAAAAAGAGTCCAGGACCAGATGGATTCACAGCCGAATTCTGCCAGAGGTACAAGGAGGAACTGGTACCATTCCTTCTGAAACTATTCCAATCAATAGAAAAAGAGGGAATCCTCCCTAACTCATTTTATGAGGCCAGCATCATTCTGATACCAAAGCCGGGCAGAGACACAACCAAAAAAGAGAATTTTAGACCAATATCCTTGATGAACATTGATGCAAAAATCCTCAATAAAATACTGGCAAACCGAATCCAGCAGCACATCAAAAAGCTTATCCACCATGATCAAGTGGGCTTCATCCCTGGGATGCAAGGCTGGTTCAATATACGCAAATCAATAAATGTAATCCAGCATATAAACAGAGCCAAAGACAAAAACCACATGATTATCTCAATAGATGCAGAAAAAGCCTTTGACAAAATTCAACAACCCTTCATGCTAAAAACTCTCAATAAATTAGGTATTGATGGGACGTATTTCAAAATAATAAGAGCTATCTATGACAAACCCACAGCCAATATCATACTGAATGGGCAAAAACTGGAAGCATTCCCTTTGAAAACTGGCACAAGACAGGGATGCCCTCTCTCACCGCTCCTATTCAACATAGTGTTGGAAGTTCTGGCCAGGGCAATCAGGCAGGAGAAGGAAATAAAGGGGATTCAATTAGGAAAAGAGGAAGTCAAATTGTCCCTGTTTGCAGACGACATGATTGTTTATCTAGAAAACCCCATCGTCTCAGCCCAAAATCTCCTAAAGCTGATAAGCAACTTCAGCAAAGTCTCAGGATACAAAATCAATGTACAAAAATCACAAGCATTCTTATACACCAACAACAGACAAACAGAGAGCCAAATCATGGGTGAACTCCCATTCACAATTGCTTCAAAGAGAATAAAATACCTAGGAATCCAACTTACAAGGGATGTGAAGGACCTCTTCAAGGAGAACTACAAACCACTGCTCAAGGAAATAAAAGAGGACACAAACAAATGGAAGAGCATTCCATGCTCATGGGTAGGAAGAATCAATATCGTGAAAATGGCCATACTGCCCAAGGTAATTTACAGATTCAATGCCATCCCCATCAAGCTACCAATGACTTTCTTCACAGAATTGGAAAAAACTACTTTAAAGTTCATATGGAACCAAAAAAGAGCCCGCATTGCCAAGTCAATCCTAAGCCAAAAGAACAAAGCTGGAGGCATCACACTACCTGACTTCAAACTATACTACAAGGCTACAGTAACCAAAACAGCATGGTACTGGTACCAAAACAGAGATATAGATCAATGGAACAGAACAGAGCCCTCAGAAATAATGCCGCATATCTACAACTATCTGATCTTTGACAAACCTGAGAAAAACAAGCAATGGGGAAAGGATTCCCTATTTAATAAATGGTGATGGGAAAACTGGCTAGCCATATGTAGAAAGCTGAAACTGGATCCCTTCCTTACACCTTATACAAAAATCAATTCAAGATGGATTAAAGATTTAAACGTTAGACCTAAAACCATAAAAACCCTAGAAGAAAACCTAGGCATTACCATTCAGGACATAGGCGTGGGCAAGGACTTCATGTCCAAAACACCAAAAGCAATGGCAACAAAAGCCAAAATTGACAAATGGGATCTAATTAAACTAAAGAGCTTCTGCACAGCAAAAGAAACTACCATCAGAGTGAACAGGCAACCTACAACACGGGAGAAAATTTTCGCAACCTACTCATCTGACAAAGGGCTAATATCCAGAATCTACAATGAACTCAAACAAATTTACAAGAAAAAAACAAACAACCCCATCAAAAAGTGGGCGAAGGACATGAACAGACACTTCTCAAAAGAAGACATTTATGCAGCCAAAAAACACATGAAGAAATGCTCATCATCACTGGCCATCAGAGAAATGCAAATCAAAACCACTATGAGATATCATCTCACACCAGTTAGAATGGCAATCATTAAAAAGTCAGGAAACAACAGGTGCTGGAGAGGATGTGGAGAAATAGGAACACTTTTACAGTGTTGGTGGGACTGTAAACTAGTTCAACCATTGTGGAAGTCAGTGTGGCGATTCCTCAGGGATCTAGAACTAGAAATACCATTTGACCCAGCCATCCCATTACTGGGTATATACCCAAAGGACTATAAATCATGCTGCTATAAAGACACATGCACACGTATGTTTATTGCGGCACTATTCACAATAGCAAAGACTTGGAACCAACCCAAATGTCCAACAATGATAGACTGGATTAAGAAAATGTGGCACATATACACCATGGAATACTATGCAGCCATAAAAAATGATGAGTTCATATCCTTTGTAGGGACATGGATGAAATTGGAAACCATCATTCTCAGTAAACTATCGCAAGAACAAAAAACCAAACACCGCATATTCTCACTCATAGGTGGGAATTGAACAATGAGATCACATGGACACAGGAGGGGGAATATCACACTCTGGGGACTGTGGTGGGGTCGGGGGAGGGGGGAGGAATAGCATTGGGAGATATACCTAATGCTAGATGACACATTAGTGGGTGCAGCGCACCAGCATGGCACATGTATACATATGTAACTAACCTGCACAATGTGCACATGTACCCTAAAACTTAGAGTATAAAAAAAAAAAAAAAAAGAGTCAGAAAAGCACTGGTTAGAGAAAAGAAAAAATAGTTTTTAACGCAAAGATGGAATTCCAGTTCCAGGCAAATGGAATACACCCATTTCTCCCTATTCCTCCTGCTAAACACAGCTAAACCCCCTAGATATTATATGTAAAACAAACCTAAGAAGGTTCTGAACAGTGGAAAGAAGGAGGAAGACAGACTAGGGAATTGGGACTTGAAGAAAAACATGGTGGTGAATTCTGTGGGATTTTTCTTGGCTTCCTGTATATCCTGATCTTGATATTGAGAAACATCAATGAGCACAGATGAAAAAGTTCTAAGAAAAGCCTGCTGTCTCCTTCAAAAGGACTGGCTCCTGCGGCAGATGCGGCTTCTGCAGCACCAGACTGCTGACAGTTTAGTATGGATGGCTTCTTCTTCTGAAATGGGCTCCACACCTTGTGGCCTGAAACTTCCCTCAGCACCCTGTTAGATGGTTTTCTAGTGGCGTGCTTCCAGTGAGACGCTTTCCCATAAAAAGCTTCCTCTGGCACCTTAGAGGGTGGAATTCCAGCAAGTTCTGCCAGTGCAGCACCGTAGTGACTTCTCTGCTGTTCTGTGAGCCACAGCCGTGCTATCTTAATTTCCAGTGCAGTCCTGGAATCTCTTCCTGGAGCACTTTATCTTGGCCTTGAAAATAATGCATGCTCCTTACATCTGCTATTGCTGTATTATTTTCAAGTTCTCTTTACTATTACTAACCAATCTGATATTTCTCTATTGCTCTGTTATAGTTAAAAAATCTCTGTGTAAAATATTCTCTGTCCAAATCACTGTGTGATTTCTCTCTCCAAACAGGACCCCGACTGATACATAATGCACAAATCAGCAGTTCTTGGTTTAATGAAATAATGGTGATATCAAATTCTGCAAACCTGAGAGACAGACTTTGGGCAAATTCAAAAAATTAAATAGCACCTGCTGGGAAACTTTGCAGACAGATGATGCACTCATCCCGTGGAGCATTAGACCATTTTCATTTCGTTTTGATCTTCTCTACTCTTTTTTATAGGACTGTCTTCAGTCCTATAGTTTATAGGACTAACTCATTTGTGGGAAGGGAGAAAGAGATATGCCAAGTTCAATCATGTAGGTCAATCTAAAATTATAGCAAATTGTTCTTAAAAATAGTAATTTTGCTTATAATTAAACAATATGCTTATATTGTTATCCAATAGAATTGTATTTTATTACTTAATGTAAACATGTGTTTGTAGAAACAAAACAAAGACCCGTTTTTCTAAAAATAAATAATAGAAATCTTTCACAAATTGCACTATAATTAGTCACACTCCAAGGAAATATAATATAGCTCCACTCCAAGATTTGTATTTTCTTCTTTTTGTATCATACACAAAATATATTTCATCCTAGTGACACCAAGCTAGATATATTTGTACTTGGAAATTAAATACAATTCCAAAAATAAACATTTCTAAATTTATTGACTTCCACTCTCTGATCTGTATGTTATTCATATAGACTAAGAAAGCATGAGTAGTTCATCAGAATATATTTTTTTCCTCTGAAAGTTCTCGACTTTCAAAAAACAGGAGCTATGAGACACTTTTATTAATAGACATGAGATTGCTACTGAAGTCGATGTTTGTAAATACACTGCATAGCCATATAGGCATAATTAAGTTATACATTGCTAAAGTAATATTTTAAAGCTTTAAGTTCTTTTAATTACTGATTATTATCTTATGCAAGAAATACGTTAAAAAAGGTAATAGATTCCAAATTTTAATTGAGACCACAGAATGAAAGCCACCAAAAGATCTTTCAATCTGTCATAAGATTTCACAAAGAAACTCACATTTTGTGATATATATTAGGCAGGACAAGTTAAGCTACAGTGAGGGAAGAGAGAGACCCTCTCATATTGTTTTATACTCAGTACCTGTTTTAAGAAAAAAACAGGGAAGTAAAACCAAAGACAGGCAGCCCGGCGCCAGGCCCGAAACCAGGCCTGGGCCTGCCTGGCCTAAACCCAGTAGTTAGAAATCAACTCATAACTTAGAAACCGACGTTTTTCATAGATTCCAGACATTGTATAGAAGAACACTGTGAAACTCCCTGCCCTGTTCTGTTTCTCTCTGACCGCCAGTGCATGCAGCCCCTGTCATGTACCCCTTGCTTGCTCAAATCAATCACGACCCTTTCATGTCAAATCCTTAGTGTTGTGAGCCCTTAAAAAGGACAGAAATTGTGCATTTGGGGAGCTCGGATTTTAAGACAGTAGCTTGCCGATGTTCCCAGCTGAATAAAGCCCTTCCTTCTACAACTCAGTGTCTGAGAAGTTTTGTCTGCTGCTCATCCTGCTACAACAGTGCAGTAATAGATTAAACTCCATACATAATCTCAAGTGGTTTAATATAATAAACATTCTATTTTATATGGAATAATATCTAATGCAGAAAACGATTTGACATTTTAAGATAAAAGATTTTATAAATGTGCATTCATTGAAACAATATAAAATACAAATCATCAGAACAATAGAAATATATCTAAAGTATTTATTACCTTTACTAAAAATTCAGACTTGAAAATAAAATATGGAGAAAACAATAATTATTTTAAAATTTCAAATGTTCTTGGGCCAAGTTATAAATGATTTGATTTTGAAAACAAAGTATGATCACTTTTTAATTAAAAATAATTGATTTTTAATGTTTCTGGCAAAAAGCATCCTGTGAAATAACTACAAAATAACTGACATTTCCACTGGCAAACAAGTTGCTAAAAATAATTAAGTAGCTGTGCTTGATACATTATCAGTAACTAAAGGACAGAAGTTCTTATTTTGAAGCATTCAGCATCCTCTAAGTTAGTTAATGTGGGCAATCCTCATTTCTCAGTTTAGTGATGTTAAGATTTATTCTTGTACTAGAATCAAGTTGCAACCTAATTTAAGAAGAAAAAAAAAGAAGTAGTCAGTTACTTCTGAGTCACTGTTACAAACTCAAAAGCCTAAATTAGCCAAAGAGGAGATGGTCCTCTGATCATTTTGAAATATAAAATTTTCAGGTCACATATTTTTCAAGATAAGAAATCTGTCTGGTGAAAATGTGTTACCTAATTATCAATATAGTTGTGACATTTATTACTGAAATTTAAAATCACTTAATAAAATAATTTTATTTTGTTAAAATATTATTTTGGGATTTGAGGGCTATACTGTCATTTTTTTTCTTGAGTTTGGCTGAAAGTAAGAAACCATTGAAAATGTATTATTAGGAATCTGCATGAATGATGGTTTAGTATTCTGAAGTAGTTCCTGTAATATTTTTAAAGTTTTTCTTAGTCAATATTAAAAAATATTGACAAGATCTGCCCTCATAATCATTTAAACTCATAATAATTTAAACTTTCAGAGCAATTTTTCAAGCTTCCCTGATATCTTTCAGTATTCTCTAACACTCTCCATTTGTTTACTTCTTTATATCAAATAACCACCAAAGCAATTACCAAATCCATATAGCCTCGAAGCAACTTGGTGAAGTAATTTAACATCTTTTCGTATCATAGATAGAAGCCAATTTTCATCAGAGTCTAAAATCAATTGTTTCTCTGTAACTCTTCCAATATCATAGAATAAACTACAGGATACAGATGATGATCACGGGTGAGTAATTTATTTTGTGTATACAATATTTGTCAGGCCTCTGGACCCAAACCTGCACGTATACATCTAGATGGCCTGAAGTAACTGAACAATGACAAAAGAAGTGAAAATGGCCGGTTCCTGCCTTAACTGATGGCATTACCTTGTGAAATTCCTTCTCCTGGCTCAGAAGCTCCCCCACTGAGCACCTTGTGTCCCCCGCCCCTGCCCGCCAGGGAACAACCCTCTTTGACTGTAATTTTCCACTACCTACCCAAATCCTATAAAACGGTCCATCACTATCTCCCTTCGCTGACTCTCTTTTCGGACTCAGCCCGTCTGCCCCCAGATGATTAAAAAGCTTTATCACTCACACAAAGCCTGTTTGGTGGTCTCTTCACACGGATGTGTGTGAAAATATTGACCACCTCTCTAGACATGTCTGTGTTGTAATTGGCACACCTTGCATCCTGCTATGCTGCATTGCACTCACTTCTACAGAGATGGCTACTTGACCCTCAAGCATTCAGGAGCTAAATGGCAGGGCATGTTGACCATATGAAAAGGTGGCTGGTCACTCAGCAGCAATTCCCCTGTTTTGTAACATTGCAGGAATGGTGCTCTGAGAGCCAAGACAAATGAATTTTGCCTGTGTCCATTTTTTAACGAGATGATGCATAGGAATCTTTGCTGAAGGAAACAAGTTATTAAGCTTGCTCTTGGAACAAGGATTCATTCCAACTGACTTTTAGGAGCATGAAACAACTGACAATGGTAACTGGGTGATGAAACTGGAAATTATTTCTGCAGAAAAAAATTATTGTAGATACAGACACCCCAGATACGGACACCCACAATTATTATGTGGCAACTTTATGTGGTTTTATGAGTTCATGAACTAAAAAAAAAAAAAATTGTCATGAGGCCCTTAGCAGCTCAAAAATAGGTCTCTGCTGAAAATTTTTAAAATTTTATTCAGCTGACAATACCTATTGTTCATCACACCAATCGGATTACCGCCTGCTCACAGGGTATAAACACAAGGCTATTATTTTATCCTAGTAGAGAAAAAAATTCCCCAAAGGGCAAACCTGAGATTCATCTTGAATTTCCCTCTTCTCCTTTACCACACCTTCTGTCCATCAATTCGTTGTCATTTCTTGTGATTTTCCTTCCTAAATGTCTCTCAGATCCAGTCTCACCATTGCCTTTCTGGACCAGTGAACTCGGATGTTAGCCTTATTCTGCATTTCTCAGATAAACCTCCCAAACTCCATCTTTCCTGCTTCCATTCTTTTCTCCAAATTATGCTCAGAAAGATTGTTCAAAGATTTTAATGTATTCTTAGTTAAAATCATCCACAGGCCTTTTATTACTCTTAGAATAAGAACCAAAGTGATTATCAGGCCTAATAAATAGGTATGATCTTCTTGTCATTCTAACTATTCATTCAGTTATGCAAAAATACCTATCAAGAACCACTGTTGAAATAAGTAAGTACTTTTCAAGGACGGTCTCAAATATCTTCACTAATGATAATATACAACTAAATATTTCCTTTATATACCCTCATAGTATCCTATGCCTCTTCACAGCTTTTTGCTCCGATGTGTACTTGTGTTATTAGTAACAGTATTATAATGTAGTATTTGATCAATAGAGAAGAAACAAAATTTTAAAATCTGGTTGGAAAGACTCTCAGGGAGAGAATGTATGTTTTGTTTAGAAATACACTATTGGGCAAGTTTAGCTTAAAGAGAAGCTCATATGGAAACAGCACGAAGGGGCTAAGATAAGACAAGTGACAGCTGAACTACACATAAGATTATAGGAGAGATTTAAAGCATAGAAAGAGAACTAAGTCCAGTGAGAAGATATCATGAGACAGGAGGTCCAAGCACCATTTCCCAGGTGAGAAGCCTAGTCAACTGTAGAGGAGCTTTGACTAGAAAAGCTTTTAGTGCCAGGAGGTGGTAAAAAAAAAAAAAAAAGACTTTGTTTGTTTGTTTGTTTGTTTGTTTGTTTTTGAGACTGAGTTTCGGAGTTCCGCTCTTTTTGCCCAGGCTGGAGTGCAATCGCACAATCTCGGCTCACCGCAACCTTCGCCTCCTGTGTTCAAGTGATTCTCCTGCCTCAGCCTCCTGAGTAGCTGGGACTACAAGCATGTGCCACCACGCCCAGCTAATTTTGTGTTTTTAATAGAGACAGGGTTTCCCCATGTTGGTCAGGCTGGTCTCGAACTCCTGACCTCAGGTGATCCACCTGCCTCGGACTCCCAAAGTGCTAGGATTACAGGTGTGAGCCACCGTGCCCAGTGGATTAATTGTTTTTGTTTATGTGCTGTGGTATACTTCAGGGTACCTGCTTCCTCCCCTCTTATCAACTTAAACCTTCAATAAATTCTATTATTTATAGAATCCTGTCTAATTGATATTTGGAGAATAAAGGGATGCTTAGCAATAAAATAGTCAGTGTCTCAAGGCAAAACAGGCAGCTGAGAAAGAATAGATGACATGAAAAAAGCAGCTCCCAGGTGAAGCACTCAACATCATGTTAATACAATTTGATTTTCCTCTAACTTAAAATAATTGTGGTAGGGGAAATGGAGAAACTGCTACCCACCTACATCTGTTTAATGCTAGATTTTCTTGATAGACTAAAATTCCTGAAGTCAGGGACCATGACTATCCACACAAAGCCCTAGGTTATTTTATTTATTTATTTATTTGGGACAGAGTCTCATTCTGTTGCCCAGGCTGGAGCGCAGTAGTGCGATCTCGGCTCACTGCAACCTCTGCCTCCTGAGTTCAAGTGATTCTCCTGCCTCAGTCTCCTGAGTTGCTGGGATTACCACACTCAGCTAATTTTTTGTATTTTTAGTAGAGACAAGGTTTCTCCATGTTGGGCGAGTTTAGCTAAAAGAGAAGCTTATATGGAAACAGAGTGAATGGGCTAAGATAAGACAAGTGACAGCTAAACTGCTCCTCATAAGATTATAGGCTTGTCTCGAACTCCTGATCTCAAGTGATCTGCCCACCGCAGCCTCCCAAAGTGCCGGGATTACAGGCTTAAGCCACTGTGCCCAGCCTCCTAGAATATTGATCTTGGGAAATACTTGTTGATTACCAATGGGGCATTGCATTATAAACTCTAGATATCAAAGAATACCTAATAATTCAGAAATTAGGCCTTATAAACTGGTTATATTCTGTGTGTCCACATATTATTTAAGAAATGCAACCTTCTAATTTCTTTTCTCAAACATATATGTGTGCCAATCAGCATGGAGAGAAAGCATTGAGGGATAGGAATAGGGGAGAAAAAGTAAGAACATTATTTTACATTAAAAGTATTTTCAATTTAGAGTAACAAACTGCAGCTAGAGAACAGGGAAAAACTAATCCAGTGGTTTTGAAGCCATTATGTAGAAAGGGAAATATTTGAAATTAAAATCTATTGGTTCAGTCCTAATACAAACGACATCACTGACGTGCACATGTAGAACAAAGTGGACAATGGCAGGGGATGCAAATCTCATTAATTCTACACATATAATTGCCTTGTTATCTTTCTGCTTCAGTTTCTGTATAAGATCATGGGTTGCAAAAATGTATTTACATGTATAGCTAACCATAGCTAAGGAAAATCTAATAAAGCAAACTTCTGAGAAGTCAGGAATCTCTTCCCATGATGCAAAAGTGGTATTAAAAAAAAAAAGGTCCAATTTTTCGGTCCACCTTGTGCTACTATTCTCAAGATATTAATTCCTAGACCTTAAAGATTGAATCATTTTAATACAATGCAAATGAACACACTATTCCCTGTTATGCACATTATATGTATGTGTGTTTTGAAAGTGTGTGTGAGTGGCATTTCAGTATCTGCCCTTCCTGTTATAGAGTAATTCTCTATTAATTGTTAGAATTAGTGGCATGCAATGTCCTTCCTCCACTACAGAAAGTGAAGATAGAAAATCCTCACTCTTTCATTTTCAATAATCTAGGCTTACCTACATCTAAGGTTTTAATCTGGAGCTGACAAAGTGAAGATGAAGAGGTGGTTCAAATTGATTTGTGATGCCTTACAAAAGCATCAGTGATGTCCATTTGCAGTATTCAACAAAATAAAACGTCTAGCAGTGGATGCAGTATACAGTAGTACTATTCTGGCTAGATCATTGTCCTACCAAACTTCAGGATCCTCATTGATTCTTGCTTGTTTTCCAAGCCTGCCTCTTTATTATTAAGTTTGAAGCGTAAGCCCCCATATCTATCTAAAAATTCCTCTTTTGTATAAGAAAAATGTGTTTTTGTCAGTTTAAAAAAACTGTGATAGTTTTGTTTTGTTTTGTTTTGTTTTGTTTTTCAAAAAGAACCATAGTAATTCTTTTTGTATTCACATCATTTGGTGGTTCCCTCTGTATTGAGTCTCCCCTTTCTGTTAACTGTTTTGGCCAATGGGACAGTAGCAAACAAGATGAAAGTAGAGGTTGTGAAAAGGCTTATTTATTGTGATTTAAGACTTTTTGCTCTCTGTGAGACCAGGGCTGGCTGATCTTGAGAATTCGAGATCACATAAAAAAGAGACCAAACTTCTTACCAAACAAGTTATTGAGGCCATTATAGACCACTGGATATCAACCAATCTTCCAAGTGACCACAGAAATTATCTAAGACAGCTGAGACCAGAATAACCACCAACTGTCCTACATAATCAGAAAAAAAATAAACATTTGTTGTTGTGAGCTGTGAAGTTTTGAACTGATTTATTATATAGCAAAAGGTAATTGATACACCAATAATTAATTTATATGCCCAAAGAGAACACACTTTTCTAATTCACTCATCCAACTCTAAATTCGGGATCACTGGATGATATCCATTTCTTCTCTAGTTTCACCCCTCAGACGCTAAAGTCTCTAAATCAGAAAAGCCTAGATAAAATAGAAAGAAAAACTATTCTACCTTTCTCATCCTCTCTCTTTCTTTTTTCAAAAATGTGTCATTACATGTAATTCTGAAAAGAACCACCTTCAACGCCATCTCTTGGTATTCAAAGCAAAGTTTTCTGGCTATAGTAGAAATAAAATCATATATTGGCTACTGGTTGACATGATACATCACATTTTCCAATATAGCACCCAAAATTTGAAAGACATTGCTGTCAATGTGACCCTATATCTGAATATCCAATATACAACCCATAGCTCTCTAAGGCCTGTGCTTCTGGGCCACAAGGTATATAATACCACTAAATATTATAGATATTGGACTACTGTACTGGATTTAATAATATCTCCCAAACCCATGTCCACAGAGAACCTATGAATGTGACCTTGTTTGAAAATAGGGTATTTGTAATGTAATCAAGTTAAGATGAAGTCATACTGCATTAGGGTGGGTGCCAAATCTGATAGGACTATTGTCTTTTTAAGAAGAGACATATTTGTACACAGACACATAATGAGAACCTCATGTGACAATAAAGGCAGTTATGCAGAAAAAAGTAAGGAAACGCCAAGGACTGCCAGCAACCACCAGAAGCTGGGAGAAAGCCATGGAACAGATTCTCCCATGGAGTCTCCAGAAGGAGTACATCTCGCTGACAACTTGATTTCTCACTTCTGGCCTCCAGAGCTGTGAGAATAAACTTCTCTTGTCATAAACCTCCACTTTTGTGGTCATTTGTTGTGACAGCCCAAGGAAACAAATATGCTTATCTTCATTTTTTTTTTTACTTTGAAGTAAGTTGCTTGGTCAGTGGTGTTAACGGGGGATACCAAGATAGTAATGGCAAGTAAAATAAATTAAAAGTACTTTAACCAGACAGCCTGACAGTAGGAAATAATAAACATTCAATTATTCCCGTGTTCCACTGGGCTAATAATGATGTAGGCTCTGCGTGGAAATTCGTTTTGCCATCTGATCTCCAGTGTAACAGCAATGACCTTCCTCAAGGTGACCTGGGCCTCTCTTCCATTTAAGGAACTCTGATGATTCTATAATTTCCTTCAGATATGAGAGTGGAATAAAGATCGATGACTCTCATGGTTATATGACTCAGGTTCTACAAATCAAGGAAAATGTTGATGGGTTGCCTATCAACTAGTTTTATTCCTTTATAAAACAGAATTTAACTACTGCCAGTGAAATTTTATTTGAGATCCGATCATGACATCCATCTGATGCCTTTGAGGGTAACCATAGCAACCTTACTTGAGACATTGAGAGCTGATACCCAGTCCTGCTGCCTTGGATTTCCTCCCATCCCAGCTGAGATCACAGTACTTGACACCATTCCCAGCCATTGATGGTTTGGCTGAGAAAAATTTGGCCCCGTGTATCCACCCAAATCTCATCTGGAACTGTAATCCCCACCAGTTGAGGGAGGAATCTGATGGGATATGATTGGATCATGATGGCAGTTTCCCCCGTGCTGTTCTCATGATAGTGTTCTCATGATAGTGAGTGAGTGCTCATGAGATCTGATGGTTTTAAAGTGTGGCACTTACCTCATTCTCCTCCTGCCACCATGTAAGATGTGCCTTGCTTCCCCTTCACCTTCCACCACGATTATAAGTTTCCTGATGCCTTTCAGCCATCTGAACTGAGTCAATTAAACCTTTTTTCTGCATAAATTACCCAGTCTCGGGTAATTCTCTACATCAGTGTGAAAATGAACTAATACAGCGGCATTCCAGGCATAGAGAGAACAGTAATAAAGTGCTAATATGATTTAGATATTAAATATTTTGATAAGGCACGTGAGTTGTAACTATAGCCCAGTGGATCACGTTCTTGTTGCTGGTTAGAATTACCCAGGGAGCTTTTTAAAAATATTGATGCTCAGGCCTCATTCTAAATCCATTAAATCAGAATCTCTGAAGGGAGATCTTGGATGTTTATATATATTTAAGGATCTTTAAATCATTCTAATGTACAACCAGGATTGTTATTTTTCCCCTAAATATGGAATTAACTTGCCACTGTCTCTGAAAATTAACTTTCTTTGTGGGATACTGATATTCACTGGTATGTGTTTGCCTGTGAGTGTCTGTTGAGGAGTTAATCTGAGGGTCAGGAGTATCCCATGTGCCCTTTCCTCTTCTTTGTCTCAGTTACCACATTTAATCCCATGTCAGTCCTCTGTTTCCACACTCAAATCTACATCTGACTCTGCCTATAAGCATCCACCTCCCATTACCCTCAACTTCTGAATCCATTTGACTGTACGTGCCCTTAGCAACGATTTCTCCAGTATCAGCAAAAAGTTGTATATTTTCAACTTCTTCTCTGCAAATTCTCTTTACTTTCTTTCTTTAAAAGGAACTCATATCTCTCCTTAGGAAACTATATTTCCTGAATATTGAATAATGTCTCATTTGCTCTCTCATATTTCTTATTCCACTAGGCCTAACAGTGAGGTTGGTCCTCTCCTTGATACTCATGGCTGCTTCTAGGTATGTTTTCCTCCCTCTTTCCTGAATCACTCCCTCCAATTCTGAATCTCATGTGATCAGATGAATGCAATCCACCAACTATTATTCCTGTTTTTTGCCACACGCCATTTATAAACCTTGCCTCCATTTCTTAAATATTTTAGCTTCTGGATTAGCATTGGATTCCTCAACAAAATTCCTGTTTAATTTTTGGTGATCTAAATATGTAATAGATGAACATTCCAACTCTGTGACTGCATAATTTTTAGATCTCCTCTCCTAAAAAGACCTTATCCTCCACCACTCCTCAGCCACTCATTCTTATGATCATATCTTAGAAATTTTCAGTATTAATAAGTGAAAAAAGCCTTCAGAATCTCATTTCTGTTGAAAGATAATTTTCTGAAAAAGATAAAGTCATGACTTTCGAAGAGATATGAAAATAAACATGTGTTAAAGAATTTATTTTACTTCTATGCTATCAGGAATCCAGGCAGATGTTGTAACTGGAGTAAAGGAATGCTGAGATGAATTTGCAAATGGAAAAAAAGAAAACTTTTTCCACCGAAGAGAGGAAATCACCCAAATCACTATCAAAGAAGACTTAATGTACATATCTCTCAGTTGCATACAACTTTTACAAATAGTTACAATATAGGTCAAAGACAATGAAAAGGACCAGAATCAGACAACTTGTAAGGGCATGTTATAGGTGGTGCAAAGTTTTCCACTAAGACACAAGAAACTTTTCTATAGTTTACATAGATTCCACACTGTGATTGACCCTCAATCTTTCTAGCTTTCTCACTCTAGAAATATGTACACAGTAACCCATGGACCACCCCCACCCCTACCCCATAGCTGCTGTCTATTCACCATCCCTCACATCCCTTGTAATGTCTCTTTCTTCTTTTCCATGCTTAAATATTTACACTTAATCATTTTAATAGCCCTCTTATATGTATCTTTAAATTTCTTGTTAATTTCTTTTGTTATTATACTCAACTGAAAATCCTTGGTAACACTAGTTAAGTTCAAC
This sequence comes from Homo sapiens, assembly GCF_000001405.40. Taxonomy (NCBI): domain Eukaryota; kingdom Metazoa; phylum Chordata; class Mammalia; order Primates; family Hominidae; genus Homo; species Homo sapiens. The sequence continues at coordinate 56,927 of NW_025791754.1, read as the reverse complement.
TCTTCATCTGTGACTATTTTATATGGTGACATATACCCACAGATATAGAGGGCTTTTCTGCTCATTGTCCATTCATGTGCTCTCCCATATTTTCCGGCCTCTTTGTAGTTTATTCAGGACAAGGGACTAGTATTGTCAATGCTCTGTGACCATGTATTATTTCCTAGATGAAGCATTTAAGATCCTGTGCATAAGCCTCAGTACTCTCTTTCCCAGACTCATAGTTAGAAAAAGGCTTCATCAGCCTAGGTCCCTGAATGACCATGTGGAGCAGAGCACACACACACACAACCCCAGCACCACCACACCCAATACCACCAACCTAAAGACATATAAAATGAGTGAGATATCAACTTGGTTGCTTAAGGCTAGTGAGAACAGAAAGTTGTTTATTACTGCTGCAGAGACTAGTTTATCCTATGTAAAACATGTGTTGACTGGCTTCACTTTAAATTTGTAATTCATTCCAAATTTCAAGCGTTTCTTTAATGTTCCTAGAAATGATACTACCATTCTCTAGTGTTTTTGTTTCCTATTCTCCTAAAGGACTATATCAGAGTCTGTTTTCAATACCCTAGTGCTTTCTCCCTCATCCTCAGTCCCAACTGATGACCTTGCATCTTATTTAACTGAGGGAAGCCCACAACATATAACTTTCAAAGTATCTCAGGAGCATATCTTTGATAATATATATCTGTACACTCTGTCCATTTTTCTTTTGCAATTGATAAATTATATCTTCTCCCAATTCAGACCATGCCTTTATTTTTATGATGTATTCCCTTTTTTTTTTAACTTCTACCCAAGAACATTTCTCCAGTGGTATTTTTACTCTCTACTTAACTATTCCCATTAGCATTTATAAAGGTAGGAGAACACCTTTACAAATTGAAAAAAAAAAAGCCTTCTCAACTTAATTACTTATTTAGTTAATGTCTAATTTCTCTACACTTTCTGACAACAAAACTCTTTGAAAAAGTTATCCATGCTTCCTGTTCTCAATTCTTCTCCTTCCATTTTCTGTTCAACCTATTCTTCTTTTGCTCTCACCACTACATTAAAATAGCTCTTGTCATGATACCATTGATCTCTGTATTGATAAATTAAAAGTCAGTATGCAGCCCTCATCTTGATCTGTCAGCAAGCAGCACTTGACAGATAATTTTTTCCTTCATCATTTGTCTGAGACAACACACTAGTCTCTCTCCTATCTCACTGACCACTCCTGATAAGACACCTTTCTTCCCAGTGAAAAAAATTCTTTGTACTTAATTCTAGTACAAAACATGTTATGAATAACACTGAAGTGCGTGAATTGGATAACGTTCTCACCTCTGAAACCCTTATTATTCAGAGTTGGAATGAAAAGAAAAGTTGGAGTGAAGAAAAAATCCTTCAAAAGAGGGAAAGTGCTATATGCAGAAGTGAGGGATGCTAGATAAACATGCAACATATTCTAAGAGGACACAGAATTCCTATAATTACAAAAAATTAAATACATGTATAGAAATAATAAATATTATTTTATCGATACACTAATATGGTACTACTTCAGTGCTTAAAATGATGATATAGAGGTATGTCTAATAACCAGAGCTTAATGTAGAGATAAATGCTATTCTAATAAATGAAAATAAACATAATACAGTATGAAAATATGGGAGAAACTTTTTGCATGCTACTCATCTGACAAAGGTCTAATATCCAGACTATAAGGAACTTAAACAAATTTACAAGAAAAAAAAAAACAACCCTATCAAAAAGTGGCCAAAGGATATGAACAGACACTGCTTCTTCTTTTTCTTTTTCTTTTGTGAGATGGCGTTTCGATTTTGTTGCCCAGGCTGGAGTACAATGGCACAATCTCGGCTCATGGCAACCTCCACCTCCCGGGTTCAAGCAATTCTCCTGCCTCAGCCTCCTGAGCAGCTGGGGTCACAGGCATGTGCCACCATGCCTGGCTAATTTTTTTATTTTTAGTAGAGATGGGGTTTCTCCATGTTGGTCAGGCTGGTCTCAAACTCCCGACCTCAAGTGATCCACTCACTTCGGCCTCCCAAATTGCTGGGGTTACAGGCCTGAGCCACCATGCCGGGCATGAGCAGACACTTCTTAAAAGAAGACATTTATGTGGCCAAGAAACATACGAAAAAAAGCTCATCATCCCTGGTCATTAGAGAAATGCAAATCCAAACCACAATGAGATATCATCTCACACCAGTTAGAATGGTGATTATTAAAAAGTCAGGAAACAACAGATGCTGGACAGGCTGTGGAGAAATAGGAACACTTTTACACCGTTGGTGGGAGTGTAAATTCGTTCAACCATTGTAGTGGACAGTGTGGTGATTCCTTAAGGATCCAGAACCAGAAATACCATTTGACCCAGCAATCTCATTACTGCTTATATACCCAGAGGATTATAAATCATTCTACCCTAAAGACACATGCACACATATGTTTATTGCAGCACCATCTACAATAGCAAAGACTTGGAGCCAACCCAAATGCCCATCAATGATAGACTGGATAAAGAAAATGTGGCACATATGCACCATGGAACACTATGCAGCCATAAAAAAAAGAATGAGTTTATGTCCTTTGCAGGGACATGGATGAAGCTGGAATCATTATCCTCAGCAAACTAACACAGGAACAGAAAACCAAGCATCACATGTTCTCATTCATAAGTGGGAGCTGAACAATGAGAACACATGGACACAGGGAGGGGAACAACACACACTGGGGCCTGTCAGTGGGGGCGGGAGGAGAGGGGAGGGAGAACATCAATACAAATAGCTAATGAATGTGGGGCTTAAAACCTAGATGGTGGGTTGATAGGTGCAGCAAACCACCATGGCACGTGTATACCTATGTAACAAACGTGCACGTTCTGCACATGTATCCCAGAACTTAAAGTAAAACTAAAGAAAAAAAAGAAAAATGAAAAAAGAAAATATCTGCTTGATTTCTCTTTCTTGCAAAGTTATAGGAACTAGCAATAAAGCTGGTTTGTTTATAATTGTTAGAGAATAATTTTCACAAAAGTAAAATCATGACTCTCATACAAACATAAAATGAACAAAGATTTTATTGAACTAATTAATTAATGAGGGAAACAGTAGGATTTTATAACTAATTCAAAGAGCATAGGCAAAACTAGAAAATATATGAAAAAATATAATGCTTATGTTAGATATAATACTAGTTATTGTCTAATGAGTTAATTAATCTGTAGGGCAATTTATTCCACTGTACAGAAATTATTTACATTTCACCAAAAATACACTATTCAAAAAAAAAAAAACTTTACAATTGAAGCCTGGGAGCCTAATATAAACTAAGAACCTTTGCCTATATAACATGCCCCCATGTGACACTGAAAGGATGTGTTGCCCAGCCAAGTTTATCAAATTTTTGAACATATTCAAATTTGAAAAAATGCGCCATTTTAATTAGAGATGAGTGATTAAAGACAATGAGATTAATTTTTTCCCATTCAATTTCCAGGAATCCTTGAATTCAATCCACAGTTGAACTCCAGAACTATAACTATCTCATAAGGCTGTTATGCAGGAAAGGAATTATTCAGCAGGTCTGTATTGCTCAGATTCTGCAAATTTTCAAGGAAGGACATTCTTTAGGAATATCCCTTGGCCAGCTTCTGGTAGATGAGCACTGAGTCCTTGGAATATTATGCTTGGTAAGATATTTTATATGTGTGAATGAGGTCTTGGGCCGCTTTGTACCTGATGGATTAGATAGTTTTTGCAAACTAATATAATTTATAGTGAATTCCTGTTTTTGCTTTGGTGTGTTAGAGTATTAGTAGTTGAGGTCAGTCATGCAGGTGGTGTGTTCCTACATGACTGACCCCAGGAAAACTCTAGATACCAAGGCTCAAGTGGGATTCCCTACTTGACAACACATTACATCATGTAGTCACACATCATTAATGGAAGAATGAAACATCTGTATGACTTCACTGGGAGAGGGCTTTTAGAAACTTGTACTTTGTTTCTTCTGCACATTGTCCCATGTAACTTTTCCCTTGGCTGATTTTAATCTACTTGTACCCTTTCGCAATAATAAACCATAACCATGAGTATAACAGCATCTGAATCTTGTGAGTCCTTCTAGCAAATCACTGAGTCTAAGTATAATCTTTGGGACCCTTGACACAGTTGTAGTGAGTAACCGAAGAGATAATGCATGTAAAGTGTTTGGCAAATAAAAGATTGTATTGGCTCACCTCCAGACCACAGAAAATGCCAATTATAAGAAAACTCCTCTCTAGCACACCTTGACATAATTGACTGGATTTAAGATGGAGCCCCAGACATCTTCCCAACACTCTTCCCCAAACTAAGAGCCATGGCTCCATTATCTGACTTGACACCATCAGGGCAAATCCTACTCTGTCCTTTATTCTTGTTTAATCTCAGTCACTACCTGTTACGTAAGTACTATAATTGTTTAATAGAGTTATAAACCTGATGTTACTTTTTTGCATCATTAGTAACGCTTTAGTATGAGACAAATAGTCTGGCTATAATTTGCTCATAATTTGGCTAAAATATACAATTAAACCTACCATTGGGTTTGTACTCACTTTTCTTTGAATGTCACCCATCTTCCTTTGATCCAAGTTCTTCGTAAAATTAACTTGGTTTCCCGAATGGATGAACTCAACCACTAAGTGACTTTTCAGATGATACAAAAAATAAATAGTTCAGAAATATGAACACTGAATCAAATTGTACCCCAAAAGAGAGTTTCCTTTCTCCACAGAAACAACTGGGTACATTTTATATGAACTAGATTTGTAACCAAACTTTCAGAGAAATGGACTTTGATAAACAGTTAGGGAACATAAGAGGCATGATCAGAGGCTAATGTTTAAACTTTAAAATAAAGTCAAACTAACTAGGTACAGCCAAAAGCAGTTTTTGTTAGATTTACATGATGATCCCTGTCGTATAAATTTCGACAACTGACACTGAACTATTCTTCATATATGATAGCAAAACATTGAAACAGTATTTGAAAATCTCATAGGAATAACTGTACCAAAAATAAATAATTGAATTGCCTCTAAACACTGGTATTAGATTTGTGGGGGGGAAATTTATTGTACCTACTTCTACAAATTGAGGAGTAATGTGTAATTTTATTGAACTGATGCCTGCTTTAGAGATAGTCCCTACTGTAATGGAGATTCATTTTGGCTCACCAAATATCAAATAATTTAACTTAAGGTATTTGTATAATTTGATTCAAGAAGATAAAAACTTAAAGTGTAAATTCAAAATTTTAACCACCAGAGAGGAAATTAGGACTCTTGTCTTCTGCTCTAAGTGTCTTCATTTCACAAATTACAGAAGATCAAAACATAGGAAGAGTTTTACATGCTATGATTTACAGAAATAGCAGGAGGATTGTACACTGTAATTAAGGCCATAGAACTTCATGCTTGAAAGAATTTAATGTAATAGAACAGGTCGTTCAAAATAGAGTCATTTTACATAAAATGCAAGCCATTCACAGTAGAATATTAACAATTTTAGGAAAACAATGTTGTACTTAAAACCTCATAGGCTTGTCTGGAATGTTTAATATTGCAAAAAGGGTCTGTGAAACAAACAATAAAATTATGGAATTAATAATTAGGCTTAGCCCTGTACATGGGTCAGTAGATTTTTCATATCAAAATTCTTTTTGCTTAATTTATTTCGGTATCTTGGCTTCTGGATTAGAAACAAACTGCAAGATCTGTTCATATCTTAGTCTGTTTCACTGCTCAAATGTTTGATCTCCAAATTTTTTAATTCAGTCATAGCTGCTATTTCATAACATGATCTAATAAATGTACTCAAAACAAAAGAAAAAAGAAAAGTAAAAGAAAATCTAACATAACACTTAGAGATATTGGAACAGTTACCACCAGGAACTCTACATGTGACCATTACACATTAAAACCAGTGCAGATTGGATTGATTATATCCCCAGGTGATAATGATTTCCCCTCCTTTCTAAGCTAAAGGATAACGAAAGAGGAGATGGAGAACTAAAACCAGTATATTTTTCTATTCTCTGCTCAGAAATTCTAACCCAGAGATACTTTACTGTTTCTCTACTAAATAATTCTAGCACATAACATGCTTTTCTTTTTGTGTGTCAGGCAATATAGGCCTTAGGCAAAAATTACTTATATGCTTGCTCCAGGAAATATTTACTTTTCAAAGATAAGATTGTGAACCAACCTAAACAATTTTCTTATCAAAATTAGCAGCTTGCTCATCAAACTCACAAGACTCTTACCTTTCTGCACCCAGCAAACAATACAAAATTTCATATCAAAAACTTTACCTGATCCAAATAATTCCGTGCCTTGCAAGACTACCTTATATCATCCAGTCCAGGCCTTAAATCTGACTTTTCTTTTCTGAGACATTACTTAAGTTCTGTCAAAGCAGTATCTGTAGTAAGTTTGATAAATAAAATTGGTTGCTAAACATCAATATCTACTTTTCTGGCAGATGTTTGGGGAAGTCAAAAGTTGACAGAATATACTTAATTTATTTTCCCTTCTTAATCTCCTGGTACGTGTTAGGATCTCCTAATATGTGTTAGAATCTCTTGGTTCCTTTAGCATAACTTTAAATAACATACACAAATTGTTTCTTAATTACTAAATTCAATGCTGTTTGAATCCTCATTCATACAGATATAGAGAAAATCTAATTAATAAAGATATGGAAATAAGTGCATATATTTTTCCCATTCACCTTTCCTAATCTTTTACATTTTTATTTTGGAATTTGTCAACATATATAACATTTATCTTCCTGCAGTAGTTTAATTTTGGTTTTAGAATAAATCCTGATTTCCAGTGAGTAAAAGTGCTCTACTATGGTTTTTCTAATCAGCATTTGGTTGGCTGGATTTTTCAAACATAGAATAAGTATAATGTAGATTTTTTTTTTTAACCTCTGTGCCTAGATCCTTCATTGAGTCTCACTGGTTTTATGATATGTATGAAAATGTCTGCTAGTGGCTTTAGATTTGAATGACAGCTTCTATAATAAACATTCTTGCATTGCTCTTTATTTTTCTCAGAACTTTGTGTAAACTGCTCTATCACATTCTAGCACTGGATGTGTCAACGAAAAAAGTTTGAAAGTCTGAGGCTGGCCTGATATTTTTAATCTTTATTTGTTAGAAGCATGATATTTCTGCTAAAATGTCTCAAGAATCCTTTATCTTTGAAGTTTAGTAACTTCACTAGCATATGTCTGGGTATTTCTATATCTTTTTTTTTCTTCGTGAAACAGTGCATACCATTTCAATAAGCAGATTTGTATTTTTTCTTTTAGAAAAACATTGTATTGTCTAATGAATAAATTTCTGTTCTATTTTTATAATTTTTTTTTCTCTTCTCTACTTTAAGGAGTAAATTATTATTATGTACAGCATCTTTTTTGTTAGGTATCCTTTTTCTTTCTTATAAAATCAGTTTCTTTACACTTTTTCCCTGAATTCAAAATGATTTTCTTAGACTTTCCTCTAAGGCACTAATTTAGACTTTGAGCCTCTCTTTTCTGTTCTGTTCCACTAATTATTATTTGTAGTTTCTTTTGGTTCTCAGTTGACATCCTTCTACTGCACTCTCACTTTATAATTCTTTTGTTTTCACAACTCATTATTTTTCAAAAAATTTATCTCACAGAATAATGTTTTCTTTAAAGTACTTTCTTATAATGAACACTTTCAGATTATTCTTATTTGATTCCTCTCGTTTTCTTCTAGATTAGATTATTTGATCATTTTGCAGGCTGTATTCTCTTCATCTTCCCCACCATCTCTTCCTCATTCATCAGTGACCACATACTAGACTTCCTTTTAGCTCTTTTTCCTCCTGCACATATTCCTTTTGCTTTTGCCTCACCTTCCTCATCTTCATTCCATGGCTTCCTATTTCTTTTTCCTTCCAATTCACTTTTGTATAGTAGCCATTTCATTTATTTTCTTCTTTCTCTTACTTAATGTGGGAAAGTTTGTTGGGACTTTCTCTTTGTTCCGATAGTGGGTAAGTTCTTTCTGACTGTTTTCCTACCTTTTCTGTGATTGATTTATGCTTACACATAATAATTAAGCGCTATTATTAATTCTACAGCCTGAGGACATCAGATGAAAGTGAAGTTAACTGAGCCCCTGTACTAAAAAAGAAAATAATTATTATTATGCCTTCACATCTGTCCAGGTTTACTCGACTAACTCAAGTTTATCTTCTTCCCATGAGACTAAGGAGGTTCTTGGATAAAAAAGCAAATTATCAATGACATGATAATTTACCAGTGATAGGTCAAATATCATGAGGACCAATAATTGACCGTTGGAATTAGCTACACAGAGGTAATTGTTAATCCTGATGGAGAAATTTTAGTGTGTACCCTTTCTTCTTTGAAACACTCATTCTCTTGACTTATGGACAGTAAAAATGTTTCAGTTTCATTTACTTCTGTGGCCACCCTTTTTTTTAAATGTTTACTTTTTTTTTCTTTGCTGGTTCTTCCTCATCTCTCTCATCTTTTAAAATTGGGCTCCATAGGACTTGTCTTTATATGCGTTCTCTTCTCTGGGGGCACACATTCAATTTTGTGGTCTCATATTATCTTTTGGCCTTAAATGTTATCTACTGTTGATGAAATCTAAATTTATGTTGCTAACTTCTATATGCCCCTTAAACTTTAGATTCATATTTAATTGCTTTCTTGATAATTCCAATTAAATATATAATAGGAACCTAAATTTCAAGTTTAAAACTCCTTCTTCTACAATCTTCTATTTTTAATAATGAGTACTGTCACATTGTCAATTGTATAGGTTAGGAACCTCATAGTCATCCTTGTTTCCTGGATTTTTTCTCATACTTTGTATTAAAATCGTCAGCAAATCCTGTTCTTTCTTCAAAGTATATGCAGCATTTGACCAATTCTTTCACTTCTATACCCTGGTCAAAGCCACTATCTTCCCTATCTGAGATAATTGTATTAGCCTCCTAACTAATCACTCTGTATTTCATCTTCTACTTCCAATAATATATTCTCAATACAAATGCCTGAGTCATTCTATTAAAATATGTTGAATCCCACCACTTAAAACCTTCTAATGGCTTTCCAACTTACTCACATAAAATTTAAGTTTGTAATGCCCCACATATCTGGACTCCTGTTACCTCCCTGTCTTAATCTTCCTACTGTTTCCTCGTTGATCACTCTGCTCTAGCCAAACTTAGTCTTATTGTTATTTTCTTAAAAATCAAATAGATATGTTCCTTCCTCAGGGACATGGCATTTCCTGTTTTCTTTCCTCGGAATATTCTTCCTTCAGATATCTGAATGACTTTCTTTTCTTTTAATACCTCCTTTAGGCTCTCCTTGAATACCATATACAAAAATTCAAACTCTTTCTCAGCTCTGCCTCTTACGGCTGCATCTTTATCTCACTTCCTTGATATATTTCAAGTAGCAAATGTATTACCATCTGATATACCACATATCTACTTCCTTTACTTGGTGGCTTCCTCTTAATATAAGTTCCATGTATTTAGAATTTTGTTTATTTTGTCTGCCTCTGCATCCCCAATATCTTGTTCATAGTAGGTAATCAATAATTATTTGTTAAATTAATGCATGTCTGAGATAAATTCAGTCTCACTTCCATGCTCTCCTCCCACATCTACTCTTAGCATATCCCCAGTCAGAGGAGAAAATTATAAAGATAACCATTACTAGAGGATATTTTATTTTGTTTTCTGATAGTATGAATCATACTTTCAGCTGGAAATTATTAAGTATAAATATTTCCTGTCTCACCTTTAGCTTGCTTCCTAGTCTCTTAAACCAAAATGCTTAATTTCCCCATAAATTTCTAACATATTACATAATTCATTTATTTATTATGTGATTGTCGTTGGCCTCTCCCCAGATGTCATCTCTGAAAGAGCAATGCTTTCTGTCTGTTTTGCATTCTGCAGTGTCTTATGTTGGTAGCACCATGACTGGCACAGTGTAGATACTCAATAAAACTTTGTCGAATGAATCAAGCAAACACTAATGATTCTTTTGGCTATGTCCTATCTATGCATCACCTGTCTGGTGTAGCTATTAATCACTTTACTTATTTTTAGCTATATTTAATGTTAGCATGTTGAAAATAATAAAGGTAAAAAAATATAGGAAAGAGAAAATTGAGTTAGTGTAAATAAGCATGGCTCTTATAATTCTATTTTACCATCAGTATCCAAAAAAATTAAGAGGAAAGCTACCTAAAACCACCCTGAAATATTTCAGGGTTATTTTTCAGTGACATTCCCTGTAATAAAACAGATATCACTGAACTTCAGTTCATAGATATGCAGAGTGCAAAAATATTGCATTTAATTTTGTCTAGAGTTCATTTTAACTGACAAAAACACATTCCTTTGCTGACAAATGAGTATGTGAATTGAATCCTCCTAACTGAATCTCTTGTGTGCTCCTGGCAGGGTAAAATTCAAATCAGCCTCCCACCTTTCGCTCTGCCTTCTTAGATTTTCTTCTAGAGTTAATTGGGCTCTTCCTGGTGACAAGCAACTTGATTTCTGAGAGAATATACAAATGCACATAGGCTAGTATGCATTTAATCATTTTCATTAATAACAATAAGCCCTTTCTGTAGTTTCTAAAGTATACAGAAGGATTGACTAAAGAACAGAAAAATATATTGTAGGAGTATTAGATATTAGAATACTAATTAAAAATATTTTTTAGAGTACACACTGGAGGCATCACTGATCCATAACTTGATTAGACATATTAATTTATCTTTATCATTTTTTCCTATAAATTTGCAGAAACATGTCAGTAGCTCTGAAATGAAAAAAATATGCATAGCCTATTAAAAGAGTTACATATGTTTTAATGTTTGTAAGTATAGTGTGAGGTTGTAAAGTGAAGTATATGAAGCATTATACCTTAGAGAGCATTCGTGGGGGTAGTTTGAGAAGTAAAAATATTTTTTAAAGGAAGGTAAATATACTTGTCTAGCAATACACCATATGCCATATTTATAGATTATCTGTTCCATGTAATATTAAAAATGAAATGCTCTAAATTTTCTAGTAAAATCTAGAGAAGAATATTCATGTATTATTTTCATATATTTATCTTTCTTCAGTTTAAGTGTAGAGAAGCAATAACAAATGTTTATAAAGCACTTGCTATTTTTCATTATTAGGTATGAGGGATATGGTAAAAAACCATTATTTTCATATTTAATAATCAAAACCTTTGAAATATTGGATCCAAAATGAATTTTACTGTGGTTGAAAAATATATCCCTGAGTCAGGAACATCTCTGTTTGGTATTTACAGAAAAAGACTACATTCACATGCACATACACACATACACAGAACGGTTATAGTATGTTCCCAATTTAATTAACCAAGGGTATGTAATTTTAGCAATGATAAACTGGCTACAATAAGCAGGAGCAGTTGCATCTATCTCAGCACCACAGAAACCTTGAAAAGGGGTAGGCAGATGCTGGCAACACTGTCCATTCACATGATTATCTTAGCAGGTCTGGAGTTCCAGTTTATGAGGGTACTTCATAAAAATTCTAAACATTTTATATAAATAAACTGTCAGCTCTCATTTAAGCTTTCTTTCTCTTTCTTTCTTTCTTTCTTTCTCTCTTTCTTTCTTTCTTTCCTTCCTTCTATTCTTTCTTTCTTCTCTCCTTCCTTCCTTCTTTCCTTCTTTCTTCTGTTTTCTTTCTTTTTCTTTTGCTTTCTTTTCCTTCCTTCCTTCCCCCCTTCCTTCCTTCCTTCCTTCCTTCCTTCCTTCCTTCCTTCCTTCCTTCCTCCCTCCCTCCCTCCCTCCTTTCCTTCTTTCTTTCCCTGTTTCTTTCTTTTTTTTTTTCTTTAATAATGATTTTTTCTGGTTCTGACTTAAATTCAGCAATGACAAGGCACGTCCTTTTCTGGAGGAGCAGAATAATTGTCCAGATGTCCCCAACTAACATTGTTGTAGTTTGCTGCATGATGATGATTTAATCTTCTTATATGTGGGGATTTCTAATACTGAGTTTAGTACAAATATCACAAGTGATTCTTCTCCCAAAGGCAAATTTTGTTTAAAAAAAATTTGTAGTCTAAGCCTATTAGCATACAACACAAACTCGCTCTTCTCATGTTCTAAGCAATTTTGTCTTTCAGTTTTAAATTACACTAAATTCCAAGTCTCATATACATGTCAATGGAGAGCTATTTATACTAAATAATAATGTTTGCACATGCACAAAAAGGAAGTAAAAGAAATAAAATATTCACGGCCATAAGACCTTGGTGATTTTTTTTCTTCTTGAGCTTAGATAGAGCAGAAAAATTAATTACCTGGCTATCATGTAGCTGCTCCTGCTCTGAATGTTCAGTTTACTGGGAATTTACTGTAGTCTTATAGTGTGTATTTGTATGTGTGTATGTTTGTGTGGATGCATGTGTGGTCTTTTCCTGTGAATTTATAACCAATCTGAAATGTGGCAAACCTTGCGTGAATTATTATGGACCCTTTATTTCTGTTATACAGTTTCTCCATTTTTCTGTGACACAGTGCGTGAAGCAGTATTTCAAAACATCTCACTCTGGTCCTCTTCCACAACAAGGCTTTAGGTATCTTTCAGGTAAGAGCAATGTATTACCTATTACGATGTAGCAAGTCACCTGCAAACTTACAGGCTTAAAACCAAACATATGTATTATCATGCAGAGTTTCTGAGGGTCAGAAATCTAGAAGCAATTTATCTGAGTCTCTCATGAGCGTATAGTCCTCATGAGATTAGCTGAGGTTGCAATTATCTGAAGGTTTGACTGGGGTTGGAAGATCTGCTTCTAAGGTCACTTAGGTGGCTCTCACCAGAAGGCCTCAGTTCTTCAGCACATGGTCCTCTCACAACATGGCATCTGACTTCCCCCAGAGCAAGTGATTCAACAGAGAGAGACAGAGAGAGAGAGAGAGAGAGAGACAGAGAGAGAGAGGCCAAGACAGAAGTTATATGCCTTTAATGTCTTAGTTGTAAAGTCACATAGCATTACTTCTGCATTTTTCTATTTGATAGAAATGAGTCATCAATTCCAGCCCACATGCAAGGAGAAGGTAATTAAGCTTCATCTCTTGAAGGGAGGAGTTAAAAAAAACTTTGGACACGTATAAAGTCAAAAGAATAGTTTCCTATTCATTATTGCATTCCCATAGAGAAACTAATACTCTTCCTATGGTCAATTAATTTTTTTTATCTTAATGCACTTTCATTACATTCATCCAACTAATTCCCAAAAACTGCACCCATATAATAAACATTAGTCAGCCAATATCTTCAGATAATAAATCATTAAAAATTTCCATTTGTATATTTGTCTTTTGATATAAAAAGTAAAATTAATTCAAATTTGGGTCATATAAATTATCATACACTTTAAATTCCATAGAGTCAACAAAAATGCCCACAAAAGTCCAGAGAATTTTTTTTTTTTGAGACGGAGTCTCACACTGTCACCCAAGCTGGAGTGCAGTGGTGCGATCTTGGCTCACTACAACCACCGCCTCCTGGGTTCAAGCAATTCTCCTCCTAAGCCTCCCAAGTAGCTGGGATTACAGGTGCTCACCACCACACTTGGCTAATTTTTTATATTTTTAGTAGAGACAGGGTTTCACTATGTTGACAAGGTTCATCTCAAACTCCTGACCTCGTGATCTGCCTGCCTCGACCTAATACTGCTCTTTTCCAGTGGTCTTAGCAAATGGCACACCAGGAGATTATATCCTGGCTCAGAGGGTCCCATGCCCATGGAGCCTCGCTTACTGCTAGCACAGCAGTCTGAGATTGAACTGCAAGGTGGCAGCAAGGCTGGGGGAGGGGCATCCACCATTGCTGAGGCTTGAGTAGGTAAACAAAGCAGCTGGAAAGCTCGAAATCGTTGGAGCCCACTGCCGCTCAAGGAGGCCTGCCTGCCTCTGTAGACTTCATTTCTGGGGGGCAGGGCATAGCTGAAAAAAAGGCAGCAGAAACTTCTGCAGACTTAAATGTCCCTGTCTGACAGCTTTGAAGAGAGTAGTGGTTCTCCCAGCATGGAGTCTGAGATCTGAGAATGGACAGACTGCCTCCTCAAGTGGGTCCCGGACACCTGCATAGCCTAACTGGGAAACACCTCCCAGTAGGGGCTGACTGACACCTCATACAGCTGGGTGCCCCTCTGATATGAAGCTTCCAGAGGAAGGATCAGGCAGCAACATTTGCCGTTCTGCAATATTTGCTGTTCTGCAGCCTCCGCTGGTGATACCCAGGCAAACAGGGTCTGGAGTGGACCTCCATCAAACTCCAACAGACGTGCAGCTGAGGGTCCTGACTGTTAGAAGGAAAACTAACAAACAGAAAGGACATCCACACCAAAACCTCATCTGTATGTCACCATCATCAAAGACCAAAGGTGGATAAAACCACAAAGATGGGGAGAAACCAGAGCAGAAAAGCTGAAAATTCTAAAAATCAGAGCGCCTCTTCTCCTCCAAAGGAGTGCAGCTCCTCACCAGCAACAGAACAAACCTGGATGGAGAATGACTTTGATGAGTTGAGAGAAGACAGCTTCAGACTATCGGTAATAACAAACTACCCCGAGCTAAAGGAGGATGTTTGAACCCATCGCAAAGAAGTTAAAACCTTGAAAAAAGATTAGACGAATGGCTATCTAGAATAAACAGTGTAGAGAAAACCTTAAATGACCTGATGGAGCTGAAAACCATGGCATGAGAACTATGTGATGCATGCACAAGCCTCAGTAGCTGATTTGATCAAGTGGAAGAAAGGGTATCAGTGATTGAAGATCAGATGAATGAAATGAAGTGAGAAGAGAATATTAGAGAAAAAAGAGTAAAAAGAAACAAACAAAGTCTCCAAAAAATATGGCACAATGTGAAAAGACCAAATCTACGTCTGATTGGTGTACCTGAAAGTGACAGGGAGAATGGAACCCAGTTGGAAAACACACTTCATGATATTATCCAGGAGAACTTCCCCAACCTAACAAGGCAGGCCAACATTCAAATTCAGGAAATATAGAGAATGCCACAAAGATACTCCTCGAGAAGAGCAACTCCAAAACACATAATTGTCAGATTCACCAAATTTAAAATGAAGGAAAAAATGTTAAGGACAGCCAGACAGAAAGGTCAGGTTGCCCACAAAGGGAAGCCCATCAGACTAACAGCAGATCTCTCGGCAGAAACTCTACAAGCCAGAAGAGAGTGGGGGCCAATATTCAACATTTTTAAAGAAAAGAATTTTCAACCCAAAATTTCATATCCGGCCAAACTAAGCTTCATAAGTGAAGGAGAAATAAAATACTTTACAGACAAGCAAATACTGAGAGATTTTGTCACCACCAGGCCTACCTTACAAGAGCTCCTGAAGGAAGCACTACACATGCAAAGGAACAACTGGTACCAGCCACTGCAAAAACATGACAAATTGCAAAGACCATTGATGCTATGAAGAAACTTCATCAATGGTCAGTTTCTTCATCAATGAGCAACATAACCAGCTAACATAATGACAGGATCAAATTCACACATAACAATATTAACCTTAAATGTAAATGGGCTAAATGCTCCAATTAAAAGACACAGACTGGCAAATTGGATAAAGAGTCAAGACCCATCAGTGTGCTGTATTCAGGAGTCCCATCTCACATGCAGAGACACACATAGGCTCAAAATAAAGGGATGGAGGAACATCTACCAAGCAAATAGAAAATAAAAAAAAGCAGGGGTTGCAATATTAGCCTCTGATAAAACATACTTTAAACCAACAAAGGTCAAAAGAGACAAAGGAGGCCATTACATAATGGTAAAGGGATCAATTCAACAAGAAGAGCTAACTATCCTAAATATATAGGCACCCAATACAGGAGCACCCAGATTCATAAAGTAAGCCCTTGGAGACCTACAAAGAGACTTAGACTCCTGCACAATAATAATGGGAGACTTTAACACTCCACTGTCAACATTAGACAGATCAACGAGACAGAAAGTTATCAAGGATTTCTGGGAATTGAACTCAGCTCTGCACCAAGCCGACCTAACAGACATCTACAGAAGTCTGCACCCCAAATCAGCAGAATATACATTCTTCTCAGCACCACATCTCACTTATTCCAAAATTGACCACATAGTGGGAAGTAAAGCACTCCTCAGCAAAAGTAAAAGAACAGAAATGATAACTGTCTCTCAGACCACAGGGCAATCAAACTAGAACTCAGGATTAAGAAACTCACTCAAAACTGCACAACTACATGGAAACTGAACAACCTGCTCCTGAAGGACTACTGGGTACATAATGAAATGAAGGCAGAAATAAAGATGTTCTTTGAAGCCAATGAGAACAAAGACACAACATACCAGAATCTCTGGGACACATTTAAAGTAGTGTGGAGATGGAAATTTACAGCACTAAATTCCCACAAGAGAAAGCAGGAAAGATCCAAAATTGACACCCTAACATCACAATTAAAAGAACTAGAGAAACAAGAGCAAACACATTCAAAAGCTAGCAGAAGGCAAGAAATAACTAAGGTCAGAGCAGAAATGAAGGAGATAGAGACATAAAAAACCCTTCAAAAAGCTCAATGAATCCAGGAGCTGGTTTTTTGAAAGGATCAACAAAATTGATAGACTGCTAGCAAGACTAATAAAGAAGAAAAGAGAGAAGAATCCAATAGACACAATAAAAAATGATAAAGGGGATATCACCACCGATGCCACAGAAATACAAACTACCATCAGAGAATACTATAAACACCTCTATGCAAATAAACTAGAAAATGTAGAAGAAATGGATAAATTCCTCGACACATACACCCTCCCAAGACTAAATCAGGAAGAAGTTGAATCCCTGAATAGACCAATAACAGGCTCTGAAATTGAGGCAATAATTAATAGCCTACCAACCAAAAAAAAAGTCCAGGACCAGATGGATTCAAAGCCAAATTATACCAGAGGTACAAACAGGAACTGGTACCATTCCTTCTGAAACTATTCCAATAAATAGATAAAGAGGAAATACCCCCTAACTCATTTTATGAGGCCAACATCATCCTGATACCAAAGCCTGGCAGAGACACAACCAAAAAAGAGAATTTTAGACTAATATCCCTGATGAATGTTGATGCAAAAATCCTCAATAAAATACTGGCAAACCAAATCCAGCAGCATATAAAAAAGCTTATCCACCACGATCAAGCTGGCTTCATCCCTGGAATGCAAGGCTGGTTCAACATACGCAAATCAATAAATGTAATCCAGCATATAAACAGAATCAAAGACAAAAACCACATGATTATCTCAATAGATGCAGAAAAGGCCTTCGACAAAATTCAACAGCACTTCATGCTAAAAACTCTCAATAAACTAGGTATTGATGGGATGTATCTCAAAATAATAAGAGCTATTTATGACAAACCCACAGCCAATATCATACTGAATGGGCAAAAACTGGAAGTGTTCTCTTTGAAAACTGGCACAAGAGAGGGATGCCCTCTCTCACCACTCCTATTCAATATAGTTTTGGAAGTTCTGTCCAGGGCAATCCATCAAGAGAAAGAAATAAAGGGTATTCAATTAGGAAAAGAGGAAGTCAAATAGTCCCTGTTTGCAGATGACATGATTGTATATTTAGAAAACCCCATCGTCTCGGCCCAAAATCTCTTTAAGCTGATAAGCAACTTCAGCAAAGTCTCAGGATACAAAATCAATGTGCAAAAATCACAAGCATTCCTATACACCAATAACAGACAAACAGAGAGCCAAATCATGAGTGAACTCCCATTCACAATTGCTTCAAAGAGAATAAAATACCTAGGAATCCAACTTACAAGGGATGTGAAAGACCTCTTCAAGGAGAACTGCAAACCAATGCTCAATGAAATAAAAGAGGACACAAACAAACTAAAGAAAATTCCATTTGGGAGGCCGAGGCGGGCGGATCACGAGGTCAGGAGATCGAGACCATCCTGGCTAACACGGTGAAACCCCGTCTCTACTAAAAATACAAAAAATTAGCCGGGCGAGGTGGCGGGCGCCTGTAGTCCCAGCTACTCGGGAGGCTGAGGCAGGAGAATGGCGTGAACCCCAGGGGGCGGAGCCTGCAGTGAGCCGAGATTGCGCCACTGCACTCCAGCCTGGGCGACAGCGAGACTCTGTCTCAAAAAAAAAAAAAAAAAAAAAAAAGAAAATTCCATGCTCATGGGTAGGAAGAATCAATATCATGAAAATGGCCATATTGCCCCAGGTAATTTATAGATTCATTGCCATCCCCATGAATCTACCAATGACTTTCTTCACAGAATTGGAAAAAACTACTTTAAAGTTCATATGGAACCAATAAAAGAGCTTGCATTGCCAAGACAATCCTAAGCCAAAAGAATAAAGCTGGAGGTATCATGCTACTTGACTTCAAACTATACTACAAGGCTACAGTAACCAAAACAGCATGGTACTGGAACCAAAACAGAGACATAAACCAATGGAACAGAACTGAGCCCTCAGAAATAATACCACACATCTACAACCATCTGATCTTTGATAAACCTGACAAAAACAAGCAATGGGGAAAGGATTCCCTATTTAATAAATGGTGCTGGGAAAACTGGCTAGCCATATGTAGAAAGCTGAAACTGGATCCCTTCCTTACACCTTATACAAAAATTAATTTAAGATGGATTAAAGATTTAAATGTTAGACCTAAAACCATAAAAACCCTAGAAGAAAACCTAGGCAATACCATTCAGGACATAGGTATGGGCAAGGACTTCATGACTAAAACACCAAAAGCAATGGCAACAGAAGCCAAAATTGACAAATGGGATCTAATTAAACTAAAGAGCTTCTGCACAGCAAAAGAAACTACCATCAGAGTGAACAGGCAACCTACAGAAAGGGAGAAAATTTTTACAATCTACCCATCTGTCAAAGGGCTGATATCCAGAATCCACAAATAACTTAAACAAATTTACAAGAAAAAAATCAAACAACCCCATCAAAAAGTGGGCAAAGGATATGAACAGACACTTCTCAAAAGAAGACATTTATGCAGCCAAAAGACACATGAAAAAATGCTCATCATCACTGGCCATCAGAGAAATGCAAATCAAAACCACAATGAGATACCATTTCATACCAGTTAGAATGGTGATCATTAAAAAGTCAGGAAACAACAGGTTCTGGAGAGGATGTGGAGAAATAGGAACACTTTACACTGTTGGTGGGACTGTGAACTAGTTCAACCATTGTGGAAGACACTGTGGTGATTCCTCAAGGATCTAGAGCTAGAAATACAATTTGACCCAGCCATCCCATTACTGGGTATATACCAAAAGGATTATAAATCATGCTGTTATAAAGACACATGCACACGTATGTTTATTGTGGCACTATTCACAATAGCAAAGACTTGGAACCAACCCAAATGTCCATCAATGATAGACTGTATTAAGAAAATGTGGCACATATACACCATGGAATACTATGCAGCAATAAAAAATGATGAGTTCATATCCTTTGTAGGGACATGGATGAAGCTGGAAACCATCATTCTCAGCAAACTATCACAAGGACAGAAAACCAAACACCGCATATCTCAGATGATAGGTGGGAGCTGAACAGTGAGAACACTTGGACACAGGGTGGGGAATATCACACACTGGGCCTGTTGTGGGGTGGGGGGAGGGAGGAGGGATAGCATTAGGAGATATACCTAATGTAAATGACGAGTTAACAGGTGCAGCACACCAACATGGCACATGTATACATATGTAACAAACCTGCACATTATGCACATGTACCCTAGAACTTAAAGTATAATAAAAACTAAAATAATAAAATAAAAATAAAAGTAGTAAAAAATTGATATGTTACATTAGAGAAAGTATATATAGCTCCAAGACACTGATCTTTACTACTTAGTAGGAAATTTTTTTTTCTTTTTCTGCTTCTCTAAATCCTCTGATATTACAGGTAAAATAAGGTGAAGTTTGTGTCTGAAAATAATATAACTTAAGTTTCATATAGTTGACACAAATGATGCTGGCAAATAAATGTATCACCAGCAAATTTTTTTTGGATGACATTAGTTCTTATTGATTTAAAACAAGAATGTAATGGCTTAAGGACTGAAAGCAATATATACTTCACGGCACAGTACATACTAACATCATTCATATCAAGAGAAAACAAAATGCCGATACACCACTGTGTTTCTTTAAATGAAGATACAATAGCAATTTCCATGGGGAAAAACCTACTCTTTTCATTCTACCTTTCTATTTCTTTCCAAGTGGTAGAAAATCTAATGTACTATGCCAAAGTCCAGGACTCTGTTTCGTCTATTCTCACTAGTGATAGCAGTTTAAAACATCTAGAATGGCTGGGCACAGTGGTTCATGCCTGTAATCCCAACACTTTGGGAGGCCAAGGTAGGTAGATCAAGAGGTCGGGAGTTTGAGACCAGCTTGCCCAAGATGGTGAAACCCTGTCTTTACTAAAAAATACAAAAATTAGCTGCGTGCGGTGGCAGGCGCCTGTAATCCCAGCTATTGGAGGCTGAGGCAGGAGAATCACTTGATCCCGGGAGGTGGAGTTTGCAATGAGCAGAGATAGCACCACTGCACCCTAGCCTGGGAAAGAGAGCAAGAATCCATCTCAAACCACAACGACAACAAAATCGATCTGGCAGATATGTATCTCTATATTTTTACTTACTTGTCTTTGTGATTGTGAAACAATAACATGATTTAAGCTCATCTTGCAGTCCATTCTTTTTCTCTGATCAATTAGTGGAATCTCGAAACTGAATCGTAGCCGTAATCCCTGACTTACTTGTTCTCCCTCTTAGATTTTATCTTTTCATGTTTGTAGAAATATGAGAGTAAGAATTTGATGATTGTTCTATCTTCTCTCTGTTCTCTTTTTTTGCACATTACACCAGGATAGTTCTAATACTGGAGCTGGAGGCAGGCAGCTCTGCTGAGCTTGACAATAGGCATCAGGAAAAACTGTGAACTGAGAAGCATGCTTCAGATTCAAGGTTCTGGTAATTATGTATTAAATATCTCACAATTTAACAGTGTCATGTAGGAAAATTCTTAGGAATTTGAGCCAATACATGGAAAGAGTCTACTGCTTGAGGAGAAAAGTGTTAGTATTATGCAGAAAAATAGTCTTTAATTGTTAGATGAGAACTCATAAAAGATTATAAATCATTAACACTTTGTGTCTTCAGCTTTTGAATTATTGGTATTATTATTGTTATTAAGTTCAAGTATTTGTCTTTAGTAGGCAGACCTAAACTCTGTTATCATGTTTTGGACTTCATGCAGTAATAAAGGGTAAGCAATGAAAAAATTAACTTGGAGATTCCTATAGGTTTTCCACCAACTCTTTCACACTGTCCCTACCATGTGCTTTTAAATTGATTCTCATTTGTTTAGTTGATAAGCTCAGCCAAAGCTGTAGATGTCATAGGTACAGATCATGGCCTATTCACCTTCCAGGTAATGTAATCAATAATGGATGAAGAACAATAAGGCCCTTTATTATATATAAACATGTCATCTTCTGGGCTGGGGAAAAAAACACAAAGGAGTTGTTAAAAACCCAAGAATTCTTGGCATACTCTAGCCATCAGATTTTATTAAAAGCTATGAGAAAACTGTAGTGAAGGGGCTAGACCTCTTCTAAATGGAATATATTAGCAGAAATATATTAATGAAAATTAGAAAAAGAATATATGAAATTTATAAAATACAGATACTAATCTTGCAGTTAATAAGTAGAACGGTGGAAATGCATAACCAATGTAAAAACTAGTTTTGACCCTACAGAAATGCAGGATTATTTATTTCTTTATTTTACCTTGTCCACAGGTACTGCATAAAAGTAGTTAGGATCTTTTTTTTTTGTCTTTTTGAGACAAAATGAAACATTAGAGGAATTTACCAAGGAGACATGTAAAGACAACATGGAAAAGAAAGCATATGCTGTAACTGAAATAGTTATTCAGGGATTGGAAAGTGAATGTACTAAAGGAAGGAAAGCTAATAGGTTTATATTACTGAAGAAATATTGATCCTTGCTATCATCCTAAGTATACCAACAATGGTATCAATTACCAGAAGTTTATCTTCAGGAATCTATTGAGTGTGATCCTTCAGCTAGGGCAAACTTAGGAAAGAGGTAGATATGTGCCATGTATGTGAGAATTTCTAGAACAACTACAGCTCTAGATAGCCTGAGAATTCTAAATACAGGGATTTAAGTGGAAAATTGGGATTGTGGGTAACGCAAAGTCAATAACCTTTCTTGGAGACTGGCTTCCAACAAATGTGGTATTTCTCCTTTTCTCCGAAGGGAAGTCGAGATTACATCCCTAAAGATGATCCACACTCAACTTTGCACTGGAATATCTGGTAAGAAAGATTCAAAAAAGAAGTGAAACTAAGACGTTTTAAATATATTGGGTAGATACTAAAAAAAGAAGTAGGAACTTTGAGGAAATATATTATAAAACTATTTTTTCCATAAGAAAGAGTATTTCAAATAGTCTCTACTAAAAATAACGTATGGCCATATGCAGTGGCTCACTCCTGTAATCCCAGCACTTTGGGTGACCGAGGCGGGTGGATCACTTGAGGTCAGGAGCTCGAGACCAGCCTGGCCAACATGGTGAAACCCCATCTCTACTAAAAATACAAAAATATTAGCCAGGTGTTGTGGCAGGCGCCTATACTCCCAGCTACTCCAGAGGCTGAGTGAAGCAGGGGAATCACTTGAACCCTGGAGGCGGAGTTTGCAGCGAGCCGAGGTCGCGCCACTGCACTCCGGCCTAGGTGACAAGAGCAAAACACCGTCTCAAAAAAAAAAAAAAAAGGCATGTATGAGTGAGTTTCTCCCAAATATATAAACATCATAAAACCATAACTGACATTTTGATGGAAAATTTCTTCCACTCGAGTCATATTCACTTGTAGTAAATCTTGATAGTGAGCTTGCACTAGCTTTCATTCCAGTGAAGCTGAAACCAGGATTTTTGTCTACACTGTGTCTTCTCCCCATGGTAGAGAGGATAGTGTGGATTCTTAGGTATGCTTCATGACTGACAATAGCAAAGTGAGGCATTCCTTCTGTTTAATGTATGTTAATTTAGTTATAATGTTGATTATATATTAGATAGATGTAGAACTAGCTTGTGTTACTTTCATGTGTACCATTGCTTCTTCCAAGGAATGTTTGAACAGTTTCTATCTTTGGAAGTTGCTGAAAGAGCTATATCAGCTTCAGCGGTGGAAAGCACAGGCTCTAGGCATTGAAGAAATAACATAGTACATCTAAGCACTTCATT
Source organism: Homo sapiens (assembly GCF_000001405.40). Lineage (NCBI taxonomy): Eukaryota > Metazoa > Chordata > Mammalia > Primates > Hominidae > Homo > Homo sapiens. The sequence goes on along the minus strand of NW_025791754.1, from coordinate 33,436 downwards.
GTATCCCATCTTTATGGATAAAAGGAATAAAAACAACTTTGGGAAGAGATTCTAATATTTGAATAAGTGTTTTAATGTGGGGATGGTTTTTTCAGTATTAAAATTTTTGATTATTTACAATTTATTTTGAAAAACCAAATGAAAGAATTATTGAGCAACAAGGCATTTAATTAAAAATGTGGTGAAGAGAGAAAAAAATTCATATTGTGACTTAAAACTAGCCCATTTTCTTTCCAAATAAAAGGCAATAGCTATCTTACGGACAATATTCCTATATATTGCTATCTTATGGACAATATTCCAAGACACAAATGAGTCCCAGTTACTGATCCATCATTAACCTTCCCCTTTCAAGGTCTCTGAAAACAAGAGATGTATTCAGATAGTCAATATCTGCTCCTGATTTGTGTGGCCAGCTTTCCACTGCTAGGTTTATACATCCTTGCTAACTAAATTGGGAACTTACTGTAGCTTACAGAGAGGGTATATGTGAATTTGTGCACACATGTGTGTTTGTGTGTGTATGTGTATGTGTGTTCTTTTCCTGCAAACAAATAACTTATCTGAAATGTTGCAGCCCCTATATAACTTACTAGTGGACCCATTGTTCCTATTAAACAATTTCCCCATATATCTGTTACACAAATAAGCAGGAAGGAGATGATGAAGAGTTTCAATTTTTTTCTAAATGTAGGTGATTAGAATTCACTGATGTGTTTTCAGTAGAAGACGGATACGATCATCTGATTTCTACTTTTGTAAGGTTACTTTAGATATTGAGTAGAGAATAGACTGGAGGGAGGCAAGTGTTAAAAAGGCTGGAGGGATGCAAGTGTTAAAGTTAGAAGGTTATTGAAATTTTTATAAATAATTTTACTTTTTTTAGATACTTTAAACTTACAAGAATACAGAAGTCATGTTATGTGGCCAAAGAAATCTCTAGTTACTAAGAAGCTGGCTGATATACCAAAATGATATATTTGCTTTCATAAAATTAATCTCAAAAACTAGAAATGCTCCTTGATTCCTTTAACATGCACTTGTAGTTATAATTGCACTGAATTTATCTAAACACTTTTGGAAAACTATTTATGTTTTCATACAACTCTATAGCTAAGTAATTACACAATTCTATATATTTCAACTTATTTTTTAATGTACCTTTTCCAGGAGTGATGCCAACAAGATGATGGAGTAGAAGACAGAGCCTTCATTCTGTCCCCCTGCAAAGTAACAATTAATTAGACAGATATCAATGAATGAAATACTAAGAGGGCAAAATAATCCAATTAAAAACCTTCAGCATCACCATGGAACAAGGAAACATGGACAAAATCTGTACACAAAGGAACACTGAGAAGATCAGCATACTTGAGACTCCTGGAGATGACGAGGAACCTCCTAATGGCTAGTTTTTCAACCCACAACCAGTGTCCCTCACATGGGAAGCTTGTTTATACTAGAAGACTCCCTTGTATCTGATTTCTGACCAATTACAACTGTGTGACCATTGCTGTATGCCGCAGCTGGGAGCTTGAACAACAACAACAACAAAAATGGCATGGATATCAGTACCAGCCACATGGTGAGTGCCAACATGGTTCCCAGTGGCCTTCTCTGCAGAGCACCTTGGCAGACTTTGCCACTGAGGGTTACAACAGCCCATATGGCATCTGCCGATTCACCATAGCCTTCACAGCAAAGGTGCCATTAGTGTTTATTGGCATGGACCCCAGCAGCCGGCTCTGCAGAGGATACTGGCAGTTTTTGCCACTGAGCTAACCAACAGCCATCATAGAAACAAACCTCCTTGGAGAGGGAGATGCTGCTGGTATCCCTACCCATAAGAAGAAGCTACTGTTGTGCCACTCAGAGATCAGTGTTATTAAAGCCCCAGCTACATTGGGGTTCCAGTACTAAAGAGGCTAATAACCCTGTTCTAATGGGAAATAAAGGGAAGCTGGATATGGGTGTTTTATGGTGTGATTTTCACATGACACTACTTTTACCTGGCAGACAGCCTAATGGCTAGTTGTCCCACCCACAGATAGGGGTCTCTCACATGTGAAACTTGTTTATACTGGAAGACTTCCTTGAGTCTGTTTCCTGACCAGTTATGACTGTCTGACCATTGCTCTATGCTGCAGCTGGGAGCTTGATCTCATGTTCTCCCTGGCATCCCAGGGAAAGTGGGGCCTGAGGAAGCCTCTAATTCTTCAGATGGAAGGTGCAAATTCTGTAACTACCAGAACAGAAAATAAATCCAAAGATTTTTACTTACAGATTCTAGGCAAGGAAAGTGTAATGAGTTCAAGAGGGCAATCATTCATCCTCGGATCTTGTGTGTCATCAAGGAAGAGTTTGGCAGAGAAAGGGAGATGCATGTGGCAACTAGCAGTACAAATAAAGAAACAGGATGTGAGTCACTTTAAGTTAAAAGGCAAATAGCTGAATGGTTCATTTAAAGGATAGCAGTGGGAAAGCAAGGAGCCCAATCTGCTAGGCAGGAGAGATGACTCTAACTTCTTATCTCTGGCAACTGACTTGAGTCATTTGGGTGAGATGTAGAACTGGACTCTTGTAAATGGTGCCAGAACTCTACTTCTGGTATGAGAAAGTTAAACTTGTAGTCAAAATGGATACTTAGGCAATAAAGAGTTATAAAAATTTATTGCCACTGGGATCACCACTCTCCCCAATCCTGTGTAGTCCCTGAACCTTAGAGCCACTCTGCTCCATACTGCCCTGCACTCCAGATCCTAATTACACAGCACTTTGTGATCACCTGCACCTTGGTAATTGGAGCCACCCCTACAACAAGCTAGCCTCCATCCAGATTCCAGGGGTGCTGTAGCTTGGTGTGTACTTGAGCTCTGCACTCCAGCTCCATGGCCACACCACAGGCATCATGCATCGAACATGCATACTATCACCAAGAGCATGTACATGACCTGGACCTGATGCCAAGGGAGATTCTCTCTCCCATAAGAAAAGAAAAAAAAAATAGAACAGGAGGACACCAGCAGGCTTCACCAAAAAAACCTCAATAGCCTTTACTATGTTTATAGACATCCATAACGCTAGCTGCTGAGGGCCCCTGCAATCTTAACTAATGCTGGCCTCAGCTGACAGAGCTTCATAGAGGCAGTGCTCTCACCAGAGCTGGAACCATCTCACCCTACACAGCCAGAGAGAGCCCTTACATTCACACATAGGTGAAGGTCTTTCTCCACTAAAACTAGTTGATAAAGTCCAGAAGAGGTGATTGTCCATTACATAGACATTAATTTAAGGCAACAGGAAACACACACACACACACACACACACATACGCACTCCACCACCAACAGGTACACCAACAACAAGAAAAAAATGACAATACCAAATAATAAGGAAGAAAATAAATTTCTAGTAACTGACTCCAAAGAAATAGAAATTTTCCGACAAACAAAATCAAAATAATTGTTGTTGAAAAGCTCAGTTGAACTACAAAAGAATATAGGTTTAAAAGATCAAAAATATCAGAAAACAATATGAAGAGAGACCCCTTGGTATCAATGGGAAACTGGTTCCAGGACTCCTTGTGGATGCAAAAATCTGTGCATACTCATGTTCTGCAATTTGTCCTGTGAAACTCAGGAATATGAAAAGTCAGCACTCCATACACATCGGTTTTGCATCCCACAAATGCTGTATTTTTAATTCACTATTTGTTGTGGAGTCAGAATCCATGGATAGGAAGAGTCCTCTGTATTTATTTTAAATCTGTGTATAAGTGGACCTATACAGTTCAAACTTGTGTTGTTCAAGAGTCAACTGTATAAGGAAAATAAGAAGTTCAATGAAGAAATAAAAAATTTTAAAAAGAAAACAAACTCTGAAGCTGAAGAAGACAATGAGCTAAATAAAAAAATACTATCTATTTATCTATCTATCTATCTATCTATCTATCTATCTATATATATATATATGTAAAATCTGCAGCAAATGTGAGAAGGAATATGTGAACTTGAAAACAAGTCATTAGAAAATATCTAGTAAGAGGAGAGAAAAAAATGAAGAAAGTCTATGGGATATATGGGACACTGTCAAGAGAACTAATTTTCACATAATAGATCTGTAGAAGGAAAAAAGAAAAAGGAGCAGAAAACTTACTTAAAGAAATAATGGATAAATCTCCCCAATTATGGGGATACATACAGACACCCAGGTACATGATCCTAAAAAGTCTCCAATAATGTTGAATCCAAAAAAGAGTTCATCAACAGCTGTCGACATCAAATTGCCAGAAATCAAAGACAAAGAAAAAAAATAGTGAAAGCAGCATGAGAAAAGAGATTCCTCACAGAAAAGGGGACCTCCAAGAGACTGTCAACTGATTTTATGGAAAAAAAATATGGTAGGTCAGGAAAGAATAGGATGGTATATTCAAAGAAGAAGAAGTAGAAGAGAAGAAGAAGTAGAAGAGGAAGAGGAGGAGGATGAGGAGTAAGGGGAAGGGGAAGAGGAAGGGGAAGAAGACTAGCAAGCGAAAATACTTTATCTGGCAAATCTGTCCTTCAGAACTGAAGATAAAAATTTCCCAGGCAAACAAAAGTTGAGGAAGTTCATCACCACTGCACCTCCTTACAAGACATGCTAAAGGGGGCGCTTCAAGCTGAAGCAAAAGGATGCAATTACTAACATGAAAACATATGAGAAAATAAAGCTCACTGGTAAAGCAAATATATAGTCAAATACTGAACACTCTGATACTGTAATGGCAGTGTGTAAATCACTTTTAACTGTAATTAAAAGTTAAAAGACAAAATATTAAAAATAACTGTTAGTGAATATACAATATAAAAATGTAAATTGTGACATTAAAAACATAAAATATGAGGGAAATAGAATAAAAGTGCATAACTTTCTATGTGATTAAAATTATATTGTTAGCTTAAAATAGACTAACTACAGGAGGCTTTATTACCTTATGGTAATCACAAAGCAAAAGCTTATAGTAGATACACATAAGATAATGGGACAGGAATCAAAACATGCTGCTACAGAAAATCATCAAATCACAAAGGAAGACAGCAAGAGATGAAGAGCACAAAACAGCCAGAAATCAATTAATAAAATGGCAAAAGTAAGTGCTTGCCTATCAATAATTACCTTGAATGTGAATAGATTAAGCCTCTTAGCAAAATACATAGAGTGGCTCAACCCATAAAAAGCAAGGTCCAATTATATCCTTCTGCATTAGTTTGCTTTGGTTGCCATAACAAAATACCACAGATAGCGTGGCATAAACAGAAATTTGTGTCTTACAGTTCTGCGGGCTTGGAAGTACAAGATTAATGTTCTGAGTGATTCAATTTCTCGTGAGAACTTGCCCTTTCTCTCTACTATGTGAGAATACAAGTCTGGCTGCCTTCTCCCTGTATCTTCATATGGTAGAGAGAAAGCAAGCTCTTCTGCTCTTAAAAGGGTGCTAATCTCATCATGAGGTCCTTACCCTTATTGCCTCATCTAACTCTAATTATATCCCAAAGCCTCTACCTCAGATACTGTCTCATTGGAAATTAGGATTGCAATGTATAAACTTTGGGGAGACACAAATATTCAGTACTTAACAACTGCCATCTCTGGACTTCTCCAAAATTTATTGTATCTTTCTTCATATGTGGCCTCCAGAGCTGCCCATGTGATTATTAACACATCATTTATAAATGGGTAGAGCAATGCTGCCCATCTTGTTTCACACACCTGTACAATGTCATTTGTTACTTATTGACCGAAATTATCAGTCATATAACAAGGCATAGATTAGGGTTTAGTTGTTTTCACTGGGACAAATCTCAGGGGAAAAAAAGCGTCTTTTCAGAAATTTTCTTTTTCTTTATTATTATTATTATTATATTTAATAAAGTTTTAGGGTACATGTGCACAACGTGCAGGTTAGTTACATATGTATACATGCGCCATGCTGGTGCACTGCACCCACTAACTCGTCATCTAGCATTAGGTATATCTGCCAATGCTATCCCTCCCCGCTCCCCCCACCCCACCACAGTCCCCAGAGTGTGATGTTCCCCTTCCTGTGTCCATGTGTTCTCATTGTTCAATTCCCACCTATGAGTGAGAATATGCGGTGTTTGGTTTTTTGTTCTTGCGATAGTTTACTGAGAACGATGATTTCCAATTTCATCCATGTCCCTACAAAGGACATGAACTCATCATTTTTTATGGCTGCATAGTATTCCATGGTGTATATGTGACACATTTTCTTAATCCAGTCTATCATTGTTGGATATTTGGGTTGATTCCAAGTCTTTGCTATTGTGAATAATGCCACAATAAACATACGTGTGCATGTGTCTTTATAGCAGCATGATTTATAGTCCTTTGGGTATATACCCAGAAATTTCTAAATACTGTAAACTCATATCACAGTCATTAAGTCTAACATGCAAAGACACTAGAAGAACACAAAGTTCAGATTTTTAAAATATTGAGATTTCAGTGGTCAATTGTGAGACTTCAAAGAGACGGCAGTCAAAACTTCATGACTTTATAATATGATTATTTCTTCATTAATAAGCACCAAAAGTCAATTTTCTCTAAATTTAAAATCTGGCTACTCTTTAGTATTGTATATTGAAGAGCAAAACATCCCTTGTCTTGTGCCGTGAATATGATAAATGTTATGTTATAAGATTTTTATGGTCAGGCGCAGTGGCTCATGCCTGTAATCCCAGCACTTTGTGAGGCCAAGGCTGGTGGATCACTTGAAACCAAGAGTTCAAGACAAGCCTGCCCAACGTGGTAAAATCCCATCTCTACTAAAAATGTAAAAATTAGCCAGACCTGGTGGCATGTGCCAGTAGTCCCAGCTACTTGGGAGGCTGAGGCATGAGAATTGCTTGAACCCGTGAGGTCTCGCCACTGCACTCCAGCCTGGGGGACGGACAGAGATCTTGTCTCAAAAAAAAAAAAAAAAAAAAGAAAGAGAAAGAAAGAAAGCAAGAAAACAAGAAAGAAGGAAAGAAAAATTTTTGTGGTTATGCATTATTTATTATAACAATCAATTTAAGAATTTTAAATAACATTTATCAAAGCTGAAAGTTTACATAAACAGTATTTGTATGAATGTATGATGCCCCCTGTAAATTTCCTAATCCTAGCAGCTATCAGTTTGGTGTGTAGAGCTTTCTGGATGACGTCACATGTATTGTTAGCTCATTCCCTGACCCCGTGTGAGTTATCTGTATCATAGTAGTTAGTCTGATTACTCGTTTACTCTTTTTTTTTTTTTTTTTTTTTTTTGAGACGGAGTCTCACACTGTCACTGTCACCCAGGCTGGAGTGCAGTGGCGCTATCTCTGCTCACTGCAAGCTCCGCCTCCCAGGTTCATGCCATTCTCCTGCCTCAGCCTCCCGAGTAGCTGGGACTACAGGCATGAGCCACCACGCCCGGCTAATTTTTTATATTTTTGGTAGAGACGGGGTTTCACCATATTACCTAGGATGGTCTCGATCTCCTGAACTCATGATCTGCTCGCCTCGGCCTCCCAAAGTGCTGGGATTACAAGCGTGAGCCACCTCACCTGGCCTACTCATTTACTCTCATCTTTCATCGTGGAAATCTAAATAAAGACCAAAATACTTGTAATTTTAAACATTGAAACAAATGTGAGCTATACATTCATTAAAGAAATGTTAATAAAACAAGTAAGAATACTTACCCAATTTTTGGTGAGTCAGTGAGTGACAGTGGTCATAACGATGGTGGGTTAAGTAAAGAAATAAATGTTTGCAAAGTGAAAATTGTAAAGAGCACCTCCTACCACCACAGAGTTTAAAAAAAGACAATGAAACATATGGTGGGCTCACTGAGCACTTTCCTACAGAATTGTTCATTGTTGTGCATCTGTATGATTACTGTATACCTTATGAATTTTTATTTTACAATTATTTATATTCATTCATTTATTTATTTTCCAACTCATTTATTCCAGTTCAGGGTCATGGATGGTCAGAGCCTATCCCAGCAGTTCAGGGCCCAAGGTGAGAACCAACTCTGGACAGAATGCCATCCATTGAGGGACATATTCACACATATATCTATACTCACTTAGACTGAGACTATTTAGACACACAAATTCACCTAATGTGCACATCTGTGGGAAGTGAGATAAACCTGGAATACTGGGAGAAAACCCGTACAGATGTAGGAAGAACATTCACATTCAACACAACAGTGGCCCTCAGGTGGTAATCAATTTTTTCTCATTTACATAATAAAATGACATTGAATGAAATGGCATTATTTAAGGACCTGCTGTATCCTACTCTCCTTGGTTAATTTCCTTAGAATTACTACTACACATGTTCCCCAGGTTTCTAATATATATTAGCTAATATATATTGCTAATATATATTAGCAAAATCCTGCAATTCTTCTTGTTTCTAAGCTCCTTTCTTCAGAAGTCTAGTGTAAAAAGTTCACCCTTGAACAATTCAGGGTTAGGGATCTTTACCCAGCTCCTTTCACCCTCCCTTAGTTGAAAATCCACTTATAACTTTTGACTCTTCCAAAATTTAACTACTAGTAGCCTACTGTTGATCAGAAGCCTTGCTGATAACATAAACAGTCGCTTAACACATATTTTATATGTTACATGTGTTATTATACTGTATTCTTACAATAAAGTAAGCTAGAGAAAAGGAAATTATATTAAGAAAATTATAAGAAAGAGAAAATATATTAACTGTTCATTAAGTGGAAGTGGATCATCATAAAGGTCTTCATCCTCATAGTTTTCACATTGAGTAGGCTGAGGAGGAGAAGGAAGAGAGGGCTCAGGAGTAGAGAGACAGAAGAGATGGAGGAGGTGTAAATATGAGCAGGAGAGGCAGGCACACTTGGTATGACTTTATAGAAGTACATGGTAATTTCTGTCTGACATTTTTTGGTTTTTCATTTCTCTAGCAATCTTTCTATACAGTACCAATCCTTCCACCATTTGCTTTAGTTTCAGTGCCCATATCACAGATGGGTCCATGTCATAAAAGAAGTCAAAAGCAATCTTTAATACTTCGAATCCTTCTGCCAGATTGTCTGGCAATTGATTTTCTAGCACTGCTTCTTCTGTCTCTTTTTTCTGATCATCTGGCACTGGCTCAGATGCACCCATCTTCATCAAGTTGTCTTCTGTTAATTCTGCCACTCTGGTCTCTATTAACTCTCTACTTTCTCCAAGATTTGTATCTTAAAACCCTTCACCCCTGATCTTTTTTTTTTTTTTTTTTTTTTTTTGCCATATCCACAGTGTCTTTTATACTATCCTTAATTGGCTTTGTCATAAATACGGGAAGCCATGCACAGCATTTGAACACAGTTTACTCCAGCAGGAATGTATTGTTTTGGGCTTGATGGCATTTGTGGCATTCTCTATAACAATGACATTTTCAATGGTGTAACCGTTCCATTCCCTCTATCGGAATTATGTTCCATAGCATTGACAATCTTTTTCATAGAGTACTGTGTGTAGTGAGCCTTAAAAATCCTTATGACTCCCTGATCTAGAGGTTCAATTAGAGATACTGTGTTTGGGGGCAAGTAAACCACTTTGATTCCTTTAGTGTTGAATTCCTGGGATTCTGGGTGGTCAGGGGCATTTTTCAATATGAAAATAACTTTAAAATTAGTCCCTCACTGGCAAGATACATCTTGTCTTCAGGGGCTAAGCATCAACAGAATCAATGCCAAAAAGGGTTCTTGTTTTTCAGACATTCTTATTGCAGAACCAAAAGATTGACAACTGATGTTTATCTTTTCCCTTTGGGGCTTGGGGGGATGGGGGCAGTCCTGATCATAAACCTGAGGGCTTGTAGCAATCCTGCAATCAAATAAAAGCTGAGTTTTCATTAGGAAAAATACCTAATGTAGATGATAGGTTGATGGGTGCAGCAAACCACCATGACACGTGTACACCTCTGTAACAAGCCTGCACGTTCTGCACACGTATCCCAGAACTTAAAGTATAATAATAATAATAAAAAGAAATTTCTACTACATAGTTTCTTTTGCTACATTTCCCCAACTGACCAAGGTTTTATTCTATTTACAAATTTCTAACTCCTGGAACAAGTAGAAATCTAAACAAGAATAGCAATTCTGACTAAAGGAGAGTATTCTAACTCCTAAAACATCTCAAGATTCATTTTGTTTGTTATAAATCCAGCTACTCTAGCTTTCTTTGGCTAATACTTAAATTAAACCTTATATTTAGTGGTATTTATGGTAAAAAGCATATACTTAATTTTCTTCTGTTATTCATTATAATCCCTAAGTTTAACCCATGTATTTTCTCCATTTGCATTTATTGTGATTACTAATATACCTAAATTTATTTTTACTATATTATTTAATGCTATTAACCTTGTTTTTTCTATGACTTTTTATTTCCTCCTTTCTGGCATTTATTGCTTGCTTATACTATCTTGAAAACTATATACAATATTTCTATCCTTTTAAGTGATGACTTTAAAAGTCAATATGCATATCTGACTTATTCCCTCACAAAAAAAGCTGCATTTTCAATACGAGATAAGAGGATATTTTGCAAAAAGTGTAAGGACTTTGTTCCTGCTGGAGTAGCTGCAGTGATGGCTTTGTGAATTCCCTTTTCTTCTTTTACAATGGTCCTTAGGCTGGATTCATTTATCTTGAAATGGCGGGAAACTGCAGCTGTAGACCTCAATCTGTAGTACATATCAAGCATTTCAACTTTTTTCTTCTAATGTCATGACTTTTCTCTGCTTCTTGGGAGCACTTCCAGCATCACAAGTGGCATTTCATATGGGTCTCATGGTGTCACTCAAGGTTTACAGTATTATAGTAAGCATGATGAAAAATGCACAAGAACAAGGAAAGATTACTTTTTACCGAGATACACAATTTACTTGGAGAGGCAAACTACTCATGAGGAGTTGATCATTGTCACATGACACTTTAAGCCTGTACCCACAACATTTGAGCCCACCACAATAGCAATAGGAGTTGGCTATGAAATTACTACAGATGTAGTTATGATTGAATACTGCATCTTTAGGTTTCTCTCAGTTGTAAATGGCGCCATGTATGGTCTGTATATTTTAGTGTAAGTTTTGATAAATTTCAACTTTTTATAATAGACTTGTGTATATTTTATGGTAGTAAATGACAAAATAAACTAGCATCTACATATATTTTTATTTATGCCATACCTAAGTTTTTCTGAATTGTTTTTGATATTTATAGGTTATACAGTTCATCTATGAGTATTTTCAAATTGTTGCAAATCTCTAAAAATGTTTCCAAGATATTTATTGAAAAAAATTCTCATATGAGTGGACTCACAGTTCAAACTCATGTTGTTCAAGGGTCAACTGTACTTATCTCCTTGGAGCATGCTGAGATTTGACATTAGTCAAGTCAAGAGGAAACAGGGAGTAACTCTGATGGTCTTGAAGAAATTGAGTGTCCCCTTTTGTATTAGCATTCTTCAGAGAAATGGAACCAATAGAAGATATATATAAATATCAATAACTATGCCTATATCTATACCTTTCTGTAGAAAGAGTACAAAATCTCCAGATTGGGTGGGCAGGCTGGAGATCCAGGAAGAAGTGCACATGCAGTTTAAGTCCAATGGCTGTGTGCTGCAGAATTACCTTATGTTCAGGGGAGATCAGTCTTTTGTTCAATCTTTGAACTGATTGGATTAGGCCTACCCACACTATGAAGAGCAATCTGCTTTACTGAGAATCCACTAAAATACAAATCTTATCTAAAAATACCCTTCAAGTTGACACAAAAACTAGCCATCATACCTTTCTAGATATCTGCTAATCAGAGAATTTTAAAAGTCTATGATTTGAAGGAAGAGCAGGATCCTGAGACTCACGACAGCATGCTACTTCCACTAGTAAGGGGGAATCAGAGTGATTTTAGTACAAAATCGTCAGTTTCATCTAGATTAAATGAGATTTCCCCATTACATGTTTCAGGATTCATCTTTTTCCAACTAATGACCAATGTTCCCAAGTGAGACTCACTGAGACTAAGACTTCACCTGTTGCTGTAGTTTAGCCAGGCAGAACTAAATTTTACGTTTGATTCTCAGCAACATTAGCCAAATAGCTACAAAAACTAAGCTATTCTCTTAAGCCTGCACAGAAGCTCTCTAGTTCTCACAACATGGCTTGAGCTGGTTCTGAAAAATTCTGAGCTTGTCATTTTTATTCCGTAAGCTTAAAATGGGCTCAAAATCTCATTTGCATCATAGTCATCATTACTGTGATGAACCTTAATTACAGTAACCATTCCAGCTCCCAAAGCAGTGTGCTTTAGTTTACTCTATCACACTCAATCCAGATAATAGTTTGATTAATTATGATGATACTGCATACCATAGATTACAAGCATCTCATTTCAACTTGGCAAGAAAGTCAAGTTTAAGAGCAGGATTAAACCAACAGCAAAATCCAATCCTGGCAATTGTAGTTGTGGGAACACCTTCCACTACCAATTCTGGGTATCAGCATCAGTCTGGGTCCAACCATGGGAGAGAAACCATACCATAGTGTGAACAGAAAATTTTAGTATGAAAATTATTTAATAATAACAGAAATTGGAGAATACAAGATTTATTTCTTTAATAAGATATAAAAAGAACTGTTAAGAATATAGACTCATAGGTATAAGTAGCTATTACTTGTAGGGTTAAGATAAGGGATCTAATGGAGAGATCCTCCCCAAAAGGTAGTTAGAGCCTTGTTGGGGAGTGAAGCAACGTGGCTTCCTACATGGCAGAAAAGTTGCTGTGGTGCCTGGAATGTCAGAAGTTGCTGTAAATCTGCTCTCTGGGGTACCTGGGGAAGCTAACTACAGAGAGATGCTGTGCTTTGCAACTTGCTGCAAAGTCAAATGTGAGAAGCCTCAGAAGCTGTTCATATGAGATACTTTGCTGATGGAACTCTTCTATAAAGTTTCCCAAGGTGGGTGTCTGAGGAAGCTACTGGGTGCTGAAGAAGCCTGTTCCTGGAGGAGCTGTTCACTGCAGAAGCAGAAAACTGGGGAAGCCACACACTGGGGCATCCACAGTTAGAGAAACTGTATGCTAAAGCAGCCTAGTAAGGGGAGCACAACAGAACCCGGAAAAAAGATAATCAAACTGAAGCAAACCAAATTCTTCCGCCTCTGGTGTTGCTGTAGTAGAACTCTCTACTGACAAAAATAAACCTCACGTTGCCAGCTGGCAACAGTGTTTAAAGGGCCCAACTCAGGTCCATTTTCACAGAACAAGCCAAGATAACTATTGGATAGCAAAGGAAGAGTTGATTGTTTCGTTTGTTGTGCAGAAGCTCTATGTTTGATGTAGTCTTGTCTGTTTTTGCTTTTGTGGCTTATGCTTTTCATGTCACAGCCAAGAAATTATTGCTTAAACTAATGTCATGAAGGTTTTCCTCTATGTTTACTTTTAGGGGTTTTATAGACTTAAGTCTTGGGTTTAATTCTTTAATTCATTTTTGAGTTGATTTGAGTGTATGGTGTAATACAAAGGCCTAATTTCATTCTTTTGTATTTGGGTATCTTGTTTTCCTATCACTCTTTGTGAAAGACTATCCTTTCCCTATTGTGTATTCTTGGAACTCTTATTGAAATCAGTTTGTCATATATGTGTGGGTTTATTTCCTTTACGGAGAGAAATGGTCCACAACAATGTCTCTGTCCTTTAGTTGAGTTATAACTCATCACTCAGAGGTCATCATTCTGAATTATTTTTTGAAACTCACCCTCCTCATAATAAAAGTATGAGATAAAGGATCATTTACAAAACCATTCACAAGTTTTATTGTTAAGTCAGTGCCTTTAGCTTAGCTTTTCACCATGTGGCCATTTTATTGTACTTATTAAACTGAACCATATGAAGATGCTATTTTAGTAGATCCAAAATAGTCAAATATTAGCTATTTTATTATAGTTGAAACTAAGAAAACTTGAAAATTTCGTCTGCACATTCTGTTTGTATTATTTATAATGCTATTGACTGCAACTAGGTCTAAAACTGAAAAGCAAAAGGCTGTGTTTTCATAAGTTTATGTTATTTCTGTTTACTGACCAGAATAAATGCCACATTTTTGTCATTTGGTTTATTCAAGGAAATATCACTAGCAGTAAGTTGCCTTGTATAAGGTGTGACTAATTTTTAAAAATAATATAATTAAAATATATCTTTTTGTAGGAATTTACATTACAGACAGACATATATTCCTAATAATCTGCTAGTGAACAAGAAAACTTAGACTGGATTGAGCATTACAATGCTAAAGCTTATATCAGAGGTCACAGAAATCTTTGTTTCAGCTAAGTAAAATCATTTAACATAACTGAAACCTGCTTTAACTCTTCTTTCATTATTTTGTCCATAGCTAGATAAATGTTTACTTGAAATAAAATTTAAATTGCATATTTCTATGTTGAAAAAAATAACAAAAAATCATGTTATCCCGTGACTTAAGTAATGTAACATGACTTATGCTTAACCTAGTTTAATAAGCTAATGAACATAATAGTTCTCTTTTAAAAAATTAAACATACAATGTTTTAAAAAATTAAACGTACTGTGATTATACCTTACTGTTCTTTGCCCTCTATTATTTAACAAGTGAAATGAATAGACATGACAAAAATAATCTTCAAAAAGTGTAAAGAAATTTTAAGGATAATAAACTTTTTCTCATTAGAATAAATAATAACAAAGTACATGTAATCAGGACAAATTATGAAGGATGGAATTTTGCAAGCAGAATTTATAAGATCTGAAAAAAATGTCCTTATTAGATATTTAGACAATATTTTATAGAGAAAATACAAATAATTTTCAGACTAAAGATTACTCTCACTCAAGTCAATTTTATTTACAATTTTATAAAGATTGCTTTTGATTTTAATTTTAAATTTTTATTTTTTTAAAAAAGGCAAACATCAGGTGGCTTTGCTGATTTCTAATCTTTGTAAGAATATAATATGTGTGAGTGACGCACAGGACGTGCTTGATCTCCTTTTCCATACCTAACATCTACCTGCACACCTTCTACTTTGGGAGCTGAAGAAAGTATACTCAGTGTTTTAGAGATTACTCTCCATAAAGAGTAACTCTGTCAGATAATTTGAAATATAATATTCAACCATTCAGTTGTGAGACAAAAATGATTTGTTTAACCTCCTCCTAGTCGAGGAAAACTAGTGGTTGGGATTGGAAAGATTCTAGAGATCAATACGAGTTTCTCTGATACCCTTGAAACTAAGGTATGGGGTAGGAGTAAAGTTCAGAGCAATAGGATCTTCCTTTCCATTTGTGGAACTGTGAGAAGAGAGGCCCTGAGTTCCATTTTTCTCTGGAGAAGCTCTGATAGAAGCCAAGCCTCCAGGATCATCTGTAACAGGATAAACCTTGGTGCTAGGTCAGGGATGAGCAAAGACAGGCCTCTGGCATTGCAGAGAAAGTAAGTAAAATCCTCTGGCCTAACTGAAGCATAGAATTAAACAAATGGTGTGTGCCCTAGACGTAGGCTCCATACGGGACTTGTCGCAGAGCTGAGAAAATTCATACCCTGTCATGGTAAATGAGGTGAACTCAGTTTTTATTCCTGTGACTGGTAGATGGATGGAGGACAAATGATAATGAACAAATTATCCACTTATAAGTTAAAAATTCAGCTTTTGCCAACTGTAACATGCAAGTACTCTTGTTTAATTTGAGAAATTCAGCAAAGAAGGAAAAAAGAAATGATAAATCATTATTGTTTACATTTATGGGGTATGGGGTACAATATGACAAACATACAATGAGAAATGATTGAATCAAGCTAATTAACATATACAGCACCTCACTTACTTATTTTTTGTCATGACATATTTGAAATTTACTGTTAGTTTTTTGAAATATACAGTAAATTATTATTGTCTGTAGTCACCTTGCTGTGCAACAGATCTCAAAACTTATTTTTCTTGTCTATTTGAAACTATATCTTTTGATCAACCTCCCATTCCTTTGGTCCCAACATGACCACCCCAGCTTCTGGTACCCGTCATTCTACTCTCTACTTCTATGAGTTAAGCTATTTTAGATTCCACATTTAAGTGAGATCATGCAGTATTTGTCTTTCTGTGCCTTGCTTATTTTACTTAACATAATGTCCTCCAGTTTTCATCCATGTTATCTCAAATGACAAGAACTTCTCCTTTTTTAAGGCTATTATTCCATGTGTGTGTATATATATATATATATATATACTACATTTTCTTTATTCATCCTTTGATAAGCACTTAGGTTGATTTCATATCTTGGCTATTATGAATAATGCTGCAATGAACATGGGAGAGCAGAATTTTTTTGACATACTGAATTCAATTCCTTTGTATATATACACAGCAGGCAGTGTGATTGCTGGATAATATGGTAGTTCTATTTTTAATTTTTTTAGGAAAAAAATACAACTTTCTATAATAGTTATACTAATTTATATTCCCTCTAGCAATGAAAAGAACCCTTTTCATCACATCCTCATCAACACTATCTTTCATCTTTTTGATAAAAGCTATTCTAATAAGTGTGAGGTAATGTATCATTGTGGTTTTAACTTACATTTACCTAATAATCAGTGATTTTGAGCATTTTTTAACGTACCCATGGCCTTTTGTATGTCTGCTTTGAGAAATGTCTGTTCAGGTCCTTTGCCCATTTTAAAGTCAACTTATTTGTTTTCTTGCTACTGAGTTGAGTTTCTGATATATTTTGAATACTGACCCCTTATCAGATGTATGGTGTGCAAATATTTTCTTCTAATCCATGGGTTGTCTTTTCACTTTATTGTTTCCTTTGCTGTGCAGAAGATTTTTAGTTTAATGCCATCCTATGTAGCTGGGTTTTTTTGTTTGTTTGTTTTTGTTTTTGTTTTGCCTGCACTTTCATGGTCATATCCAAAAACAAAACAAAACAAAAACAAAATTGTTGTTCAGACCAATGTCATGGAGCTTTTCCCCTATGTTCTCTTCTAGTAGTTTCACGGTTTCAGGTTCCACTTTTAAGTATTTAATCCATTTTGAGTTTAATGTTGTATGTGGTGTGAGATTAGGATCTAATTACACTCTTTTGCATGTGGTTATCCAGTTTTTCCGACACATTTAATGAGGAGACCATCCGTTCCCCATTATGTGTTCTTGGCACCTTTGTAAAACATCAGTTGACCATGAATGTGTGGGTTATTTCTGGGATTTCTACCCTTTTTCATTGGTTATGTGTCTGTTTTATCCCAGTACTATTAGGTTTTAATTAATCTCTTTATAATGTGCTTTGAAACAAGGAGTATGATGCTGCCAGTTTTGTTCTTTTTGTTCAAGATTGTTTTTGCTATTCAGGGTCTTTTGTGGTGCCATTCACATTAAAAGACTGTTTCTTTCTATTTTGTAAAAAATGACACTGGAATTTTGATAGTGATTGCATTGAATCTGTAGATCACTTTGTATTGTATAGACATTTTTACAATATCAATTCTTCTAATACATGAATATAAAATGCCTTTCTATTTATTTGTGTTTTTTTCACTTTCTTTTATCAGTGTCGTACAGTTTTCAATATACAGGCCTTTCACTTCCGTGGTTAAATTTAAACCGAAGTACTTATTTTCCTTGCTGTTATTTTGGGGTTGTTTTCTTAATTGTTTCTCAATTTCCTTTTGGCAACACCAAAAGTCTATTATGGGTATAAAGAAATGATACTAATTTTTGTATGCTGCGATTATTCCAACACATTTACTTAATTCATTGAGTTATTAGTTCTAATAGCTTTTGGCAGAGTCTTTAGCAAATGGAGACAATTTTACTTCTTCCTCTTCTACTGGGATATCTTTTATTTCTTCCTCTAGCTTAATTGCTCTGGCTAGGACTTCCAGTACCATGTTGAATAGAGATAGTGAAAGTGGGCATCCTTATCTTTTCCGTGATCTTAGAAGAAAAGCTTTCAATTTTTTCCCATAGAAAATGGTGTTAGCTACAAGTTTGCCATATATGACCTTTATTTTGTTGAGGTACATACCTTATATGCCTAATCTATTGAGAGTTTTCATTATGAAGGATATTGAATTTTGTCAAATGCTTTTTAAAAATGTTTAGATAATTGTATGTTTTTTTATTTTCTTAATGTGGTATATCACAAGTACTTATTTGAGTATGTTAAACCATCCTTGCATCACATGGATAAATCCCACTTGACTACAGTAAATGATTCTTTTAATATCTTGTTGAATTTGGTTTACTAATATTTTTTTGAGGATTTTTGCATCTATGTTTATCTGGGCTTTATAATTCTAATGCAGTTCAGGAATCTCAAACCAGGGGATATAGCATTAAAAATGTAGTATATTCCTAACCTCATTTACCTTTATAATCAATTTTCATGCATACTTATTAACATCTCCCAGAATACTGTTCAGTAAAAGCATTTTTGAAAACAATGCTTTATATAAAAAATAAAAGGCTTTGGTTTTTATTGAACATATAGGATATTAAGATCAAATAGATATTTTCCTACTACTTATTTGGTGAGTATAATTAATGGCTGCCATACGCACCTAGACACATAGTAAGATGTAGGGCCATCAGTCATAAAAATAACAACCCAGAAGTTCCCAAAAGGACACTAAAACCAGACACACACACAAAATAGGTCATCTAAGAAGACATGAATTTCATATTAGTATCTGATTTCTCTTTAACACACTCTGTGCTAGAAGACAATGAAGTTCTGCCTTTAATGTTCTAAAGGAAACTGTTTTCCATTTTGATTCTATATGAAATAAAATGATCAATCTCTTCATGGTAGAATAAAGTCATTCTTCAGAAGCAGGAGTGCTCAGATAATATATCTCCCCTTCATCTTTTCATGTGAGATTTCTTCTCACTATGTGTACGTAAAAGAAAGACAGCAATGGAAGGAAGCACCAGGATGACAAGCAGGCTTAGAGGGTGTATTAGCCAGGGTTCTCTAGAGGGGCAGAACTAATAGGATAGACATATATATAAATGAAAGTTTATTAAGTTTATTAAGTATGAACTCCCAGAATCACAAGGTCCCACAATAGGCCGTCGCAGGCTGAGGAGCAAGGAGAGCCAGTCTGAGTTTCCAAACTGAAGAACATGGGGTCCAATGTTCGAGGGCAAGAAGCATCAAGCATGGGAGAAAGATGTACACTGGGAAGCTAGGCCAGGCTTTCTTTTCACATTTTTCTGCCTGCTTATATTCTAGCCATGCTGTCAGCTGATTAGATTATGCCCACCCAGATTAAGGGTGGGTCCACCTTTCCCAGCCCACTGACTCAAATGTTAATCTCCTTTGGCACCACCCTCACAGACACACCCAGGATCAATACTTTGTATCCTTCAATCCAATTAAGTTGACACTCTGTATTAACCATCACAAGTCTACCCCTTATCAACATGAACCCACACACATCTCCTGAGATCAAACATAATCTTCAAATGAAGACAATAATAAGGTCATAATTATGCCTAACGTAATACAACTATCCTTTGTACAACTGGAAATGCACCAATCTTCAACCCAAATACTGTGACATAAAGTTAACAATACTTAAATGTTGATGTGAAGTCAATAAATCATATGTCACATGATGACAGAGAAAGAAAAAAATGAAGATATTTTCTTAGTACAAGTGTATACATGTACAAACATGTTTTTAACAAAAGAAGGAGGAAATACTAATGACAATTACAATCCTCGTATCTGCAGCTGGTCACGTGGTTGTAGTTGGTATCGATGACTACCTTCTTCTGTTACCCATTCTGTATTCCATTTGCCTTCAGCAAGCACCTCAGCCAGTCATGATTTTTTTAATGGTGGAGTGACCCAGATCTTCATTCATGAAGGGTCTAGGTCATTTGTAGTCCTGCCTGGATTGGGCTGTTGTAGTTTCCCATTGACCTTATCAGAGGGCATGGTAATACTAAGAAACGCATCAATGGATCTCTTGTATTCCATGCATACTCTTCCTTACCTCCATTGTGGAGTAGAAGACTGATTTCATCTTGGTAGTCTAGGTCAATCACCCCAGCCAATACTGTGACTCCCTTCTTAGCCTGTTGACTTAAAGGTAGTAGGAGCCTAAAGTGTCCAGGTGGCAATCTTAACTTCCAGTTAAATAGAATTGTTGTTGGGTCTCCTGGTGGCAGCATTCCTCCCTCTGGAACTAAGACCTCTATGCCAGAAGAACGTTGCGTAGAAAGTCGCGGGAACAGAAAGCAAAAATTTTGCTAGTGGGTCACTAGGGGTGATGGTGAGTGGTGCCACTTCCACTTCCACCCATTGATTCCTGGACCCATGAATCCTGGCTATGGGAGAAGCAGTACCAGATATTGGATGCTGATTCAGAGCATACACGACCTTCTGGAGAACTTGCCCCAGCCCTGGAAAGTAGTGTCAACTAGTTGGCATTGGAATTGTGACTTCAAAAGGCCATTCCACTGTTCTATCAATCCAGCTACTTCAGGATGTCTGGTAAGACCAGTGAATTCCACGAGCATGAGCCCACTGCCATACTTCTTTAGCCCTAAAGTGAGTGCCATGGATGGCAGTCTTGGCAGAAGCATTGCATGCAAGATAAGCACACCCATATCCGGAGTAATTATCTATTCAGGGAGGACAAACCTCTTCCCTTTCCATGATGGAAGAGGTCCAATATAGTCAACCTGCCACCAGGTAGCTGGCTGATCACCCCGAGTAATGGTGCCACATCAAGGGCTCAATGTTGGTCTCTGCTGCTGGCAAATTGGGAACTCAGTGGTGGCCGTAGCCAGATCAACCTTGGTGAGTTGAAGTCCATATTGCCGAGCCCATGCGTAACCTCCATCCCTGCCACCATGGACATTTTGTTCATGGGCCCAGTGGGCGATAGCAGGGGTGGCTGGGGAAGGTGGCTGACTGGTGAGGGCCAATACTTTGTATCCTTCAATCCAATCAAGTTGACATTCAGTATTAATGATCACAGAAGTCAATGATTTACCATATTGTAGAAGGTGGATGGAGACTTCCATAAAAGAGGTGTCTTTAACAATATGAGTCCAATAGAATCAATCACATGCTACATAAGAAAAACATTCTATCACAGGGCTACTATGTATGGTTCTGCCTTTAAAGGGGTGCCTTTCATAATGTGCACATTGTAGATTTCTGGATTTCTGAAGATAATTTTCAGAAGATGACAGTGAAAGCCATATAATAGAACAATTTTATGCCAGATGAAAGTATATATGTTAAAGAAGAGATATTTTTTCAAAACAATGGCAAAGCTGAATTAAAATTAAAGGGAAATAGTTCAAGGGGAAAAAAACCCTCTAAATAAATAGAAATAAAATTAAGGAAATGTAATGAGGATTACATTAGAAATGACATCAATAAAGTCTTCCCAGAGTTTTCATAACATAAGTTATTCTGCAGGTTGTGATGTTCTCATAATTTTTACCAACTTCTTCTGATAATATAATCCCAATTGGAAACTTTTCAGTTCTCATTTTACATGAACTCTGAATAGATTTTGGCATTATTTTGACTCTTCTTGTTTTCTACAACATCATATGCCTTCTTCCCTGACTTGGTCCCTATGTCTCTTGCCATGCCTTCATTTTATGCCTTACATGGAGCGTTCCTTTCTATTCAGTCCTTGCTATCCTCCTTACTCCACATTCTTTCCTAAGGCAATTAAATTTGCTTCTATAATGAAATAATACATATATAAAAATTTCACTCTGTTGATTACCAAGTTTAAATACATTAGGTCTCAGCATCAATGTCCCTTATTCAGAATCCCTTCTTATTCTCCTTATCTACAATGCAACACCAATTATACTTACTCACAATACCAGTTATACTGTCACCATCTGTATGATATAGCCACTGCTATGGGCTGAATGTTTGTGTCCTCCCCATGAAAATCATATGTTGAAATTCTCACTCATAAGGTGATGATATTAGGAAGTAAGGCCTTTGGGAGGTGACTAGGTTATCAGAGTGGAGACCTCTTGATTGGGATTACTGCCTTTGTAAAAGACTGCAGAACACTAGCTAGTCCCTTCTATCATGTGAAGACAGTGAAAAGGCACCGTCTATGAGGCAGAAAGCAGGTCCTCACCATATATGTAACCTGCTGGTGGCTTGATCTTGAACCTCTCAGGCTTCAGAACTGTGAGAAATAAATTTCTTTGGTTTATAAACCACCCAGTTTACAGAATTTTGTTATAGCTGCCCAGACTGTCATTACATTGTACCCATTTGTTTAATGTCTCTTTTTCCATTAGATTGACAGAAATTATTGTGTATTTTAATGATAATTGTATCCTCTGCCTAGAATATTGTGTAAAATGTGTGTATGTGTGTATCTGTGAATACATATAAGTATACCTATTTTTGAAACCTATAATGACTGTTTCTGTTCTGTCTTCAGTGATCTTGGTATGTGAAAGAGATTTGTAAATTGTAAGTGTTATGCACTGTAAGAAAAATATATTTTGAATTTACTGAGGTTTAATTTATAATCTAAAGTGTGATCAAGAATTTAAATTTGAAAAAGAAATGCTCTGTGGTGTCTAATAGGCTTGTGAAAACTTGAGATATCCTACGGTAAAAATGATCAATAAAAAGCTTTCTTACTCATGTAGTTATTGTACTGGATTTTTACAGAATGTAAAGCTAGATATGCATAAGTTAATTTAAGATGTGAAGATAAATTATCCAATATCAGTGGATCTAATATCCACTGTTAAAGAAAGCTAAATATGACCTGGGAAGGATTCTGTACTTCTATATTCCAGTCCTTGTGGATGAAGTGCAACCTAACTTAATAGGTAGAGAGGATTGAATATAGGAGTATGCTCCTGTAGCAATCACTGAGTCTTGGTCAATCCCAACAGCCATCCTTCAACCCGTCATACACTTGTGAGTGTTCAAACTATGCTCAGATAAGGCCAATGCCGACCTGTAACCAATCCAGCTGTTACTGTACCTCACTTCTGATTTCTGTACATCACTTTACTTTTTTTGACCACAAGGCACTCCTGGCATCTCTCTGAATCTGCTATGATTCAGGGGCTGCCCAATTCGTGAATCATTCATTGCTCAATTTAACTTCTTTAAATTAATTCAGCCAAGTTTCTCTTTTAACAGATGATGTCAGAAGTGGGGTGCAAAGTAGAGCTTCTGACAACCCCCGGGAGTACTGAGTGAACAAGCAAGGTATCTGCAGAACCCACTTGTGTCCACCGATCTCTCAGAGTGCCTGGAGATCATGGGTAAGTTCTCTCTCAGATTTTGGGGCTCCACCTATTTGTGTTTTGAGCTCTCTGAGTTTCTTAGAGCAAATTTTTGATCCAAACTGGGTTTGGAAGTTGCAACAGAAACTGGATTGGGTCCAGGAATGGATTTGATTTAGTAATTAACCAGCTTGGATCCAGTTAGAGGCCTCTTACATCTGACTGGGTCAGAAAGAAACTGGTAGCAAATGGTAATATTGTAGGGGTGTAAAATTTGGCTTTAAAAAATTTGTGGGGATTTTTGTATTCTACACCTTTGTTTCATTTTACTTGTGCACTTAGGCAGGAAAAATCATTGGGCAGGTTAATCAAGGGAACCTGAAAGCAAAGCCAATATTAGGTAAAAATGGGATTCTTCATATCTGAAAAACTGAGTCCCTTCTGGCTTATACATTAGGCACAGGAAAAAACAAAGTGTTACCGAAATGGCAAAATCTTACTAAAAGTAACTTATGGTGAAACATTCTGAATAAACAACAATGCATTCAAGTGCATTTAAAAATGAGGGCTCCCAAAAATTAAAGCTGCCAATCTTTCAGCTTAATTATTATCCTACTCCAAAGGAAATACACTGCAGCACCAATTGGCCGACTTCGGATAGGTAATGGGGTACATTTTACCTGAATAAAAGATGGAATTGGGTTAGAGGCCCTCCCCTCAATAAAGTCCCTCTTGGTTAAAAATGGATTAAAGATCGCAGGGCCCAACCAAGGACAAGTTTGACCTTTGCCAGTTCAACGTTGGGTGCTAAGCAGAGTGGCTAATGTCATGAATTTTGCTCTGGCCAGAATGAAAAATGTTAATTGGGTTACCCCCCGCATGCAACCCCATGGGCAGCAACTTGCAAAATTGAAAGGCTTTTGCCTGTGGTTCCCATGAAATAAAAATTCCATTGTCCAAGTCAAATTACCGATGATAACCCATCAGTTATCAGTGCTATGCACCAAATTTGGAGAAACAACTGATATTCAAGAGTATAGAAGTCTAATGTTAATTAAACATGGACTCATGGAGAACCAGGATGGCCACCTTGTCCTTCCTGAGTACATAAAGCTTTTATTATTAAAAGTTCTGCATTCCATGACTCATCATGGAAAAGATAAAATGATCCTAATTGAATATATTGGTGTGGTGGCATAAATTGCTAAAGTAGTTTATAACCAATATTTGGTCCCATATTCCCGGGAAAAAAATCTAAGCTTCTAGATTGTGAAGGGATTGATTATCCTCTGTGAATCATATCTCTGTGAACCATAAAAAGCTTTCTTTAGTGGTGAAAATACACTGTGGCATAATAACTTAGTGTTATAATATCAGGCCTCCTCCATGGGAGAGCTTTTATACAACCAGAAAACATGCTTTGGAAATAACATTTGAGTGAACTCCCTTTACAAAATGTTTAAACAACCCATCAGATGACCAAATGTATATCCGTGGATGACCATGGATAAACTTATACTTTGATAGGTAAAAGATGAGAGCCTAATATAGATAAGAGACTGCTTAGTTAAGTGAATAGACTCTTTATCTAGCTCATTCTTTGATCTATTTGATTGTAGGTGGTTTGGTTTATGGGGACCCTGGGTAAGAAGCATACTCTACCCTCTTGGTATTATCCTCCACAGAGTCATAAAATTAGTCTCCCTATTGTGCTGCATTCTCTCAAGGGTTATAAATGTTTGCATGCAACCATCTCTAGAATGTCAAATGGTCTCTCTTCAATTGGAATGATAAGAGCTGAAAGAAATGTGTGACCATGGGGACTCTGTAACCTATGAATGGCATGCTGAGACCGGAAACCCAAAATGATGGTAACTGAGAGTGATGCTAAGGCCCTAAGTTTTAGTAAAACTCTTACCTAAGTGAGAACCTGGCCAAAAAGTGGGAAATTTTTAAAACGAAATTATTAGAGGCCATTGTTTTGGACTGAGCTCACGCACTAGGCCCCAACAAACCAAACCAAACAAAACAAAAATGGAGTTGTTCAGGCTAAATGTGACATAATCAAACTAAGACTTCATTTATTTTATTTTATTTTATTTATTTATTTATTTTTATTATTATACTTTAAGTTTTAGGGTACTTGTGCACAATGCGCAGGTTAGTTACATATGTATACATGTGCCATGCTGGCGTGCTGCACCCATTAACTCGTCATTTAGCATTAGGTATATC
The DNA here is from genome assembly GCF_000001405.40 of Homo sapiens. NCBI lineage: Eukaryota > Metazoa > Chordata > Mammalia > Primates > Hominidae > Homo > Homo sapiens. Next base: position 7,849 of record NW_025791754.1, on the reverse strand, counting down.
TCCTAATGCTATCCCTCCCCACTCCCCCCATCCCAAAACAGTCCCCAGAGTGTGATATTCCCCTTCCTGTGTCCATGTGTTCTCATTGTTCACTTCCCATCTATGAGTGAGAACATGCGGTGTTTGGTTTTTTGTCCTTGCGATAGTTTACTGAGAATGATGATTTCCAATTTCATATATGTCCCTACAAAGGACATGAACTCATCCTTTTTTATGGCTGCATAGTATTCCATGGTGTATATGTTCCACATTTTCTTAATCCAGTCTATCATTGTTGGACATTTGGGTTGGTTCCAAGTCTTTGCTATTGTGGATAATGCCACAATAAACATACGTGTGCATGTGTCTTTATAGCAGCATGATTTATAGTCCTTTGGGTATATACCCAGTAATGGGATGACTGGGTCAAATGGTATTTCTAGTTCTAGATCCCTGAGGAATCGCCGCACTGACTTCCACAATGGTTGAACTAGTTTACAGTCCCACCAACAGTGTAAAAGTGTTCCTATTTCTCCACATCCTCTCTAGCACCTGTTGTTTCCTGACTTTTTAATGATTGCCATTCTAATTGGTGTGAGATGGTATCTCATTGTGGTTTTGATTTGCATTTCTCTGATGGCCAGTGATGATGAGCATTTTTATGTGTCTTTTGGCTGCATAAATGTCTTCTTTTGAGAAGTGTCTGTTCATATCCTTTGCCCACTTTTTGATGGGGTTGTTTGTTTTTTTCTTGTAAATTTGTTTGAGTTCATTGTAGATTCTGGATATTGGCCCTTTGTCAGATGAGTAGGTGTTTCTTTAAAGTCTTAGTTTGAAATTTTCACAATCAAACTAAGACTTTAAAGAAACACGTAGATTTTAGATTAGAACAGACTTGGTTTTGTTTTCTCCTGTAAACAGAACATTCCAGCACAAGGAGGTACCCTCTACTTATTCCTTGTTTCTACCTTTGCAGTACCCACTGTTTTGTTTTTCAGTGGGTTTCAAGACCAAATATGTACATTTACAAAGGTGATAGTGACATCAATGTCCAAAGTTTTGGTCAATCTCTCAAAATTAAGAAAATGACCAAAAGTGGGGAAATGTTAACAAAAACTAAATATGGCCGTACTTCTATATTTGAGTTCTTGTGGATGAACTGAAACCTAACTTAATAGGTAGACAAGATTGAAAACCTAACTTAGAAGTATGTGCCTGCAACAATTGCTGAGTCTTGGCCAATCTCAGCAACCATACTTCAACCAGTCATACACTGCTGAGTGTTCAAACTATGTTCAAATAAGGCAAACTCCGAGCTGTTATCAATCCAACTGTTTCTGTACCTCACTTCCAGTTTCTGTATGTCACTTTACTTTTTCAGTCTATAAATTTGTTCTGACCACGAGGCACCCCTGGAGTCTCTCTGAATCTGCTGTGATTATGGGGCTGCTGGATTCATGAATTGTTCATTGCTCAGTTAAACTCCTTTAAATTTAATTCAGCTGAAGTTTTCCTTTTAACAATCACAAAGAGGAAATGTTAAAAAAAAAGAAACTGAGCATGTTTCATCAGTAAGGCTTATTTTCAACAGTGTTTTCATTTGAATAAGGTAAATGCACACAACATATCTAAATAAGCTGTGCTGTTATCAATTAATCATACACATGCTTCTAGAAATTTTAGAATATAAATAAAACTATAGGAGAGCATTATAATTCACAATACCAGTACCCAAACATTTGTTATTAATACATTTGTGTTTTTCTTTTTAGGGCTATCTCAATGTAGTATGTATTTTAAATATTACACTACACTGCATAAGCACTTTTGTGTCTTAGTTTTTAAACTTAGTATTATACTGCGATAGCTACCAAAGCTGTTAAGAATTTTTCAAAACATAATTTCCAGAGCTGCATAATATCTCATTATTTATATACATCAAAATGTAACTATTTTCATATGATCAGTTTTTAAGTTATTGCCTCTGAACTCTAAACCCACCTTCCTATATTCCTCATGATTTCTAAGATACTATATAATGTACCATGAAGTGGAATATAGGAGGAATATTTAGATCCTCTGTTTTATATGACACTATAATTAAAATTTTGATTTGTACTTTTAGGATCTACATGTTTGTATCTATGATTATAGTTAAAGATTTATTGTAGTTACATGTTAGAACACCTACTCCTTACTCCTGATTCTTCCCAACTGGTAGACAGTTATTAGAGCAATATTCTTGGCCTCTCAGAATGAAACATTTAGGAGCAGGAACTAAGAAGATGTTTAAATCTCAGCCCTGCCCTTCTCCTCTTCATTTGAGACCTGTAATCCTGTAGAGAACATGTGCCCCAGTGTACTTTTGTGCCTTAAGTTTATCAATGAAAGCTCTGTCTTAGTAGGAAGGCCTGCAGTTCTTCAGGGCGGTCTGTGATCAGATGGGCAAGTCTTCGTTTCTGGGCTTTAGTATTAGAAACAATAGGTTGTCACATAACTAAGACATGTTCTCTTAAAGCTCTATCTGTGGCTCTGTTTTCAGGCAGAGAAAAAGGTTGTTGTCTATAGGAATTCTGTGTCAAAGTTTCTGAACATTGTAATAGTTTTAAAATAAATCGTCAAACAAGGTAATGCTAACTTACACTCTCAATAACAGCACCCTGACCAGAGCTAAATATTATTATTATTTTGATAAAAATGTTTTGATGGGTAAAATTCTATATAAATTGTTTAGTATTTTTAAATAATCACTTAGAATGCTATAGCTTATTAATATGGATACTGACAAAAGAGTAATGCCTAAATGATAGTCACCATTGGTAACACATTTTAAACATAACTGAGACCTCTGTATTGATTTGAACTTTTATACCCATTTTTCTCATCAAATTTAAAAGCAAAGAAAAAAGAAGAAATGGAGATGTGAACTTCAAGCACTATTTATTGAATAGAGAATAACTTGTCTAAATCTATCATAGCATTAATTATACAAAGACCAGTAAAATAACTGTCAGAGACTCTCAACAACTTAGGTACAGAAGGAATATACCTCAACACAGTGAAGACCATATATCACAGGCTCCCACCTACCATTATATATTTAACTGTGAAAAGCTTCCATATGATCAGGAAGAAGACAGGATGCCCAGTCTCCTCATTTATATTCAACATAGTACTAGAAATCCTAACCAGAGCAATTAGGCAGGAAAAAAAAGCCACCCAAATTAGAAAAGGATGTCAAATGATCTCTGTTTGCTGACAATTTGATCTTATATAGAAAACTCCCAAGACTTCATAAAAAAATTGTTAGAACTAATACATTCAGTAAAGCTATATGATACAAAATCAACATACATAATTCAGTTATGTTTCTGTATAATAACAAATAACTATCTGAAAAGGAAATTAAGAAAATAATCTCAGTCACAATATATCAAAAATATATAGAAATAAATTTTACCAAAATGTTGAAAGATCTACACACTGAAAACTATAAAGCACAGATGAAAGAAACTAAGAAAAACACAAATAAATGAAAAGATATACTGTATTCATAGATAGAAAAAATATTGTCAAAATATCCATATTACCCAAAGCGATCTACGTATTTAATACAATCTCTATCAAAATTTAAATTGCGTTTTTCACAGGAATAGAAAAATCAATTCTACAATTTATATGAAGCTACAAAAGCTCCAGAACAGCTGAAGCAATCTTAAGTGAGAGGAAGAAACCTTGGGGGATCACATTTTCTGATTTCAAATTATATTGCAAAGCAGAAATTTAATTTAGTTATTAATAACTTAATCCTTATATTTCCAGTAGAATCAAAATAGTGCGATACTGGTGTAAAAACAAGCACATAGACCAATGGAAGGGCATAGAGGGCTCAGAAATAAAGGTAAACGATAGTCTCTTTGATAGGGTTGGGAAAACTGGATATTCATATGCAAAATATTAAATTGGATCATTATCTTACACTATACATAAAAATCAACTCAAAATATATTGAAGACTTACACATAATACTTGAAACCATAAAACTCTCAGAGAAAAACATTGATAAAAGCTCTGCAACATTGTTCTAGGCAACAATTTTTTGGATATGACACCAAAACTACAGGGAATAAAAGTAAAAATAAACAAGTGGAACTGCATTAAATTAAAAATGTTCTGCACAGTAGAGAAAACAACAAATGAGAAGGCAAATCAGGGAATGGAAGAAAATATTTGCAAGCATATATCTGACAAGGGGTTATTATAAAAAAATAAGGAATTTATACAATTCAATAGCAAAGCAAAGCAAAACAAAACAAAACCTAATTAAAAGTAGGCAAAGGACTTGAATAACCTGAGTGAATATTTTTCCAAAGACATACCATGGCAAATGGATATTTTAAAAGACGCTCAATATCACATATCATCAGGGAAATGCAAATCAAAACAAAAATGAGATATCAACTATGCTTGTTAGTATGACAATTTTCAAAAATGCAAAAATAACAAATATTGGTGAGGATATGAAGAAATCGGAGCCCTTGTACACTGTTGGTGGGAATGTAAATTGGTACAGCCATCATGGAAAGTCATATAGAAGTTACTCAAAAAATTAAAAGTAGAATTATCGTATGAACTATTAACAATCCCATTTCTGGAAATATCCGAGGGAAATAAAATCCTTATCACAATGAGATATTTGTACTCCCATGCTTATTGCAGCATTATTCACATTAGCCAATATGTGGACTTATGTGGTATATGTACAATAAAATATCATTCAGCCTTAAAAAATATGTAAATACTACCATTTGTAAAAACATGGATGAAACTAGAGAACATTATACTCAATGAAATAAGCCAGACACAGAAAGACAAATGCAGTATGATCTCTTTCTCGCTTACATGAGAAATCTAAAATAGTCCCACTCATAGAAACAAAGACCAGAAGGGTGGTTAGCAGGCGTCAAGGGGAGGGGGAAGCGGGAAGATGTTGGTCAGATGGTACAAACTTTCAGTTACAAGATGAATAGGTTCTAGGGAACTAACGCAATGGATGACAACTATATTTCGTAATAATGTATTGTATACTTGAAATATGCTGAGAGGAGATTTTACATTTTCTGACCACATACACACACACACACAGACATACAAAGATAACTATGTGAGGTGATGGATATGTTAATTAGCTTGATTGTGGCAATTATTTCACAAAGTATACATAAGTTGAGACATCATGTTGTATATCTTAACTATATTTAATTTTTATTTGTCAATTTTACCTCAATAAAGCTGGAAAAAAGTAATAACATCGCTATTGTTTTGGTTTCTATTGATGACAGTTTGCTTGACTTGAAGGTGCAAAGACTCCACGAGTTAGATTTTGAGGAAATATTCTCTATGAAAGGAGAATACAGGTTATAGGAATTTTTTTCATAAAACTTTGCTTTATAATGTGTAATAATGTCATAGTAATTATAAAAATAACAATGTTATATTACTTTTTGCTTTTGCGATGGACTTCTTCAAATACAAAGACAGTTTTCTCATTCCTGAATTTCAATCTTTGGATGGAATGAGGTATGTAAATAAGGTCAGGATACCTTTTTTGATAAAGATTTCCCTAAAATTATTAATAATTACTTTCAGATATTGAATTTTGGCCCCATTTTTATCCTTCCTTTATCCATACCCTTTATCTTGTGCATTTGCAGTTCCTTCCAAAATACACACACTAGAGGAAGTGTGTATTTTCCTGACCTTTGACTTTATGTTTAATTATATGACTTACTTTGGCCAATGGCATGTAAGCAAGCAGACAAAATGCAAGTGAAAGCATGAGACGTGCTTACCGGTTGGACTTTCTCTTTTGCTCTTATATTATTGTGATAAGGAGAATATGCCCGAACTAGGCCACTGTGTCAACAAGGATGAGAGTAACAAGGCCAATCCTGGGCTCTAACCTGCAGCTTGGAGTCAAGCCCAGCTATGCTCAACCTAGATCAGCTGACCCCCAGATGGCCAACAGCAAGGAGCAAAAATACATGCATTTTGTTTCAAGCCATTCTATTCTGAGGCATTTTGTTACACAAAAGTATTGACATTTTAAATTGACACTTTCACATCTATTCTATTAGTTAAGGCTCTGAATGCTCATATGAGGTAGGTTTTGTTATCTATCTTTCACACACAGAAACTGAGCCCTACATAAATTAAGAAATGTGTCCAAAGAAACAGCTAGGAAGCAAAAAAGGAGAAACCTATTTCCAGTGTAGAAAGTTGAATTCTCCCATTAGTAAAAGTATTTTCTAACAGGATTTTTCTGAGTAAGAATTAACTGCATTTCTTTGCAGGTGCCACAGTTATATTTTATTTTGATTTTGACTTATGGGACTGAGTTGGCATTATGGTAAAGTGATTAAGAGTGTGGGCTCTGAAATCAGGCTGCCTGGGTTTATATTTTGGCCCCCAAGTTGCTATTTATGTGCAAGTTATTTAACTTGATTTTTCTGTTTCTTCATCATGATATGGGCCTAAAGCCTTATAGTTCATATGGTCGTTGTGAGATTTATATATGTTAGTACATTTAATAGGCACTCAATAAATATTATTATTTTGGAAAAACGGTCAATTTTTATATTCTAAATTTATATATGTGCTGAGTAAAGTGTTGTTTGTTAGATTTTGTATGCAGGAGATCAGTTTCAACATCTACTATGCAAGAGGAGTGAGAGAAAATCAATCCATTAATTAACAGCAGTCACCAAATATGCCTGATGTGCAAACATTTTTTAACCCTGAGATGGTCTGAGAAACTTACTAAAATCTGTACCTATGAATTGTAAGAATGTTCAAGTCAGTAAAATATTATGAACAAAGTCATATATTGGCTACTAAACTCCACAGCCTATATGGCAAATGAAACATCCTCACTTGTTGAAGAAAAAATAAACATGAATGAGAGATAATAAGAGACATGGGAGTAGAGATGGGTTGGGGTCCAACTGACGGAGATTTATAATATATTAACGGGAACTCCTTCTCTTTTGGGGTTAGGAGGAAGTTAAAAATGAACAGAAGATTGACCTTACCAAACTTCTGTTTGATGAGAAAATTCATCTAGTTGCAATGTATAAGATGTATCAGTTTGAGTAAAGGTTGGAAATACAAAGCATGAGGTGTAAAAATACGTAAGGCATTTCCCAAAGACATTATTTATCGTCAAGGGTAACTTTCCATAGCAACACGTATCTTTCAGTTAGAGCCTGTGTCTCAGGTGTAATTGTGTATTAATTGAATTTGGTTAATATCTGTTTATGCTGTTACTTTAAAACTTCCCGATAGCAGATATTATGTTTGTATGTTTGTTATGTTTATTTAACATTTTGTCCTCAGAACCTGCAGCAGTGATTGGCCCACAGTTGTTGCTTGGTATCTGTTAAATCAGTAAAGAGATAAATGATAAATGAGAAAATGATACAATGAGACAATGAAGATAAATGCAACATTTTTTAGATTAAATATTATTTAATCAAAATCTAATTTTATAATTGAACAAAGTGTAAGAATAAGTGTTTCAATCAAGATTATGTAAATTAAATGAACTTAATTTTTAAAACTACTTTTTCATTGAAATACAAAGTTTCACTGAACTTTAAATGTCAGGAATATTTGAATCCAAATACGGGAAAATGTTTTCCATTCTACTCTCTTCTGAAATACAATAATATAATTTGTGTTGTGTGTCTTGTGTGTGTGTATGTGTGTGTGTGTATGTATGCATGTGTGTGTGTGATACTTGAGCTAACATTTCTAGGTAGTTTGTCCTGGGAGATTGTCAGGGTTATTGAACTATAATACTTTTAAAAGA